>NC_000004.12:13697916-14322916 GCF_000001405.40 Homo sapiens | reverse complement strand
TCTTTCTTCTATCACTCATGTAATCAATTCCTTTCTTACAATTTTTTTCAGTATGAAATACCAAGAGTAGTTCCTGTATTTTGACTAGATCCTGACAGATACAAATGTCTTCTTTAGAATTTCATTTTTGCTCAGTCATCTGAGAGGTAGAAAAAATTAAAATGAAGTTTTCTTTCCAAGGCAGTTGATACATAGTGAGAAGGCAGCATTTGACTTGGATTATAAACCTAGATTCAGATTTTTTAAATTCATTTAAAACTTTTTTCTGACCACAGAAAAGATACATGGTTATTGTTTATTATAATTCAGAAATAATAAAGTAAATAGCAAAAGCCACAGATCACATTTAGGTATCATGTATTAGGTATGGCTATGTAGATGTTTCAATAGTATTTACAGGAATGAATCTATATATCTATATATCTATATCTATATCTATATATATGGCATAACAAATTGTTATTCAAGAAATATTTTCGTTAAGCAATTCATCTTAGACATCTTTTAATCTCTTTTTAATGAGTATATCCATTCACCCACTCATTCATTCTACAAATATTTCTGTTAGGTTCCTAGTAAATGCCGGTGCTATACCAGGTACTGCAAATAAAATAATGGTCTGTATAGAAAAATTCCTTCCCTTGAAGAGCTTATATTCTAGTGTAGGTAGATAAACAAACATATAAATAGGTAAATATACAGCTTGTCAGTTGGAAATAGGTGCTGCAGAGAAAGATAAGCATGGCTAAGTTGGACACAGGATGTGGTCTGGAAAGGGGAAAGAGAAGGTGACATTTGAATGGAGATTTGAGGGAAGTGCATGAAGAGGAAGAGCAAAGGGCTATGGTCTGACTGAGGAGGAGGCAAGGATGCCACTGTGGCTGCATCAGAATGAGAGAGCAAAAGACTCACCAGGAGAGGACATAGGAAGGGGCTCAGGAATCCTTTGCAAGGACAGGCTGTAACTTATCTCTGCTGTCTCTGCTGCTGCTGAGCCCTGAGGCTCATCATGTCCATGTTTGCCTGCCCAGTTAGTGCTGCAATTAACTTCTTCGTAAATATTTTTATGTTCATATGTGAATATTTCTTTAGCATAAATCTCCAGAAATAGAATTACTGGGTTAAATATACATATTTTCCATTTTGAAAAATATGGACAAATTGATGTATTCTCTTGTAAACTGCTGCATTCAGATACTTGGTATAATAGGCAGAATAAGGATCCCCCAGTGATATCCTATTAGTTGGTGTAATAGGCAGAATAATGGTACCCACAATGATATCCTCATCCTAAACCTCAGAATCCGTGATTGAATTATAAATGTTGAGATGGAGAGACTGTCCTGGATTTTCATGGTGGGCCCAGTATAATCACAAGGTGAAAAACAAAGGCAGGAAAATTAGTCTTAGGGTGATGCAATGTGAGAAAGACTCCATTGGCCATTGCTGGTCTTGAAAAAAAAAAGGGAACCACAACCCAAGGAATGTGGGCAGCTACTAGAATCCAGAAAAGACAAGATAACAGATTCTCCCCTAAAACCTCCAGAAAGGAATTCAGCCCTGCTGACTCCTTGATTTTAGCCCAGGGAGATCCGTTTCAGACTTCTGACTTCCAGATTGTGAGGTAATAAATTTGTGTTGTTTTAAGCTATCAGGCTTATGATAATTTCTTTTTTCTTGAGGTCTACTTGTAATACTTTTATTTTTTTTTATTTCAATAGTTTTGGGGGGAACAGGTGGTGTTTGGTTGAATGAATAAGTTCTTCAGTGGTGATTTCTGTGATGATGATGCACCCATAACCTGAGCAGTGTACACTTTACCCAATGTGTAGTCTTTTATTCTTCATCCCCCTCCCACCCTTCCCCTTGAGTCTGCCAAATCTATTGTATCATCCTTATGCCTTTGCATCCTCATAGCTTAGCTCCCATTTATAAATGAGAACATACGATGTTTTGTTTTCTATTCCTGAGTTACTTCACTTAGAATAATGGTCTCCAGTTTCATCCAGATTGCTGTGAATGCCATTATTTCATTCCTTTTTGTGGCTGAGTAGTATTCCATAGTATATATACACCACGTTTTCTTTATCCACTCTTGTTGATGAAGAGCATTTGGGCTGGTTCCATGTTTTTGCAGTTGCAAATTGTGCTGCTATAAACATGCATGTGCAAGTGTCTTTTTCATATAATGACTTCTTTTTCTCTGAGTAGATACCTAGTAGTGAGACTGCTGGATCAAATGGTAGTTCTACTTCTAGCTCTTTAAGGAATCTCCACACTGTTTTCCATAGTGGTTGTAGTAGTTTACATTCCCAACAGCAGTGTAAAAGTGTTCCCTCTTCGTCACACCCATGCCGACATACTACTTTTTAAATTTTTAATTACGGCCATTCTTGCAGGAGTAAGGTGGTATCGCATTGTGGTTTTGATTTGCATTTCCCTGATAATTAATGATGTTGAACATTTTTTCATATTTCTTGGCCATTTGTATATTTTCTGTTGAGAATTGTCTACTCACATTCTTAGTCTACTTTTTGATGGGATTGTTTTTTTTTCTTGCTAATTTGTTTGAGTTCCTTGTAGAGTCTGGATATTAGTCTTTTGTCGGATGCAGAATTTGTGAAAGTTTTCTCCTACACTCATCACCTGAGAAACCTGCCACTTTTTAATTGTGAGGACCATGAACAGGTCTTTTAATGTCTCTGTGTCAGTATGTCCTCATTTTAAAATTAGGAACCATTTTAATAGTACTCATTTCATAGTTTTGTTTTTGTTTCTGTGCTTTCTTTGGTTTTTTTTTTTTTTAAGGATAAATGAGTTAGTGTATCAAAGAATGCTTGGAGCAAAGACTATTATACAGAGAACTCCATATCATAGTTACCTATTTTTTTATTATAATTATATAATGATTTCATTTTCATCTTCTATAAAACTGAACGGATGCCAAATTTTTGGAGACATTGTAAAACTTTTCATTATATTACTATGTGACATGGTAAATATATATGTATGCATATATACATATATATATATATATATATGTAATTTTTACCCTTCCTCTCTTTCTGTGTGTGTGTACAGGTGTATGTATACACACACACACGCAAGGTATGTACAAGTATAGATATTGATATTGATATGTGAAAGCAGTAGGCACTAAACATAGAATAATGCAAGTACTCAAGAAATATTATTTTGAGCCACCTCAGCTTTGAGGTAGAATTCATGCTGGGTTCAGTCCACTGAAGGCCAAGAATACTGCCTTCCTTTTTCTCTAAACTTCATCCAGAACAAAAGAAAAAAAAAAAAAAAGAAAACATGGGAAAAGCAGCAAACTTTAGTCATGCCTAAGAGCTAACTCGTCTCACAAAGACAGCTTCCCTTAGGATGTGCTTTTCCTCACTTTTTTGGAAACAGGGAATTACCCTGAAAGAATCAGAATTGTTCTCTTGTCTTGTGCCATGAAGCTCTCAGAAGCCCCTTCCTCAGAACTGCAACTAGGCCTGTGTTTCCATTGCCCCTGGGTCTCCTAGATGCCAGCATGTAAGGTGGCAACCTTAGGTCCTCATTGCAATTAATTACTGGTTTCATGAGGGACAGAGAATTGTTGTTATTCTTCAGTCTGAATTGCAATAGTTTTAAAGAAGATAAATATATCATGGGATTATTCATTATTAAAAAGCTCCCTTGATGGAAAATGCCAGCTGCCACCTTTTTCATGAATCTGGGCCTAGCAATTATGTTCTAGAACCTTCTGCTGAGAGAGACAGGATATTCTGAGGAACATAGAATTGTTGAAAGTCTGCTGTGGAGGAAAGAGATCAAGGGGAAGATCCCAAATAACCAGAGGATTGTCCAAGATTTGGCCACTTATAAACTATAAGACGTTGGCCAAGCACTGACACTGTGGTAAAAGTGTGAAGAACACCTGCCCTGCCCTCCTGAAAAGGCTAGGGGTGGGGGGGCAGAAACCAAATCAAATGAGCTCAGTGTCCTATGGGTAGAGGCTCTTCCTTCTCCACTGCATTCCAAGGTTTGTGAGGTTAATGATCTCACCTTTCTATCCCACTACTAAGCAAAGTATCAGGAACATCATAAGAACTCAATCATGTGTTAATGCCTGATTAAATTCATCACATGGACTTGCATTTTGAGTTATAAGGCACTGGGTAAGCATAATGATATTGTGTTTTTCATTAGGTCTCTACATATTTGCCACAGCTTGTCAGAAACACCACAACTTGACAGCTTAAATGAATAATAGAGTGTTCTTTGCTGTAGACACTTCGGGAAAGTCATCCAGTTCCTATTTGAGTATTGCTGGAAAGAGGATGCCCACCATGTCCCCAGCAGTCTCTGGTCTCAGAGGTCCCTTCCTGAAGGAACCGTCTGAGTGCCTGTATTTGAGGTAAGATAGCATGCCATAGAGCAGGTGTGTACTCTTTCTGAATCTGGGCTCAACATGTGAGAACACTTAACAGGTGTTATTGTGCATGGGTGACTTTTAAAAAATCCTACAGCTTTACTATAACAGTTTAATTAGAAGCTATTAGAGGTGATAATGAATTTGCCAGATCTTTGAACAACTGTTGAGGATTTTTAAAAGGAGGCAATCTAGTTCTCCAAGGGCCAGCAGGTGGAAGAATTCCTTAGGGATAATCATTCACAGGCTTTTATCTCATTTGATGAACATTTTTGGCTATTTTCCTTCATGTATGAAATAAAATCAGCTATTCATTTGAGTATGTTGTCCACCTGCCTCAAAAAACTCCCACTGTGTTGCTTGAGCTCTTCTTTAAAAAAATTTAAAATAAGAAATATCTTAGGTTTTTACTTTTCTGATTATCTGCTAGACTGAAAATGATCTCTTGATCATATCACAAGCCTTTAAACTTTCATTCCTCACTCCACTGCTCTTCCCCCTTAATCACTTTTCACCTTACTACACATCTGTTCTTTCTACTACCAGGCATGTCCCCATTACTTTTCTTAAGAACTATCTTTAAAACCCTAACGTCTAAGAAAAGCTTTTCCCTGAAGTTTTCATTTCAGGGCCCATAGAAAATAATATCAATGTAGAACTCAGGAGCACACAGATAAATTTGCCCATGGCCAGAGGCAATCATCAACATTTGGTGCACACAGTGGGCAACTCTGGACTGAAGAATGCTTCACTTCCTCAGCATGAAGTCCACGCTCTTTTCCACATCATTCCAAGACCTCTACTCTGCCAGGGGCTGGATTTAACTTCCTGTGTAAAACAACAAACACGTTTTTTAAATGACAAAATACATGGAATTACAATTTTAAAAACACTGTGCATGGGGCAAGACAGGACATGGCTCTCTGACAGATGCAAAATAAAAGAGATGAGTACATAATTGCCTCACCTTGCTAGTTTTTCAGGCCCAGGGTAGGAGAACCAAGATAGAGCTATGTGTACTCCTTGAGCAGAGGAGCAGAACTGAGAGTCCAGGGAAAGCAAAATAGCTAGGGTTCACAAGACAGACTACTAGGGAGATGGAAGGTGCACACAGAGAGCTCTGCAGAAACCAGCAGAAGGTACCCTGCAGATGTTCAGCTGAGTACTGAGAAGCAAATGCACATGAGGAAACTACCAAAGGCCAAGGAAAGAGCCACCTTTTAGGGTTAAATAAAACAGTGTCCTGAGCTAATACAGTCATAGTGCCTGTTCTCACCAGCCAGACTGTAAAAGCCTCAGGATTCAATGAGAATTGGATAGGGTACAACGGGCCTTGGCCTCAGTAATAATAATAATAATAATAATAATAATAATAATAATAATAAATTAACTCTAAGCTCTGTGCTGCTAACTAGTGCTCCATGAACTAATAATTTTTGAGTCTGGCTAGGAGGAAACAGACACTATTCCTGGTCCTTTATATTGAGTACCAGGTATGTACCCTCTAATTCTCTTGGATGGCACTTTCCCTGGCCTCGGATGGTTAAACTGCATTTCAGAAGAAGGCTCAAGAGTATTTACAGGATGACAAAACTATTAATCACTTAACAAGATAAAATTCACAATGTTTGGCATCCAGTTAAAAATTACTAGGCATGCAAAAAAGAAAATATGATCCATAAAGAGGAAAAAAAGACAAATCAATTTAAACTGACTCAGAAGTAGCACAGATATTGAAACAGAGGACACTAAATAGGTTATTATAATATAACATATTATTTACATTATTAAAATAATATATTATAGAACTAATTTAGTGTCCTCCTCTGCTTATTCAAAAAGTAAACTCAAGACACAAAAGATACTAATTAAAATTTAAGCCTAACTTCTAGAGATAAATAAAGCTATGTGAAAAATTAAAAAAATATATAAATGAATTGGACCAATTGCAGATTTAACGTTGCAGAAGAAAAGATTAGTGAACACAAAGACATACCAATAGAAACTATCCAAAATAAAACACAGAGAAAAAAGAAAATCAAAGGGAAAAATAAACAGAACACTCTGAAATAATATATACATAAACAGTGTGGCTGTGTTTCAATAAAACTTTATTTACAAAAAAATGGTTCACAGATCATAGTTTGCTGATTCTTATTTTAGATGAAAGAAGAGATAAATGATAAACTCATGCTCAATCTTCCATGCTGACCTAAAAATTTAATAGGCCTCTGCTCCCTGTAAAATATTCTTATTTCTTAGAAAGGCTCTTTACAGAATACGTGGCAAATGAATTAATATTTAGTGAATAAATGTTCCACAAACTTTTGCTGCATGAATAAATGAAACAATGAATCAATCAATTTGGAGAAATCCTCAAAAAATAACCCCAGAATTTCTTTCTTTGAAAAAATTGTTTGAACCTACTGTCTTCCTTCCCCTCAGAGGGTATAGCCTGGTCTAACATGTTTACATTTGGCCTAATGTTTTTATGGGGCAAGAAAATAGTTTTCAAGCACATTCTGCAATCAATTTCTGGAAATGGAGAGAGAACTTGCTTTCCATTTAACTTGAATGAGGTAGATGCCCTTCATTTGAAATTCATCAGTGTGGTGAAAGCCATTCCTGGTGAAAACACAGGTGCTGTTTTTCCATAAATTATTTGGGCCTCTGTGGAGCCCGAGCAAAACAGAAACGGCAGGGAGTTTACAAAATTGTTTTCTATATTTGAAAATGCCACCTAAATGGAAAATGAAAAGGAGAAGCATCTGGCCAAATACAAGTCTTCGTGGAGAAAGGAGGGAGGAGCCAGAGCCCGGGAGGATTTTATTTCTGTTTGAAAGACATCTCTACCCGCAGGGAGATTATTCAATAAGACAGCAAACATCATATTATGGGATCATAAAATTACAACATTTCATGAGTGAATGGCTTCTAAAGACCACCTCTTCTAGTCCAAACGTCATTCATGTTTGAACTCTCTATACTGTATTCTACCCAACGGACAGTAACATTTGAGCACCTTAGAAACAAAGTGTTTACTGCATCTCAGAAGCGATTCCATATTTAAACACTTGCGTATTCTTTTAAAAATCTATAAAAAGACTATCTTTACTTTATTCAAATCCATTTTCTGTTTCCCTGTTATACACCCCAAAAATGGTGAGAAGTGCTAGACAAAGGTTTCAGAAGCAATCATAACTAAAGGTCAGGCTTAGAAGAAAGAACCAGAAAGCAAGTTCATTTGAAAACAGAACATCTGTTTTGTTACTTGCAAGTTGTTTGAACCTGGCATGCTCTAAATTTTCTGACATTCAGTTTTCTCACCTATAAAAAGATAGTATTAAGCTAGATCAATACTTCATAAAATTCTAATGTGTTTAATAATCACCTAGAAGGATTGTTAAAATTCAGACTGTTAGGCCCCATACTCAGTTCTTGATTCAGTAGGTTGGGATAGGCAGTATAATTTGCATTTCTATCTTGTTCATAGGTGATGTTAATGCTAGTCCTTGAAGTACACATGAGAATCACCGAGCTAGGTAATCCTGAAGGTAGCTCCTCCACATGTGTTTGAGAAGCACATGTTTGGTGAAATAGTCTCCAAATACAAAGATGGTTAAATAGTTTTTGCAAGATGTTAATAATCCATCTACCTCTTAGAGGTTCAAAATTTCACATTGGCAGGATATAGGTTGTGAGAAAATCCTGAAGTTAAAGAAAAAAACAAACAATTTGAATTTATTTACCAAACATTCACAAACATTGTCACCAGATTTAACATATTTGTTGATATTTGCTGACACTTGATCTTTGGATATTATTACTATTATGGAGTAAAGGGAGTTAACCTGAATTTCTTACAGATTTTAAGTTTTTTTCAGTGCTCTAAATTGTGTGGAAAACAGCTGGAATTCAGAGGGCAAATATGTGGAAAGGAGAACACTCAATTCACAGTAGTTATTGATCCTTCAGTCTTGAGTATTTTACCATACAGGCAGGGTCCAATCGGAAGAGAGAAACCACACAGAAATTTGAACATGATAAGTTTAATATGAAGATTCATCAACTATAAAGGGTCACTGGAGTAATTTAGGATTATCAACAAGAAGAATGAAGTCCACAGTATACAGAAATAGCAGATATAAGCAGCAGGCTGACCCTAGGTTTGAGATAGAGAGCCCAAAGGAGTAGCCTCTCAGGGCTGAGATGCAGACCTTCTTATAGAAGGGACAACCATCATTCACTAGATAACAGAGAAGTCTCTCTGTGATGCCATGCCAGAGAAACTTTCTGGTAATTACTCTCCAAAACTTGTTAGAAAACTTCCCTGTATAGTCCTGGAGAAAGCTGTTCATAGATAGGTGTCTTACTGGAGACACTCAATTATAAACCAGACCAACAGAAGAATGGCTGTGCAGGAAGTTGCTAGCTACTGGGTGAAGTTGACCATCATGCATTACAGTAGCTGGGCAATGGAGAAGCTGCACGTGCTGTCGGAGCAAAGCATTGGAAAATTTTGGTGCTGCAGAATCCAGGAGTTGGATAAGCCGAGTGCTCTACAAGATCCTGCCAGGAGAGCTTATCAGAACCAGGAAATTCTCTTCCTCCTGCAGTGTCTCTCCAGTACCCTCTACTTAAAAGCTTAACATTGTGTCAGGTAGTAAAGAAGTTGTATTCACCAGGCCCATCTCTAGTTTTATAGATCAGGCAATGAATATTATATTAAGAGCTGAGAGAATAAATTGATCCTTGGCACCTGTGTCTTCCTCTGGTGTGTATCAGCTTTTAGGCATTCTATTCATCAATTAACTCATTTACTATGAGTCAAACGTTGTTCTAGGCACTTTGCATAATAATTTTTTTTAGTGATCCTGATCCACAAAAGTTCATAGTTTAATGAGGAGGCAGATATCTGTACAACTAAATATAGTCATTCATGCCCATATACATTTATTACACAAATATTTAAGGAGTATTAATTATGAGCTTGGCAATTTGTTGCATCATGGGCACTGTCCTTACCCATAAGAAAGCACTGTCTAAAAGATTAAACAAACAAGTAAACAGACACAACTCAAATACTGCTTAAGATTTCAATACGATGAAATACCAGCACCTTCACTGGAGATTATATTACCACGGTTACCAATGACTCTGAGTTCCTGATTCCTATATATTTGATACATTAATAGATCAGCTTCCTACCTGTTCTGTATTTTATCAATTCAGATATGACCCTTTTTACAAAAGCTACCATATAAGATCTCTGTAAATGGCACACTTCACTGGATGTTAAATAAAATGAAGGAACAATGCACATAAGGCAAACAATGTAAAATCCCACGTCAGTCATCCTCGTTACTCCTTCTTCTGATCATGCTGCCACCAGAATTCTTCTAGTGGTTTGCTTTACCTCATGTAGCACCAGTAAATGGTATAAATACTGTTTTCTGATCTGTTTCTCCTTCTCTGGCTTATTTTTCACTCTCCTCACTTCCTCTATCGTTAGTTCCAGGAAGTCTCACATTTTCTCACTATTTTAAGCTGGGCCAATTGAGATTTCTCTAACCCAAATTCACCCATGCATCTCTAAGATTTGACTATTGGAATGAATCTCGGTGGTCAACAGAACAAAAGAGCCATTCATGAGACAGTAGGCACCTCCTTCCCTGAAAGAGTGGTTCTTTAGGAAGTAGACTCCGAGACAGAGTTCATCAAGAAGAATATTTATTATGGAGTGCCCTTGTCATCATCAACAGCTGTGGAAAGAAAGTAGGATCAGGCAGAGGGAGATGTTGAGTTGAGATGTAGGCTTTATAACCTCAAGTCAACCCACAGGAGCCTCTGGTAATAAAATGGCCCCTAATGTTTTCCTTTCTTAGGCTGAAATAGCTGGACCTTCACAGACCCCACCTCAACCAGCCATTATTAATAGATTGCCCTGGGAAGAGGATGACTTTGAGCAAGATGGATCTCTTGAGACAAGACTTGAAGGTTCTGACACCTGAAGGCTATGACCTCAGCACCTCCAGAAGCTAAGGCAATATGTTTTTCCCAAGAAGGACATCTTGGGGATTCATCACTATTTCTTCTGAAGTCCACCCCTTGTGCCGCTCACATTCACCTTTTTATATTCATTTGGGTATAACATCTCCTAGGTTCCTGAGAGGTAAATTAAAAGAGTAATGTTAGTGAGAAGAGCTACAATTCTTCCCATGCAGTTAGTCTTAGGACCACAGATGAAACTCATTATATCCATTCTCCATGACTTAACCTATATCACCTTTACCTGTAGCTGGCACCTATGCTGAACTTGGAGGCTTACCTATGGCAAAGCCCAGACCCTGCTTTGGAGGAATATGAGCCCCATAGTTTCTTACTATGCTCTTCTCAGGCCAGAATTTTGGTACTTGTGCATTTGTCAACACCACTGGGCTAGTGGATCATGTGGGCACCAAACATACTCCATTTTAGCTTTAGAAAATGAGTCTTCTTTTTCCCTATGATCCCTAGACAGTAGGAACCTAAAGTGCCCGGGCATAGCCATAGCTCCATATCTAACCCTTGCTTTGGTCCCTTGAGGGAATGTTCCCCTTTTGAAGATGAGGACTTGTAATATTGCACAGCATAGCATTGCATGTACAGGAAGCTCAAATTTTCTGAGTGGGTCATTGGGAATTATAGTAAGAGAGCCATACCTGCTTCCATCTCTTGGTTCCTGGCCCTGTGTGTTATTCCTACTGAGGACATGGTATAATATAAAGGTCTTCATTCAAGATGTGTACACAGAAATCTCTAAAAATATATTCAAAGACCTCTAGTATGTCTTCATCTCACACAGGGTATAATCCAGCAACCTCACCATGACCTAAGCCTAGCTCCCTGTTATCTCTCTGACCTCATCTGCTACCACTTTCTTCTTTTAGAGATTCCTGTTCCCACTACCTTGGTTTCTTGATGTTCCTGAAATGTTCTAGACGTACTCCATCTCAAAGACTTAGTATTTTCTGTCTGATATGCCATTCTTGAGATACCTTCTGCTTCATCCTTTCATCTATATCAGGTACTTCTTCAAATGTCTTCTTCCCAGTAAGGCTTTCTCTATTTTTCCCTATTTTAAAAGTTTACACTCCCTGGACCCTGAGGACTTTATATTCTCTTGCTGCTTTTTTTTCCTACCTTTCTCCACAATACTAATCACCATATAACATCTTACGCATTTATTTATTTGTTATCTATCTCACCCTCCTGGTATGTGAGCTCCATAAAGGCAGGTGAGCCTTTGTGTATTTGTTTTGTTTTATTTTTGTCTGTTTTGTTTGTTACTATTTCTTCAGTGCTTAGAACAGTGCAGGTGATCAAAAAAATTTGTTTAATAAATAAACACAAATGGAAAGTTTTGTTGTCATTATCATTGTTCATTTATGAGTATTAGAGTAAGAAGATAACCAGGTCTGTGGAAACACAGACTAAAAATAATCAGCTGGATATGAAAATGAGGCACAAGATTTGAACAGATGTCAAGGAACCGTACTCTTTCAGCCCTTTTTTTTTCCTCAGGATTGTCTTTATTCAATTATTTATTAAAGGAACAAGATAAAAACCATGAAACTAGGAGCAATGTTCAATTTTCAGTAGCTTCTGCTTGAATTTGGCTTAGAATTACAGCCTGTTAGAGCCCAAAGGAACTTGTAGAAGGACAAAGTGATTTATGAAGAATAGCATCTAGTTTTCATTAGCAGTGCCTCCCCACGAAAACCAAGGACAGCTATTTAACTTGGATTTCAAAAACCTTAGTCTTTGAGTCACAGGCTGATGCTGAAAATTTTGAGAAGTTTTGAGTGTTCTAGATTCTACTCAAGCAAAGAAAGTTCAGCTGTTCCAGCTTGAGTGCTATTGTGGCTCATTTTATTCCTGCATTGCTACTAAATCAATACAATGCATATGTGCTAACATCCATTTTCTCAGAAATTAAAAAAAATATGTTATTGGCCTCTAAAATGTGCCAGGTATTGTGCAAAGTACTACAAACACATACAAAAAAAAGTGATAAAAATCTAAGTCCTTGAAGGACTCAAGCATTGGAGGTAGCAACCAATAATCAGTGGCCCCACAATGAGATTAGTGTTAATAAAAGTTGTAGGAGGATGGTATACATGGGACTGTAGGAAGAAAAGGGAAGTGAGTTAGAAAAGGCATTTCATAGATGATGAATTCAGAGCTGTACCCTGAAAGGTCATTATGACTTTCCATGGTTGGAATGAAAAGGGAGTGGGTTTTTTTTTTTTTTTTTTTTTTTTTGGCAGAGGGGATTATATATATTTAAAAGAAACTGACTAATGATGAAAACGTGACAGTGTATGCTATACTTCATGCAAGTGTATGCTATGTTGAGTAGCAAATTAATAACGATGCTAATAGTAGCAAACAATTTTATAGCACCTAGTAGACATTGGAAACTTTTGAAAGCACTTTATAGCTATATTATGTTTCGTCTTTCTTATAGTCCTATAACATAGATACCATTATTATATCAATTTTACAGATGAAGTAGGTTGATCCAGGTTCTTCAAGAAGCAAATGTTGAGAGGTTAGATATGCAAGCGATTTATCAGGGAAAATACCTGTGAGGGAGAATGAAGTGGGATCCAGCGGAGGCCAGGAGAGCAGGTCAGACCATAGTGCAGGTCTATCCTTTGTGAAGGAGTAAGAAAGGAAGAACTGTTGAGTGGAAGATTTTAAAACTGCAATACGGTCAGAGGAAGTTCCACAAGGTCAATGGGAAATCTTCATGCCAGAGACAGCTATGAGAGAAGTCCTGTGATTCCCTGCAGCCAGAGATCTGAGAGGCACATACTCATGGTCACCACATGAGTCGATTGAGGAACTGAGAGATAATTCCACTGAGCTCACAAAGATACTAAGTGGCAGTTCTCAGGCAGTTTGTTTCTAAAGCCATGTTTAAAGTATAGCACACCTTTGAGCCAGGATGAAGTCCTATTAGATTTCAATTTAAGAATACCTATTCTGGTAACCAAGTGATAGATGGAATAACACAATGAAAATAAATTGAAATTGGAAAGACCAGAGAGAAGGCTGATGCCGTCTTCCAGAAAATAAAATTAGAAAATCTAAATTAAAAAAGGCTGCAGCAGAGAGTGGGAGGATTTCAAAGCTATTTAATCAGTAGAATCAATAGGGCTTGGTTACTGACAGGCTGTGAAGGAGAGGAAAGAGTGAAAAACATCCTAGTTGTTTCTACCATTAAGAAATTGAGACTATTTGCAGAAAGTAAGAATATAATAGTGGCTTAGCAAGAAAAGTAGTGAATTCTGCTTTGGATGTGTTTTTACATATCCAAGACTTTGCTAGGCACGGTGAAACTTCTGAAAAAATACAAAGCTTAACTTTGTCCTTTGCTACATTTTTATTACTTATAACTACTTTGTATAATTTTTAAATTAACACTGGCGGTGGGCATGTTTATAAGAGTAACCATTTTGTTGGCACTGAGATTGATATTCAATAAGGTGGGGCAACTCTTCCAAGATCATATGGTTTATGAATGACAGGATCCATATCGCTTGAACCCGGGAGGGGAAGGTGGCAGTGAGCTGAGATCGCGCCACTGCACTCCAGCCTGGCAACAGAGCAAGACTCTGTCTAAAAAAAAGAAGAACAGACTAAAAGATTAAGTTTCATCATAGAAGGAGATTTGCAACTTATATCAAATCGCGTATTGGAGTTTACAAACTCTTTCACACACTTCCAAATAAATCTTAATGATTAGCCTGTGAGATAAGAAATGTAACCATTTTACAGAGATTGACACTAAACTTGATGATGTAAGTAACTTGCCCAAGTTCACACAGATTCTGGGTCAAGGAGCCAAGATGTGATGCCAAGTCTGCAGGCTCCATGTTCAGTAGGTGAATTGTGAAAAGTTCTTAATTTAGAAGCAGGAAAATCATAGTTGTGACAGAGGAAGACTTATCTGGTTTCCAAGAATAGAAAAGACTAGCAAGTGGGAAGGCCAAAGATGAAAGTGAGTAGGGTAAAGACTGGCATGTACTTATAATATGTACACAACTTTATAAATATAATGAAACTGCCAGCCTTACTGGAAAGAGCATAAAACCAAAGGACAGACATGTCCCAACCTGACATATTAAACTTGGCAGGTGATTCACATTGGCTTGGCAGGGTTGCAACTCACAAAGAAGGTGTGTGACTTTCACAAGTCTATTTTTCACTGACTTGATGAAGGCTGAAGTCTTACCTTCAGTCACAGACATAAAAGCTCAGCTTTCTGGATAGAACAGTAGGAGCAATAAAAACACAGTCTCAAGGCGATTATCAAAGGACCAATTCAATTTTTTCCAAGAAGATATT
The DNA here is from genome assembly GCF_000001405.40 of Homo sapiens. NCBI lineage: Eukaryota > Metazoa > Chordata > Mammalia > Primates > Hominidae > Homo > Homo sapiens. The sequence goes on along the minus strand of NC_000004.12, from coordinate 14,308,098 downwards.
TATTTATGTTTGTGTATAATAAAAACAGATGGTAAATGAGAAAGGAAGAAGGAAAAACCAGTGAGAGAAGATACGACAGGGAGCAAACTCATGATGTTCAAAGCCGATTTCAGGAGAAAAAAAAAAATCTGTCTTACACAAGAGCTCACCATAATAGACGTGTTTGGAGACAAAGTCAAAATGTGCCAGAGTGACACGGAGATCATTAAACCGTCCTGTATCAGGGCTATAGAAGATTCCTGGTATTAAAGAAGTGTCCAATAAGAAAGGAGGTGCAGCGGTCTAGAGAAAAATGAAGGTGAAAGTTTAAAGCCAGGGAACAAAAAAAATTATAAAAGAAAGTGGCAATTGAGAATTACCTATGGCAGGTGTAATCAAGAGCATTTTTAAATAGCAGAACTACTTAATATTTGATATTCAATTATGAGTTATGCGTTATTTCCTTCTACCTCACATCTGCCACTGCATCCAAATCTCTTGTAAAATTCTCCTGTGTGAATGCCTTCTGTGAATCGTGTTTGGGGGGAAATCTAGGCAAAGGAGTAGTGGTCTGTGACTAAGGCCAACTGGAACAAAGAGGGGCATAGACCAGAGAGGAGAGACAGAAAGAAGAATAAGGAATCCACGGGAGAAGTGGCAATGAGCAGTGAGCAAACATGGCCTTCCAGCCACCATTTCATGAAAACTTCCTAGAAGCAGACTATAGTGTCTCACCATGTGACCTTGGACAAAATATTTAACCACATTTAGCGTCATTTATTTTCCTAATTTGTAAAATTAGCATAATAATACTTATTCAATAAAAGGTGATTATTATTACTATTGCTCTGTACACGTTGATCTCTGGGTTATGTATAGCCTTAGTACCTTTTGACTACACTTCCCTAACTATGTTAAACGCAAGTGTGTTCTCTTCAGTTCTGTTACATACAGGAGTTGATCCCATTACTCTTAAGAATCATCCTAGAATTACCCTCTTGTTCCTCACTCCACATGCTGTCACATCCAGTCCATCAGTGAATCCAAGTGAGTCTAGCTGAAAACTTTTTGCAAAATCAGTTCACTCCACTCTATCTCCACTCCAGACACTCTTGTCTCAACCACTGTCACCTGGGCAATGGCATTTTTCTCCATGCTGTCCTCCCATCTTTCTACTACACTCCCTTCTCCATATGGCAGTCCAGTGGTCTTTATAAAAGGTAAATCAGCCAGGCACTGTGGCTCACACCTGTAATCCCAGCACTTTGGGAGGCCAAGGTGGGCGGATCACGAGGTTGAGAGTTCAAGACCAGCCTGGCCAACATGGTGAAACCTCGTCTCTACTAAAATCACAAAAAGTGGCCAGACATGGTGGCATACGCCTGTAATCCCAGGTACTGGGGAAGTTGAGGCAGGAGAATTGCTTGAACCCGGGAGGCGGAGGTTGCAGTGAGCCTAGATTGTGCCACTGCACTCCAGCCTGGTCAACAGAGCAAGACTGCGTCTCAAAAAACAAACAAACAAAACATTTTAAAAAATAAAATTAAAAAGTAAATCACGCCATGCCATGCTTCCATCTAAGAACAGTCCATGGCTTTCTGTCATGACTGAAAAAAAACTTTAAATTTTTACTATGACCTATCAGGCTCTACTTAATGACTGTGGACCCGGCCGGGTGCTGTGGCTCATGCCTGTAATCCCAGCACTTTGGGAGGCCAAGGTGGGCAGATTACAAGGTCAGGAGATCGAGACCATCCTGGCTAACACGGTGAAACCCCATTTCTACTAAAAATACAAAAAATTAGCCAGGTATGGTGGCGGGTGCCTGTAGTCCCAGCTACTCGGGAGGCTGAGGCAGGAGAATGGCGTGAACCTGGGAGGTGGAGCTTGCCGTGAGCTGAGATCACGCCACTGCACTCCAGCCTGGGTGACAGAGCGAGACTCTGTCTCAAAAAAAAAAAAAAAGACTGTGGACCTAACCTTATCTCACTTCCTCTTCTCACTCTGTCCTGACCACACAGGCCTTTTTCTCCTCTCTTTTCCATGGCCTGTTTTGCTGCCTCTTTGTCCTCTTCTTCCTTTTTTTTTTTTTTTTTTTTTAATTCCTGGAATAAGCACAGCTTGATTCTTCTTGGAGTCTTTGCATATTCTGTTTCCTTTTGTGAGAAGCTCTACCCCGGTGCTGTCTCATGGCTGGCTGACTTGTGACATTCAGAGCTCAGTGTCTGAACTCAAAGCCCAACTCTTCATAGAGCCATTCTTTTTCTTTTATTGTGGAAGGAACACTTAACATGAGATCTACCCCTTAAAGTTTTTTAAGTGTTGAATGCATTATTATTGACAATAGGTACAATGTTATACAATAGATCTCTAGAGCTTAAATACCTTGATTGACTGAAACTTTATGCCCATTGATTAGTAATAATCCATTTTCCCTTCCTCCAGCCCCTGGCAACCCCGTTGCATTCTTTCATTCTATAATGACTATTTTAGGTACTTCATATAAGTGGAATTATGTAGTATTTGTCCTTTTGTGACTGGCTTATTTCACTTAGCATAATGTCCTCAAGATTCACCCATGTTATCACATATTACAGAATTCCATTCTTTTTCAAAGCTAAATAGTATTCCATTGTATTTTATTCCATTCCAGGTGATTTAACTAATATCTCACTGATGAGCACTTTTATTGTTTCCAGTCTGCTGAAATGCAATAGTGTATGTCTGTGTATAAACACACACACAATGTATGTACATACCACATTTTGTTTATCCATTCATCAATAGACATGTTGATTATTTCCACATCTTGGTTATTGTAATGGATATAGGAACACGAATACTTCTTTGATATCCTGATTTCAATTACTTTAGATAAATACCAAACAATTGGATTGTTAGATCATTTGGTAGTTCTATTTAAAATTTTTAAGAAACCTCCACATTGTTTCCCAGAGTGACTTTACCATTTTGCATTCCTACCAAAAATATGCAAGGGCTCCAATTTAGCCATATGCTTATCAACATTTTTTTTTAAGATAGCCATCTTGACAGGTATAAGGTGATACTTCGTTATGATTTTGATTTGCATTCCCTGATAATTTGTGATGTTGAGCATTTTTTCATATATCTATTGTACATTTATATGTACTCTTTGGAAAAATGTTTATTTACTCCTTTAGCTCAGTTTTGATTAGATTAACAGGTTTTTTGCTGTTATTTCTTGAGATTTATTTTACTGTTGAGTTGTAGGAATTCCAGATATATTTTGGAGCTTAACCCTTTGTCAGATATACGGTTTGCAAATATGTTCTGCCATTCTGTTATTAGTGGCCTTTTCACTGCATTGATTTTTTTCTTTGTTGTGCAGAATCTTCTTAGTTTGATGTAGTCCCATTTATTTATTTTCTTTTTATTGATTATGATTTTGGTGTAATTTCCATGAAATCATTGCCAAGACCAATGTCATGAGGCTTTTCCCCTGTGTTTTCTTGTAGGAGTTTTATGGTTTCAGGTCTTACCTTTAAGTCATTAGTCCAGTTTGAGTTTGCATACAGTGTAAGGCAAGAGTCCAGTCTCATTCTTTTGCATGTGTATGCTCAGTTCTCTCAACATCATTCATCGAGTAGACTATCCTTTCCTCATTGTGTATTCCTGGTATCCCTGTGGAAGATCAGTTGACTTTACATGTGCTCATCTATTTCTAGACTCTGTTCTGTTCTATCAGTCTATACTTCCACCAAGGGTTTCATTTTGCCCACTGTGTGCTGAGGAGAAGGGACCAGCCCAACCTGCTGCCTCCGTTCTAGTCTGTGCCACATCCATCAGAACTCCAAGACTAGTAAGACACAGAGCCAGTCTTTTGACATATCCCTTGGAAAATGTGGGTGCTGAGTGTATGAATCAGCCCCTTCTCTCCCTCTGGGTAAAACTGGCAGATTGGAGTTTCTTTCTGATTGTATGACACTGTGCCAGGAGCAGGACCTCTGGAGAGAGGAAGCTCTAGATCTCCCCACCAGCTCCATTAAGTCTGGCTGTGTGTTCTCCCGAAGTGCACGAGCTTTTCCATTAGTTTCTGATTTCTCACAAAAGGAATCTGTTAATTGTGGCTGAATTGGTATGTCTGTGGGGAGGAAGAAGAATTCAGGGCTTTCTATTCTCCTATGTTGCTGTCATCACTTTCCCACAGGCTCAGTCTTGATTATTGAATCTAAACGCTCTATTTTCCCATCACTCTATAATGTACCATCCTATTTTACTTTACTTTTTAGATCACTTGTCCCCATTTGAATTTAGCTTGTTTCTGTATTTGCTTGTTAATGTTTGTTGTCTATTTCTCTCCTAAAGTGCAATATCCATGACAGAAAGTATCTTAACTATTTGACTCAATTACATAAATACCAAATTAGTTTTCAATAACCAATTAAACTAGTAGTTCTAAAGTTTTGAGAGTCCCAGTCTTCCTTATGAATCTATTATAAGCATTAATATCTTGCTACAGATAATTACACACATTTCTAAAATAAAATTTTAGAGAATTATTTGATTCCAAATATAATTTTCATGCATATGAGATAGCCTGGAAGGCAGAGATCAGAGAATACAACACTACAGAGCCTAGCTCAAGCCACCTTGGCATAGAGAAGTGTGTATTTAATAAGTATATATACATGTATATATACTTTTAATATAATACTTATTAAATAAGTATACGTATTTTTAGATTTATTTTATTATTTCAAAGTGTATATATATATTTATATATATATTCACACACACACACACACACACACAGAGAGAGAGACAGGCAGACAGAATAGCAGCACAGCACAGAAAAAGATTATAAAGAATTTCTAAAGCAGCATACAAATTTTATATGTAAGGCAACGGAGGTCCAGAAAGGGAAAAGAACTTTTCAATATCATGCAGATAATAAACTGCACTGCTAATAGTAAAACCCAGTTCTCCTCATTCATGATCCAGTGCTCATTCTCAGAACTCATAATGTTATCTGTTTCCAACTCTGAAAACTGAAAGAGTTGAATCAATGTCACTAATATCCCTGAGCACTGAAACACCCAAGTTATCTTTAATGAATCAAAAGGCAATTAAAAGTTGTACTTTTTAAAGTAGATCATGTATAATCTTGTCTAAATTTGAGAACTATCTAAAATGAAGCAAGAAAATCAAGAATGGGATGGTCAGGGAAGTAGAGCATTGATTCTAGGTGCCTGACTCCATTTGAGAATTAAAGCAGCTCAAGTTCTAAAAAATTTCTAAACTTCTTCTATCAGATATGTATGGAGAAATGGAATTTATCTCTGGAGGGCTTATCATTTCTCCTGAGGTGAGCTGAAATGAAGATACAGGATTTCTTAACAATACCAAACAAAAGCTAGGGAGTGATAGACTTGGACATTTTCTCTGCTAAATTTTCATTCTGCCCTAAAGCTAGTATCTTCAATTTGCTGAGGGAGAAAACAAAAACAAAAACATGCAAACAACAAATTTCTTGTGGGGATAATTTTTTAAATTCAATGGGCTTACTAAGCTTTTCTGAATCTAGGAACATAATTCTCTTGTCTCATTTGTGTGTGGTCATAAGTGTTTTACTGCAACTGTGACTCGCAATTTAAAGCTTGTTGATTTTTTCCCCATCTCTTTACCCCTCTAATGAGAAAGTTTTATGTCTGTACATCATCTCAGGTTACACATGCAGATATATGTGAATATTTCATACAGAAAGGCAAATCATTATATTGATTTTCAAGTCTTTTTTTAGAACAAGTTTCCTATTTCATCTTCTGTACCACAAATATGTACTCATCTACAATCATCCAGTGAGGTTACAAGAGTGAAAACAACTAATGCCCATGTATATTCCATGACTTTGCTCCAAATACATAATGATATGGTTTGGCTCTGTGTCATGTCCCCACCCAAATCTCATCAGGAATTGTAATCCCCATAATCCCCATGTGTCAAGGGTGGGACTAGATGGAGGTAATTGGATCATGGGGGTGGTTTACCCCATGCTGTTCTCATGATAGTGAGTTCTCAAGAGATCTGATGGTTTTATAAGCATCTGGCATTTTCCCTGCTTTCACTCACTCCATCCTGCCACCCTTTGAAGAAGGTGCTTGCTTCTCCTTTGCCTTACATTATGTTTCCTGAGGCCTCCCCAGCAATGCAGAACTGTGAGTCAATTAAACCTCTTTCCTTTATAAATTACCTCGCCTTGGGTATTTCTTCATAGCACGGTGAGAACAGACTAATACACATCCTCCCTTAAAAATGTAAACTTGGGGGGGTTTCCCCAAATTAGGAGTGGGGAAAGACTAACATGGTGACTTGTAATATGTGATCTTACATATTTTAAGTGGTTAAGAGAGAATGGTGGAGACTTTAATGACTCCATTTATTCAAGCTACAGAATAAAATACCAATTTTTTAGCATCACACATATATTAGTGTTCTCCAGAGAAACAAAATGTATTACAACACACACACATGCACATACACACACATACACACATATTTACGCATACAGAAACACACATATATATCTTTTTATATATATGAGGAAATTTATTATAAGGTATTGGCCCATGTTATGATTATGGTGGCTGAGAAGTCCCACTCTCTGCTGTCTGCAAGCTGCAGACTCAAGAAGGCTGGAGGTGTACCTTAAAGTCCTGAAAGCCACAAAAATGATGGTGTGCATTCCACTCTAGGTCAGAAGGCCTGAGAACTAGGAATGCAGAGGCCAGGAGAAGACGAATGTTCTGGCTCAGTCAGGCAGAGTTAATACAAAATTTCTCTACCTTTATATTTTATTCAGCCCTCAATATGGCTGAATGATGCTTACTCATTGGGGAGGGCCATGTGGTTTGCTTAATCTATCAACTCAAATGCTAATCTCTTCTAGAAACACCCTCAGTGACACATCCAGAAACAGCTATCTGGGCATCTCCTGGCCCAGTCAAGTTGATACATAAGATTAACTGTCACAATACATATTTGGTTAATCATAATACTCTTTAGGGTCCACTTTTATTTTCTTGAGTTTATAGTCCCATCCCAAACATTACAAGCCCCTTCCTCACACTATCCACCCTTGGTTTCAGCCATACTTAAAAACTTAATCACTTCCACCAAACACAGTTATAATTCTTTATGCCTTCACACATGCTAGACGTTTTCTGGGATTTTTTTTCTTCATATCTACATTTAATCATTCTTAAAAATCCAAAGAAAGAATAGTCTCCTCTTTAAAGACTTTTCTGATGCTTACAAACAGTGTTCATGGCTGTTTCTCTTGTACTTCCCCATTATTGGACTGTTGGATTTATAAGTTCTGCAAGCTCACATCTCCTACCCTGAATTTTCCTTACACACACTGTCATATAATGTCTTGACTAAGGTTAATGTCGATATCCCATTGACCTCTGTCCCCTAGTGTATGATACACTATTAAAGGAGAAAATAGAGCAAAGTAGTGCTGGAGAAATGGTGGTCATCTGGAGAAGAGGGAGGCTGTAAGCTTCCAGTGGATGCATCCTTGAAGGGCAAGTGTTCTGGGCCCAAGCAGAGCTTCTAAAAAAAACCCCTACTCTTTACAATGCCTCATGACCCACCAGTTACAAAGGTGGAAAGAAAAGAAGAGAGATAAAAGAGGAAGGAGTGTGGGAAAGGGGATATCAGGACAAAAGAAGATGAAGAAAATCAGGGAAAAAAAAGAAAGAATAAGAAAAGTGAGAGAAGAAATGAAGGAAGGAACAAAAAAAGACAAGGAGAGAAGAAAATCTAGTCAATACATGAGAATAAGTTTAATGAAGATTCATCTGTCTGAACAAATTTTATTTTTTTGTTTGTTATTATTCACATATTTCAACATCCAAAAGAGATGGTCATATGAAGTCAATGCTGACAAATTTTTATAACTTTATTATTTCTTAGTTATTTTATACATATAAAACATGTCTGTATTTCCTTTCCCCATAATTTTTACCCATATACTAAATGGTAGTGTATGATACATACATACTATTCTTTGTGTTCTTTTCACTTAAAATACATCCTCAAGTTCATTATCACTGCATAAAGAATCTCTTCAATTGGAATGATTACTTAAATTCCATGGAATGGTTTTATGCCAAGTGATTTAACCAATATCTCACTGATGAGCACTTTCGTTGTTTCCAATCTGCTGAAATGGAATAGTGTATGTCTGTGTATAAACACACACACAAACATAGACACAATACTTCATACATGTGGTGGTATATTTGCTGAATAATAAAATTGCTGCATCAAAGCATATGGGCTTTTTGGTTCAGGGGAATATGTTAAATAGCCACCAAGGACGAGGTGCCGTTTTATATTTCCATTATTGCTGTGATGTGGAATTTTCCAATAGCTGCACTAAACAGTATGCTACCAAACTCTTGGTTCTTTGCCAGCCTTGCAGGTGGAGGACAGTATCTCTGTTCAGTTGTTTACAATTTTAGACAATTGGATGATTTTTTTTGATCAGTTAATTAATTAGTATAATTATACTCATGATCCTCAGAACACAATCACAAAGCTAAATTGTGAGCTGAGAATACATGTAAGTAAATAGACATACTTGGAAATTCACTGGGCTTCCTTTGCCACATTTTCAGGAACTAGCATTCTCTATCCTAAGGGAGAATACGAGGTTTATCTTACCATTTGCATCCCATTTGTACTCTGCAAAACTGGGACAGAATCCAGAGTATCTCTGCCTTGCCTGTGACATCTCACCTGCTCACCCACACTTATCGTCATCAGCTGTATTCACCCTAATTTTTCCCTGGAAGTTTCCTCTCCTATGCTAAGAGAACAGAACACAGGGACAGAGGATATCAGAGTTCCCTGCTGCAATGATGCTGAGAGAGACACCATCATTCTTTTTTTTTTTTTTTTTTTTTTTTTTTTTTTTTTTTTTTGAGACACTGTCTTGCTCTGCCACCCAGGCTGGAGTGCAATGGCACAATCTCAGCTCACTGCAACCTCCACCTCCCGGGTTCAAGCGATTCTTCTGCCTCAGCCTCCCAAGTAGCTGGGATTACAGGTGCATGCCACCATGCCTGGCTAATTTTTGTTCTTTTAGTAGAGATGGGGTTTCACCATATTGGCCAGGTCGCTCTCGAACTCCTGACCTCGTGATCCGCCCGCCTTGGCCTCTCAAAATGCTGGTATTACAGGCGTGAACCACCGCACCCGGCCTTTTATACATCTTTCACTCACTTTCTCTTGTATTCCCTGCCTCAGATGTCAATCCCAGGACCATTTTTCAAGATGTCGTACTTGGAAGCAGCTCTTCCTGTGAAGGTGCTGATGTAGATCCCACATTCTCTGCCATAATCCACTAATGTTACAGTTCGCCCACCAGTCTGCATTTAATTTTCTGCCTCATCAGAATATCTAGTTCCTTGAAACCCACAGGAAATTACTGCATCTATTATGCTCTCCTTCTAGGTTGTATTTTAAAGCCTATCTTTTTATACCCATGTCTGCACCAAACCTTATATTGGTTTACCCCTTTTGTACATTCATTAAGCATCCCGTTGAAAAAATTTGAGATGGATAAATTCCAATTCTTTCTTTCTTTCCTTCCTTTTTTTTTTTTTTTTTTTTAGACAGAGTCTCTTCTGTCACCCAGGCTGAAGTGCAGTGGTGCAATCTCGGCTCACTGCAATGTCCACCTCCCAGGCTCAAGCAATCCCCCTGCCTTAGCCTCCTGAGTAGCTGGGATTATGGGTGCCTGCCACCACACTTGGCCAACGTTTGGTATTTTTAGTAGAGATGGAGTTTTGCCATGTTATCCAGGCTGGTCTCAAACTCTAGCCTCAAGTGATCTGCCTCATTGAGTGATCTGCCTGCCTCGGGCTCCCAAAGTGCTGTGCTTACAGGTGTGAGCCATTGCCTGGCCACCAGTTCTTCACCTTCATGTAATCTACTGAGTTTCCTAATCTGATGACTTGTACAACTGTACATTTATAGATCCTAATGCCAGTTTTAATTTAAACCCTGCCAAAAATACCTTACGATTTATTTTTAGTCACCCTGTTTTTTCAATATTTGTAAAGTCAGACCCTTTCCCTTCTCTTCTCACTCTTGGTGGATATCACTTCCTCCCAATTTACAAAAAATGAAGAACTACAACACTGAAAATATTTGAAATTTGCATCATTAATTTACAAGCTCTCCTTAATCTAGATTCATGCATCTTTCTCCCTTTTTGTCCATAATGAGGACAAGAAAGACACAGTAAGTATTCCCCTTATTCTACGTTTCATTTTAATTATTATTTATAATTAATCTTAAAATATTTTAGGTGAAAATTTTATTCCATAAATTTTTTCTTTTTCTTTTTTCTTTTTCTTTTTCTTCTCTTTTTTTTTTTTTTTTTTTTTTTGAGATGGAGTCTTGCTCTGTCACCAGGCTGAAGTACAGTGACACAGTTTTGGCTCACTGCAATCTCTGCCTTCTGGGTTCAAGCAATTCTCCTACCTCAGCCTCCCGAGTAGTTGTGACTACAGGCATGTGCCACCACACCCAGCTAATTTTTTGTGTTTTCAGTAGAGATAGGGTTTCACCATATTGGCCAGGCTGCTCTCTAACTCCTGACCTCGTGATCTGCCCACCTTGGCCTCCCAAAGTGCTGGGATTACAGGCGTGAGCCACCGTGCCCAGCCTCCCTAAACTCTTTTTAACCCAGTCCAACTTTGGCTCTTTCACATCCACCACTCCACTGAAATTGCTCCTGCTAGTGTTGCCTGAATTATTTAATACACTAAATCCAATGTCCTCTTTTCATTCCTCCTTCTGCTTGACCTTTCAGCAGACTATGGTAAGAAAACAGCATACAAGGACAGAGGATATCAAATTTGTCTTCTGCAAGGATGATGAGAGATTTCTCCATCTCCGAACACTCAGTTCTTCTTCCGGTCCTAGTTCTCTAGCTTCCTCTACTCAGCCATTAAATATTAGGGATCCTTGGAATCTCTCATAAACTCTCCTATGGCCTCATAGTGCTTGCTCAGTGGATAAGTATATTCATTTCTTAAGGTTCATAAATAACCCTTTTTTTTTCTTTTTGAGACAGAGTCTCTGTTGCCCAGGTTGGAATGCAGTGGTGCAATCTCATCTCACTGCAACCTCCACTTCCCGAATTCAAGCAATTCTCCTGCCTCAGCCTCCTGAGTATCTGGGATGACAAGCGTATGCCACTACACCTGGTTAATTTTTGTATTTTTATTAGAGACAAGGTTTCACCATGTTGGGCAGGCTGGTGGTCTTCAACTCCTGACCTCAAGAGATTTGCCCACCTCAGCCTCAAGATTCATAAATAATCTATTTGCCAATGATTTTCATGTTCGCATACCCTACACAATCTTCTCTTTGGATGTCCACACCCAGTTGTTGACCTGACATTTTTACTAAAATATCTTGCAGTAGCTTAAAATCTCTCAAAGTTCCCTCGGTGACATTAGGGTATAGTCTGTGTTCTAATTTGCATGATTTGGGCTCTTCTCTGCCCTTCCTCCTCATCTAATTCCAATCGCTCTTTCACCACGCAGCCTCTGGCCACACTTCATCTCCCCAGACATGCCACAAACTCTCTTGTGCTTTTTCCATTACCCTAGACACTCTTCTCATCTCATCAGCCAGCGCTTCGTCTTGTTTCTTCTCATCTCTAGGCCTCAGCTCATGCACACTTTCCAGGAGAAGCTTTATTTGGCTCCCCAGAGGCAGTAAGCCTTTCTGCTTTGTATTCCTGTGGCATGCTCTACTCTGCATTACATATTTACCTCTCTTCTAATTACTTTTCAAGCTCTGTCTTCTCTAAACTATAAACTCCACAAGAGTGATGCTAATGGCTGTCTTACTTACTGACATATTGCCAGTCCCTCATCTTAGTGGTCACCACTATCTCCCAATTCTCATGTTTCTCTAGGGCAGGGCCTGCATCAGTAACACCCTGGTCTCTCTCTTGCCCACCTTCCCTGGACTCAGTTACTACACTTACTCTCTCTCAGAGGCAGCGAAGGAACTCAGCTCATCAATGAGTTTGGAGAAGGATGGGAACATGTTATTCTCTCCCTTTGGGGACTTGGCTAACAAACTAAAAGCAGCATCTTCCAACAGTTTTATCAGGATATTTTGATCTTCACCTCTCAATTTTTTTTTTTTTTGTTATATGTGTTTCTCAACTAGTTTCAAACTCAGGCAAAGAATGGGAATTTTATTTATTGGGCCCTTTGAAATCCCAAAACATCCTAGTGCCTGGCCCACTGTAGCTATGTATTTGCTGAATGAACTTATGACACAATTTACTGATGTATTAAATTTGAGGTTGCAAAACAATAAAGAGTAAATAGGACTTTGGAATAGAGAGAAGGATAGAAACAAGGTGGTATAGAGGAAAGGGAGAGGGCAGAATAAAGGATTGACAAAGAAGGTTGATTACAAGATATTCAATGCAGATGATTTCATTAAACTTCAAAGCAATCATAGGTAGAAAATATGACAGAAAGAGACATTAAAGTATTAGTTAAATGGAAATAAACAAAAGTTGAGTGAAGGATCTATTTCTTAAGATAGTGGGGGAAAGCTCTAGATAAAAATTAGAAATTAGAGATAGGATTACAAGTGATTTGGAGATTGTGTGGTGCATTTTGCTTCTTAACAGGTGAGAAAACAGGTTCCCAAGCTTATAAAGCAAGTTGAAAGCAAATTTAAGATGAGGGCCAGGTTTCTTGACTCCGAGCTCAAAGCCTTTTTGTCTCCCCATGCTGCCTCCTTTAAAATGTAAAGAATCTAAGGAAAGGTCAAAGAGAAGAATATACGAAGAAATTAGGAAAATCAGATGAATGATGGAAAATGTAGCATGGGATGAGATAAGTGAATAAAATAATAAAAGGATTCATTTCTAATTCATAGATATTTTACTTTATTCAACATTTAGTGTCTATGATTTAGTGGTGGTTTGGCACAGGGAACAGGAGAACAAAAAATAATGAAAATATGATGCCAGTAATACCATCCATCAATCTGAAATATAGAGTACTGGCAGGTCTGCATTCAAGATCAAAAGTCTTAGTCTGGAACAGCCCAGTATGCTCGACCAAATACCAGTATTTCAGAGTTCTTTCATCTAAATTAGAAAAAGAAATGTCATCTGTCTATAACATGCACCCTATGGTGATCTGCTTCCCAAAGAAAAATGAAGCAGTCCAAAGTTAAAGGGACAAACACGTCATTTTGGAGGAATGCTGTTGCTTATTTTCATTTCCCAAAAGAAGTAATGGAATGAAGGGTGAGTGATAATAATTTTCATTGAAAAGTAAAACTTGCTTTGTTGTTCACATTCTTTGTGGTTGTTGGGATAAAAATATGAGGACATTTACAATAGGGCAGAGCTTTTTTTTCTGGATGTAATTTGATTGCATTGCATATATAGTATATTAAAAATGTATACTGCACCATGCCTAGTTTTTGGCTTTGCAAAAATATAGTAGTTGTCATCAAGTAGTATACAGTGCTTGAGGAATGCAAAGAACATGCACAGGTGTTTCTATTTCAGCTAAGCTAACTCAGATAAACATGGAGCAGAGAAGAAAACATTTTTTGATAAAAACAATTAATTGGTTTAATGAGATGTTGATATTGGCAAGGTATTGTTCTAAGATTTTCATATAGATATCCTCATTTAATCCTCACCACAACCCTTTCAGGAATGTCTTATTATTAAACCTGTGACCTGGCTGAGAATTCTGAAGCAGAGACAGTGAGTTTTCCAAATTTCCAAAGCTAGTAAGGGGCACTGATTATACGCCAAAAACTTCCTAAACATGACTTGACTTATACAGAAATCATACCAAACAAATTGTTAAGCTTCATTTTACAGAAAATAAAGCTGTAATAGTGTGCCTTAGTGATATGGCTTCTGAGAACTTATGCAAAACATCAACTCAGACATTTCTGGGGACTAATTTATGTACTTCTCCCTAAATTATCTGAAGGCCATAAAAATTAGCGTAATAATGGAGGTGATATTGAGCTTAGCCTATCAATTTCAAAAAGGCAGTTGGTACAGTGGAGGGAGGGTGTTTCAGGCCAAGGGGAAAGTAAGAGACAAGAGAAAGAAAATGGCAATTAGGGAGAAACCAGGAGAGGAAGAGGCAGGCCAGTGTCGCTCTTGTGGGTTGAGAGATGGACTTGACAAGGTAGGTGGGGGGCCGATCAGCGAAGGTCTTGACTGTGAAGCTCAGGAGTCAGGGAACAATTGCAGATTTTTGAAAGCTCCTTTTGATTTTGGATTAAAGACTGGGTAGTTCTGAATTGAATCCAGGATTCCCATTGTTCAGAATAGACCAACACTTGGCAAAGTTTCAGAACCTTTTAGAAGTTCATTACAAATCTCAAAAGCTTTTTCAAATACCAAAAGGCCCCAGCACTCTATTTAAATGTAAATATACTTGAGAGTTTAAATTCTAAGATTTAAGAATGATTAGGGAAAAGTGCTTGGAAATAAATGTTTGGAGGGAAAAAAATAGAGAAGTGATGAACAGCAAGGGACCCAGGAAAGATTTGAATGCATCTTGTGCTGCAGGTTTTCAGAAATCATTTCTGCCATTGTTGCAGTTCTCTTGATGGTGATCATAAGTCAGGAAATTCAGAAGTTGACATCAGATAGAAGGGCCATTGGACACTGAGATACAAGAGAATTAAAACCTCAGAATGAAAGCACAGCTGGGTTAGGCAGAGTGATGCTTCCAGGTGGACATTTGTATTAGAAATTCGTCAGGTCTGGATCCGTGATGAAGGGGTGACTGAGCTGACTTGGGTCCACAGAGAAACTCTAGTCCCATCCAGATGGCGCTCCCGTTTACCTGGTGACAATCTTCATTTTTTTTCTGCTTCTTAGTCACATCCATATAAGTGTACCCTTCTTGGACTTCAACAGAGAATCAGTTTTACAGTTTTCCAGAATATTATCTGGAGACAAAGAAGATGCAGATGCTGAGCTTCTTGATATTGCCATTTGTAAAAGAGAATGCAGAGAAACTAAAGAGGCAAGGCTAGAGGGCAAACTTGCCCTTGTTTACAATGAAGAAATACGCACCATGGGTATTTCTAAACCTTACTGCTCCCTTCATCACTTAATCCATTATAAAACATTTTAGTTTTATTAAGTTCTATACGGTTTATATGTTTATAAACAATATAAAATTTTGTCTGTTTTAATAAAAATATATATTGTATTAAAATCCTATATTTTATATGCTTTTATAAAACAACATAGTTTTTAACATAAAATACGAACTTAATAATTTTAGAAAATACAAAATAGACAGTAATAATTTATCCATCAACATACCACAAAGAAGTAACAATTAATGCTACATTGTTTTATATTTTTCCAGGTTTATACCATAAACATACCCATATAATTTTTGACACAACTGGAATCCTGCTATATGCAAATAATGCTTTAAAAATTGTATTATTTATATGTCTCTATAAAACAAAGGTATAAGGATTTTTAATACACTATTTTTTATTAAAAAGTAGGGGAAAGACCTTTGTTAGAGGTGGATTAATATCTAAGCAATTATTCATCTTATCTCTCAAAACTATTATTATAAAGAACTTTTAAATATTAAATATGATGTATATTTCTAAGATACATCATAAGAAATGATCCTTAGCATGCATTAAAAATTACATGTATAGTTTGGAACAAAAAAATCAAATATCATATTTTGACCTCAAATGCCCGTTTGGGTTTGGCTGGACCAATCAGATAGTTCAGAAGATCATTAGCATCCATTTTGAGGATTTTCAAATTGAAAACAGAAGTTTTCTTTATTAAACAGCCAAATCTATGCACCAATTTAGTGCAAAAAATTATGATATTGTAACCTTAAGTAAAACTCTCAAGTCAATATATTATTGTCCTGAGAAGTTAAAGTGAATTCTTAGATAATGACATACATTTCACTTTGAGAATTTCAGTATTCTGTGGTTTGGGGCATACACCTGGTGGTCTGGGATCTGCTTCCCACTTTTCTATTTTAACCTAATCACAGCCATATTATTCTCTCCAACCTTTTACTATCTCCTAAACTTTACGCACTTCACCAGGGTATTCTCAGTAATGGGAGATAGCAATGGGTTACTCTCAAGAATTAGATGAGACTCTGGGCAGTGAAGACATTTGCCATCTTTCTTTAAAAAAGGAAGTTTCATTTTTAGACATTTCGTGTTGGGCCAAAATATCCCTGTAAACAACACGGCTTCATGTAGGCGACCCACCTTGTCTTGGGATGTGCTGTGGGAGAAAACTCAAGCCTTGGAGTAAAAGAGCTGTAGGCTTTCAGTGCAAGTCAACTGACACCCTTGATCTTGGTTTCACAACCTTATTTTACACATAGTATTTTAGAAATCCAAAAACAAGCAAACAAGCATTGCATAAGCTTAGTAATATTTCCAATAATTTAATCATTCAGAGATAACTACTTTCAGAGTGTTGATGTGTTTCTATCTAACTAAAGATACAAAATTGGAATAATATAAATAGTGTCTCATTTCTTTTGTTAAAGGTCATTTTGTCTTTATTCTACATTAGAAAAATATGCATACTATTTGTCATATATTTAAAATATAATTTTCTGAAGCATTCCTGAGATATGAAGTGTATAGGTTGTTTACCATCAGTTAGTATGAAAAATATTCTGGTGAATATAACTTAGGTACATCTTTGAATTCCAAACTAAATCCTCAAAATAGATGACAAAAAGGATCCTTACAGACTTAAAAAAAAACAGCATAAGTGAAGGTATTAATGCATACTGACAAATTGGTTTGTAACAGATTATTTTACATTCTCACAAGTCATGGATAGGACTATTTCAATACACATCTTCAGTGTGTCTGTTGATTTTCTTCAAAATGCCACTTTGACAATAAATATTACATTTTTATTGTTATTTAATTCACAATTATTTGATTGCCAGTGAGGCTGAAGTATTTTTATATGTCTATGAATCATTTGTATTTGTGTCTCTCCAGTCTTTGTCCATATACATTGTCCACTTATTAACCTGTGTATTAGTAGTTTTAATAATGTTTTAAATATATGATTATGAAGGTACTATGTGTTTGTTAATAATTTTATAAAACAAATAAATAAATGGGCAATAAAATTGTCTCTAAACTCACCACATGAAGAAGACAACTGTTAAAATGCCAGCTCCATATTTTTTCAGTTTTATACCACAAACAAATGGACACATTAACTCACAGACAATTATTGGCAAAACCAGAATACCCTCTATAAAAGTTAATCTTATATTTTCACTTAATCTCAGGGTTTCAGCATTTCTCCCATTATTAAATATTTTGTTAAAGCACAGTATTAAATATTGAATAATATATATGTCTTCATGAGTGTGCCATTACATAGTTAATTAAATCACCTTATCGTATGTTTGCATTTTCCACCCTCTCACTGTCATGAATATCCTGGTGCCCAGAAGTTTAAGTGCAAAGAAATGTAAGACAAAATTTCTCCTCTCCCAAAGTCAACACAGCTATTTATATAGCATTCGAAGATGAAAATCATATTTAGAGACAATAACGGAAGATAAGTTACAAAGCAAAGTTTGAAGTAGACTATACTTGGATCATTCAAACAACAGAAGGAGACTTCTTGATTCTGCATGTGTTCTCCCTAGGATTATTGTTTTTCTCACTTTTTCCACTAAAGAACATTTCTCCTCATCTCAAAACTAATTGGTCTTCCTGCCTCAGGATTCTCTCCTCTACAAAATGTCCCCCTTCATCATGAGACATCTGATCTTAAAAATATTTTGCTTTTGTAAGATGCATTTGTATAAAATGCATTCACTCTTAAACAATCTCCCTTTTAAAAAATACCTCCTATACCTTATCATTTATTGGTATTGGATAAACCAATACCAGGCTAGGCTTTCTTCCTTCTCATGGAATGTATTACCACCTAACATAACATGATATGAATGCTGTTTTTGCTACTATATTATGTTTATTTTCTACCAGATTCCCAGCTACCACAGGTTAGAGAAGTAGTTTATTTGATGAATCATTAAATTTCCAAAACCCGAAACTATCCCTAACACAGAACAAATTGCTTAAAAATATATTACTCACCTTTAGTTTCCTTTTTATTTCAATTGTGTCTTTGCCAGGTTTTGGTATCAGGGTGATGCTGGATTCTTAGAATGATTTATAAATGAGTCTCCCCTTCTGAATTTTTTTGAAATAGTTTCAGTAGAATTGGTACTAATTCTTCTTTGAACATGTCTGGTAGAATTCAGCTGTGATCCATCCAGTCCTGGGCTTCTTTTGGTTGGTAAGATTTTTATTACTGATTCAATTTAAGAACTAGATATTGGTCTGTTTTGGGTTTCAGTTTCTTCCTGATTCAATCTTGGGAGGTAGTGTGTTTACAGGAATTTATCCATTTTCCCTATATTTTGTAGTTTGTGTGCATAGAAGTGTTCATAATAGTCTCAGAGAATCTTATGCACTTCTGTGGGATCACTTGTAATGTCATCTTTCTTATTTCTGGTTATGCTTATTTGGATCTTCTCTCTTTTTTTCTTTGTTAATCTTACTAGTGGTCTACCAATGCTGATAATCCTTTCAAAGAAACACTTTTGGTTTTGCTGATTCTTTGTATAGATTTTTGGATCTCAATTTTGTTCAGTTCTGCTCTGATTTTAGTTATTTACTTTCTTCTGCTAACTTTGGGGTTAGTTTGCTCTTATTTTTCCAGTTCTGCTAGGTGTAATGTTAGATTATTGATTTGTGATCATTTTAACTTTTTGTGGTAGCTATTTCACACTTTAAACTTTCCTCTTAACACTGGTTTGGCTGCATCCCAGCGATTTTGGTATGTTGTGTCTCTACATCCTGATGAACATAGACACAAAAATTCTTAATGAAATACCAGCAAACCAAATCCAGCAGTACATCAAAAAGTTAACTCACCATGACCAAATAGGCTTTATTTCTAGGATGTATGGTGGCAGGTGGGGGGGGGGGGGGGGCAGGGAGTTCAACATACACAAATCAAATCAATAAATGTGATTCAACACATAAACTGAATTAAAAACAAAAATCATGTGATCATCTCAATAGATGGAAAACATTATTCAATAAAATCCAAGATCCCTTCGTGATAAAAACCTTCAATAAAATAGGCATCAAAGGCACATAGTTCAAACTAAATAAGAGTCATTTATGACAAACCCACAGCCAATATCATACTGAATGGGAAAAAGCTTGAACCATTCCCTTGGAGAACTGAAACAAGATAAGGATGCCTACTCTCACCACTCCTATACAAAATAGTACTGGAAATCCTAGCCAAAGCAATCAGGCAAGAGAAAAAATAACAAGCATCCAAATAAGAAAAGAAGAATTCAAACTCTCTCTTCAGGGATGATATGCCTAAAAAACCCTGAAGACTACAAAATGATCCTTGAACTAATAAACAACTTTAGTAAAGTTTCAGGATGCAAACAAATGTACAAAAATCAGAAGCATATCTATACACCAATAATGTTCAAGCTGAGAACCACATCAAGAATTCAATCTCATTTACAATAGCCACAAAAAATAAAATACCTAGAAATATATCTAACCAAAGAGGTGAAAGATATCTACAAGTAGAATTATAAAATACTACTCTAATAAATCATGTATGACACAAACAAATGGGAAAAATTCCATGTTCATAAATTGGAATAATAAATATTATTAAAATGACCAAACTGCCTAAAGCAGTTGATAGATTCAATGCTATCCCTATAAAACTATTGAAGTAATTTTTCACAGATTTAAAAAAAATCTCAAATTCATGTAGAACCAACCAAAGAGCCTAAATAGCCAAAGCAGTCTTAAGCAAAAAGATCAAAGCTAAAGGCATCATATTACCCAACAAACTATACTATAAGGCTACTGGAACCAAAACAGCATGACACTGGTACAAAAACACATACATGGAGCAATGGAACAGAATAAAAACCCAGAAATAAAGCCACACACCTACAGCTATCTGATCTTCAACAAAGTTAACAAAAATAAGCAATGGGGAGAAGACTCCATATTGAATAAATGGTGCTAAGATAGCTGGCTAGCCAAATGCAGAAGAATAAAACTGGACCCCTACCCTTCACTGTATACAAAAATTAACTCAAGATGAATTACAGATTTAAATCTAAGACTTCAAACTGTAAGAATCTCAGAAGCAAACCTAGGACAAACATGATGCCTAAACCTTAGTATCATGCAATATACCCATGTAACAAACCCGCACATGTACCCCCGAATCTAAAATAAAAGCTGAAGTTACTTTTAAAAATAATTTAAACATGTAAATAAGTACATGTAAAACACCTTATGTATGTCATGAAGAATTTTCTCACGTAAATAACACATTGCATTTTATCCAGCATCCCTGTGGGATGAGCTGCTAATTTCCATAAGCTATTTCTCATGCATGCATTGTCTGCCACACGTCAGCTTCTGTTAGAAGCACTGATATGGTTTGGCTGCATCCCCACCCAAATCTCACCTTGAATTACAGTAATCCCCATGTGTCAAGGGTGAGGACAGGTGGAGATAATTGAATCATGGGGGCAGTTTTCCCCATACTGTTCTCGTGGTGCTGAATAAGTCTCACAAGATCTGATGGTTTTATAAAGGGGAGTTTCCCTGTACATGCTGTCTTGCCTGCCGCCATATAAGATGTGACTTTGTTCCTTATTTGCCTTCCACCATAATTGTGAGGCCTCCCTAGCCATGTGGAACTGTGAGTAAATTAAACCTCTTTCCTTCATAAATTACCCAGTCTCAGGTATCTCTTTATTAGCAGCATGAAAACAGACTAATACAAGCACTTTTGATGAACCTTACACACTCATCGATGTACCAGCCTTGTGAGGGGTACTGACACCAACAGTGCTCCTTTTCATCATTTTCACACATGCTCCTCCTACTCATTACTGTGAATACTTCTCCTATCCAATTCCTTTCTCTGACTCAGCTTCTCCTGACTTTTGGCTACAGTCAATATGGTTCCCCATATCCATAGGCATCTCCGAGATGGGCACCTTCTTCCTTGGAGTCTCTTTACTTAGTGCTTAGTGCTGGTCTTATAGGTCATAGTTACACATATTTCTGCCATGCCTCCATTACTTTCTTAGATGCTGTCATCAGAACACCCAACCCTCATTTTCTGGCCATTTGCATTCACTTTGGCTTGTGCAAGTGCCTCACCATATCTTTCATCCACTTGAGATATCCAGCATCATTAAACCAAAGTGAAAATACCCAATAGTAGCAACACATGTGTGTCAATTTACTGAATCATGAACAATAAGTAAATGAATGAATGACTAAATAACTGAAGGCATTTTTGCATAAGATGAATTTTTTAGCTAAAGAAATTCCTTACTCTTTGATTAATTTTGCCTGAATTTCCAAAGCTAGAGTTTTTTTTTGGGGGGGGAGGGGTGGAGGGGTTGTAATTTTTGGTGATGTGAAATCATTATTTATTTGATTATTTTTCTGCATTTTATAAGGGCACTATGCTAAAAGGAGATCTAGTAAATTTTATAACTCTCTTCTTGGTCCTAGATATAATGTTCAGTACTTCCCCCCAAAAGTTTTTATAAAGCATGCAGACTAATTTAAGAAAGTGTGATTTCTGATAATAATATCTAATGTTATTGGGTATAGACTATGTGGCAGGCATTGCATGAACTCATTTAATTTTCACAGAAACCTTACATCGTAGAACATGGATCAGGTTAGGCTACGTTATTCTAAGGTAATAAACTAACTCAAAAGCCCAGGGGTTTAGCACAGCTAAGCTTTATTTCTCATTCATGTTACCTGTTCAATGGATACAGGCAAAGGATGCTGAACCACAGTCACTCAGAGACTTAAGTTCATAGATGCTCTGCCATATTACATCTACTCCATCTGGAAAATGTGCCTCTACCATCATCCTAGAAGGGGGAAAGAAAATGTGTATTTTTTCTCAGAACCATCTACATTCACAGGATTTGAATTGGTACCATGTTTGCCATAGAAGATGGGTCCAAGTTTAACTAAAGAGCCAATTTCAAGCCCACTTGCTACGTATTTGCACTGATCTTGGCATTCTTGCTTGGATGTGGTATGCAAAGAAGAATTTAGTTATATCTTTTGATGGTTGTATATCTCACCAAAATTTTATAGTGAATTATTTGTGTAACATTTTGGAAATTCCTACTCTTCCCCAAATCCTATCACTTTGGTTTTAGAATCAACAATGTTGTATTCTGCTTATTACATTTTTTGGGAATATGTGAACTTGAATTTTGCTTTAGTTACTTAAATTATACAACATTTCTAGATTACTTTTTTTCTGAGTGAGCCTCATTGTTTTAATATTTAAGGCATAGAAATAGCAACTGCCTCATATGACTGTGGCTAGAATTATATGTAAAAAATGTATGTACTATATATGCATAAAATACATGTAAAACATTTATTATCTAGTATATATCTGGCACATAATTGTCAACGCTCAATAATGTTGCCTATTATGAATATTATATAACCAGATATTAGTAGATTTTTGTAAAAGTGTTTTGATAATTCTAGTTATAGAATTAGATGATCTGTATGATAAAAATTCCAAGGACAGACTCTTTTTTACAGAACTCATAAACCAAAGAGAAAATTTTATGTTTAAAGTAAATATTGAATAAGCTGATGCTAATATACTCCTTAGAATTCAGCCTTTGGAGTCTCAATTTTTGGCAAAGGACTAGAAGTTTTGGTACCTTTAAAAGTTTTATTTTGTTTTTAATTGACACGTAATAATTGCATATATTTAAAGGGTACAATGTGAAGTTTTCATACATGCATATATTGTGTAATGATCAAATCAGGTTAATTAGCATATTCATAACCTCAAACACTTATTATTTATTTGTAGTGATAACATCCAAAATCCTCTCTTCTTGCTACATTGAAATATATCATACATTATCATTTGTATTTTTACATTAATATTGTCATAATTATCTAAGAAACTGCCAAAGATGAAATAAGATAAGGAGTTGCTGATGATTTAAATAAAGACTCCTATGAGATTTCCAAATATACTTTTGAAATATTAGGAAATGCTAAGAAGTTGGGTTTTGAATAATGGTCAAAAATGTGTGGCCTCTTCTATCAGCATGCTAAGTCTCACCATATTTTAGCTTATTCAGCAGATCTTGATAATATAATTTGGAGAGCACATTGACAAGTTCACTTTTTAAAATATCTATCAAATTACAAGTGTTTTCTTTTTTTAACTCAGAGATTACACTTCTGGAATTTATACAATTTATACCTTCATGTACTTTTGAGATCATATTACAAGTTAATTTCACAGCATTATGTATTAAAACAAAATAGTAGAAGTAATTTAAATGTCTATCATTATGGTTACTGGTTAAGCTGCATTTACAACATGGAAAACATTTTTAAGTGTTTATTGTAGAAAAAAAAAGCTAGTCCCTTATATTCCATCAAAAATTATCTCTTGGTAAAACTTGAATTGAATTTACAGTCCACCAATGGGGCATATGATGTGAAACTTTAGAATACATTAAATTTAACGTTGCAGGGAATATCCCCGTAGAAATGCCACAGGTTCTTTGAGCTTAGTGTTGCTCTACTGGGAGCTCTTTTATCCTCAGGGCTTTCAGTGACTGGCTGTATTACTTAAGTTTGAACTCAGATATCAACCCCTCAATGTAGAGCTAATTTTACTCTTACACATTCTTGGTAGGGATATAAAATGATACACCCATTTTGTAAATACCATTTGGCAATTTCTAAGAAAGTTAAACACATACCAACAGTATAACCCAGTAATATCATTCTTGGTTTATATCCAGGAGAAAGGAAGACATATGTTCACCAAAATACATGTATAAGAATGTTTATAGTAGTTTTATAATAACCAAGAACTAATAAAAATGGAAAAGCCCCTATAATCTTAGCTCAAAAAACTCAGTATAATTAATCGCATTTTTCTAATTGTTGCAGTGTGAACATTGGCCTAGAGTAAACGATCATATTCTTTCTAGAAGCATAAGCTGGAGACACTATTTTCGTTTGTCAGATTGTTAAGAAAATAACAAATTTTGGTAACTCACTATGTTGGGAAAACTGTGAAGAAAAAACATTAATATATTGCTGATACAACCCACATGGAGGGCAAGTTGTTTACAGAAATTAATATTACAGATGTTTTTTCTTTGATCCATCAATTATACTTCTAGGAACTTTACTCATATCCTTGCAAAATGACATATTACAAGAGTATTTATTGAAACATTATTTCTAACAGCAAAAGATTAGAATCAATCCAAGTGTCCATTAGTAGGATTGGAGAATTGAATAAAATATTAAGCTAACAAATTATTACAGAGGTTTTTTTGTCAAATGACATAGAAAGATAACTAAGATTTATTGTTAGGTGGAAAGAGCAATGTGCAGATATGAATGTGAGGATGTTAATGTCTGTAGAAATTGGGTAATTTAGGGAATATATATTTGAATTTAAGTGTACGAAAAATAGCTAAAGATACACAAGAGCCCAGTAACATTGAACACCAATTGAGGGATGAGAGAATAAAAACTGAATAGAAGAAAAATGGAGTAGAGAAAGGAAATTTTTACTGTATACTTTTATAGATAGTTATAGATAAACCATGTGAATTAGTAACTCATTCACAAAATTTAATATCTACATCTACAAATGATAAAAATAGTGAAGTTTAAAATACTTTAAAGAGAATAATAAGTAATATCACAAATTGCATTTAAAATAAGTACAAGTTGTCATGACTCCAGAATTATGAAGTTTATATTTTTCTAAGACTGATGAAAATTTGGAGAAAATACAGAGAATGGACTATGAGCCAAAGAAATGAGGATCAAAAATATACAGGTGACATTTGGCTTTCCTCAGGTACATCAGCAATTTTAACTTCTAAAACTTTTCATAATAACAACCACACTCCCTTAAAGAGAGGAAAATATTTTCTTACCCAAGGAAATAAACATTTAATAACCTAAGTCTCCCACTTAAACAACCAAATTGTATTTTTCAGCATTGCTTTCATGAGTAAACCTCCTAGAAGGTAAAGACATTTCAAGATAAAACAGGTAATATGCTTCATGAAATTACCAGAGAAGACTTTCTGGAAATGTAATGAAACTTCTAGGCATTAGGCCAACTCACTCACAAAAAAGAAAAGATTACATGCCGCAGGACTTAGCATCTTAGAAGCAAAGTTTGCAAAGATTGTCTCTAGCATGATATTTCTCAGTGGAAAATAAAGATGAGAATCTTGGCTTTTGTCAAATAAGGAACTTACAGCTATTCATTCTTAATATTTGACAGTGTATCAGAATCCAATTACTTGTCTCTCAATGCCTCAGCATTCTTTAAGTATTCTATTTTAGTTGACAGAGCACTGGTTTGAGATGAGGAAATGGAGATTCCAATCTGAGCTGTGCCATTAGATGACCTTGGGACAATCTACTTTTCCTCTATGTGCATTCATTTCTTCCTCTGGAAAATAAGGTTTGGATCTAGATTATCCCTATAATGCCTTCAGGCTTCACATACTATAATTCTAAATAGGAAAAGAAATGAAACAAATGAAAGTCCTAGAGAGTGAACAATTCAAGTAACACCATTCCTTATGTTGAAATGGATAGAGCAGATTACATAGATTCGTTGGTTCACATTCTTGGAAGCAAGCTGGATTGGAGTCTGGTTGAGTCACCTTCCCTCTAGGTTTCAGGAGTCTTAATTGTAGAATAAGGAAATTGGATTAGATAATCTTAGGATGTTTTAAAGGAGATACTTTGTTCATGAGCTTGAAATCAATGTGTTGGAGAACTCTTTGGCCTTGGTCAGTTTGTGATTTTATTCATATACAGATGTTCCTTGACTTACAAAGTGTTTACATCTCAATCGACCCATTGTTAGTCAAAAATATCCTAAATTAAAAATGCATTTAATACCCTGATAAACCCATCATGAAGGCAAAAACCTTAAGTTAAATCACTGTAAGTCCTTATTAAATAAACTCTATTTGGACCCAAGGTGCCCAAACATTGAGGGTACTTTTCTTCTGCCTTTGTCCTTTCCAGTTCAGCTAGTCCTGATCATTTCAGTGCCTGCGGAATGAGAGTATGAAAAATTGAGAAAGAGAGAAATCTGAAGTCTCCATAATCTCTCAGCATGCCTCTAGACATGAGCAGAAAATGAGAGCTATAAAATATTTAATGTGATCTTTTTTCACCAACTAGCAATCTCTCAGAGTTAACACAATATTGTCTGCTCATTAGCCTTTAGTGGTTCAAAGAATCATCTCTCCTAATGTTTCCTTCCTTTTGATTTAGCTAACCTGTATTCAACACTTAACTAGCTGCCTATATATTATTCTAGTCCCTTTCTGTATCCATCTTACTTAATCTTCATAACAACCCTGAAATGTTAGTATTTTAAGCTCCATTTTACAGTCGAGAAAACTGCGATTTAGAGAAGCTAAACCTCTAGCTGATGTTACACAGTTATCCCCAGGCTACCAGTAGCAGACCCAAGTTTCAAAGTCAAACTTATAAACTCCAAAGACCACATTTCAAATCACTGCATTGTGGCAGATAATGGAAACATTATCTATTATTATCTTCATTTATTTTACGTCTCCCTCACTATCTGAGCTTTCACTAGCCAAATATGTTCTGCAGCAATTTGCAAAAATGTTTTATCAAAAACTCAACATCCAAATTGAAAAGCCATGCTAACAAATTTGTCACACATGCATGCGTTTATGTTGTTTGCCAGTCTAGGCTAGAGGAGCCAGGGTATGCTGAAGTCTTATCTCAGCTATTCTTCCCACAAGAGCACATCAAGAGCTTATATTGCTCTAATGTGTCATGCTTTAGTAATATCATCTTCCCCACATTATTAAGATAAAATGTTTGAAAGAAGGTGCAAAAAGCCAATGAGTAAAATAAGAAAACTGAATAGACTAACAGACAATTAATTAAAAGGCCAAGAAAAGTCTATGCATTGGGGAAAAGTTGGAAGTGGTAAAGTGAATTAAAGGAGAAGAAAAGCTGTCATTCTCTCCTAAACATATTCCAATGTGACCCTATCCCACCAATGACACCAATGACTTCACATGTCAAAATAAACAGTTAATGTCGTATCACTGTTTGACTCAGCCTTTCATCAGCATTTGACACAGTGATTTGATTCTTCCTTCCTGAAATATTTTCTTCACTTAGCTTCCAAGATAGCATGTTCTCATGGCTTTCTTCTAAAGTGGCTACTGCATCTCATCTTTCCAATGTCTGTTAAATCTCAATCTTCAGTCTAAATCCCTGTTGTACTTCATCCCAGCTATCTCTATACTTGTATCCCTATCTGCTCTGACAAAAAACGCTGGTGTGTAATATTTGTTGATATTTGTGCTGCAAATGCTCCCACCTTTGCCAATTTTAAGGCACCATTGTGACTTGTGACATTGTGTTTTTTCAACTTGTAGTATTTGGTTCCACAAAACTATTGGAAATATCAACTATGTACTTGAGCTGTCCCTGAATGCCAAATAATTCTCTCAAACATAATATGTACAAAACACAATGATGAAATTCTCTCTTTCCTTAAACCTGGTCCTTTACTAATATTCTTCTTCTTCATAAATGGCACCACTGTTTATCCAATTTCTCATCCAAAATTCTTGGCAAAAGCCTACCACTTTCCCTGTTAACCTTCAGTGGTGAAGGGAACTATTACTAGAAACCTGGAGGTAGAATTACAGTCATGTACTGCCTAATGACATTTCAGTCAACAGCAGACTTCATTTATGACAGTGGTCCCATAAGATTATAATACTGTATCTTTACCTTTTCTATATTTACATGCACAAATACTTACTGTGTTGCAACATTCAGTATAGCAACATGCTGTCAAAGTTTGTAGCCTAGAAGTAATAGGCTCTACCACATAACCTAGGTGTGTAGTAGGCTATACCATCTAGGTTTGTGTAAGTGCACTCTGTGATGGTCATATGATGAAATCACCTAACAATGCATTTCTCAGAATGTATCCTCATCCTTAAGTGACATATGTATGTATTCTGAGACAGCCATCACTGCCCCAGGTGTTTCTCCTGAATAAGGATTTAAGTTTGTAGACTCAGAGCTTGATTCTAGAAAGAGGAAGTCTCAACATTAGAAAACATCTCTTAAAAATAAAAACATGCAGCATTATTGGAAGTGTTTCTAGATGCATGAGGTATGGTCATATATAAAAAGGGCAATTATATGATAAGAATTCAACTATACACATCTTCTAATAACTGCCTTTACAGGAGAATGACATAGACAGCTTTGATTCCCCACCAGGGACTCAGGAACCGAGGAGAGCCATGCTAAGTTACTGCTATGCCCTATGTAGCCACATCACTGCTGATAAGATTTTGGGTTTGGGACTAATTAGAATGGATACTTAATCAACTCACATTTCTGTGTGCTTGCAAACTGTTTGTATGAGCCTGTGTCTTTTTCATGTCAATTCACAATTCACCAGAAAACCTGTCTTGCATATTCAAGCAGGATTAGAAACTGAAAATAGATCTGGATTCTTCCTATGATAATTATTAAAAAATTAAACATAGAGAAAACTGCACATGGTAATATAACAATGTACCCATCAAGGATATTTAACACTTCATAACAGTTTTGAATTGTTTATTTTGGATCCTTTTGTTAGCATAATTATGCATAGTTGCAGCTGTTTCTGTACTCCTTAAATCCATTTATCTCTCTCTCTCCACATATAACCATTAGTATGAATGTAATATATATTCCCAGAAAGAAGACTTATTGTGAGGATGTCTAGTAGTCATGTACAAGAAACTCAGAGCATGATGCTACTAAATGATGAAGGGAATATGTGTGCTTGTGCATCTCTAAACCTCTTGTGGTTATCATTGTATTAATCTTACTGCTAATATGCCTCACTGGGGTCCAGCATATATTTCCAAGAATAGTCACTGCAATATAATCTACCCTGCCAGAAATGTCCTCCTGTCTTTGGGAGAAGTTCTTTAGACAATCAGAAATCTGTACTTGGACATTAAAAATGACCTATGACAAACTTCTCTCCTTACTTTCTTCCATATCACTTGCATCCTCAGAGAACTTAAAAAAAAAAATAAAAACATTCTATGATATACTTTCAAAGTCCGCTATTTCATGAGTGTCTCTCCTGTCTCAGAGTTCAAAAACAGCTTTTTCAAAATAACTTTAGTCAAAGCATAGAGTGTTCAGTGTATTTATGGTGCAGACCTGCCTCCTGAATGAGCTTCAGATACTCTCACTAGCAATCTACATGTAACAAATTGGAAAAATTCACAGCTACAAGATCAGATACGTAAAAAGGTGAAGAAATACATTTTTTAAAAAATCACGTATTATATTCTTTGCTAATATATTTGGCACAAACATTATACATTTTTGGTATTTTTATTTAAAATACAAAGTGTGTATATACACATATATATTTTTAAAGTGCATATTTTGTTACATATTTATAAAAATGAGCTTCTATAACACCCTTTGTTTTTTGTTTATTTGAGGCTTGCACAGTAAGTTACTGTCTCAGATGTAGGTATGTTCTATTATCAAGTCGAATATGAGCCCCTTAGGGGTAAAAATTGTATTGATATAATTTATGATTTCTGTACTGTGATGTGCAGTGATTCCTGGAAGATAGTCAGTGTAGAAAAAAAGTTACAGAATTATACATTTGTAACCAGAAGGCAAGGTGAGCAATGGCAATATTATAAAATAATAGATGCTAAAAAGAAAGTAGATCTTCAGAAGATCTAGGCATCTTTCCTGTGCTTCAGGGATGAGCTGAGGCATACAGACAACTGAGGGTCTGAATTATGATACCTAGTCATCTTATGAACTAAAGGATAAACCATGTTAGATTGAGAAAAGAAGAGTCAAATTTTAGAGTAAAAGTCAAGTCAAGTGGTCAGCAGTTTTGATTCCATGATGGAGACAGCTAGAATAAGCATGTCTCTCATTCTCACAACAACAACAAAATATGCTGGGCAAACGATTTTTTTAAAAACTGTATCAGAGAACTGAAGTCACAAGGACATATGACTGACCCAAAATCTGGAAAGAAATTGACACAGGCAATGAAAAGCAGAACTTAATATTTGCTGACCATTGCCACTGAACGCCATTCAAGTCATAGGAAGAACCAACTAGACAATTTTATGAATTGCTAAAGACTAAATGTAGAGTGACAAGAACATGTAAAGCTACTATGGGCCACAGGCTTATGACGTTCACACTCTTTCAGGCTTTTCTTTCAGGTGCTCACCAGGAACATGTGGGAGGAACTCAAGAATGCTTTCCCACGGTACTTTAAGGGGCAGAAACAGGAGTCACTGCTGACTCTGCTCAGTTCCAAACCCACGTTGTTTTCTATGAAACAAAACACTTGACCTGTGTAAGGAAAAGCAATCAAACTTTAGCCTGAGGATATTGATGAAAACCTACTGGGGGGGAAACAGAGAAATAAAAACTCTACCACTGGGGGATGAGCAAGACTAAATGTAAGACCCAGCTTTACATCTTGAGAAGAGCAGGGATAGTTGTAAAGGCCATACCCGCAAGGTCCAGGTTCACAGTGCCTGACTAAGACTGACATCAATCATTAAATAAAACAAATAAAACATCAATGATTACACATCATATGCACGTATCAAAATATCAGATGTACCCTATAAATATGTATTGTTATATATTAATTTTAAAAATTAAAAACCAGAGAATGCCTCCAGAAATCACTCCCTCACACTAACAGACAATAAGTAAAACAACATTAGAACAGTTAAAAAAAAAAGAGATGGCTGCAAGAGACAAATTTTCTTGGAGAACCAGAGTAAATGGAAAGCCCAAAGACAAATGGGAAGACCCAAAGTCAAGTAGGGAGCAAACTTCAAACCCAGTTTGACTCCTCAAGTAGATTAGAAAAAATCACTACATTAAAAGGCTAGAAGAAGGAAAGGCATGATTATCTCCAAGCATCAAAATTATTTATGTCTGGCCGGGTACAGAGGCTCATACCTATAATCCCAGAGGATGGGATTGGGAGGATGAGGTGGGAGGGTCACTTGAGTCCAAGAATTCTAGACCAACCTAAGCAACATCACAGGACCTAATCTCTACTAAAAATTATCAAAAATTAGTGGGGTGTGGTGGCATGTATTCCCAGCCACTTGGGAGGCTGAGGCAGGAGGATTTCTTGAGCCCAGGAGGTCAAGACTGCAGTGAGTTATGATGGCACCACTTCACTCCAGCCTGGGTGACTGAGCAAGACCCTGTCTTAAAATATGTAAAAACATATTATATATAATAAATATATATTATATATATGTATATATGTAGTAGTACCTACTGCCCTGCGCAATGTGTCAGGCTTTTAACATTTCAAAAAAATGTATGAGGCAAACACAGAAGCTGAACAAACATAGTCTCCAGAAACAAAGCAAACATCAGAGTCAGACTCACATGTGAGAAAGATGTTGGAACCATCAGATAAGAAATTTAAAATGACTGTGATTTGTGTGTTAAAATTTGATTGGAAAGAGTGGAAAAATTGCAAGGTTAGCAGGGACATGAAACCCTCAGGAAAAAAACAAATAATGATATTAAAAATAAAAACAAATAAACAGTGTCACAAATAAAACAGTAATAGATGTGAAAAATGCCTTTAATGTATGTACCAGTAGATTCATCACAGTCTAGGAAAGAATCAATGAGCATAAAATAGGTTAATAGAGATTACTCAAACTGAAATGTAAAGAGAAATAAAGGAGTGGAGGGGAAAAAAACAGAATGGAATATCAGCGAGATGAAGGACAATACCAAATGGTGTAGCCTATGTGGAATTGGAACAATAGAGAAGAAAAAGAAAAAAATACTTGAAAAACTGATGGCTGAAAAATTTCCAAAATTAGGGACAGACAACTTCTCCAAGGTGAGAGGACACAAAGCAGAATAAATACAATAAAACGATGCCTGGTTCTGTCATAATCATATTGCTGAAAACCAAAGACAAAGAGAAAATCTTAAAGGCAGTCAGAGAAAAAGGATACATTACCGAAAGAGAAACATTTAAAAGAAGTACAGGACATTTCTTATCAGAAACTGTGCAAGCAGGAAGGCAATGCAGTGACATATTTACAATGCTGAAAGAAAGAACAGAGTCAACCCAGAATTCTATATTTCCTGGGAAAATCCATTAAAAATTAAGAAGAAAGCTTCTGATGCCAGCTCCAGCATGTAAAGAGCTCTGGACACTATTACTTCTATCTTTACCATAAGAAAAAGGCAAAGAAAATGAGTATCAGTGACTTGTTTTGAGCCCATCATTGAATTGAGGTCACTCACAGAGCACACCACTTCCCCAAATCTGGAGAGACAAGAAAATGCAGAAATTGATAACTAAAATATGCTCACCGGGAGCAGAAGCCACTGGAGACAAAAACTGGAAAATTTAAGTAGTGATGTTCAATAATTGCTGGAGACTGAGTGTGGACTAACATGAAAGAGAAATTCTTGAAGACCACAGATTTAGGGAGGAAGCCACGCTTTACTGAGTTTTACCTCTAGAAATTTCAACAAATTCCAACAGTGAAGATCCAAGAAGTCTGTCATGGGAGGAGGGGAAGAGTAATCCTTGTGAAATAAGCATAGAGTGTTCTCCATAACAAAACTTGAGTCTCCAGTGGTAAAGACTATCAAGTAATATTTTGCAGTATCAAGTAATAGTCCTCAGAGCACATTTTGGAAAAGATAGGTTGAAATGATTAACATAATTCATCTGGTACAGAGGGGGTACAGAGAAGTTACTCTATCCTGGCAGCTAGTATTGTTGTTATTGGATATTGGTATCTATTCTTCTCAACTCCCAGTTGAAAACATTTGAATGCCACCTAATTATCTATATCCCCCCCCCCAATTGTGTAATTTAAAATATATGCTTCGAGAAGAGTCAAAATGCAAATGCTCTTATAGGGAAGACTTAGTAGGGTAGGCACTATGATGTCAAGATGTCTAAGACGGCCTTCTGTCTTCCTGAACAAAATACCTTTCCTACTTGTTCGCAGGTTCCAAAGTCAAGTGCAAACATTCCTATGAGAAGAAAAAAATTATCAAGCTAATTAATATACTTCTTTTCATAAGAAATCAGTTTTGTAGGAGAAATGGGGTTTTAAATGGCTTCCAGATGCATAGAATGTATCATGAGAGTGTTTGTTAGGAAGCACAAAAGGGGGAGGCTGAGGATGAGTTCAAAGATTAGTTCTATCAATTTCACGATCCTCTGCAGGCCTGTGAGTTTCCTCTGTGGTTTACTTGAAGCTATCAATAATTTCAGAACAACAATCTGTGCTTTTGAGAATAGAAGCATGTGATAAACTAGGGCCTTGTTAATTTGCATGAAAATTCTCAAATGCCAACGACACCTCTCCCCAGTTCTGTAAGTGTTCCCGAATTTATTTTGTTCTTTACAGCAATCTCTTCTGCTGGAAAAACAAACAACCCTTTGAATCAGACTCATGTTTGTTTACACCCCATGGAGAGCTGGAGAATAGATAGATTAAATCAAAGGCTGACTTTGCACAGAAAGCATAAAAGAAAAAGAAAATGCTTCTACAGTCAGAAGCACTGTCATGTTTAGTGGTTCTCCATGAGATGTGTGGTTCGCTTTCTTGTTTGCCTTCTTTATTATTGCCTAGAATATCATCTATCCCCAAAACTCAGCCATATCTACCTACACTTCATGGCCAGATCCTCTCTTTCAGGAAGTCTCCACTGACATTTTTTTCAATATATAATACTGATTTCCCTTTCTGGTATAACCTCAGTGAAGAGAATGTCTCCTGATAGGGCACACTGACTTCACTATGTTCAGTAATTCAAAATTGGATCTCACTGAAGCCTCAGGCATTGATCTTCTGCAGTGCTCATTGGTATTCAGCATGCACTAATTGCTATGGCTATTTAGTGGTCTCCATGGGTATAGCTCTGACTGTCTAAGTGATGGCAAGAAGGAAATCTGCAGAGAGGACCAGCTATCCTTACACTCTATTTGTTGCTTCCTATGTAGTCTCTCCTTCTCACATTTTATTACAATATATAACTTTTTGCTTTTCACATTATCTAAGTTCTTTCTCAGGCATCAACTCATTGAAACTGCATAATAGCTAACTACGGAGTTCCTCATCATTGTCATTGTCATCAGAAACTAAGGCTCTGTTAGTGAGACAGAGCACCTCGCTGAAGCATGCTCTGCTGGACAGTGGTGAAGGCAACTCTGTACCAAAGATATAAATATGACCCGCATTCTTCTCACTAGGACAATGCTATTCTGTCTCTCCTGTGTGCCGCTGGTGACTACAGCAAGAGCTTAGGCTTTTTCTGGAGCCAGAGGAGGATGCTCCAACTACAAGAGTAGAAAGAAGGCAGAAAACCTGGTCATTGATCTGAAGCTTCTCAGATAGCTCTGCCACATTGGGTCTGTGTGGTGATTCACGCATCATCCTTTAGAAATGTTAAGTTCCAGAGGAAAGGAAAATATTCAAGAAACAGGGACCAAGGGTATTTTGTTTGATTTTTAAATGGTTGAGATTCAGAGTCTCTGTAGTATTGTACTGGGAAAATATACAAGGCTACAGAAACCAAAAAATCTTTAGTTTGACCTCCATGCCCTTTTTCTCACACCTCTTCATCCCACCCAATTAATCAGCTGAAGCTCTTGGGCAAGTTAAGTATCTAAGTCTCAGGAACCTTGTGAGTCTCCTCAACTGTGGAATGAGTGTGGTTTCAATAAATACCACAAAGGATGATTATGAGAATTGTGTTACCTAAGGATGTGAATCATTAAATAATTATAATATACAAATATGAGTATTTATAAAGTATCTAATAATACAGTACAACACTCTTAACCATGTACAATTAATTGATTCTCCAGATTAACCTACATTACCCACTGCTTTTGTAAAATATATTGACAGATGCTCACAGTACCATCAGTATACTTATTGTTTTTTAAAATAACAATACTTTATTAGTCCATACTCCAGTATTTCCATACAATTTTGCTCCCCAAAATCAGTTTGTATATTTAGCAAAACTCTGTTGTGTTTACTTCCAGATCTATTTATATTTGGTCATACTTGCTTCTGTAATTACAGATGTAATTAAATGTCAGGTCAACTGAAACATCATGGGTATGAGTGAAACGTTATTGATTCTATTATTTCTACTAAAATCAGATTAGTTTCCTGCTTTGCAAAGAATGGATAATGGTAAATCACTAAAAACATACCAGACTAAATGGCAGCAAGACCACAATGGGAAAAATAGAAAAGAAATAGTATTAATCTAGAAAGAGCATGAACTCATATGATCTCACAAATGTCTTTAAATCTTAGTCCACTTTAAGGAAACTGAAACTAGATGTCACAAAGGATTCATGAAGATTGAGGTTTACACAGGAAATACAATAGGAAAATTCAATCGGATGGCCTGTATTTGAATAAAAGGGCTTACTCCTACTTCAAAACCTTACTGAAGGAATGCACACTAGTCTGTTATGAGTTTTAATAAAATGTTTAAGGTAGACATGTATTTTTTTATGATTCTTCAATTTAACTGACCTTTATGATTAGTCAACCAATGCCTGGTCTCAGTGACATTAAATAAGAGGATTTCTTATTTAATGCAACATAAAATAATGAACAAAAAATTGGTCTCAAAATTGGTGCTAAAGGAGAGGAAGGGGAGGTCAAACCTGCGATGAGGACAGATACATTTTTATGTTTGGGCTTTGTCTGTACCTCTTGGGTGTTTCCATCTGATGGTCTCCTCACAGTTGCTCACTCATGCCAACCTTTCTGGCATTTCTCCCAAGTCAGCCATACAGACATGGCAGCTGTGTGCAGGGGGATGTCACTCTCTGAGAGATGCTTCTGAAAGAGCGGGCAGCTCTTGTCCTTTGCCTCTGGAATAAGCCGTAATTGCAATGTGTTATAAAGTTGTTACGGACAGCTCAGCCTAGAACTGCAACAAGAATAAATAGGAAGCCCACAGTAAGTCTGGCACCTACACTTTAGCCTGGGCTCAGATGTCCAAAGCAGATCCTAGTCCATCATCTAGGGTCAGTGAAGCTTGAAAGTGAGAGCCAATCCCACAGACACCATCTGGGGAAGTGGAAAAAACCTGTGAAGCGGAAGTCAGAAAAAATGGCTTTGAGGCTTGGCTGTGACTCTTTCCAATAGGAAGATTATTGGGAAGGAATAAAATTGCTCTGGGTCTAAATTTCCTCCACCTATAAAATGTGGATAATAATTTCTACCCAGCCTTCCTTAGAAGTTTCTTGTGAATGCAGGGACCAGAGAGCTCTCCTGATTCTCACGAAGGAGGCTCTGCCCATCTCCCCATGCTATTCCTCTCTGCATGCTTCCATTACCAGCTTCTTCAATGTGTGTGAAGGTGCTAATTCATGAATGTAGGACATTTACCAAGCCATGTTGACCAGTGGGCTTTAAACATCAATATCGACATGCGGTCTTCATCTTTGCTTGTAGTAGATTGACTTTGGTAGGATTTTCCTCCTAGTAAAAGCAGACCTTCTAAATGACAGACCTTCTAAATGGCCCCAGACATTCCTATCTGGGACAGAGTAGACATAGGGGATAAGACTCCACACTTCATTCTTCCACTCCATTCTACACAGAATTTTGAATCTTGAAGTGAAAGTCCAGCTATCAGTAATGTGTTTTTTATTTCTCATCTAGCTATTCATGGTTTATCACAAACTCAAAGGAGAATAGAAGTAAATAATAAGACAACAAAAATTCACTCAAAACACCTACTAGGAAAATCAAGCAATGTAAGATTTACTAAATAACTAATTTCATGCAAAATAGAAAAAAAATTACCAATGATTAATATAATCACTTCAGTGTCATGAATGTGTGGAGATCGGTGTTTACATTGTGTGTAAGCACATATAAAATAAAAGGGTAAGGGAGGAGACATCAATTTCTCATAAATATCCAAACTGCAACCTTGACTATGTTTTTTTGACCCCTGCAGAGTTGTACCTACTAACTAGTACTGCTCACTATCTCCAAAGATGCAACTTGGCTTAGATGAATGATATCTACACTGTCTGTTGAGTATGTTGTTGTTGTTGTTCAAGCAGTCTCAGACAAGCAACTAATTATCTTATGCCTCAGCTTCCTTATCTGTAAAATGGACTACGATAAAGCAGTTCTTGCTTTAGCAACGGGTTCAGGGAAT
Organism: Homo sapiens; assembly: GCF_000001405.40. Classification (NCBI taxonomy): domain Eukaryota; kingdom Metazoa; phylum Chordata; class Mammalia; order Primates; family Hominidae; genus Homo; species Homo sapiens. The sequence continues at coordinate 14,270,565 of NC_000004.12, read as the reverse complement.
AAATAACAACTACAAAGTTCTTTGTAAAGTCAAAAATAGAAATATGTATGTACATGCACACACAAATATGTATATATTCATGCAAATACATATATAGTTTTATATATATTTTGAGAACATTTATGCTCTTATTCCTTTTTTTAGACATGCTTTCTGATTGCTTAATATGAGCCAAGCATAGGGTTCACTTTTATAACATGTATTCATTGGAATCTCATACCAACTCTTTTGAGGCAGGTATTTTTGCTATCTTCATTTTTTTTTTTTAACAGATAAACAAACTCAGGCATGGGGAAGATGCTCTCTACTGGCCATTAGGCCAGATGTGTTGACCTTACAGAGCTTCTTAGTGAGTTGCAGTGTGTAAAGTTTGGGGAAGTGTCATCCATGTACTCCCTAACACCTGTTTTAAATACATTATCTTAGGCGAGGTATGGTCAGGTCAGACACAGATCAAGAGAAAGAAATCAAAAAGAGTCTTAGAGTTTCGTTACACTCACACTTCCCTAGAGAGACACAACATGCCATGCAGGGCCTCATGGGGAAGCACCAAAGTCAGTCACAGGCAGAAGGCAAGAGGAACTTTGAGCTGGCACTTTTATTGTGGTTTCCGCAGGAAAAAAAGGGTGAGGCTAGGCTCTGGGACATAGAGATGGTCCTTGGTTTTCTGGCAACTGCTCTGAGGCTATTAACAAAAATGTGTCATGGCCTGAAATGTAGGAACCTGATAAAGGAAGATGATAGTACACACACAAAACTACAAACTACATTGTACCATCTGATATTTATAGGATGGTTTAAACAATTTATTACAATTTTTTGAAACAAAATACTTGAGAAAATAGTATATATAAGACAGCAATATAAAAAGGTAGTAAGAGATCCAGTCCATGTTAAAATCTCAGCTAGTCTGCTTATTAGCTATATGAACTTGGATGAAATATTTAACTTCATTATTCCCATTTCTATATATGTATGTGTGTAAATAAAATACTAGAACCTAACTAGATAGTGACTTCTAGTGAGTGCTGTACATATCGTAGCTTAAAAAAAAGTGTAGCTTCTAAATAGAGTTATATGATGCTGCATTTGGTCATTCAGAACAATTCATAATATTTTGCTACCTTAGTCTACTCAAATGATAGATTTTAAGTGAGAAAATATCACAACTAATTATAGGATATAATATCAAGTTTACTGGAATGAAGCGAGTATATACATAAAGTTAAAACTTTTTTAAAATATTAGAATCTCAAAACAAATTTACTGTGTTAACTAATGAATGTTTCTGCCATCTCCATCTTATTAAGAGAGCCACTGAAAATTTGTGAAGGTTTGTCATATAGTCAAGATATCTTTAATATGTTTTATTAATGCATCATCTCATTACTAATGTAGAAATAAATTGCAAAGAAAAAAATGTTAGACTTGAGTAGAGCCTTGGGAATCGTCTGGTTTAGCACTATCATCTTAGAAATGGGCTTTTATGGTGACAGGGGAAGTCCCATCTTTAAATATTTTTGAAGAGGCTCAGCATTCAGGATCTCTGAAGCAGAGAACAGATCCAAATCCATTTCCCTTAGTAAGGCTTTGGATTTTTCAGGAGGCCAAGCATCAGACACCTATTTAGAACAGAATAAGAAATAGCCCCATTAAAATAGGAGTGTATGACATCCACCTCACCCTACACATTTTATAGCTTTCTATCCAACCATGCTTTTCTTCAGTATACAAAACTGAAAAAAAAAGCACTGGATGAGGGTTGCAGAAGCTGTGTACATTTGTAGGAGTCACTTTCTATTTTGATAGTCACTATCAAAATGGGCTGCATAATGATATTCACCTCCCAAGAATGTCACTGAGAGTCAATTCATGTGGCCGACACAGTGACTGGCACACAGTAGGCCCATTATAAGTGCTTCTTCAATCTTGGTAGGTTTTCTCTAAATGTTTAATGGAACCTATATTTTGTTGCCCTCTCAAACAACATAATCCTCTTTGAGGTCTTAATGGAAATTTCCATCAATGCTCCAAAGCTCCTCACCTCTACCTCAAAATGGATAGCGGTGGTACATATGGAAGCGACCTTCACTTAACATGCATCAAACATGTACTGAGAGGGTGTCCCCTATGCTCTGTATGTCATGGGATGCTCCCTTAGATCTCTATTCTCAATCATTCACCACTTTACAATTTTTTGTTGTCATTTGTTAACATCCAATTGCTTAATTATTTTGGGGGGAAACAGAAGTTTCAGACATAGAGACAAACACTGTGCATCACTGGACTCACCTTTGAGGTAAAGCCACTGGAATTACAGGAGTAACGATGCCTTTTTTCTTGTCAAACTCCAAGAGCTGGGGTCAAAAAAAACCTGCCACATATCCCAAGCCAAGCTGTGTGGAGATCGGTGTTTACATTGTGTTTAAGCACATATAAAATAAATGATGTGGGAAGAAGGTTCACCATCTATTTTAAAATGCTACCTTCTATTTTAGATCAAACATGTACAATTTCTGTTTAGCAATTTCAGCTAATTGTTGGATTAACATTTTGGGGAACAGATTGCAAACTTCAAAATGGAAAAGATCATTTTAGGGAGGGAAGCTAGGCAGCTGTCAGGGAGTCGGAATTAACATACATTTGCATAACAGATGTACAGTAAGGTGTCTATGACAGACAATCACTGAATATTAATGCTACAGACCATGACATCATTTGCGTAAATGCTGTCTGCTGGGTATTGAGGTTGGTGTGCTCTTTGCAGAAGACAAAGGGCCAGAGAATGGAACAGATGCACCAGATACGCCAATGCATCTTAATTTATGACATCCTCATGAAAGACCTTGTGGTGTGATTTCAGATTTTATTACAAATAATTTGGAGATAAAGGAACTAAGTAATTATCTTTTCCCCTACAGTTAGTCTCTCTCAAAGGAGAGGGATCATTTGTGGACTGCCATTGTGATGCTCTCAGGAGAGTGACATTCGTTTTATGAAGTGGGGGTGGGGTGCGGAAGAAAAGGAAAGCGTCCCTGAAAGTCAACATTGTGCGTTGAATAGATGTGGCTATTAGCATGTTGTCGGACACCTGTCACAGATCAACTCACCCCCATACACACACACTTGAATGAAGCAGCAGGTGATTCCATGGCAGGTTTCAAATGTTTTTTTTTTTTTTTCGAAGTGAATTAACGTTGAAGTATAAAACTCATTTTGTCAAGTCAATGTTATGAACATATGTTGAGCTTGTACTATGTGCAAAGCACTGGGTTTCCTTTCTTTGGTATCTTAATCAATTCTTCACTGTATTCCGGCCAGTCTCCACTGGACACCCTCTCCAGTAATTACAATCCATGAAGCTGCTTGCCTTTGTGACCTCTCATTGCATAACTAGCCCCTGATTGGCTGATTTTAAATGTCATGTACTTGATCAATATATATTTGAACATATAACAGGTGCCAGACCATGCACTAGGTATTGAATATGTAAAGACCTCGGGAGCTTCTGTTCTAAAGACTCTCACTCCCTAGTGGGAATGACAGTCAATCAGTCAACAAATGTTTATTGAGATGTTACTATGCATTAGACATTGTCAAGGTGTGGAGGCATAGCAATAAATAAAGCTGACAATCACTGCCCTCAAGTCACAATCTTTCTAGTGAGGAAGATAATAAACTGATAACAAAATAAACAGTATGGTATTAGATTCACAGGTAAAATAAGATAATGAGAAAGAGAGTGGCAAAGAATGACTGGTAGTGATTGGGGTGGGAAAGGTCTGCTTTCTTTTCAATCACTAAATACCTATTTTATTATCTTTTATGACCTAATACCTGAATAATGAGAGGGAGGCAGCTACACAGAGCATCTGAAGCAACATCATTCAAGTAGAAGAAATAGCAAATTAGAAGTTCCTGAAACTGAGTGCACAAGCATGCACATAATTTGATCAGGAGGAGATAAGTCCTAAGAATTACATCGTTAATAGATGTAATGGATGAGAACAAGGGAGAGAGCCCCTGATTCAACAGCTGTATTGTAGTCAGGTCCGAAGCAGTCAGCAGAAAGAATAGAATTCCACTGAATCTTTTCATCATTGAAGCCCACAAGTAGGGTAGAGATTGAGTATTCAAAAAAGAGAGCACAGCATATACAGAGACCTTAGAGAGAGATGCAAAGTGAAACGTTTCCTGACAATTGCATTTAGTGTGTATGTAGCTAGATCATAAATTGTATAAAGGAAGTGTCAGAATATAAAGCTGTAATTGGGGCATTAGGATTAGATTGAAAAGAACTCGTGTGTCAAAATATGGTGATTCTGGCTTAAAGGAGAGGTCACACTCCTGCTTCAGAGCTCTCTTCTGAAGACACTATGGTTGATCTGCTGGAAAGGATAAAACATGCTAACATGTGTGTCCCCTTTTTAGGGCGTTATCTCTAACCTATGGGGATAAATGAAGCCAATTTGATATAACTCAAATTCCTTTGATTCTCATCACACTGGCTTACCCAGGATCTTTAACAACCCCGAAATCTACCAGGGAGTTGAGAGAGAATGTCCAAGCTAATCCATAGCCATCTCTCATTTCCCTTATTAGTGTTGTTTGTTCACAAGTAGTTCAGAGGACTCATCACTGCCCACATATACAATGCTCCCTGAAAGAACGTCAAAGTCTATCACCGGGCAGAGGCGTCTATTGGTACTTCCAACAAGACCTTCCCCGGAAATGCCAGAGTTGAACTGCATTTCCTGGAGCAGAAGTTGAACATTCCAATCTCACATAATGTCACACTTGGCACCAAAGCAGTAACTATCCATGTCTCTGTCTCTCAAGAACTCTCTTGTGTGCTGCTTCCTTAGTGTGTGCTTGAAACATCTCTCTCTAAAGTCCCTAATACTAACTAGTAATATGCATTATGCACATACTCTGTTCTAAGCTCTGTGCTACGTTCTAAACATGGAGGATATTGTTTCAGCCTCACAACACCCCTGTGGTATAATATGATCATTTAGTGGATAAGGAACAGAATTCAGAGGGGATTAGCTACTTGTCTGGGTCTCACAACCAACAGATGACTGGGGTCAATTTGATATCCATGCAATCTGACTGAAGTGCCCTCGCATATCACTCGTGTTCTATACTGCCTTTCCAAGACCTCAGGGATGGGCTCATGAAGTTAGAGCAAGCAAAAGGCCCCTACTAGTGTTGTATTCTTTCTCTTTTGTCTTCTGTTACATACTAAAACCTCTTCCTCCAAATATGAATACTTCATGAGAATCCATTCGTTACCATTACATATCCAATGTCATAGTCAGTTTGAGCTGCCCTAAAAAAAATGCCATACACTGTGTGGCTTACACAACAAACATTAATTTCTTGCAATTGTGGAGGCTGGGAAATCCAGGATCAGTGCACTGGTAGATCCAATGTCATCTGCTGAGGCCCATTTCCTGGTTTATAGAGAACCACCTTCTCACTGTGGCCTCACATGCTCCAAAGAAAGATGATCTCTCTCTCACTTTCTTATAAGAATATAAATTCCATTTCTGAGCATTCCACCCTCATGATCTAATTACCTCCTGAAGTCCCCACCTCCAAATATCATCACATTGGGGTTCAAGCTTCAACATGTAAATTTGATGGGGGAGCTAGGAAATTCAAGCTTTCAGGACATGTTACCCAGACATTCTTAAATCACAGTTCACTTAGGTTCGAGAGAAGAGCTGCTTACACAGAGGTTGCGTACTCCCAGAAGGCACATATTACAGAAAATGCAGTCCTTATTTTCTGTAGCACAAGCCTACCTAAGCCAACTTTAAATTTATTGCTCCAAGCCTGTTTGGTGAGCTCTTCCAGTTTCCCTGCCCACATGAGGATGAAGTAACCCATTAAGACCATTGACTAATGGGGGCAGTATGGTATGGAGGAAAAGCCTAAATTCTGCTCCACCTTCACACTGCTTTATCACGGGCATGATGCAAGAGCTGGGGCAGCAGCTGAGAAGCAGATAAGAACTAGGGGCCAGGTGCAGTGGCTCATGCCTGTAATCCCAGCACTTTGGGAGATCGAGGCGGGTGGATCACTTGAGGTTAAGAGTTCAAGACCAGCCTGGCCAACATGGTGAAACCCCACCTCTACTAATAATACAAAAAAAAAAAAAAAAATCAGCCAGGCATGGCGGTGGGCACCTGTAGTCCCAGCAACTCAGGAGGCTGAAGGAGGAGAATCACGAACCCAGGAGGTGGAGGTTGCAGTGAGCTGAGATCGCACCATTGGACTCCATCCTGGGCAAAAAGAGCGAAACTCCATTAAAAAAAAATAGGATGCATTATTCTCCTAGTACCTTCTCTCCTTTGGTCATCTTAATTTCCTACTCCCTATGCCAAGCATGTTGCCAATGGTAACATATTAGGTGAGTGCAAAAGTAATGACTGTTTTTGCATTCGTGGAATCTGTCATTTGATATTGAAATACATTCTGAAATAAATGTGGTTATGATATACATCATTTTAGTGGGCATTTCTTGCTTTATGTTTTTTTGCTTGCTAATGACTTATTACTTGCTGTTTATTTTATGTTTATTTTAGACTATGGAAATGATGTTAGACAAAAAGCAAATTCAACTTCAAAGTGGGTCTTAAAACAGCCAAGACAACTTGCAACATCAACAACGCATTTGTTCCACTGAGAATGAACGTACAGTGCAGTGGTGGTTCAAGAAGTTTTGCAAGGGAGACAAGAGCCTTGAAGACAAGCAGCATAGTGGCTGGCCATGAGAAGTTGACGATGACCAACTGAGAACAATCATCAAAGCTGATCCCCTTAAAACTACACAAGAAGTTGCCAAAGAACTCATCATTGGCCATTTGAAGCAAATTGGAAAGGTGAAAAATCACAATAAGTGGGTGCCTAATGAGCTGAGTGAAAATTTTAAAAAATCATCATTTTGAGTGTCATCTTCTCTTATTCTATCCAACAACAATGACCCATTTCTCCGTTGGATGATGACATGCGATGAAAAATGGATTTTATATGACAAGCGGCAATGACCAGCTCAGTGGCTGGATCAAGAAGAAGTTTCAAAGCACTTCCCAAAGCCAAACTTGCACCAAGAAAAGGTCATGATCACTGTTTGGGGGTCTTCTGCCAGTCTGATCCACTACAGCTTTCTGTAGTGGATCAGGAGGCTGAAGGAGGAGAATCACTTGAACCCAGGAGGTGGAGGTTGCAGTGAGCTGAGATCGCACCATTGGACTCCATCCTTGGCAAAAAGAGCGAAACACCATTAAAAAAAAAATAGGATGTATTATTCTTATTATTCTCCTAGTACCTTCTCTCCTTTGCTCATCTTAATTTCCTACTCCCTATGCCAAACAATGTTACCAACGGCAACATATTAGGTGAGTGCAAAAGTAATAACTGTTTTTGCATTCGTGGAATCGTCATTTGATATTGAAATACATTTTTGTATTTCATTGCCAGTTGTCATCTAAAATCCATTTTTCATCGCACATCATCATCCAATGGAGAAATGGGTCGTTGTTGTTGGATAGAATAAGAGAAGATGACACTCAAAATGATGGTTTCCCGGTGAAACCATTACATCTGAGAAGTATGCTCAGAAAATCGATGAGATGCATCAAAAATTGCAATGCCTGCAGCCAGCGTTGGTCAACAAAAAGGGCCTAATTCTCCACATCAATGCCCGACCACATGTCGTATAACCAATGTTTCAAAAGTTGAATGAATTGGGCTATGAAGTTTTGCCTCATCCACCACATTCACCTGACCTCTTGCCAATCAACTACCACTTCTTCAAGCATCTTGACAACTTTTTGCAGGGAAAGCACTTCCATGACTAGCAGGATCCAGAAAATGCTTTCCAGGAGTTCATCGAATCCCAAAGCATAAACTTTTATACTACAGGAATAAACAAACTTATTTCTCGTTGGCAAACATGTGTTGATTGCAGTGGTTCCTATTTTGATTAACAAAGATATGTTTGAGCCTAGTTATAATGATTTAAAATTCATAGTCCAAAACTGCAATTACTTCTGTGCCAACATAATAATAGCCAAAGCCAGATTTAAGCCTCTTTCCTGAAACCCAGCCAAGAACTAGCCTCATCACTTTGTATTTTCTAGCTAGTGTCTCGAGGCTTCACATTCAGATGATCCAGTGTGTGAAGTGGCAGGGTGCCATTTTAAGCGAGAATCTTCTTATTCTGCCAGTGCCATAAAATTGCCTATGAGAAACTGGTAGGTTTTTGCGAGGGTCAAGAATCTCCCCAGGTCACTTCACTACCCAAGCACCAGACTTTGAGTTTCTTTTTGTGTTTGATTTCAGGGAATGGATACCCAACCTCATCAACTATGCATTAAAGGAATAAAGACAATGATGCAAGTTTAGATGCCACCTCCACAAGTAAGGACGCATCATTCCTGAGTCCTATGATATCTACAACAAGTAAATTTTTTGTTGTTGTTAAGAGTGGTCGTCTCTTAAAAGTGACTGGTGCTTAGGGAATTAGAATTCACCTGTGATAGAGGATCTTAAAGATGTGTGGATGCCTAGAGCTAAGAGCACACATAGGAGAAAGGCAGGAAACTGTAATACAAAAGGGTGATAGATTTCGGAGTGGCATTTAAGACTGATCAACAAGATTGAATTGTATAATAAAGGCAATGGGAAACCACTGAAGAGTTTTATGGAGAGAAATGATATGCTCAATTTTGCTTTTAAAAAAATCGCTCTCAGAACAACATGGGTAGTGGGTGGGAAGAGAGTAAGAGTGAATTTAAAAAACAAAGAAAATTTAATGAGTGTTTGCAATAGTCCAGATGATAAATGATGACAGTGGACTAGATTAAGGTTCTAACAGTGGAGATAATAAGGATATTTATGGCATATTTGAGATACAATCCAGAACATTTGGAATTGATTGAATATGGATGTAGGGAAGAAAGTAATGACCAAGATTAACCCAAAATTTCAAATTTGCATAACTTGGTGGAAAGTGACATTATGTTCTGATGGTTCAAAAGGTAAGGAATTTAATTTTAGACATTTGACCTTTAAAGGAAAATGCTACTACCAAGTAGACTTATTAACCTGGAACTCAGCAGAGATTGAATTGTATCTAGATATGTAAAAGATGTTAACATAGAAAGCTCAAAATAGTGATTGTATCTTTAAGAATAGTACGTATAGGCCTGGCACGGTGGCTCATGCCTGTAATCCCAGCACTTTGGGAGGCTGAGGTGGGTGGATCACAAGGTCAGAAGATCAAGAGCATCCTGGCTATCACGGTGAATCCCGTCTCTACTAAAAATACAAAAAATTAGGCAGGCATAGTTGCAGGAGCCTGTAGTCCCAGCTACTCAGGAGGCTGAGGCAGGAGAATGGTGTGAACCTGGGAGGCGGAGCTTGCAGTGAGCCGAGATCAACGTGCCACCGCACTCCAGCCTGGGCAACGGAGCGAGACTCTGTCTCAAAAAAAAAAAAAAAAAAAAAGATTAGGGTGTATAGAGTAAAACAGAGGAAAACAACATAAGAATAGAATTCCATGCAGCAGCAACATTCCTATGGCAGGTTGATCTAGGACCGCTCCCTATCCTGACATTAGGTACAGCTAAATAAGTAGGAGCACACAGAGTCGAAGAAGGACAGCCAGGCAGGCAAAAGTAAGAGAAAAGTGTGTGGAGTCACGGAATCAAAAGGAGAGGCATGCATCCTGGCAAAGAAAGCAGTGAATAATGAGAGCTCATTCAGAAAAAAGCACAAGTGTCCTTTTGATTATGGATGGAGTGGCATTTGGTGACTTCAGTGAGAACAATTCCAACAGAATGGTGGTACTAAAATCTAAATTGCATTGGGTTGAAGAATAAGTATGAAATAAGGACATAGAGATGCCAGTTTAGGTGATGCATTTGAGAATATTAATATTTAAGGTAAGGAGAGGAAGGGTAATAGCTATAGGAAGATGGATGGTTGTGTTTCAAATGAGTGAGACTTGAGTGGGTTCAAATTTTGGTAGAATGTGTCTATAAAGGGAAAAATGTTGAACATATTGAGGAGAGGATGCCAAATCAACACAATAAGGATCCCTGAGAAGGCAGGAGAAGTTGCCCTTATGAAAAAGGAGATAAACCTTGTTATTTTAACAGTAGGAAAGGAGGAAAGGCTGGGAAAGCAGATTTGTAATTTTAGTGACAGATACTTGAAGAATTTTTATCATCTTCAAGAGCTTCTAATTTTCTTTAATGTAGAAAAATAGCATCTGCTAAGTGTGATGAAATAAGATGACAAAGATTTAAAATTTGTGAAGAATCAAAAGAGTCTGAAATCATTGTTATGAAGAAAGAATGGAGCATGGAAACCTAAACGTGTCAGGCAGAGTCGAATTTTCTGATTCTAGTCTTTAAGCATTTTCCACTGTGTCCCCCACCCCGGAGGCCTCTTGCAGAGCCATAATGAAAACCATGCCATCCAAACTAAGAGAGAACAGCCCTTTTATTTGTAAAGCAAAATATTCTAGTCCTTATATTTGATCACTCTCCAGCCTTAAGCTTCTTCACTTATTCTCTTACTCTCCTTTCAAATAAGTCCGTGGCTCTGTTTTCTGTTGTGTTAATCATACCATGAACACATTCATGTAAGCGAGTGAATTATACTCTGGCAAAATGACCTGGAATCAACATATGCCATCATTGTAAACATCCTGGATTGGCTTTCCAGTGGCTTTGACCCCTCCCCTACTCATCACCTCATTCTCATTTTATGTCTCCCTGTACCCACAAAATAAGACAGGCTCATACCTGATTGTTTGACAGTGACTTTGATGGGCTGAGGAGGCACTTGAATCTGATGTCAACTATTTTAGCAGTTGAATCTGATCTCAACTATTAACCTCATGACACATGGAGTCAAGTTGCTGTTTATTACAGGATAAGGAAGCAGTTGGTATTAACAACACAGGTGATGCCGTAAGGTCACGAACCATCAGACACTGCTAGTATTAGGTAGGACTTTGGAAGATCTGCTATGGGAAAACTCAAAGGACATTCCTGAGCTAGGGAGAAGGAAGTTGAACTAAGCTATGTCACAAGTCTCTTTTTCAATTCAAGGATTATAGCATCAGAAGGGGTATTTAAAATAAATGCAAAACTGTTGTACTTAAGGGAACTAAAGTATTCACAAATGTTAACGTTCTCAGAAGCAACAGGGTGAAGAGGAAAGAGCATGGTCAGGAAATGGGGCAAATCCCAGCTCATGTGTTTGCCAGCTGAATAACCCTAAACAGGTCACCTAACATTTCTGGCACTATTTTCTAATCTATAAAACGAAGATAATATTGTCTTTGATTGTTGTTCTAAGGCTGCGTTGGGCAACATAGTAGATACTAACCACATATGGCTATCACAATTTAAATCAGTTAAAATTAAATAATGTTAAATATCAGTTCCCTCCTTGGACTAGCCACATTTGAAGAGCTCAACAGCCACATGTGATTGGTAGCTGTCATATTGAACAGAACAGATATAGAAGATCTCCATGATTACTGAAAGTTCTATTTGACAGCAATGTTCTAAGGATTAAATAAAATCTGCAAAAAAATAAATAAATAAATTCCCACCATATATTAGGTATTCACATATGATAGTTAACTTTTTGTTAACTTTAACAGAATTTTAAGACCATGTGCCAAAATCTGTGCTAAATGTGTTACAAATATTTAATAGAATGTATACTGCCATTGTGGATAGAAATGGGAATACTCCCATTCTATGGATGAAGAAACAAAGGAGTAAGAAGGTTAAATAATTACCCAAAGTTACAAAGATTAAAAGCTCTTATGTTTAGGAAAGTTTTAAAATCAGAGGGAGAAATTATCAGAAATTTCTTTCAAACACTTGTTAATCTGACCACAAATTTATGTGGATGCCTGGCTGTGTGTTTTTATTTATCCTCAGACTAATGGAAAAACTTCAGCCCTGGTAAAAAGGAAGGCAGAGAATTTTGAGTATTTTATACAGGAAAGAGTAGAACAGGGTAGGGAAAGCTCTTATGTATAAAGAAAAATGAGGGCTAAAGTGATGGCCTCTAAGCTCTATAATCTTGGATGGTCGGATTCTGAAAGGACTCATATTACATGTCTATTCTGTCAGAAATAATTGGAAGGTATAGTTATTTATTGCAAGAAATAAATGTATTTTCTCTTTGTGTCTTTGCCAATCAATACCTGCTTCTTCGAGGAGACCTATGTTCTGAGGAACATGTGGAGAGTAGCAATTTTATTTTGAAATAGGTTGGGAAATGGGTCCAAGTAGTTGAGTGTAGGATCTCATCAATAGGACAAATTGCACTCTCAAGAAGTGCTGTCTTTGTCTGCCTAAATCCTATGTTTCAGACCTTTATTCATTGTTTTCCAAAAGCAATAGACAAGACATTCAGGAAGAGGCACAATAGTATCTTGTCAAACGCATGCCTGATTCAAAACAACACAGAAACAACAACTACAAGGCAAAAACAAAATGAAACAAAACACTTTATGAATCTAGGAATAAATGAATACAACATTGTAGTAGTAATTATATTAGTCAGGAAGGACAAGCTAGTTTATGTAACAGTAACAAATATACCAAAAAACTCAGTAACTTAAGTGGCATAAAAATCCATTTCTCACTCAAATCACAGTTAAACTGAGTAAAACTGAGTAATCATAGCTGCCCTTGGGAGTCTCTTCCATATGGTGACTAAAGGACCCCAAATCTGAAACTAGTGTTTTCCAAGGGTGGAGAGTCATGGGAGATACTTGCAGAAGCCAAACCTGGAAGTATTTTACATCACTTCTGTGTATCTTACATTCACCAGAACCCAGACACATGGTGCACACCACACTATAAGAGGTCCTGGAATATGTTGGTTTGCTGAGGGTTCAAGTTTGGTGAACACATTGCCTTGTCTCCGAAGAGGTCAGAAAACAAGTATAGCCCCAAAACAAGTTATCCATTTATTTTAAAAATAGTCTCTTTGTTTTTAAATGGCTACCCATTTTACATTTCCCCAGACTCTTCTACTTAAATGCTACCTTTCTCATCCTTATCAAATACACTTGTCTCTTACTTCATTAAGAATAACAACTCCCCTCTCCTCCACACCCTGACAAGTTTTCCACTGTTCTTTTCAGCCTTGTATCCTCCTGTTCAGAGGAACAGTTTTCTTTTTCTTATCTAACGCCAAATCCTCTATGTGAACCTTGAGCTCCTTTTCTTCTTCCAGACCTTGAAATATCACTTATTGTCTTTTTTCCTATATCTTTACTGCTATGTATGTTTATCTCTTTAGCCCACAAACTCATTAAAATCTCTTTCATCCTAAAAATGCATCCTTAACATTCAGACTGGACTCCTCCCATAGGTGCAGTTCAGTCCCTATAGGACCCTGTAGAGTAACCTATCATTGTATACTCTTGGAAGAATAATCTGCAGTGACTTCTAATTTATTTCTAAATGTTTGTCTTTACAACACATCAAAATTTAACTATATATTTTTCATGTGACTGTTATTGTTCATATCTTCCACTAAACTTCAAACTCCACAGGGGCCTAACTATATCTGTTTTGTTAACTCTCATTCCTAATGCTAAACCCAGGGCCTGACACATGGTAATTACTTAATAAATAAATATTTGGTGATTGTATAAATAAATCCACTGCAGTTGATGCAAACTAAGATGGTCAATGACATTGCTATTAAATCTGATAGATATCTTTCCGTCTTTACTTTCCTGGATTGTTCTGCTGCATTTCACACCACCGATGAGCCATCTACTTTAATGCCTTGATGTCCTTAACCCATCACAACTCTTAGTTTCTTTATTTTTCCTACCTCTGTGATGGCTTCTTCTCAATCGACTCAATTGTCTGCTTCATCTTCCACTGTGCACCACTCAAGTGGAAGCACTACCTGGAGTTTTTTTGTCAGGCTGCTGAACCTCTCAGTAAACAAATTGCTAAGAGTGATGTTATGTACTTTAAAGACTGATATTGCCACCCATAGGCTGATGCCTCTTTAAATATACATTCATATCGGACTTTTAACATTAGTTACAAAAATTTTGACCAGACTGCCTACTCACATTATGTTCTTATTGGTGTCTTATTGAGGCTTCAAATTCATTAATCAAAATCTGAATTAATTATACTCCCCCAAGATTTTTCATCGTCTTTTAATCTGTATTCCAGAGCCATTATACATGCAGGTATCAAACTAAAAACCAAAGATCCATGCCTCCTTTCCCTTACCATTCTCCATCCTGTCAATCACTAAATGTGCTCTGCCACTGCACTTTCAAATATTTCTTGGCTCCTTTCTCCCTCTCCATACTAACCAGTTTCCTCACTCATAATCTCCACCATGGATTACAGAAAGCCTCCTACCAATTTCTTTGCCACCAGACCTTTCCAACCCATTCTATTCTCCACAGTGCAGTCAAATGTATCTTTTTAGAAACAACAGTCAGATCATTTCATACTCTGATGCAAACCCCTCCAAAGACTCCCCACTGTGTATAAAAACCTAACATTTTAAGATAACTTGAAGCTTCCATAAATTTATCCCTTTCTACCCTTATTCTTTGTCTTTTTGCATCTCTAACTTCATGATTAGTGATACCAGTTTTCTGCACAAACCCTTGCTTTTTTTTTTTGCTTCGGTAATTTTGCTTAAGTTAAAGCAACTCTTGCTAATGGCTTCTCATATTTGAAGTCTTATCTCAGGCTTCACGTCTTCCAGAAAGTCTCTGTACTTCAGTCCAAGCTAGGTTAGGTACCATTCCTCTGTGTTCATATAAAGCTCTGTAGATATTTGTGACACTAAATTGGATGGAGCAGAAGCCTGTGGCAAAGCATGTTGGACATGAGGTGTGGCTGGGAAATAACTTCATGTGGTGTTAAATCATTGAGATTTGGGGGTTAATTGGTTACTGCAGCATAGCCGAGCAAACTCTGAATAAACCATGGTCAGCATACTACAAATGAAGAAAAGTTATGTCCCCCACTCTGTTCATGCAGACAAAGCACAATTCTTTTATTCTTTCCAGCTCTAATATTCACTGGAACTATCTTATGAGAAAATGTTCAAAGAGAGCCAATTTGACTCTAGAAGGAAATGAAGAAATTATGGGAAACTGCTTTGCCTAAGCACAGCAAACATTTGTAGAATAAATGAGTTTGCAGTTTATAATCTGTTTTCCAGTCTAGCAAAGCCAGTGCGGTTCCATCTGAGCTGAGAAACTACTGGAGCTTGAATTATCCATAAAGGCCCTGCCTGTTTGTCATGCAGTCTAGCCCACAGAGAACAGAATTTTCACATTGAAATGCAATGAGGTCAAATTGGAGACCCAGCAAATGCTGCTGCACTTTGGTGGCTAGCACATCATGTGACTTTCCATGTTCAGACCACTTCAGTGCCCCTTGGGGAATAGCATCAAGAAAATGGGCCTTGCAGTGCCTATTCAGGACTCACCAGATATTCACAGAATGGCTTTGTCTCTCACAGTTCCACCACAGACATAGTCAAGGGAGGAAAAGGCAGTGGGATGCTGAAGCTTAGTTTGTGCAATGTCACTTCTAAATAAAGAGACTGACAAATGTGTCCTGAGAAAAACAGGCTGCATATGCCACATCACATCAAATGTTTAATCCTTTGACAGATGAGAGGGATCTATAACAGGCTCTATTCCATTGTGAACACTTTGATTATTGCTATATTTTATCTCTTAATTAGTACATATTAGTTGCTTTGGGGCATTCTGGAATCTAAACTATTTTCTATGCTTAGTGAATTCACCAATTCACCACCATATGGTCCAGGTGAAAGGCAGAGTCTGCCTTTCTTTTAGAAGCCAAAAGACCAGATACACACTTTTCTAGCCCCACTTGCATTTTGGAAGTTGGCACATGTCCTGGTCTCAGCAAATTAAATGCACACATCATTTAATTGAAAAGAAAGAATACACAGAAATGGGGCTCCAGAGAACACATTCTGGCCGACAGTGGCAATGGTGGCAGCAATGTCCATATACCAGGGCAGCAGTACCCAAGGTGACCACAGGAGGGGTGTAAGCTGGAATATCTAGCATTCATGAGTAACAATAGCAATGCCTGCCAAACTCATATTGGGCACAATTTTAGCTGAGGTCCTGGTGGCCGAGCCTTCCTTGCCGTGGCTCATTTTCTGCAACCGGTTCTCCAACCTTCCTGGTGGTGATTCTGTAGTTCTCTAAAAGCCCTTTAATAAAGTCCTTTCCTTCTTATGTTGGTCAAAGAAAGTTTCTGTTGTTGCTATGTTACAATTCTTGGCTGATAAACTCTCTCATGTTCATGGCAAGACAGGAACATTACTAAAATAATTATTATTAAAATGATTGTTAATGAAATCTGTTCATAAAACAGACAAAGAGAAATGGTCTCAGTGTTCAAAATCAATGTACCTTGTAACCTGCTAACATTTTACTTTTTCTTGCTTTAATTTGTCATATTAGATCAGAGGTTTTCAATCAGGGGCAATTTTGTTCCCTAGGAGACATTTGACTAAGTCTGCAAGCATGTTTGATTGTCACAATTGGTGGCAGAGATGCTAATGTCATCTAGTGGGTAGAAATCAGAGATGCTGTTAAGCATCCTACATTGCACAGGACAGCCCCCATCACAATGAATTATCTGGCTCAAAATGTCAATAATGCTGACATGAGGAACTCTGTCTTATTTCAGGTTGAACAGACCTTAGGACCAACTAATCCCTTGGATTCTTCATATTCTTAGCAGTTTCTAAAACTAGTAGAGAACACATCAAAATTACTTTCCATGTTTTATGAAGGCTTCTTATTTTAAAGTGTTTCTCCACCCAACAAATAGTTATTGTCAGCTTTATGCCAGGTATCATGCTAGGATAGACTGGTTAAACCTAACAAAAAAACAAGCAAACATGGTGCTGTCTTTCAAGAGGTTTCACACAAATGGGGAAAAGATACAACAAATAAATAAATTAACAAATATATCCATAGATATAAAAGATAACATACGTAAAGATAACAAACAGAAAAAATGCTCAATTAAGTTATACAAATTAGCAAGGGAAAATCAACTTGGATAATATGGACCCAAGGACTTCTCTGAGGAGGTGGCACTTAAACTAAAGCTGGAAGAAGAACAATATAAGAAAACAATCTGAATAAAGCTTAGTAATGGAAAGTGCTTGATGACTACAGAATTTAACAGAAGCTTGTGTTGTTTTGGAACAGTAAGTGAAAGGAGAGTAGCAGCACATAAAATGAGAGGTATCAAAAGAGACTCTAACACAAAGAGACTCTAGGCTGTGAAGAAGAGATAGTGAATTTTTATTTCTTTACAGATTGTTTTGTTTACTCCCTGTCTAGGCCATTCTTGCGTTGCTATAAATACCTGAGACTGGGCAATTTATAAAGAAAAGAGGTTTAATTGGCTCACAGTTCTGAAGATTTTACAGGAAGCATGGTGTTGGCATCTGTTCATCTTCTAGTGAGGCCTCAGGAAGCTTACAATCATGGTGGAAGACGAAGGGGGAGCTGGTATGTCACATGGCAAAAGCAGAAAAAAGCAAGAGAGAGAGGGGTGACTCAGGAGGTGCCACATACCATTAAACGATCGTATCTCCTGTGAACTCAGAGCAAGAGTTCGCTTATCACCAATGGGGTGGTGCAGGCCATTCATGAAGGATCCATAATTAAAACACCTCCCACAAGGCCCCACCTCCAGTATTGGGGATTACAATTCAATATGAGATCTGGGTGGGAAAAAGACACCCAAACTATATCACTCACCCTAAAGATTCTTGGACTATCTAAATATGGGGTTGCTTTATACTTGTCCAGACTGATAGGAAAAAAAATTGGGTTATTTTACTATGATTAGATGTTCACATTGACAATTTTGTGTCTGATTAGTAAAAATGAAGAACGAATTGTGCGCTACTGGGTGTCATTATTTAATAAATTAAAATAATAAAAAGTATATAATCTGTGAGGGAGAAGTTTGAAATCATCTAATTAAGCCCAACTACTGCAGTTATCGCAAGATGAAACAGAAATACACACAGCAGATATAACTTGTCTAAGGTCACACAACTTAGAGAACCAACGTTTAAGATCAGAATCTCTATGTGTCTAACTTGACAGTCTTTCCACCAAACCACCAGGCTTAGATGTAATGCATTTGGAGTCCAAGGAGAACTTAAGCTGGTTAAAGGAGAGAATCTGGTTTTCTCCTTTTGGGTAAAGATTTTCCTTGGATTCTGAATGCATTTGAATTTGTTACATTTCCCCTCATTGTCCAGCACAGATCAAATATACTTCAAAAATTACCCTTTCCTTCTGCATCATGAATAATTATTGCCATCAGATTCGAGGCCTGGCTTTACCTTTTCTATATACTTGATCCAAATGACTGCCTGGAGGTTTTTGGGTAAATGAACTATGCAGTAGGTAATCATTAGTTTCCATTCTATCACCCATGCATAGAAGCCTATGCTAGTGTTCAAGATGCTTTTGCTTTAGCTGACAAAAAATTGTTCCCACCTTGTTGTCTATGACCTGAATTTGTAACTACTGTTAATTAATATCATGTGTTTTGCCATACTTGATGAACACAAAATAAATAAGAGTTCCAAGGAGACCAATACAGCCAAAAACCTTCTAAATACCCATTCCCTGCTGGTGACAAGCAGTCCCACACATGAACATCTCCTGGGCTACCCTGGTCAAATTCTGCAAAGAGACAGTTTACATTTAGAGGACAGCCTCTGATTGACGTGAGATTAAATCCTAACCTTTTTTATTCACTATTTGTGAGCCCCTAGAATATTTCTTAAGTGCTCTAAAGTTCCCTTTCCTCATTTGTAATGGAAGATGATAATATTCAAAATGATTCTAACATTTATGAAGCCCTTACTTACTATGTGCCTGACACTTGTCAATATGCTTAATAGGAATCAGCACAAGGTATATATTATTATAAGATATTGATTATAAAGGGAAGAAAAATAAGTTATCTGAGTGACTTGCCCAAGATCACACAACTGGAAAATAACAAAAGAATCATATTCCAAAACTTTGTTCTCTTACCTGCATAAATCCTATAACACTGTGGCCCAGCTATTCGATTCTTTTTCTTCTGAAAAATATGTAAAAACTAAGTTTCAGAGAGATGAAAATGTCAAAGCTATTCCGTGACCTAGATGGGTAAACAGCCTCAGCCTTGCTCTTCATCCCAGTGCATTTTCATGAAAATCATGTTGCCTCAGGAGGGTTCTGTTTTGGTTTTGTTTTGTTTTATTTATTTGCTTCTTAAACTATTAAAGGTTACCTGAGCTTCATGAATTTGCCCAGAAATATGCATCTTCTAGAAAGCTTCAAATAGGCCTTAAATTCTGCAGCACTCTCTTGGATTATGAGACTGGCCATGGTGCTGCATCACGCTTATCTTCGTCACTGCCACTTTTTCCTCACATTTGGCCAATTACCAAGCTACCTCGAAACTACCTTGTAACCAGCTCTAAAGTCCACCCTCTTCTTTCCCTCATTGTTCTCACCATGTTGGCCCAGTTTACCATTACCTCTCTCCCCCAGTAACTCCTAACCGGCCTTCTTTCTCCCTTTCTACCATTTTCTACTCTGCAACAAGGGTGCCATTTCTGACATTTGTATGAGATCATGTCATTCTCCCTCAAAAGCCATTCAATGGTTCCTAAGTGCTCTTAGATAAAGGTGAAGCATGATCCACAGCTATGTGCATGATCTGATTCCTTCTCTGTTCTCTAGCCATTATTCTCACCACGCTACTCTCCCCTTCTCCTCAACCACATCACTTTTCTTCCTGCCTGCCCTTCACACAGACTCTGAAACATAACCAGGTTCTACCAGTAATGAGAGAGAACATATAGAAATGTGTAGACTTTTATTACGTTCTCTACTTGTTTCAATACAGGAAAAGTAGCTACCCTTGGAAAATGTGTTCGTTTCTGCTCTTCTCCCAGATATAACACTACACGTTCATTTTCTGTTTTAAAAACATGACTCCCCAGTCTTCACACCTATCCCAACTCTTCTCTTCCTATTAATTCTGTGTTAGTCAAGACTCTTTTTTTTTTTTTGTAAGTCATAGAAACCCAACTCAAACCATGGCATAATAGGAGTAACAACATTATATCATGGTTACTGTCTACCAGTCTTCTTCAGGAGCTGCCTGACCCCTATCCCTATCTTTCTCTGACAGAGATGGCTTCATAGAGATAGGTTTTCTATGTCCAGCTCCTGCACCTTCCTACCTCACCAGCCCTGGGCCATAGTAGATCAATCCAAGGTAAACATCTAACCCAATAAACCAAATATTATTTCTTCCTCCAAGAAACTGGAATTCTACTTTACCAAGTGGAAATAGCATGTCTTCCTCTTTGGCTAGGTCCAAACATCTTCTGCCATGTGTACCAGAAGCAAGAGAAAGATAACTTAGAGAAAAAAAAGGAGTTAGACACACTGAAAAAGAAAGAAACAAACAAAAATTCACAAGAAACAGAAGAGATGCCCATATTTTTCTAGTACTTCTTTTCTATCTTTCCTGATAAAGAGGCACATTTACACTTGGATTCCAAAAAATATCCATGTTTCCTCTCTTTTGTCTGCTGAAGTTTCCTCAAATTTACTTCTATTACCTTAAAACAAGAGTCCACAATAATATATTGCCTGCCTGTGACATATAATATTACATATAGACATATTTACATATATAAGCGTATATAAACGTATGTATATACCTATATGTGTATACACAGGGAGAATCATATGTAATTATCACCATAACTCTGAAGAGTTCATGTTCATTTCCCATTTTATAGATGAAAAATGTGAGAATCATAAAAGTTATGTTACATGTCCAAGACCCCACAGCTAAAAACTGTGAAATGAAGATATTTTTGATCTTCAAGTGCATCTACTTGTTCGGATTCTAGTATCAATCAATTGTTCCTTCATTCTTTCATTTATTCACTCATGAAACATGATTGATTTTGCTCTTAAGGCAGACACTATGCAGGCAATTTTCTCATAACACTTTCTGACAATTTGATAATCCTTTTGGGAGACAATTATCCATGTGTCTCTCACATTTCTGCATGTCTTGAATAAACCATTGTTCTGAATTAGCTTTTAAAGGATGTTTGTATAGCAAACAGCCTTGTGAGATATAGTCTACCTCCAGATTAGAAGGAAGATTTGTTTTTTGGCTGTTATAATAAAGATAACATCTCCCTCTGGAACAAATGTTGAGCATGCTTGTTAGTAGTCCCCTTTAAAAGGTAGAGATTTTCTAATCTCGAAGTTCCTCCACTATGATGCAGTCTCATCTACGTAGGCCACTGTGCGTTGCCCTATGGGACTTGGGGACAAGAAAAACCAACGTGAACATTAAGATCTTATTGTCTGCTATGTAGTGAGTAATTAACTTCTTTGCCTCTGATCTAGAAGTCTCCTCTTTCTGCCAGCATCTATGTATGGCAAGCTAATTTGTTAGCTTACAAAATGAAAGTCTCAGAATCTTCACATTCCTGACAAATATGACATAACAATTATACGTTAATAATTATGGACAATGCAACTTGATTCACCAATGTCCACGTAAACTTGTAAGTGGTAGAGACAATATTTGAATTCATATCTACCTGATTTCTAAGCTATCAAAGAAAGTATAAGAAAGTTAAAGAAGAGGAAAGAAATTAATAAAACAGAGGAACAGCTTTAATCAGTCAGCTGGGTACTGCCATATAGTAAATGTGTAATGAGAACTTTTAGAATGGCTAGAATTATAAAGTATCTCAGAGCCTGGTACAGGGATTAGTGAGTAGCAAGTACAGGAGATAAATGATCCTAAAGGTTAAGAGATTTTGGAGTCAAACAGCCCCAGGTTCAAATCTGACACTCTGCATGACACTGAGCAATTTATTTAAGGTGTTTGAACAGTAATTTTCTTAACACTAAGGCAAGAATAATAGATCCTATCTCACAAAAGAATCATAAGCATTAAACGAGGTGATGTATAGAGCATTTAGCATGAAGCTACACACGTAGAAAATACTCATTAGATAATAGCTATTAGTATTCCTAATAAGTTCTCAATAAAGAGTAGGTAAGTGATTGAACTTTCTTCATCAATTTACCTACACCTTAACTATCAGATAATTTACCACTAGTGCACCCCCCAGTAGTTAGCAGTGCAATCACGTTTACAAATACAAGTCACTACCTGAACTATTGCAACTTTAAGAGCTAAAGGGGCCCCTGATTTTAAGTGTGGTGGATACTAATGGTTCCTTTCTTGTAACAAAAAAATACCTTCAGGCTGCAATTTTGAGATAGCATTGAGGCTGAGCACTCACTTTGTACTTTTCTACAAATGGTATGAGAAATTACAAGGCTTGGGGTTTTCTTGGTTATCCATTTGTCTCTTTCCCATCTTCCAAGTAGAACAAGTACTGCTGTTGCCAAGCAACGGTGCAGTGGTGGGAGTGATGGTGCATGTGTAATGTGGCACTCGGAGAGTGAGGAGCTTAGTTCTAGAGCTGGTCCAAGGGCATTCAAAAGCAACACTAAAGAGAGTACTTTTCCTCATGTCATTCATGCAAACCCTCCAATAATTAAAAGAGCTGCTTCCACCGAGCAATCCACCAGCTTCCTGTGAACTGTGGGAAATCCTAAGAACCACAGAGCATAGAAGCTCAGGAGAGCTGCCATTTGCCCTCTTAGTGCCTTGGTCTGAATACATGCCGTAAAGACAGAAATCCTTCTTGGAAAATAATCAGAACTTAAGATCAATTCTGAAAGGGGGAGGGGGATTGGAAATCTCAACCCCAAGCATGGATCCTTTCTATGAAAATAATAGGAGAAGGATTCCTTTACTAAAGTAAAAATATTTTTAAAAAGGAATTGGGAAGTACAAATGGAGAATTAGAGAGAACACCCAGTTTGGTAATTGGCAGTCATCTGTTCCATGTTATTAAAGAGAAAAAAATGAAGGTTTGCAATGCCTCTGTTAACACCAGTAACTGAGCCCTCTGTAGTTAATTTTAGTCAAATTTCACTAACAAGGAATAATATATCAACTTGCACAGTGGGATAAGCAGTATTATAGAGCACTTACAAGCACAGGCTCAAGAGCCAGCCTACCTAGGTTTAGATTCCAGCTCTCCAATTTATTGACTGAGTTCTGACAGGTCCCTGAACCTCTCTGTGCCCTACTTTTTATGTATGAAATGTAGATAATTATAGAAGCTATCTTACAGGACTTTGTAAAGATTGAGTTAATACATTTTAAAAATCTAAACTGAAGCAGGCATAGACTAAGTATTAAATAAATATTAGCCATTACTAATAGTGGTTTCACATATTTTTATTAAGACAGAGGCCTCATCCTATTCCTCTATTTTTCTCATCAAGAACTATACCTAGCCTTTATTCAGTGTATGATAAATTTTTGTAGAATAAGCAAATGAGAGGGCAGTCTAAAAATTCAATTACCTCACTTTTGTTCAATACATTTTAATGCTAGCTAAAGGAGATACAATTCCAAATGAGAATAGGAATAATATTAGAAGTTTAGAGAGTAGCTTCACATCCCTTTTTCCTTGCCTAAACTGTCAAGTCAGATTATACCCTTGGTATGCCATTTATCTTAAAAATAACTTTGAGGTTGAAACTGTTAAAAAAGTGATTTTATCCTTCTACTTATTTTTCCTAGCTTTTTATTCTCCACCATCATTCCCCTTAAGAAGGTAAAACAAATAATGAAAAGTCAAGAAATAGTGAACATATAGTTAAGAAATGTTAATTTCAAAATTAGAAGTTAACATTAACCCCCTGTCCCACAGTTTATTCTTACAGGTGACTATCTCTGTCTTCCTGAAGGTCATCAAGAGTGTCCTGTACTTTAGGTTGCATCTTTAAATATGATGTTCTTGTCGTGTATTAATTCGTAATGGAGAAATGTCTAACCTAAACAGGAAGTGAGAAATATCTTGAATAATATCTGGCCACCTTATACCTTAGTAAGAGCCCTGGAACCCATTTGAGTTTTATCCTGGTTTCTCACTTGGGCAAACAGCTTTACCTCTTGGTATATTGCTTTTTCTATCATTAAATTGTGGATCATAATTTCAACTCTTCATACTTCATCAAATGTGACCATGTATTTCACAATGTATTATTACTTGAGAGGTTCTCAAAAAATTTTGTTCCTAGAAAATGCCTCATTTTGAACCTTACTTTTTAAATGAATAATTATAGTTTCCAGATCAATTAGTTTTATAATTTTTTTCTTACTTTTGGCATCTTTGAGATTGTTTTATACTTACCATATAAAATTTTCTCAAGAAATACTTTATACTTACCAAATAAAATTTTCTCAAGAAATAGTTACTATTTTGAGACAAGCAGTATTCTAGGTGCTGAGATAAGGTAAGTATATGTAAAAAATTAAAAAATTAAAACTGTGCCTTCTATATTACAGATTACAAAAAAGTCCCTATTTCTGCACCCATTGCTATATCCACTTCTTCTGTCATGTACATTTGTGGTATCCTGTTTCTCTGGCTCTGGATCTAGTCTAGGAAGGTGCGATGATAAAAATCAATAACTGGTTTCTTACATATAATGCATCTAAAACATACCCATGCACTGACTATAGTATTGTGTTAGTTTCCTATCACTGCATAAGAAATTATCACAGATTTAGTGGTCTAACACAACACCTACACATTAACACATAATTCTGTAGGACAGAAGTTTCCCATTGCATGGCTGAGTATTCTGATTAAGGTATTACAAAGATGAAATCAAGGTGTCTGTCAGGCCAAGTTCTCATCTAAAGGCTCTTGGGAAAAATCAGCTTCTAAGCTCATTCACATTGTTGGCATAATTCAGTTTCTTCCAATTGGAATAAAATCTCTGTGTCCTTGCTGGTTGTCAGCTGCAGGTCATCTTCCACTTCTTGAGGCTGCTCTCAGGTCTTTGCCATGTGGCCCTTTCCATCTCAGCAAAGGAAAATGCCACTCATGTTAAACTCCTCTCATGCTTCATTTTTTTTTTTAATTTTTTATTTCTGTGACCAGCCAGAGAAAGATCTTGGCTTCTAAAGGGCTTATGTGATTAGGCTGGACCCACCCAAATCACCTGCATATATTAAGATCAGCTGTGCCATATAAAATAACAGGAGTAAAATCCATCATGTTCACAGTCCTGGGGATTACACAGGGCATGTTACACCAGGATCAGGAAACCTGGAGGGATATCATAGAATTCTGACTATTAGATGTGCCAAGTGGAGGTCACAAGGTTGACTCTGTAGGAAGATCTTGAGAGAAATAAAGTGTGAGAAAAGAGAACATTATGAAAGTTAACCTGACAGTATTACAGCCATCCCAAGGCAAATTTGCTTGTTTCCATTTCCCAGAAGGCTAATGATTTTAAGAATTGAGTGAAAAGTGGCACACACACACACACACACACACACAAACACACACACACACCATTTTCCAGAGTGCTGGAAATGCTGTAGATCTTCTCTGAGTGTTGTTAGCTTGTATGTGTTTGTCAAAATGCATTGAGTTGCATCCTTAATACCTGTGTATTATAATTATACTTCAGCAAATAAAAGGATACCTAGGAGCAAATCAGGCATTGAAGAATATGTAGTCAGGTGATAGAGTGCCTGTGAATCCTAGAAGATGAAGAGATTGGCCCAAAACTGGGATGGAGGAGAAGCAGCCTAAGAAGATGTTCTGTTTCTTAAGTGACTTTGAGGGTTGTACACTTTTAATATTCATTTTGAGGAATAAAGAATTTAGATTTCCGATTAAATACAGATATTATGTATGTATGTTTTATTTATTCAATATCCCTTGAGATAACTTTCTTATAATTGGAGTGCCTCCAAAATTGTCCTGTGTACTGTTATTAGATATGATACTAAAAACATCATGTCCACAGACACACCTCAAATGTGGAAATGAAGTTACAATAAGACATTAGCACCTACATGATCATTACAGCATGTCTATTCTATGAGAGATTTCAAATGGGCCAAAATAAAAAATCCTTTTAATGATTCTCTCTGATCAGGTAGTGGGTGTATTAGTCCGTTTTGATGCTGCGGATTAAAAACGTACCCGAGACTGGGAAGAAAAAGAGGTTTAATTGGACTAACAGTTCCGCATGGCTGAGAGGGCCTCAGAATCATGGTGGGGGCGGGGAGGTGAAAGCACTTCTTTCATGGTGGCCGAAAGAAGAGAAAATGAGGAAGAAGCAAAAGCTGAAATCCCTGATAAACCCATCAGATCTCATGAGACTTATTCACTATCTCAAGAATAGCACTGGAAAGACTGATCCCCATGATTCAACTACCTCCGGTTGGACCTCTCCCTCCTGGGAATTCTGGGAGATATAATTCAAGTTGAGATTTGGGTGGGGACACAACCAAACCATATCGGAGGATTTCCAAGAAAAACCAACCTCACAAGTGGAATCTTGAAACAAAGGGAGATGTAGTATTAGATTGGTGCAAAAGTAATTGTGGTTAATTAGTTTTGCACCAACCTAATAGAAATAATGGAAACATAGGGAAGATTTCTGATCACTCTCCTGGCCGATTAATAACATGACACTTTTGTCCCGTTTCTTGTTCTGAAAGAATCAACATTAAATTTGGCTTCAGCAGAAGAAAACTGCCCCTAATTTTTCAAGCATGTATCTGTTCTGAGTGAATGAGCTCAGAGAGGCAGAGAGATGCAGAGCTTTGGAGATGGTAAGTTTTAGAACAGCTAGTGTAGAAATAGGAAAAGGGCTCTAGTGAAAAGGAGTAGGTGGAAGAACCATTTCTGTGAGATTAGAGTTTAAAATGGAAGCTGTGAAATCTCCCTTTTCCAAGCTCTTACCTATTTTCTGGTCCCAAACGGTGTTACTATCACTAACAAAATGGTTCCGAGCATTAACATGGCTGGAACTCAGTCTTTGTATTTTCCTAGTGCCATTTACAGAGACCTCTATGAGCCTCACATATTCCCTCTGAAGAAATATTCCTTCTGGTTCCCTCATACCCAGCCCCTCTTCCATCATTTTTTATTCTCCTGCAGTGGGGACCCTGATCATTGTGTTAATATCTTCTTCAGTTGTTTAATATTACTCGAGCACAACAAAAACAGGGAACATATGGTCAATGCCAGTATATTATTATGTATTTATTATTTATAAAAATAATTTATGGACTATTTATTATTTTGGCCCATTTTGAAGTCTCTCATAGACTAGACATACAGCAATTATCATGTAGGTGCTAATGTATTATTATAACTCCATTTCCACATTTGAGGTGTGTCTCTGGACAGGATGCTTTTAGTATTATATTTAATAATGTTATACAGGACTATTTTGTCCGAGTAATTTGTTGCTGGAATTTTGCTGTTAATACCCAGGCTATTGAAAATTTAAAGCTATTATCTAGGTGTTTAGTAAGTGGAATAATGAAAAAGACAATTGAGGGTTCTCCATCATCCTCCCCACAACTCCTAAAATCTCATGGGAATAGCTCAAATATGAAGGAAGCACTCCAATTACAAGAGTTATCTCAAGAGACATTGAAAAAAATAAAACATACATAAAAGCTGTATTTAATTGGATGTCTAAATTATTTATTCCTCAAAATGAATATTAAAAGTGTACAACCTTCAAAGTAACTTAAGAAACAGAACAACTCTTTGGCTGCTTCTCCTCCATCCCAGTTTCGGGCCAATCTCTTTATCTTCTAATATCAAAATGTATCTGATGGTGCAAAATCCTGTCAGGACAAAATAAAAATAATCAGTAAAACAAGCAAATAGAAAATCCCACAAGGGGCTTGTCTTTTGTCAAAGATTAACTCTGTACCCTAGATATGTCATTTATCTTCAAAATAGCTTTGAGGCTAAAACTGTTAAAAGGTTTTGATTTTATCCTTCTACTATTTCTCCCTATTTTTCTATTCTTCATCATCATTCCCCTTAAGAACTTGAGAGAAATAATGAAAAGACAAGGAGTAGTGATTTATAACATATAAATCTTTTCTTCAGTACAAGCACCAGAATGCTGAAGAATCAGATGCTTGTTAATGAACTGCATGACATTGAGATTCTTCAGTGAACGATTGAACCAATAATTTAATTAAGTTCTTTTGGCCACCTTAGTCTAGAAATGCAGGAATGCACCACTCTATGGCTGAAAGTTCATGGCATCTGTATTTTCACAGAGCTGAATAGAAATCCTGGCCCAACAGTATCTACTCTACGGGTATAAGTACTGGATAAATTAGTTAGCCACTTGGAGCTTCAGTTTTCTCATCTCTAAATTAAAAATACCTAAGTTAGCACTTATTTTGTAAGGACTTGTGGAGATTCAATATATATGAAGATTTTGGAACAGCTGTTTTCTTTCCACTACAGAAAGCTGTTATTACATAAGTTATAGGGATAAGGCACAGATATGTTAAAGTTTCCCTGATCACGTAATTGTCATGGAGAACTGGGTTCAGGTCTCTCAGGAATCCTCTAGGACACCAAGTGAAACATATCTCAAAAAAAAACCTCATCGGAGGGTTGAAAGGCTAGAGCATTTATACACTGACTCCAATTTCCCATTTGTTAAGGTTTGCTCCTGAGGCTTTCCTAGGGTTACGCAATTCTGGATTGTGCCTACTTACCCACTGAAGAAAACCTTCAGGCAAGGAAGAAGAAAAAACTGGATGCTTGGGGTGGGAAGCTGAGACCATGCTGGAAACTGCCTTGATGCATAAACTAAGGTGGGTCAAGGGATTATCAGGGCAGGTTATGGATAGCATCTAGTAAAGTGGTGAAGGGGCACTTATGCTAGGTTGGAAATCAGAAAACCTGGGACAAATTCCAACTCTAAATGTAACTAAATATGAGTCATTCACTCAACAGATATTAATTAAGCATCTACTAATTTCCAGATAATGTTCTCAGCAGTGAAGACAAAACAGTAAACAAAATAGATAAAATTTCTGTTTTTATGTTACTTAGAGTCTTTTGAATGCTCAAGTCCTATACTTACTAATTTGGAAAAAAGAAAAGGTAGTTTTAT
Organism: Homo sapiens; assembly: GCF_000001405.40. Classification (NCBI taxonomy): domain Eukaryota; kingdom Metazoa; phylum Chordata; class Mammalia; order Primates; family Hominidae; genus Homo; species Homo sapiens. Next base: position 14,241,347 of record NC_000004.12, on the reverse strand, counting down.
ATTAGAATAGGGAACACATATATAGTGCTTATTATGAATAGGAAGATAAAATAAATAAGTAAGGCTGACTTGGTAGGGAAAGAATAGAAAATTCTTCTGTTTTTTACAGCTTACTCATTTGAGTCAGGATTCAAATAAAGCACATTCATAAGTCACTTTTAAAACATTATTTTATTTTAAGTTCCTGGATATATGTGCAGGATGTGCAGGTTTCTTACACGGGTAAACATGTGCCATGGTGGTTTGCTGAACCTATCAACCCATTACCTAGGTCATAAGTCACTTTTACTTTGTAGGCTTCCATCTCCATCTGTACTTTTTTTGCCTTGCAGGTCATTTGTTGAGGAAAAAGAGTTGTCTGACTTGTAGAATTCCTCACAAGCTGCTCCTGGTGATTGCATCTCCATGGTTGCTTGTAATGGTTTCTTATTAAATAGTACTTAGATCTAAAGGCTCAATATGATTCAGGGTGCATTGTTTCCCAAGATAACTTCACACATGGTGTTGTATGATTTCTTCATGAACTATCCAATGCTGGTTTGTCTCTTTGGGATGTTGGTAGCCATAGATGATTATTGCCTAGATCCATAAATCCATGAGCAGTTACAAAAATTGTCATATTCTAGTTCTGTCATTCCTAATCCTTTATTAGCTGAAACAAATGCTATTAGAAAAAGAAACTTATCAACAAATAGTTAACCTGAGATATAGATTATTATGAAAGGCAAAATAAATACTGTATTCTTTCTCTTTATTTACCAACTTTCAAAATAACAAGATAATTTTCTGATATCCTTCAAAAATATACAATAATGGAAAAACATGTGGAAAAATGATAAAGTATTTTTTATTTTTTGTTTTTTAACCTATTATAAACTAATGCATTTAAAATTTTTAATAAATATAAATACGTGACAATTATTATCTTTAATGATGCTCCAATTGTTCTGTCTTTGGCCAGGAAACATTTTCATGTCTTGAATCTTTTAATGTAAGGATATTTTGATATTTCTTGATTTCTGGAATGACAAGATGCTCCAATCAACTGTGACACAACTGCAATTAGCAAAGGATTCTTGATTCATTTTTTGACAGAAAATGGTAATTAGAGACCATAATCTGTATGTTAGAGGAGTTCATTACTATTAGATTAGCCATTGTTTCTAGATGTTTTCAGTGTGCAAAGCTAGAAGTCAACTTTGCTTTTGTTTATGTCACCATAGGTTTATTCTGATATTTTTTCAATTCAAACACAGAATGTAATTTTACTTAGTTTCATTGACCTTACATTTATATCTCCTTTTAAAATATGCTGAAACTCCACATTTTAAATGATATCCAAATAATTATTCATTTTATTTATGAGACAAAACAGCCCCAAAATTATAAAATCAATACTATATCCAACAAAATATTAAAAAATGTTTCAGTTAATTGTGTCCTCAGGGTATATCTCAGTACAGTCAAATTACCTTAAATTATTAGTTTAGTATTTTCTGTATGGTTTTCCACCACTGTACAGACTATTTTTTTATATAATTTATTTCATTTTCAATTATGAGAAACTATATTTTAAATATTGTCTTTTAATAAAATTACATAAAATATTTATCTAGTTACAAGGTCAAATCTATATATTAAGGTATATTTTTAAAAAGCTAGCTTCTCATAGGGAGCCTTCCACTCTGCTTTCTCCCTCCTATAAACTTTTTTTTAATGTAGAGCTTATCCTGCCATTGCTGTATTGTTTTAAATAAATTATTATACATTGACCTTCAAATACCACTTTCTTAAATAAAAGGTAGCATCCCCATATATTTTTTTCCAGCTTGCAATTTTTCTTTAATAACATATCCTGGAGATCTAACAGAATATAGAAATTGTCCTAATTCTTTTTTTCAACTATATAATATTCCACTGTGTGGTTATTTATTCAACCAGACCTTTACCAATGGACATTTGGATTGTATTCAATCTTTACAAATTTAAGATATTAACTCTTTTTTTCTGTGGTATAAGTTATAAAAAATAGATGTCAGTTTGATTTTGTATTTTTACTTTGCTTATAGTATTATTGCCATGCAAATATTGTAAAATCTTTTAAGCGAAACTTATCCATGGCTTCTATTATCATTTTTTATTTTATAGTCAGAAAAGTAATCTATTTTCCAAAATTTTAAATAGAGTCACTCAGGTTTTCATCTAGTACTTGAAAGGTCTCATTATATTATTTTTGTTTTGCTTTTACAAATCTCTGATGCATTTGGAACTTATTCTAAAATGAAGTGAAAAATGATCCATTATGCACTTTGATATAGCATATTAAAATAGCTCATATTAAAAAAAATCCCTCTCTTCACTAATTTAAGATGCCACATTTATCATATACTAAATTTTCATAAGAAATTATTTCTCTTGTGGGTTTTCAGTAGTTTTACATTAGCCTATTTACTCATTAAATTCCTGGACAAACTCAGTTATAATAGAGGCATTATGATATGTTTAATGCCTAATAGGGCTAACCTTCAGGTCCTTTTGTTATTTTTCTTTTTCAGAATTTTGCTTAATAGTTTTAATTATTTATTGTTTTAATTGAAACTTATAACCAATTTGTCCTGCTCCAAATCTGAAATTTTTTGTTTATGTTTTTCAGGTGTAAAATATCCTCTTCATAGAACTTTGGGACATCTTTTGTAAAATTTACACCCAGGTATTTTATTTTTATTTTTGCTGTTACAATATATTATTTTGTCTTCCATAATATCATCTATTAAGTTTTTGTTGGATAAATAAAGGCTGTTGATTTTTACATATTAACTGAACAACTTAATGCTTTATTAAGTTACTGTTTTTATTGTAGTTTTTTATTTTTTGGATTTTATATATAATCTGATAAAGTTTTACCTCTTTCCCTCCAATTCTCATGTTTCTAATGAATTTTCTTGTCTAATCGTATTCATTAATACTGCCATCACAATATTAAATACGGTGCTGGAGATCAAGTATACTGTTTTCTTGTTTCTGACATTAGTAGAAGGTCTCTAATGTTTCCACATGATGTAAGATGTTAGCTATGATAGATTTAATCATTTTCCCAAAGTCTTCACTCCATCCCCTTTGCAGACTATTTAGTCACACTCTTTGTCATGTGATTCAGAAAGGCCTGCCAGTAAAGATGTAAAGTGCACATGGTCTCCCCATTAGCCTTGAGTTTGTACATGTGACTTGTTTTATTGAAAGGATTGTTTGTCGATGTGATGCAAATACAGTTTTAAATATACTTGCATGGTTTGAGTTGGTCTTTTATGTTGCTGCCTTCTTTGATGAATAGAAAATGCCCCAAGTAATCAACTTTGCTCCCGAGTAAGAAAAAAAAATGACCTTATCCTATCCTGCAGACTGGAACTAAGCCCAGTTGATAACTACTGAGCCCAGTAAACTACAAATCTCCTGCAGACTTGTGTTTTTGTAAGCCACCGTGTTTTGGGTTTGTTCTTTACACAGCACTGTTGTAGCAATAGCTAATTAATATATTGTCCTTGAGGCTGAATTGTATACAGCAGTCTTCCCTTTTCCATGGTTTCTACTTTTGCAGTTTCAGTTTCCTGCGGTCAACTGAGGTTCAAAAATATTAAATGAAAAATTTCAGAAACAAATATTTCAAAAGTTTTAAATTGCATACAGTTTTGAGTAGCATGATGAAATCTCATGCCATCCCATTCCAACTTGCCCAGGCCATAAGTCATCCGTTTGTCCAGCGTATCCACAATATCAACATTATTTGTGCATTATTAATCATTTAATAGTTATCTCTATTATCAGACCAACTGTTGCAGTATCACACTGCTTGTGTTTAAGTAACCCTTATTTTACTTCGTAATAGCCCCAAAATGCAAGAATAGTGATTCTGGCAATTCAGACATGCAAAGTGAAGCTGTAAAGTGGTTATTTTAAGTTAAAAGGTGAAAGTTTTTAATAAGGAAAGAAAAATATATGTATATATGCTGAGATTGCTAAGAGCTATGGTAAGAACAAATTATCCATGTGTGAAACTGTAAAGAAGGAAAAAAAATCTTGCTTGTTTTTCTGATGCCCCTCAAACTACAAAAGTTACAGCCACTGTTTATAAGTGCTTAGTTAAGATGAAAAAGTCATTGAATTTGTGGGTGAAAGACATGAACAGAAGCACCTTCCAATTGATGACAATCAGGTTTGCTAGTATCTGAGGTTTCAGTCATCCACTGGGGGTGTTGGAATAAAACAAGGTATTGCAGATAAGGGAAGGCTACTGCATATACAATTGTGTGTGTGTGTATGTAAGTGTATGTGTGTATATATACACACATATACAGTATGTACATATATCTATAAGTTTTTAATAAAATCTTAATTACTTGCTATTTTATTATGTGTTTTGACTAAAAGGGTGTTAGATTGTATTAAATGCTTCTTTCTGCTTATAGAAGAATAATCATAAGATGTTTCCATGTCCAACTGTATTCTTGCTTTGAAAATATGAAATCTCAGGACAATAATTCATCTATAATATGAGATAATAGAAGAAAGTGAGTTTAAATTGTCCCTAATTCTCCATATACTCCGTTCTTGCCAAAGTGATCTTCAAGAATTCTATTGCTATAGTTTCAGACCAAAAGAAATTGCAGTGCAGCTATAACAAAAACAAAGTTTGAGGATCATTTTCTTCTGGAAAACAAGATCATTTAAAATTTTTATTTTGAATATTTATGCACTTCCAAAACAAGAGTTACTATGACATCATCAAGTTCTACCTTTTGACATAGGAAAAATACCCTCCCAAAATCATCAATTATTTTTCTCTATACCTCTATTTCAGCTAAATACCTAAGAAACGTATCATTTTCTTCATGTTATCATTTTACTTTTGGGTTTTCATTTTTTTCTTGCTCTAATAAAAATAAGGCAGAAACAACAGGAAAATTTTTCTTGTACATTTTTTCAGCCTTGTAGCAAGGCTAAAAGGAAGAAATGGATTATAAAATTAAAAGCTCTGCCTCCTTTATTCTTCAAAAAATGATAACACCTATTTCTTCAAAATAGAAAATTACTATGCATACATACAGAAAATTTGAAAAATATGGAAAAATAGAATTAAAAAGATGACAACACATACCGTAGAAATTTAATCACAGTTTACTTGTTAGTATTCTTTCTAGTTTTTCCTGTGTTTGCTACCCATAATACAATTGTATCTTAATTATTTTCACAAAACATTTCATAGTAAATCTATGCTGGCATCATTAGCAATACTTACAGATATCATTTTCAATTGAACTATAATATTTCTACTACTTCAAAGTATTAATATACAGTCAATCAGTCTTCTATCATTGGAATTTAAGATATCCCTCCTGTTTTTGTTCTTTACATAGTATTACTTGACAGGAAATTTAGAACATAAATTTTGGTTCACATTCTAGGGTATACTTTTAGGGGTGATCTCCAGAGAGGAATTACTAGTCATTAGATTACTAATATGTTGTGAGATATCAGGCAATCTCAATTAAACTATATACAAGCATAAAATGGCATCATCTTTACCTTTTGAATTTTGAATGAACAAATGGTGATGGGGCTGAAAAGGAAGGAAAACAATTAGGTATTTCATTACCTTCTAAGAAATATTGGTCAAATTTCCAAATCCTTATACCAAATTTTGGATGGTGCAGTCACAGTAAGCTGCCAGCAGAGAAGGTATGGTCCAAAAAATTATCCCAGTCTCTTTGCATTTCTCCTCCTGACCCTTTCTTCTCACCTTTTCTTAGCTTTCCCTCTCATCTTTCTTCTTTCCTCTCTGCAGAAGTAAATGAAACATGTAAAAGTATATGGAACAGCTTGTGCTTATTTGGACAACAAACGCAGTTATAGTACAATTTCATGTTCTCCTCTCTTCTGTCATCTGCTTCCCCACCTGACACTGACAGCCATTCAGGCTTCTTGGTGCAGCCAGCATCAGATGGTGTCCTCTCACTGCTTCTTTGGAAGTCTGTGTAGTATCTTCCTGCTTTGAGGCTTTCTATGTTGGGTTATTCTTCTTTCTGTTACCCCACATACAGTGAGCAATTTATACCAAATCTCATGGGTCTCCTCACTTATCTGGGCAGTTTTTGTAGGTAATCGATGAGATGTCTCAAGCTCTTCTTGCTTGACCCAATGGAAACATATCTTCTATTTTCCAGCTGAAACTCCGACTATTACCTGGCATGGTATCTCAGTTTTACCAACTGTCCTCTGTTCTAGTATTCATGCTCTGGAAGCAATAGATTCATCTCCTGGTGGTATCAGAGACACAATTCCAGGGAGAAAAAAAACAATCTTCAAAATTTTCAAAAAATATTCCCAGCCACATAGGCAGAACAAAGTACCCTATTGCTGTTTTCATTTGTACATATTTGATTCACCAATATGGTTAAAATTCTTGAAATAATTTTTATTGGTTTTAAAATATGTATTAGTCATTGTATTTTTCAATAGTAAACAATCTGTTCATGACTGCTGTTCATTTACTCTTTTGTCTACTTTCTTTTGGGAAGTGGAAATATATACATATGTATTTTGGCATAACATATATAATTTATATAATATACTTATTATTATAAAAGATATAAATAATAATTTTCCATATCCCTACTACCTGGAATTCACTGCTGTTAGTATTTTGCAATACACATTTTTTTTCAAGAGCTCTTGTGGTTTGCTAACCAATTTGTCAGAACTTGTTACTAAGGCTATTAAATATTTGTCATACTCACTGAAAATATTCCCCAGTTCTGTTATCATCAATAAATCTTTCAGATTTGTGCTGCTTTAGGTAGGCACCATTACAGGAAGGTTTTCTCTGTAAGTGAATATGCATGTGTGTTTTGCATAACTATGTGCAGTTGCTTCAGTTAAGCAACTGATGATGACAAGTCTAAGCCAGCAGACAGCTATTCTGTCCTGGGATATTTATTGAACCTTCATTTTTAAATTTCTACCCAGAATTCCCATCTGATTATTCAAAAAAAGAATAGGTGAGATATGACTTGGAATAACTAAATGAATAAATAGAAAGAATGAGAGCAAGAAACATGGAAGAAAGGGAGGACTCACAGATGCCCTATACATGAATAATGTTACTTCTATTTTACTTAAATAAATCAGAAGTACAAAACAATTACATGATTTGCCTAAGACAGGAAAAGGCAAGATTCAAATTCATGTCTGCTTGCTTTCCTAGTCTATTAGTCGATTTTCATGCTGCTAATAAAGACATATCTAAGACTGGGTAATTTATAAAGGAAAGAGGTTTAATGGACTCACAGTTTCACATGGCTGGGGAGGCCTCACAATCATTGTGGAAGGTGAAGGAAGAGCAAAGTCACGTCTTACAAGGCTACACGCAAGAGAACATGTGTAGGGGAACCTCCTTTTATAAAACCATCAGATCTCCTGACACTTATTCACTATCACGAAAACAGCACAGGAAAAACCCACCCCCACGATTCAATTACCTCCCATTGGATCCCTCCCTTTACACATGGGGATTATTACAATGTAAGGTGAGATTTGGGTGGAGACACAGAGCCAAACCATGTTACCTAGGGTCCTCCCACTGTAATAGTTGACTTTCCATCTTTAATGCCATTTTTAATCTTAAGTAAACTTTCAGTGCTTTTTTCTTCTCCCCTTTATTCATTTTGTTCCTTAGGTAAGAATAATACATTAACATCTGGGTCATGTTTTTAGGTTTACAGAGGACTTTAACATATACCAACTCATTTAATTTTCTCATCATCTCTATAAACAGATTTTCTTTTCTCCATTTTCAGCTCAGGACACAGGGTGGAAGAGATGATATCACTGGGGCACCCAGCTGGTTAGCAACAGATGTGAGACTCAAATATGGGTCTGATTCTTTATTTTCTTTTTCTTTCTTTGGTGCCTCCACCTCCTGCTTCTCAGCAACTGCAGAGATCTTTCAGTTCCTGGCACAAACAGCTTAGTGGAAACTTGGCTTGGAAACGATCACAGCAAAGCATTTTAGCACTTGCTGAGTTCTCTATCCACTACTTACTATCTCTGTGCTATGGCAAATTTTTCAGTTATCTAATTCAGGACTATGGGGATGATAATCACAGCTTGTCCATAAAGTGATTGTAAAAATATTAGAAAAGATATTAGGTAAAGAGATTGACCCATAGCCAAGCATATAGTAAAAGATTAATATGTACAAGCTAATGTTATTAGGACTATTTAACTAGCATCTGGAAATCAAAGTTTTAAAGTATTGGAGACTTAGAATAAACATGGAATAGGAGGAGTTGACCTAGAAGCTATCACCTGGAATTAACTACTGTTAGCCAAAGTGATCTCTATGTATTTGAAGATACTAATGCAAATGAATGCACTACAATACTGGAGATAGTTGCTCTTACCACTTTACCAAACATTTTAAACAAGGTTATTTGCCACTGTAGTGCACAGAGATTTCTGTAACATTTAGCACTTTGGTCATTAAATTTTATAAATCCAAATATACAGTTTCTCAATAAAAATGAGATGTCTCTAACTACATGTGTTCCTAGAGTTATTGTCCCTTAGCAACTCTAGTAAAGATTGCTAACGTTTACTGGTTGCTTTCTATGTGCCAGGCACATGTGCTAAACATTTTACAAGTGTTGTCTCCATAGACTCTCATGATAAATATCTCACAGATAGCTATCATTTTAGTCATTTTGAAAGTGCTGATCAGGCTTAATGAAGTTAAATTATTTGTCCAAGTTTTCATAGCTAATTAATAGTAGAGCAACATATCTATAAAGGACAATTGTTATTTTTTTTTTCCTTCTATGGAGAAACCCTTACTCCATGGAATAATCTAAAAACAGATCATTTCTCAAAAGAAAACAGAGAAGTCCAAATTTTTATTTTCACAGTCCCCTTGGCAACAAGAACATGGAAGGTGTGTCATCAAATCACACACCAGTCTTTGAATCTGTACTTCGTTTTGCAAAGATTCAGGGACGGTGGAGAATTCATTTTAGCACCAGAGACAGTGGCCAGAGGAGCAGAAATGTAGTGTCTACAAGGTACATTGGCCCTAGTGGTAGGAAGAGTACCCACTGTCTAATAACTTCAGTGTTTTAAGCAGAATTACCAAGCTGTATTAGTCAGTATTGACTTCGTTACTTAAATGGTTTGGCTCTATGTTCCCAACCAAGTCTCACCTTGAATTGTAATAATCTCCACATGTCAAGGGTGGGACCAGATGGAGATAATTGAACCATGGAGGCACAGTTTCCCCCATGCTATTCTGGTGATAGTGAGTTAGTTCTCACAAGATCTGATGGATTAATAAGAGGCTTCCCACTTTGCTTGGCACTCATTCTCTCTCCTGCCACCCTGTGAAGAGGTGCATTCCACCACAATTGCAAGTATCCTGAGGTTTCCCAAGCCATGTGGAACTGTGAGTCAGTTAAGACTCTCCTTTACAAATTACCCAGTCTTGAGCAGTTCTTTATAGCAGCATGAGAATGGACTAATACAGTCACTATAACAGATCTAACACCACCATCTAAACAAGCTTGTCCAATCTGCCGCCTGCCAGCCACATGCAGCACAGGATGGCTTTGAATGCAGCCCAACACAAATTCGTAAACTTTCTTGAAACATTTTGAGGCTGGGCACGGTGGCTCATGCCTGTAATCCCAACACTTTGGGAGGCCAAGGTGGGTGGATCACCTGAGGTCAGGAGTTTGAGACCAGCCTGGCCAACATGGTGAATCCCTGTCTCTACTGAAAACACAAAAATTAGCTGGGTGTGGGGGTGCATGCCTGGAGTCCCAGCTACTCGGGAGGCTGAGGCAGGAGAATCACTTGAACCTGAGAGGCGGAGGTTGCAATGAGCAGAGATTGTGCCGCTGCACTCCAACCTGGATGACAGAGCAAGACTCAGTCTCAAAAAAAAAAAAAAAAAAAAAAAAAAAAGGGAGATTTTTCTGTGATTTTTGAAGCTCATCAGCTATTGTTAGTGTCAGTGTATTTTATTTGTGGCCCAAGACAATTCTTCTTCCAATGTGGCCCTGGGAAACCAAAAGATTGGACACCCCTGAGTGAGCCAGAAGTGGGGGCTTTGCTCCACAAAGTCATTCAGGGACTGAAGTTCATTTCATCTAGTGATCCAGCCATTGCCCATGTGTAAGTTTGCTAAAGCTTTCATAACAGAGTCCCATAGACTGTGTGGCTTAAACAACAAAAATTTATTTCCTTACTGTTCTGGAGGATAAAAACCCAAGATCAAGGTGTTGGGAGGGTTGGTTTCTCCTGATGCCTTTCTCTTTGGCTTGTAGATAGGTATCTTTTTCCTGTGTTTCCGTATATGTCTGCGTCCTAATTTCTTTTCCTTAAAATGACATTATTCCGATTGGATTAGGGCCCACTCCAAAGGCCTCATTTTCATTTAATTATGTCTTTAAAGTCCCTATCTCTAAATGCAGTAAGATTCTGCATTATTTGGGGGGTTAAGACTTCAACATATGAATTTGGGGGAACACGCTAGCACTGCGGCACCTCAGAGTCTTCCACTTAATCTTCTGCATCTGGCCAGTAGATGAGCAGAATTGGAGACAGTGGTAGAGGATCATGCAGATTGTTTAGGGGCCACGTCTAGAAGTGCCTTACATCACCTCTGCCCAAATTCCATTGACTAGAACTCAGCCACATGGCTCCACCTACCTGCAAGGAACATGGAGCCCAATAGGCAACTATAGCAGGAATTTGGTGGTTGCTGCCTCTGCCATACAAAGACATAGCAGTAGTGTCCACAAGACCAATGGCTGTGACTCTGGCTACCTACTTTCTCTTCCTGAATGCCATGCTATTCAGAATTTTCAGAGTATTTCTTCAAAGAACTTCAAGTGAGGATGTTCCAGATGCTCCAGAATTAGTTAGTGGAACCCATAGAGGAAAACAAGAAGCACTAATAATTCCAAATTCCAAAAAGGTCTACCAGCAACTGGGTGAGATGACAGCATTTCCAGACTTTAGAAGGAGATGGGGGAATAAGCTGTACCACCATCAAACAGAAACCTAATCTACAGTCTTCCTGTTTGGGGCTGAATTGTGACCCCTCCAAATTCATATGTTAAAGCTCTAACCATCAGTACCTCAGAATGTGAGTGTATTTGGAAATAGGGTCTTTAATAAAGTGATTAAGTGTAAATAGGCTGGTACAATGTGTGTGGGCCCTTAATCAGTCTGACTGGTGTGCTTATAACAAGAGAACATTTGGATACACCAGGAGCATACATGCACAGGAAAAACACAGCAAGAAGGCAGCCATCTACAAGCTGAGTAGATGGGTTTCAGAAGGAAGCAAACCTGCCAATACCTTAATCTTGGACTTCTAACTTCAGAAATGTGAGAAAATGAATTTCTATTGTTTAGGTCAACCATTTCAGCAGTACTTGGTAATTACACTTCTAGGAACCTAAAGCACCACTTTTTCTATAAAAGATAATGAGGTGCTCAGTGATGGAGGGTTACTATCAGAGTTGGGGTTAGGGTTAGGCAGAGAGGACTGGGTAAGAGTAAACACTGCTCTAAATATATCCAACATCTACACATTGACCTGAACATTGGCAAAATTCTTCAGCTCCAGATGTAACCCTATGAGCTAAAGACAGAATAAGTCAATCACCAGGTACCTTCCTACCACTGACATAGAGCCAGTTACAAGACAATCCCAAGTGCTATGGTTTGAATGTGTCCCCCAAAGTTCATGTGTTGAAAACTAAATCCCCAATGAAACAGTGTTGAGAGGTGGGACGTTCAAGAGGTGATGAATGGATTAATGTCACTGTCACAAGAGGAGAATCATTATGGCAAAAGTGGATTTGTTATAAAAGAGTTCAGTCCTCTCTTCATCACTTTCTCTTGCCCTCTCATAACCTCTCACCTCCACTATGGGATGTTGCAGCAAGATTCCCCTCACCAGCTGTGACTCTTTAATCTTTGATTTCCCAGTGTTCAGAACCATAAACCAAATAAATGTATGTTCATTGCAAATTACCTAGTCTGTGGTATTCCATTATAGCAGCCTAAAATAGACTATGACATCAAGTCATTCCTTAGATGTCCTATCTCCTTCCAATATAAAGATAAAAAAAAAAAAGCAGAACTGAAAAACAAATTGCAGCCATCTTCTAACCCTTGGCTCAGTCCTTATTCTAACAGCCAGTAGCCTGTGATGAAGAAGAAAGCTTTAATTGGATATGACATTACAGTTTTAACTTAGAATGGGCTGAGTTTTAATGTTATCACTGACAAATAACCATAAATTTTATAAAATACCAAAAATGTCATCAAGAAAAAGGAATGCACGTTTCATATAGTACAATTAAATCCATGACTGGAAACATATAATACCACTTCATGTTTGCACATAGCTAAGTATAGACTCCTCAATAATCCTCTTACACTTGCACCAAGAACCTTGAGCAGTAGTTTCAAGTTCTGCTAGTGGTTTCTACAACTGGAACCATTTTCTACCATGCTTCTTTCCTGCTCAAATATTCTCTATAAACACCATCTGCTCATCAGATTAAATCCAAATTTCCCCTCTCTGGGATTCCCAACATGGCCCCAACCTGGCTCTTCAGCATTAGTCCACATTCTCCTCTGTCCATGCTCCAGGTTCCACCTGCCTCCTCCCAATCTATACCTTCCAGTCTCCAAGTGTAGTACTTTGCTAGACCTGCCATAACAAAGTCCCACAAACTGGGGGATTTAAACAAAAGTAATTTATTATTCCACAGTTCTGGATGTCAGAAGTTTGCAATCAAGGTGGCTGCAGGGTTTGTTCCTTCTGAGGGCTGTGAGCCATTTTGCTCTTAATATCCTCTGCCTCTCAACAAAATATACCATCTTCTTTCAAATATCCATTATACTTAGCTTTTATTTTTCTCGTAGCACTTATTTCCGACCTCTTATCATATGTTGTGTATGCCTCTTCCCCTTAACAAGCAGTGGCTGACTTCTGCATTGTCCAACTCTCATCCTGTGTAGTGCCAAATCCAGGTATTGGTATTTGGGAATTGAATAGGGAAATGTTTGTGTACATGGCTATTCATTTGACAGACAATTAGGGCAACCAGTCTGAAGAGCAATAGTTATCATTCACTTGCATTTGTATCTTCAATACTGGATGCAGTGCCTGGCACAGAAGCATTACATTAAAATGAATGAATGTTTGCTTTTTTTTTTTTTTTCTAAAATACTATATTCCAGGGAAAAGAGAGGAAAACAACTAACACAGAAGTTCAACAAAGCTAAATCCTTGCTACACAAGTCCTGCCAGCATCTCATTGCCATGTTCCTCTGGACTGCAGAGTTAGGCTTGCAGTCTTGGGTGGAGTGAGCTCCTTTCAGGAAAGGCATCTATAGGGATCACTTTGGCTAGCAGTACCTCATAGTAAGTGAGGAGTCTGCCTCTATAACATATTCCTTTAAGGTTTGCATTGGTGCACATAGAGGGACAGAATGAAATGACCAAAAAATCATTTTATACTGAGATGTGTTGGTTTGTCTAGCAGAAACTCATTGGGAATGATAGCATGAATAAAGAGAAAGGTGAAGAGAGATTTCATTAGTTATCATGATTCCATTATAGCAAGTCAGGAGAGAAAAATCTATGATTTTCTGGACCTGAGTGGGTCCTTGCCTCTGCCCAGCATGCTACACTCTTTTTACGGTTCTGTGATGGTGGGGTTAAGATGCAAATGATCTGAACAATGTTTTAATATAGGTTTCATTCTATTTTTAATAGGTATGATAAGGCCAGGGAATCAAGAGAGGATGCTATTATTTTGTTTTATTATTTATTAATTTTTTTTTTTTTTGAGACGGAGTTTCCACTCTTGTTGCCCGGGCTGGAGTGCAATGGCACGATCTCAGCTCACTGCAACCTCTGCCTCCCAGGTTCAAGCGATTCTCCTGCTTCAGCCTCCCTAGTAGCTGGGATTACAGGGATGCACCACCACGCCTGGCTAATTTTTTTGTATTTTGGTAGTGACGGGGTTTCTCCATGTTGGTCAGGCTGGTCTTGAACTTCTGACCTCAGGTGATCCGCCAGCCTCGGCCTCCCAAAGTGCTGGGATTACAGGCGTGAGCCACAGTGCCCGGCTGAGAGGACGCTATTAAAAAGATAGTTTCTTGTACTCATAGATCCCAAGAAGCGGGGATATACTACCTACACTATGGGGGGTGGGGCACACAGGAAGCACCGGGGTTGGTTAGAAGGCAGAGGGAGGGGGGAAACTGGGTAAGAGCCTTTATTGTGGATTCCACTGGAATCAAGAAACAAGCAAAGCAATTTGGTTTAGAATTGGCTAATTTGAATAAATAATTTTAGGGCTCTGGGACATAGGGACTGTCCCTGTGATCTGATATTTGGCCCTGGAGTGATTAGGTCAGGTGGCTCCATAGTGGCCCAGAATGTGAGAGCCCAGTAAAGGAGTTGGCTGGGAAGTGTACTCTAGATCGGTTGCTTTGCATCTGAACAGAGGGCTCAGCAGGTAGTAGTTTACTGTCTCTAGGAGTTAGCTAACCCTGGGAGGGGCAGGCCTTTCAGAGTAAGCAAGGCCTAGACGTCAAACCATAAGATACAGAAAATAAGGGACATGGTTCATGCAAAGAGTCAAGCTCTGAGCTGCCACCACCCCTTTTAAATACAGCACCTAAAACATAAATTTTACTTACCTGCATGATTTCCCTTGATCTTTATACTAAGCCTTCAAAACAGGTATTTATATTCCCATTTTACACAAGAGAAATTCAAGACTTACACAGGTCAAATAATTTTCCCAAGTTCCTACAGACGAAGTGCTTAGGAAGTTACTTCACCTCTTCAAGTTGAAGGGTAATTTTGTTTTCCATGTTACAATATTACGGTCATATTTGCTTATTGTTTCTAGGGGCTGTTGATAACAAATCTGTGTGAAAGTAAGTGGGGTAAAGTCTTGAAAACCATGATTTGGCTTACATATGAGGCAGAACCAACACCTCAGTGGCAACAGAAAAATCTCCATGTTATTCTAAGAGCCCTAAAAGAACCAGGGCCTTCAGAGCCTGTGTCAGTGGTTCTTCATCTGTTTTATTTTATTTTATTTTATTTGCATCTTCAAAGATTTTAAATAGGGACTATTTAATGGTCTAGAACATAACTAGTGTTTTTTTTATTTCCACAGTCCCTTGGCCACGAAGTCAGCAGTTATATCCAGACACACAAGTTTCACTGCTTCACTGACATTTGGTTTGTTTCTGTGGTTAGTCATTACAAAGGTGGGTTCCAGCAATCTTGCAAATGAGATTGGTTTTCTCCCTACTCTCACCTGCTATGAGCATCAAATATTGACAAAGCGAGGCAAAATAAACAATTGAAGGGCTCTTAATGGCCCTGGGATACACTCATAATGGAGTTACACAGATCGGAGTGTATACATTACCTCTTTATCCACCATTTCCACAGAGGACACAGAGACTTTTAAACAAACTATAAAAAGATGTTAGGAGGAATTTCTGTGCTAAGAAGCTCAAGCCATTGCCTTTCTACAGTTGCTCAGTATTACTGTTTACAAGTGCTGGCAAGTGCTACAGACACAGAAATGAGTTGAGACAAGATGGCAAATAAAAGGACTTTCAGGTGCCTCCAGACACAGCATTCCATACTGTTACAAACGTTTCATTTTTTTCTTTTCTTTTTTTTTTATTTTTTTTTTTTTTTAGATAGTCTCGCTCTGTCGCCCAGGCTGGAGTGCAGTGGTGCGATCTTGGCTCACTGCAAGCTCCAATGCCATTCTCCTGCCTCAGCCTCCCGAGTAGCTGGACTACAGGCACTCGCCACCAAATCCAGCTAATTTTTTTTTTTTTGGCATTTTTAGTAGAGATGGGGTTTCACCCTGTTATCCAGGATGGTCTCGATTTCCTGACCTCGTGATCCACCCGCCTTGGCCTCCCAAAGTACTGGGGCTACAAGTGTGAGCCACCGCGCCCTGCCACAGACTTTTCATTTCTGTAAGAAAGTGCCAAATGGTCTCAGTTTTATGCAGGTATTACATAGCCACAGGACACTCTGTTTTAGGGGAAATCAAAGGCAAAGAGGCTGTAGATAATATTGGTATGGCGCAAAGGCTTTTATGTCTGAGTCTAGGTTTCAGTCTAAATCCTTACACCTTCTAGTCGTATGACCTCAAACAAGTTATAGCTGTGAGCCTCCATTGACTCAACTGTCAATTGGAAATTATATTCTCCAGGGCTGGCTGCTTTGGGAGCTAAATGAATGTGTAAATATAAGGAGTTTATTTCAGTGTCTGGTATGTATGAAGCACACAATAAAATTTTAGCTGTTGATAATTATGTGTGTGTATATATATATATTTATTATGTATATATATCTACATAATTACATATATGCGTATATCTACATATTACCTATATCTACATATATATGGCTTTCTATTGGGAGTCGGTGATAACAGCCAGCTTTTTTGTTGTTTTTCATTTCTTTTTTATGTATTGTTTTGTTACTAAAGAAAGAGAATTTAAGTTTCCAAGGTTTGCCTCATAAAGCAGGGCAACCCTAGTGTGCTCAGGATTGTTATGAATGTTAGAGCTAGAAGAATCCTCACCACCCTTTAGTCCAACCTCTTATTACACAAGTGGAAAGTAGAGAGCATGATCTAAATATCACTTTGTTACCATGGAGAAAGTGGAGCTAAAATAATGATATAAATGTTAGTTTGGTAGAGACAAACATGCCTCGGGAAGAGTATAAATTCTTTAACAGAGCATAAACACAAAAGTTGATCAGTCTCAAAGCTAGTACCTTTGAGCAAAAAGCTACAGAGACTTAAAAGGAGCAAAATTCTGAATCTTGTGTCATAGCCTTCTACTTCACACTTTACTTAGAGAAATGTTCTTCTATTAATATTAAGCAAGACGATATTGTTATTTGAGACTGCCTTTGCAGTATACAGGATATATGTGGTAAAAACACTTTCATAACCCTGTTGAGAGAAAAATGTTTTATTCATTCACACTGGAGCTCTGCTGGGTCCTCAAGGATGTGGCTGAAGCAACCCCTTACGATATTTGCAGGGGTAATAATTCCTCTGTTTTGCAGACTTCTTGCTGTGTGCTCACAAGGCCGAAAGGTCCTGCTGGCTCTCTGGCCTCTTCTTATAAGGACACTAATCCCCTTCATGAGGGCTCTGCTTCACAATCTCATTACCTACCAGTGTACCAGTGATCCCATCTCCAGATGCTCTTACATTGGAACTAGGGTTTCAACATATGAATTTGGGGAGGACACAAACATTCAGTCCCCTGCACCGCTTCTCCCAAGAAGAGAGCTGCAAAACATGGCAACACTGAGAAAAACCTAGGTAAAGTGGTTTTAGCATTTCTAAGAAAGAATCAGAAGTTTCTATTTGTTAACTCTAATGATTATATATTGATTACATATTGATGATTAAGCTGATCACATAGCAAATATAGTAACATTTTCTTTCTAGTGTACATACTTTTTCAAGAAAAGCATATTGGGCCTTCATTCATCCCAAGGTTTCATTATCAACAGTTATCTGAAGTGAGTAACTCTCTGAGTTAATCTGTTACTATTAAGTCCAGAATTAATCAAGGCTTATAAATAGCCCATACAGCCATAGTTTCTTTTTAAAGGTTTTATTACTGCTAAGTGGTAGTCCCACAAAAATGAACATAGAATAACAGTTGATATATCAGTACCAAGAATATGTTCTTGTTTACATGTCGGATATAATCTAAAAGTCTGGAAAGAGGCAAATTTTGACCAAGCATCTGCAATTTAGCAAGGCTGAGTCTGATTTTTGGCAATGAACCCATATTGAGCAAGGAGAGACCTGGCCATGCCCATGGGCAAACTTCTTCCACAATGTTCTTCAGGTTAACTTTGTCTCTAGTGCTTTCAGCAAGATTGCTTGCATGATAATGGTGAGATGCAAGAGAGATAATTAAAAAAAGAAGGCTGTTATCCAAAATAGTCTTAAAACCCAGTAGAGATTGTCATAAACCCATGTCCAGAAATTATATCACCTGTCAGTCTCTATGATGCAAACAAGAAGTTGTAGAGAACATCCAAAGAAAGGCAGTAAACAGAAGTCTTGAGCTTCGAAGAAGCTAATGAGTAGCATAACAGGAAGAGATAGCAGGCAACCAGTGGCAGAAATGAAGAAATTAAATTACATGTATATTAAACTATTAGAACCTCAGCTGTATTGTGAATAGTGATACCCAGTTCTCTGGACAACTATTGGATTGTTGCTGGAACTATTTTCAGTCTTCCTGAATTCCTTTACAGCCTTATCAAAACAAACAAATACAAAAATAGAAACCACCATATCTTTCACCATATCTACATGGATTCTCAGGGTTTGGCCCCTGCCAACTCCCCAGCGTCACCTCTTCCCATTCTATCTACAGCCACACCCACTCTGGCGACAGGCATCACACAGGTCCCTGCTAGCTCATTTTTATTCCTATTCATCCTCCATATCTCAACTTACTTCCTCTAAGAGGCCTTCTCTGAACCATTGAGCTGCATTACATGTTCATAGGTATTAGGCAAGCTTCAACCAGAGCAGCTGAATTTGACACATGTAGCATGCATACACATACATATTTATATACATGCATATGCATATACAAACATGCACCTGTATATGTGTCACGCATATCATGGGTATGTATATATTCATGTGTGTGTGCATGGATTTATTATAGGGAGTTGCTATACACAATTGTGGGGGCGGACTAAGCCAGCTTGACAGGACAGGCAGTTAGGAAGGGAAGATCCAAGGGGAAAGGAAAGCAATTACAGGCACAGATAATGCTTGGAATATCTGATTATGAAGATGCTTTTTAAAGTCTCTTTGTGAAACCACACTCATCTAGAATAACTATCTCTTGATCAACTAAAAAGTTCAATTAATTTGGAACTTTATATCACATTGATAAAATTCCTTTAATGAAGCACTGACGCTAGCATTTGATTAACTGGGAAAAGGTGTGTGTTGTTACAGCATGGCTGAAGCCTCCCTTCCTGCTCTCTAATCTGAAAAAAAAAAAAAAAAAATCTTTGCAGCAAAACCTAACTGGAAACCTGGAAACAAACGCAACAGAAAGAGAATTCTGGGGAGTAAAGCTTAGCCAAGCTGATCTTTCACAAAGCCGCCATATCACTGCTTTCAGTCCCCTTGCTTTAATTGCACTTCTCACAAAATCAAATCACTCATGCACTTACATCCGTCTTCCCCAGAAAACTCTGTGCTCTCTGAGGGCAAGTGCAGTATCTGTTTCATAGAATATAATATCCTGACCACCAGCACAGTTTCTGCACAAAACAGAAGTCAATAAATATCCAATGAACGAACAGAAGAATGAATGAATGTAGTTATGTGATTGTATCTCAACCTTTTTGTCAAGCCTATGCGACCCTAACTACCACCACAGCAGCCAGGGAAATTATCCATGTAATGAGGAAAATAATCTCCATGGGATGAGTGGACACATAAATATAAAGCCACATCCATTTTAGTTAATTCTTTTTTCATCTCTTCTTCCAGACCAGCATAGTTCTTTCAAGCTGGCCAAGGTTTTTGAAGCAGAAACGGATCCAATAACTGATTCATTGAACCAGTATTGACAGAGCACCCAGTTCATGCCAGGGACTATGTGAGGCACCTGAGAAACAAAGATGACAAAGAACAAGGGCCTGTTCTTCAGTGGCTCACAGCACAGTGAAGAACAGGCAGGCAGGTCTAATGACCCATTAATAACTACAGAACTATGCTGGTTGCCCACGCAGGTTGATATGGTTTGGCTCTGTCCCCACCCAAATCTCATCTTGAATTGTTGCTCCCATAATTCCCATGAGTCATGGGAGGGACTGTGGGAGGTAATTGAATCACAGGGGTGGGTCTTTTTCATGCAGTTCTCATGATAGTGATTAAGTCTCATGAAATCTGATGGTTTTATAAATGGGAATTGCCCTACACAAGCTCTCTTACTTGCCACCTTGTAAGACGTGACTTTGCTCTCTGCCGTGATTGTGAGGCCTCCACAGTCACATGGGACTATGAGTTAAACCTCTTTCCCTTATAAATTATCCAGTCTTGGGTATGACTTTATAAGCAGCATGATAACAGACTAATACACGGGACATACTGGAGGGAAGAATAAGTCATGAATTCTCTCTGCTCAGGAGTCAGAGAAGATGTTACAGAAGCCATATGCTAAAAAATGCTTCACTCTAGTTTGGTAGTCCAGAGTGGTATAAGGGGCTGCAGAGGGAGGGTGCAGCATGAGCAAAGCCCCAAATGTACTGGGAGAATTGGAGAATACGTTTATTTTATTATGCATTTATTGGGGGAAGGCTGGATATAGGAGCCACTGAGCCAGTTAAAGCTAGAGGTGGAGTAAGTCACAGACAGTTCTCCCACATCACAATGACCATAAGAATCTCTGATCCTAACCTATCCTTTTGTCATACACACTGAGAAACCTGAAAGCTTTGGAATCCTCTTTGACCCCCAACTAGGTCTGCATAATTTTTTTCCTTGAAATAATTGAAAGACATCATGTTCAATCTCCCTCCTAATCTCTGGTGCACAAGTCCATTTCGCACATGCTGCAGGATCAGTTTCCTGAGTGCCCAGGGCAAGGTCAGTAGGATGTGCTCAATTTTTATTAATGAATAAGTAAGTTCTGGATCAATGCATAAACATTTATCAACTATGCCTTGAGGCAATCAAAGTAACTCTTGTTGACATGTTTCATATCATCCTAAGCAGATGTCTGGAGCTAATCCAGAGGTTCTCAAACTCAACTCTTTTATTTATTTATTTATTTAGAAACAGAATCTCACTCTGTCACCCAGGTAGGAGTGCAGTGGCACAATCTCAGCTCACTGCAACCTCCACCTCCTAGGCTCAACCAATTCTCCCACCTCAGTCCCCCAAGTAGCTGGGACTACTGGAGTGTGCCACCACACCCAGCTAATTAAGCTTAACTCTTTTAACATTTTTGGGCCAGATGATTCTTTGTCATGGTGACCATCTTATGTTTTGTAGGCTGTTCATCAGCATTTCTTGCTTCTACCTACCAGATCACCAGCACCCTCTTTCTTCCCAAATTCTGAAATCTGGAAGTGTCCTCTGATGTTCCTAAATGACCCTTGTGGGGCAAAATCACCCACGATTGAGAGCCATTGACCTAATTCCATATTTTTCCAGTATATTTGATATATGCCAATGGCCTCTTCTTATAAATGCAGTAAGTTTTCATGGAGTTACTAATATTTTTTCACTGTCACAGATGATATTAATTAAATGCTATTTTCCAGAAACTCTATGAAGGGGTGACTGTTATTCACATCATTTTATAGATAGGAAACGTAGGGCCATGGCATTTAAATGTTTCCTATGGGATACAGCAAATGAGGAGTGAAACCAGAATTGGATCCATTCTGTCTGATTTCAAAGATGAATCTCTTAGCATCTCTGATACACTATTTCCCAAGCAAGAAAAGCCTAGACTTTTAAGAGAGTTTTATAGGAATGCCAGGAAACCCATTAAAACCTAGTCTAACCAACTCAGCATGGAAAGCAGAATCCACCAGATGTTTAATGGTTTGCCAACTTGAATATTAAGTGTTGAGATAAAATGAGTGAAGACCAAGTCAGAGGAACATCTGCTGAAATGTCTTATCTGACGGCCAATCCAAGCCAGGATAAGTTGTGTCTATTTCTCCTAGGGGACTCTGCACTTTCCTCATCATAACACATCACCCATTACATCGCCAATGTATCCTGATTTACATGCCTGTTCTGCTAGACTGGGAACTTCTTGAGAGCTGAAACATTTTTACTCTTTTTTTTTTTTTTTTTTTTTGCAAAAAACAAGTATTTTTTTCCATATACACATAGTAGGAATTCAATCAAAGCTGGTTGAATGAATGAATAAACAAAGAAATAAATCCCAGATATATAGAGAACTGTAAACATGCAGAATGGGAGTTACAAATGGCTCCTGGCAGCCCAGGTACGAATGAAAGTCTGTCAACCACTTACAGAAAGAGTTTTCTATTATCCAGACAGGAAGCTGCTGGGAAAAAGTACGTACATTTAAAGCAACAAATAAAGAAAAAATTGGACTCAAATCAATAAAAATTGTCCATCCTCTTTTTAGTTTCATAATTTAGGCCACAGCTGACCCAAACCACAAAACTCAATTCCACCTTCATTTAGGACAATTACCTGCCTTGTTAAATATTCAAAGGCACTGCCCCTCCGGAAAGGGCGTGCGTACTTTAGCACCACAAATCCATCCACAATGCCTCTGTGTGTACAGCCTGTTGAAAGAGATTACAAAACACAGCGCCTGGTTTGACAAGTTTCCCAGACTTGAAGCTGGCAGCTGGGGGCAATTAGGTGGCCCTCTCTGTCCCCACCACCCACAGCTCTGGACTCAGAGAATTGCTCCTTTATTCTCAGAATGAATTGCTGACTTGAAAGATTTCCTGATATATCCTTCCCTCCACAATTTTCATTTTGTCTTAAATGATGATCTGAATACTCTTTTGTCAGAGCTGTTGGAGCCCAGAGTTACACTGTCTTGATGAGACACCTGAAGAACAAGGAGGAGAGATGACTTGCCCAACATCCCTCAGGGAGGTAGTACAGAACTGGAGTCAGCTCTGAAAATGTTGGGCAGAAAGAACTGGTTGAGCTGAGAAACTAATGGGTCAGATCTTCCACTAGACCTAAAGGTAGGCTCATTGGAAACACTGATCAAGCAGGCTGGAGTCAGGTTGGGAAATCCTGTAACTGGCAGTGGTAGTTATTCAGGATGTCTGTAATTATTTATTCATTTATTTTTGCACTTGTCAAATATTATAGTACACCTACTATGTGCTAGGTAACATGCAAGTTTCTGGAGATAAGTGATGAACCAGGCAGACACAAACAGAGCAAACAGGCTAGCAGAAAATAGAGATAATATAATATACAACATACTACATGATACAATGCAATGGAATATAATATATTATATTATGGTATATAATAGCATATATAATTACATGTGATATCATAAGATACATATTATCTTAATACACTCAGGCTGCCATAGTAAAATATCATAGACTGGGTGACCTAAATGACAGAAATTTATTTTTTCACAGTTCTAGAGGCTGGAAGTCTCAGATCCTTGTACCAGCATGGTTGGGTTCTGGTGAGAGCTCTCTTCTGCTGGCAGATGGCCTTCTTCTTGCTGTGTTTTCACATGGCAGAGAGAAAGAGAACAAGATCTCTAGTGTCTCTTCTTGTAAGAGACACTATAGTGTCTCTTACATGATGTTGCAGGACTTTTCCTTAGTTTAGCTAAAGATAGGGTTCTTCTCTGTCCCACAGCCACAGAAGTTTAGGCTCGTAGTTTAAGGGGTGAGTAAAGCAGGTTTTTATTGGGTGAAAAGGAAAAAAAAAAAAAAAGAGGGGGAAACAGAGATCCTCCGCAAGGTCAGAGTCCCTGCTAGAGTGTTTCCCACCTGCCATTGGAATACCAGATTCCACACAGGAAAGGGTGAGGCCAGGCTCCTCCCTGATGCAAAGGGCAGGAACTTGCAAAGGCTCCACCTCATTGGGCAGGCTGGTTGGAGTTTGTCCGGGGACCCCCTCCCACCTTGGTGTCTCTGTGAGGGCCCCACCCTCATGTCCTCATCTGAATCTAATTATCTCCCAAAGGCTTCATCTCCAAATACCATCTCAGTCGGGGTAGAGATGTAAGATGCTTAACATATGCATGTTGGGGGAGGGTGGGGCACAAGTCAGTCCATAGCACAGATAATTGGATATGATATGATACAGAAAATAAAACTACTGAAAGAGGAAAAGGCCAGAGAAGGGTCCATGGAGGAAGTAACATTTAAAGTCAAGTGTGATCTTGAGTTCAAAAGACAAGCATGCAAGCCAGAAGCTACAGATTGATGCAAAAGATCCTGACTACATATAGGAATTGATAAGGAAGCAAGTAGAAAGGCAGGAAAGTCCAGCTGCACAGCTCACAGGCTAGAGTCAGGCAGAAGTCAGGCTCTTACCAGATATGACCATGAACAAATCATCTGAATTCTCTGAGTATTGATTCCCACAGTTATAAAGTGTGGAGAATAACTGTAGCTTATTTACAGGGTAGGTGTGAAAGTTGTATGAGATTATTTACGTAAAGATTTTAACTCTGGCCAGGTGCGGTGGCTCACGCCTGTAATCCCAGCATTTTAGGAGGCAGAGGCAGGCGGATCACCTGAGGTCAGGAATTTGAGACCAGCCTGGCCAACATGGCAAAACCTCATCTCTACTAAAAATTAAAAAAAGTAGCTGGGCATAGTGATGCACACCTGTAATCCCAGCTACTTAGGAGGCTGAGGCAGGAGAATCCCTTGAAACCGAGAGGCAGAGGTTGCAGTGAGCTGAAATTGCACCACTGCACTCCAAAACTTTGTCTCAAAAAAAAAAATAAAAAAAAATAAAAATGATCTTAACCCTGAAGCAGTCACATTATAAATGCTTGATAAATGGGAGCTATTATTATTGAAATATTAAAAATCTTCCATCAACACATCCTGTTGGCTCTATCTTCCGAGTGCATTCTCCGTCCAACTGCCTCCAAGTCCACCACCCTGGTCCAACACACCAGTAACTTTTGTGACCTTGGATTGATTATTTAAATACTCTATGCTTTAGTTTCCTCATCTGTAAAATAGACACAATATTAGAGCCTATCTCATAGAGCTGCTGTGAGTACTTGTAAATTAACATACATAAAGTAATTTAAAGGATTTCTAGACCCTAGCACATTATAAGTGCTAAATAAATGCTATCTATTATTATCATCTCTCGTCTGGATTGTTGCAATAGTCTCTCACCTACTCTCTCTCCTTCCACCCTTCCTCCTCTGGTCTCTTCACGAAGTGGCCAAAGCAATTCTTTCAATAAATAAATCACATTACTTCCCTCTTTGCACAAAACCCTCCAGTGGATTATCATCTCGCTCAGAGTGAAAGCAAAGCCTTCTCGCTGAACCAGACCCCATGACCTTTTGAGCCTGATTCCCACTGTCTCTGCACCCTGGCCTCTCACGCTGCCCCTCTGACATGCTTGCCAGCCTGCATGTCACGGTCTTTGTTCTTCCAGTTGTCTCTCCGGGAATGCTCTCGCCCAGGTCTGTTCATGACCTGTATGTTCATTCCATTCAGGTCTCTGTTTCAATATCACATCAGCAGGAAGGCTGTCACTGACTAATTGACCTAAAATAAATAGCATACACCACCCTCACACATCATATCACCCTGACCCTTCCTCATTTTCCTTATCATCTGACGTGTGATGGATTTATACAAATAATTATTCATTGTCTACTGTCTCAACAAAGTAAGCTCCATGAGGGCAGGCATTTGATCAGTTCACTGCTGTGTTCTTGGCAGCAAGAAATGTGCTGGGACATTGTAGAAGTTAATAAATATTTGTTCAGTGATAAATGAATCAGAGACATCATTAGGGCTGAGATGCTTAGTGTCCCCCCGATTGACTACTGACCATATGGATAGGGGTGGGTTCCTGGGGCCAGAAGACACACTGGCTGTTCTCTTCAGTGAAAGATTTATGGACCCAGAGTCTTTCCTAGGAGCATCCTGCACATCTAACAGGACAGTTTTCCAGGGCAGAAGGCAAATAATATACATTGTTTAGCAATTCAAGAATTACTTTAATGACCCAGTAAATCACCATGAAAATCTGAATATCTGTAAAATATGGTGACCTGAGAAACTGCTGACTCCAACGGTCTCCAGGGGGATTCTGTTAGTGATCTGTTTTGGATGGGCCTTTTTAAGACATTTTATGTTCCACTTAGGTCAGGCTGCGAGGGAATAAAGGGAATGTACTTCATGCAGAGCACTATAATCCATTCACAGGCAAGGCAGGGCTGTAAATCCTGCAGAATGTGTGCGTGCATGTGTGTGTGCTTGTGTGTGTGTGTGTGCGTGTTTGTGTGTGTGTTTGGGATAGGGTAAATTTTGTGGTATTATTTTAAGCAGAAACTTCAGTCCACGGAAGTCATAAAGTTAAGGCTTTTTGTTATATCAAATATCACTGAAGTCACTTCTCAAAGCAGATTGGCTTCCTGCAGCTTTTCTTCCTCACCTCCTTACTCCAAGGGCTCATCTTCCATTTCATCCCTAGCGCAGTCACTGTCTAACCTGTCACTGTGTAGCCCTATCCTTAGATCTAGGCAACAAGGGCTTCTACCCTCAGTCTCATGCTTTAATTTATATATACAAACTAATCAGAAAATATATTTATTAAAGAATATACGATCACCTCTGCTTTTTAGCATCCAGCTCTCTGCTCTGACATAGCATGATCCCTAACCCTAAACCTTCTCCCTTATGTGAGTTCAAGCCACAGGGATACGCTTCTCCACACCTCTCGCCCTATATCCTCAAAAGGAAAGGTCAGTGCATCCAAATGCCATGAAGGTCTGCAGGTGTGTCACTCTCGGTGTCAGAGATGAATGCTACTGGGACTGGAGCAGCAAGAGCACCTTCAGCAAGAAAATAGACACATTAATTAACTTGTGAAATCTTGCCTTATAACCAGTAAAAATGCAAAAGATTTGTGCATGAAAAAGTGGTGCAAAGCATCTATTTTTTGCTTGTATTTAGATTCCATCTTATGATTCTAGAGCTAAGGATGAGTTGGTGAGGTATTCACATCAGTTTCACAGGGTAACTAAGAAACACCATCTTGTATTAAGCAATTCATGTTGCTCTTAAAGTTCTATATGTTTGTATGTAGATGAAATGGGTACAAAGAATAATTCCAGTTCTTTACATTATTAACTAGATGGACATTACATGCTTGAATACTAGAGAGAATTATGGCCAAAAAACATTGAGTAAGATTTAATTAAATTTGCAAACAACCAAATAAGATATTCAGTGTTATTTAAACAATTTAAATTTAACTATTCATATGTGATATAATTAAAGTAACTGCATTTTGAGTTTGGAGATTTCTCAAAGAACTTAAAACAGAACTACCATTCATCCCAGCAATCCCATTACTTCATATAGTCCCCAAAGAAAACAAACTGTTCTACCGAAATGCCACATGCCCTAGCATGTACTATGCACAATAACAAGGACATGGAATCAAACTAGGCACCCATCAATGGTGGACTGGATAAAGCAAATATGGTACATATACACCATGGACTACTATGTGACCATAAAAAAAAATGAAATCATATTATTTGCAAAAACACAGATACAGCTGGAGACCATTATCCTAAGCAAATTAGCACAGAAACAGAAAACCAAATATCACATGTACTCACACATAAGTAGAAGCTAAACATTGAGTTATATGTAGAACTTATAAGTAGAACATATAAGTATGTCACAAATTTTATGTCATGAACATACATATGACAGGAATAGACAATGGGAACTACTGTGGGGGAGGTGGAAAAACTAATTTTGGATACTGTGCTCAGTACCTCAGTAATGGACTTCAGATCCTGGCCACATTTTCTAATCCACCTGAATCAAGAATAAAGTCAATATTTTGATCCCTGTTTGACCCCTATGAATGTGTCTCAGTTGATTCTGAACTTCCAAGAGGGAAGAGATTGAATGAGATCTGTTTTTTTACAACTCTCTTCCAAGCAGGAATGATTAATTTTAAGCAAGCCTTCAAGTGTTAAGCCATGTAACTTCATTGTGGTAGACCCCCACTCTCACTTTATCTGGCCCACTTTTCAGAGAAGCCTTCATTTATTCCCATATTAGAGTGTGTTCCACTTTCCTCCCCATGGCTTTGCCCTTAGTACCCTCGAAAATAATACTCACCACAGTGAGTACTGTATTATCATGTTATATGTTTATTCTCAGTCTTCACAGTCCCCAGATTCTAAGCTCATTAGAAATAGATAAAGGTGGAGCCAAGATGGCCAAATAGGAACAGCTCCAGTCTGCAGCTCCCAGCGCGAGCGCCGCAGAAGATAGGTGATTTCTGCATTTCAAATCTGAGGTACTGGGTTGATCTCACTAGTGACTACCAGACAGTGGGAGCAGGACAGTGGGTGCAGCGCACCGTGCATGAGCCGAACCAGGGTGAGGCATTGCCTCACTCGGGAAGCACAAGGGGTCAGGGAGTTCCCTTTCCTAGTCAAAGAAAGGGGTGACAGACAGCACCTGGAAAATCGGGTAACTCCCACCCAAATACTGTGCTTTTCCAATGGGCTTAAAAAACAGCACACCAGGAGATTATATCCCGCACCTGGCTTGGAGGGTCCTACACCGACCGAGTCTCGCTGATTGCTAGCACAGCAGTCTGAGATCAAACTGCAAGGCAGCAGTGAGGCTGGAGGAGGGGTACCCACCATTGCCCAGGCTTGCTTAGATAAACAAAGCAGCTGGGAAGGTTGAACTGGGTAGAGCCCACCACAGCTCAAGGAGGCCTGCCTGCCTTTGTAGGCTCCACCTCTGGGGGCAGGACACAGACAAATAAAAAGACAGCAGTAATCTCTGCAGACTTAAATGTCCCTGTCTGACAGCTTTGAAGAGAGCAGTGGTTCCCCCAGCACTCAGCTGGACATCTGAGAACGGGCAGACTGCCTCCTCAAGTGGGTCCTGACCCCTGACCCCCGAGCAGCCTAACTGGGAGGCACTCCCCAGTAGGGGCAGACTGACACCTCACACCACAGGGTACTCCTCTGAGACAAAACTTCCAGAGGAACGATCAGAGAGCAGCATTCGCAGTTCAAGAAAATCTGCTGTTCTGCAGCCACTGCTGCTGTTACCCAGGAAAACAGGGTCTGGAGTGGACCCCTAGCAAACTCCAACAGACCTGCAGCTGAGGGTCCTGTCTCTTAGAAGGAAAACTAACAAACAGAAAGGACATCCACACCAAAAACCCATCTGTACATCACCATCATCAAAGACCAAAAGTAGATAAAACCACAAAGATGAGGAAAAACCAGAGCAGAAAAACTGGAAACTCTAAAAAGCAGAGCACCTCTCCTCCTCCAAAGGAATGCAGTTCCTCACCAGCAATGGAACAAAGCTGGACAGAGAATGACTTTGACGAGTTGAGAGAAGAAGGCTTCAGATGATCAAACTACTCCGAGCTACAGGAGGAAATTCAAACCAAAGGCAAAGAAGTTGAAAACTTTGAAAAAAATTTAGACGACTTTATAACTAGAATAACCAATACAGAGAAGTGCTTAAAGGAGCTGATGGAGCTGAAAGCCAAGGCTAGAGAACTACATGAAGAATGCAGAAGCCTCAGGAGCCGATGTGATCAACTGGAAGAAAGGGTATCAGCGATGGAAGATGAAATGAAGTGAGAAGGGAAGTTTAGAGAAAAAAAGAATAAAAAAAAATGAACAAAGCCTCCAAGAAATATGGGACTATTGAAAAGACCAAATCTATGTCTGATTGGTATACCTGAAAGTGATGGAGAGAATGGAACCAAGTTGGAAAATACTCTGCAGGATATTATCCAGGAGAACTTCCCCAATCTAGCAAGGCAGGCCAACATTCAGATTCAGGAAATACAGAGAACGCCACAAAGATACTCCTCGAGAAGAGCAACTCCAAGACACATAATTGTCAGATTCACCAAAGTTGAAATGAAGGAAAAAATGTTAAGGGCAGCCAGAGAGAAAGGTTGGGTTACCCACAAAGGGAAGCCTATCAGACTAACAGCAGAACTCTCAGCAGAAACTCTACAAGCCAGAAGAGAATGGGGGCCAATATTCAATATTCTTAAAGAAAAGAATTGTCAACCCAGAATTTCATATCCAGCCAAACTAAGCTTCATAAGTGAAGGAGAAATAAAATACTTTACAGACAAGCAAATGCTGACCGATTTTGTCACGACCAGGCCTGCCCTAAAAGAGCTCCTGAAGGAAGCACTAAACATGGAAAGGAACAACTGGTACCAGCCACTGCAAAATCATGCCAAATTGTAAAGACCATTGAGGCTAGGAAGAAACTGCATCAGCTAACGAGCAAAATAACCAGCTAACATCATAATGACAGGATCAAATTCACACATAACAATATCAACTTTAAATGTAAATGGACTAAATGCTCCAATTAAAAGACACAGACTGGCAAATTGGATAAAGAGTCAAGACCCATCAGTGTGCTGTATTCAGGAAACCCATCTCACATGCAGAGACACACATAGGCTCAAAATAAAAGGATGGAGGAAGATCTACCAAACAAATGGAAAGCAAAAAAAAGGCAGGGGTTGCAATCCTAGTCTCTGATAAAACAGACTTTAAACCAACAAAGATCAAAAGAGACAAAGAAGGCCATTACATAATGGTAAAGGGATCAATTCAACAAGAAGAGCTAACTATCCTAAATATATATGCACCCAATACAGGAGCACCAAGATTCATAAAGCAAGTCCTGAGTGACCTACAAAGAGACTTACACTCCCACACAATAATAATGGGAGGCTTTAACACCCCACTGTCAACATTAGACAGATCAATGAGACAGAAAGTTAACAAGGATATCCAGGAATTGAACTCAGCTCTGCACCAAGCAGACCTAATAGACATCTCCAGAACTCTCCACCCCAAATCAACAGAATATACATTTTTCTCAGCACCACACCACACCTATTCCAAAATTGACCACATAGTTGGAAGTAAAGCTCTCCTCAGCAAATGAAAAAGAACAGAAATTATAACAAACTGTCTCTCAGACCACAGTGTAATCAAACTAGAACTCAGGATTAAGAAACTCACTCAAAACCACTCAACTACATGGAAACTGAACAACCTGCTCCTGAATGACTACTGGGTACATAACGAAATGAAGGCAGAAACAAAGATGTTCTTTGAAACCAACAAGAACAAAGACACAACATACCAGAATCTCTGGGACACATTCAAAGCAGTGTGTAGAGGGAAATTTATAGCACTAAATGCCCACAAGAGAAAGCAGGAAAGATCCAAAATTGACACCCTAACATCACAATTAAAAGAACTAGAAAAGCAAGAGGAAACACATTCGAAAGCTAACAGAAGGCAAGAAATAACTAAAATCAGAGCAGAACTGAAGGAAATAGAGACACAAAAAACCCTTCAAAAAACTAATGAATCCAGGAGCTGGTTTTTTGAAAGGATCAACAAAATCGATAGACTGCCATAAGACTAATAAAGAAAAAAAGAGAGAAGAATCAAATAGACACAATAAAAAATAATAAAGGGGATGTCACCACCAATCCCACAGAAATACAAACTACCATCAGAGAATACTACAAACACCTCTACACAAATAAACTAGAAAATCTAGAAGAAATGGATAAATTCCTTGACACATACACCCTCCCAAGACTGAACCAGGAAGAAGTTGAATCTCTGAATACACCAGTAACAGGCTCTGAAATTGTGGCAATAATCAATAGTTTACCACGCAAAAAGAGTCCAGGACCAGATGGATTCACAGCCAAATTCTACCAGAGGTACAAGGAGGAGTTGGTACCATTCCTTCTGAAACTATTCCAATCAATAGAAAAAGAGGGAATCTTCCCTAACTCATTTTATGAGGCCAGCATCATCCTGATACCAAAGCCTGGCAGAGACACAACCAAAGAAGAGAATTTTAGACCAATATCCTTGATGAACATTGATGCAAAAATCCTCAATAAAATAATGGCAAACCGAATCCAGCAGCACATCAAAAAGTTTATCCACCATGATCAAGTGGGCTTCATCCCTGGGATGCAAGGCTGGTTCAATATATGCAAATCAATAAATGTAATCCAGCATATAAACAGAACCAAAGACAAAAACCACGTGATTATCTCAATAGATGCAGAAAAGGCCTTTGACAAAATTCAACAACCCTTCATGCTAAAAACTCTCAATAAATTAGGTATTGATGGGACATATCTCAAAATAATAACAGCTATCTATGACAAACCCACAGCCAATATCATACTGAATGGGCAAAAACTGGAAGCATTCCCTTTGAAAACGGGCACAAGACAGGGATGCTCTCTCTCACCACTGCTATTCAACATAGTGTTGGAAGTTCTGGCCAGGGCAATCAGGCAGGAGAAGGAAATAAAGGGTATTCAATTAGGAAAAGAGGAAGTCAAATTGTCCCTGTTTGCAGATGACATGATTGTATATCTAGAAAACCCCATTGTCTCAGCCCAAAATCTCCTTAAGCTGATAAGTAACTTCAGCAAAGTCTCAGGATACAAAATCAATGTGCAAAAATCACAAGCATTCTTATACACCAATAACAGACAAACAGAGAGCCAAATCATGAGTGAACTCCCATTCACAGTTGCTTCAAAGAGAATAAAATACTTAGGAATCCAACTTACAAGGGATGTGAAGGACCTCTTCAAGGAGAACTACAAACCACTGCTCAAGGAAATAAAAGAGGATACAAACAAATGGAAGAAAATTCCATGCTCATGGGTAGGAAGAATCAATATCACGAAAATGGCCATACTGCCCAAGGTAATTTATAGATTCAATGCCATCCCCATCAAGCTACCAATGACTTTTTTCACAGAATTGGAAAAAACTACTTTAAAGTTCATATGGAACCAAAAAAGAGCCCGCATCGCCAAGTCAATCCTAAGCGAAAAGAACAAAGCTGGAGGCATCACCCTACCTGACTTCAAACTATACTACAAGGCTACGGTAACCAAAACAGCATGGTACTGGTACCAAAACAGAGATATAGATCAATGGAACAGAACAGAGTCCTCAGAAATAACGCCACGTATCTACAACTATCTGATCTTTGACAAACCTGAGAAAAACAAGCAATGGGGAAAGGATTCCCTATTTAATAAATGGTGCTGGGAAAACTGGCTAGCCATATGTAGAAAGCTGAAACTGGATCCCTTCCTTACACCTTAAACAAAAATTAATTCAAGATGGATTAAAGACTTAAACGTTAGACCTAAAACCATAAAAACCCTAGAAGAAAACCTAGGCATTACCATTCAGGACATAGGCATGGGCAAGGACTTCATGGCTAAAACACCAAAAGCAATGGCAACAAAAGACAAAATTGACAAATGGGATCTAATTAAACTGAAGAGCTTCTGCACAGCAAAAAAACTACCATCAGAGTGAACAGGCAACCTACAAAATGGGAGAAAATTTTCACAACCTACTCATCTGACAAAGGGCTGATATCCAGAATCTACAATGAACTCAAACAAATTTACAAGAAAAACCAAACAACCCCATCAAAAAGTGGGCAAAGGATATGAACAGATACTTCTCAAAAGAAGACATTTATGCAGCCAAAAGACACATGAAAAAATGCTGGTCATCACTGGCCATCAGAGAAATGCAAATCAAAACCACAATGAGATACCATCTCACACCAGTTAGAATGGCGATCATTAAAAAGTCAGGAAACAACAGGTGCTGGAGAGGATGTGGAGAAATAGGAACACTTTTACACTGTTGGTGGGACTGTAAACTAGTTCAACCATTGTGGAAGTCAGTGTGGCGATTCCTCAGGGATCTAGAACTAGAAATACCATTTGACCCAGCCATTCCATTACTGGGTATATACCCAAAGGACCATAAATCATGCTGCTATAAAGACACATGCACACGTATGTTTATTGTGGCACTATTCACAATAGCAAAGACTTGGAACCAACCCAAATGTCCAACAATCATAGACTGGATGAAGAAAATGTGGCAAATATACACCATGGAATACTATGCAGCCATAAAAATTGATGAGTTCATGTCCTTTGTAGGGACATGGATGAAATTGGAAATCCTCATTCTCAGTAAACGATCGCAAGAACAAAAAACCAAACACCGCATGTTCTCACTCATAGATGGGAATTGAACAATGAGAACACATGGACACAGGAAGGGGAACATCACACTCTGGGGACTGCTGTGGGGTGGGGCGAGGGGGAAGGGATAGCATTAGGAGATATACCTAACGCTAAATGACGAGTTAATGGGTGCAGCACACCAGCATGGCACATGTATACATATGTAACTAACCTGCATATTGTGCACATGTACCCTAAAACTTAAAGTATAATAATAATAAAATTAAAAAAAAGAAAAATCTGAAAAAAAAAGAAAGAAAAGCTTGGGAATTCGGGTTTCTCCATTGTCTGATGTCACCTTTTAAAAAACTTGTTCTACGTGGTCATCCATGGAAGAGGGTGAGAGAGAAAAGAATCCAGCTGGGAGTTTTAGCTAAAACATAAAAAGCCCACATAATTTTACCTACAGTCTATTGGCCAGAGCCTTGCCATATGTCTGTCCTCATACTAATTTCATTGAAAGACTGGAAATGTAGTCATCTTTTTGTCAAGGAGAAGAAATAAGACTGATAGCGAGACTCTGTCGTGTCTTATAACTGGTAAAGGTGGGGCTTAAGTCATACATTTAGGGGTTGAAATGAGAGGAAAAGATGGAAAAGAAACCTCTGACGAGTAAGAAGAGACTCAATATAGGTTCCATGTCCTGGAAGCCAAGGGAAGAAAGAGCCTCTCTCTTTTCAGATCCCTACTATGTGTCAGATTCTGTGCTGCTTCAATGTTAACTCGTGAAGAGACAATATTTGGTGAATATTTTGAAAAGTCCGTTGGTTTTAGAAATTATACATATAAGAGATTTGTTTCAAGAGAGATGAATAAAGAACAGAGAAAAAAAACAGATCAGTTGTCAGATTTTGCTATGGCAGAGGCATGGAACACACAGTTCTATCTCTTGAAAAGAGCAGTGTTGGTTATTTGATCCTTACTATCCTTGTGAAGGAAGAACTCTGTGAGACACCAAAGACCTCTTGAAGAACAGTGATGACTTATCCCAGGTTAGAGAATGGGAAACGTATCTCCCCTCTATCTTCCTGTGAAAATACAGGAGACACTGAAATGAAGAATTGAAGAATAGGGGTTGGGAGGAACAAAAGATTACACAATGCCAGTGTTATCTCTTTATACTTTTATGTTTCTTCTCCCAATTGAGAAGCGACCCTTAAAGGAGAAAAACCAAATTAAACATTAGCCAAAGAGCTGGGGCTGATGGAATATTTTATTGGAACTACTTTTCATACTCAAGAACTGAGAGAATGAAAGTAGCCATCTAACCTTGCCAGAGACTTGAAGACCCTCTCCTGCCACACCCAGAACTTCAGATTCTCTAAAATATGCAGTGGCAGATAACTATTTCCCATTGGTCAGTTTCAAACTCTTAGTCTATAATGGCATTCCTAGTTTCTACCTCATTGCCTTTTCATCTCTGTTTCCCTCTTTAACACTTGTTAGTTAAGGATTTCTTTAGATAGTCTACCTGACTTCTAAGCCATTATGTCACTAAGATATCACCTATCAGTACACTTCTACAGCTTGCTGAAATCAATGTGCTATACCCATCCTAACCCAGAGTCCAAGATACTTCATTCCATATGTAACTCAACACCTTTTCTTTAACCCACCTCATCTGGGAGAGGAGCTCGGCCAGATATGATCCAGGAAAGACAACATGACAAGGATCTAGCTGAATATGCCTGGCTGCGCTCTTATCTTCAGTAAAGAAATGAATAAGGCCTCATAACTATCAAATGTCCAGTCCAGCTGCTCCATAGGGAAAGAAATTAACTGGTTCATTCAGAAAACACATCTGTGTGCACCAGAGAGTTTGCAGGCAATACAATAGTAAAGAAAACAGATCCTATTCCTGTCTTGAAGTAATTCACAGTACAATGGGGGAGATGGGTAAGTGGTTAAGTGATTACAGAACATTTACAACACAGAGACAGTAGTGGATGATAAGGCAGCTCCTATCCAAGCCTAGCAGGAGGGAATGTGCTCAGGGAACATTTTCAAGAAGGTGAGGCTGGAAATATTGAGGGAAAATTACTACTGAAGAATGGAATCACTTGTTGACATAGCTCGAAATCTGAAGGGAAAACAAGCAAGCAGGCTAACAAAACAAAAACAAACAAGAAAGTCCAACAGTCAAAAAGCAATGACAGGTAGCTGGTTGGCAACCAAGGAAGAGGAAACTCTAGTAGTTGAAAGTGAAAAATATGGGAGATACGGGGGCCAGGTGCAATGACTCACACCTGTAATCCCAACACTTTGGGAGGCCGAGGTGGCGGATCACCTAAGGTCAGGAGTTCGAGACTAGCCTGACCAATATGCAGAAACCCCATCTCTACTAAAAATACAAAATTAGCCAGGCATCGTGGCGCATGCTTGTAATCCCAGCTACTCAGGACGCTGAGGCAGGAGAATTGCTTGAACCTGGGAGGTGGAGGTTACAGTGAGCTGAGATTGCGCCATAGCACTCCAGCCTGGGCAAAGAGAGTGAAACTCTAACTCAAAAAAAGAAAGAAAGAAAGAAAGAAAGAAAGAAAGAAAGAAAGAAAGAAAGAAAGAAAGAAAGAAAGAAAGAAAGAAAGAAAGAAAGAAAGAAAGAAAGAAAGAAAGAAAGAAAGACATGGGAGATATGCTAACTTTACAAGAAAGAAATCGAGCCCATAGAAGTTTGTATTTAAGGAAAAAGAAAAACTGAACATGTATGTTGACTATAGGCAGTAAGTCAATAAAAAGGACATGCTGAAGATGCCACAGAGTGAGAGGGGTGGAGTACCACATCCCTGAAGGTGCCAATTGGATTTGTAGACAATTTCCTCCATGTAGAGCACTTGTCAGGAAGTGAGAAGTGAAGTGACAACACAGAATGCAATCCCAAGGGATAGAAGATAATGAAAGTTCATAGTCTTTGCAAACACTTTGGTGAAATGGAAGAGGCACTGTATTCTGATTCAGAAGATCTGGTTCTGCCATACACTGACTCCAGGAATTTGAGAAATTTCCCACTTTCTGTATCATCTTTTGCATAATGAAGAAATTGGAAAGAAGAATTCTATGGTTCCTTTCCAGGAACCAACCTGCAAAGCCTTTTTTCTCCCTATAGTTTTGCACTTACGAAGTAAATTTACTTCTATGTAAGCTAACATCTACAATAGATTTTTTGATGACCTATGAGACTCCAAATACCACATACGCATTTTCATCTGAGTAGCATGCCTAATTCAGAGTCATCCAATCAGGCATGACAGTTGCAGGCTGAGGAAGGGTCAGAAATTCCTCATTCTAAAACTCCCCAGTCTATTAAAGAATCAAATTGCTTTTTGTTTGTTCCATTGCAGTGGCCATTTTCTTTCTAATTTCAAAAAAAGTAGATATTACAGAGTTTTATAAAAACTCATCTTGGTGCTCACAAGACTGAGTGAATCTGGCATTTTCTTCTATTAGTTGTTGAAAGTGAAGTCTGTTGACTGGGAAAATGTTGACTTCTGCTGCTCTGAGTCAAGGTATGTGTAAGTGTGTATGTGCTCCCAGTTCAATAGGTAATAAAAAGATTAAATCTAAAAATGGTTCCATTCTACTAGATATAACATTTCACATTAAGTTGTATTTTACAACATTTTTAGGTAGAATTTTATTACTGTGAACAATTGACTATTGATTCATGTTTCTCAGAACTCAGCAGGGCATGGAGAAAAGTCTCAGCCAATTGCAAATTCTTGGAAAGTGTTCTCAGGCAACATGGCTTACAACCAAAAGTGCTGGGAATTTAAGCAAAATCTTAAAGGTTTAGTCCTGTACTCTATCAATGAAATAACTTACTCGTCCATCTTGAGCTTCCTTGGGACAAGTATAGCTGACTCCTGCTACATCAAATGTCACAACCATATAAAATCTGTTCAGTGTGACCCTGGCATTTTCAATAGTACAGTCCCAGCTGAAAATAATATTAGATATTATCTTGCATCTACAGTTAAAGCCATCTGAATGTAGCCTTAATCTTTCCTGTGCCAAATCAGCTCTGATGATCATCACAAATTAACATATTAGAAAGCTATTTTAAAAATTCAAGAGATTCATTAAAGTTCAATAGGCCTGTGTTCAAATCCTAAACCAAGAGGCCTTGAAAAAACTATCTTAACCCATCATAAGTGTCATAAGTAAAACAGGGATTACCTTGCAGGTTTATTGTGATGTTTAAATGAGATAACAAAGGAAAAAATGGAAAATAATTATTTAGCACTGACTTTGCATTCACTATAATCTTACTGTGAGAATTTACCAAGTACTTTATCAGTATTAATTTATGTAATCCTTTCAACAACCTTATACATTTTGACACTGGTATTATTCCCATTAATGGTAGAAAATACTACCTATAAAATAACTAAGTCCAAGAGAAGTTAGGTGATTTACCGAAGTAAGTAGGTGGTAATAGGTGGTAATTTTAAGCTTTGAATATGCTAGATCCTATGCTCTTAAATACCATACTATGTATGACATTTTATTATAATCCTGTGAATGTGAACTTAGAATACATTTATGACTTAAAGCTTTCCCTGATTCCTATGCTAGATTTGGTGCTTATTCTTTTATTTACTGCAAATTTGATTTAGGTATGTATTTGGCTATTTTTAATAATATAATAAACAGAAACTTAAGATGGAAAAACCAAACTAGAAACTTTGCAATAACTTACATCTCACTGCAAAGTTTATTCATCAGCTCAGACCTCTACTTCTACTAACAGGATGTAAATACTGTAAATACTAGAATACTGTATTTATCATTCCCTTGCTTTTCTTTCTATGCACTGCCATCTCTGGATTTCTAAACATTAAATGCAAAACATGCACACTTACATTTATTAAAAAATTTATAAGTAATATGTTTTTTGTTTGAGACAGGGTCTTGCTCTGTCACCCAGCTGGAGTGCAGTGGCACCATCTCTGAAATTTCACTACAGCTTTGACTGCTAGGCTAAAGCAATCCTCCCACCACAGCCTCCTGAGTAACTGAAATCACAAACATGTGCCAATGCACCCGGGTAATTTTTGTATTTTTTTGTAGAGACAGGGCTTCACCATGCTGACCAGGCTGGTCTCAAACTCCTGAGCTCAAGCAATCTACCAGCCTCAGCCTCCCAAAGTCCTGGGATTATAGGCATTGAGCCACCATGCCCAGCCAATAATACGTAATTTTTGAAGGTTACTTTTTTCTTTATATTATGACACTAAAAATTCATTAATATAATTGCTATCACTTTGATTCTTATATAATACTCTATGTGTGACTATTCCATAGTCTATTCATCCACTCCCCTGATGATAGACAACTGTGGTACCAGCTTATCATGATCACATTTATCATAGTACTCATTACAACACTGTTGGAAAACACTTTTGCATGTCTTTTGCTACACATGAGTAAAGGTTTCTCTTTTAGTATTACTCCAGAAGTGGGTTTTCTGGGTCAGAAGTATGACAAAATTTAACTTTAGTAAATAACACTGAGCCATTTTCAAGAACAATTCTACTATCTTAAATTTCCATCAGAAAGGATGTTGTGAATCCACATCCTCTTCAACACTTTTTATTGTAATTTTTAACTGTGCTAATCCAATAGGTGCAGAATGATATGTCATTGTGGTATCGATTTGCTAATAAAGGTAGCCATTTTCTTTCTCTTTTACTTATGTGCCAGATATGTTCATTTGAAACATATACAAAATGCAGGTGCTTTATCTTTTATGAAATGCATCTTTATGTCTCTTATACATTTTTCAATTGGGTTATCTATGTTCTTATTGTATAATTTTGATAGGAATACTTTGTTATTGTAAAAAACATTTCTACCTTCTCTCAGGTAATTTAGATTTTCACTTTCTTTCAGAGTCTTTCAATGAAAACTTTTTTAAAACTTTTAGTAATGTTTAATTCACTGTGTTATTTCTCTCTATTGATTGAACCCAACTGATACACATGCATGTTAATGCTAAGGAAGATTAAACCCTAAAGAAGTAATTAAATACAAATTGATTCACAGATTCAAAAATCAGATAAAATCACAAGAGAGAGGGTAGACTAGGATAGGGGACATGTAAGACATCAGTACTTGCTATACAGCTGAGATTAAGAGAGTGTATAGTATTAATATTTATGTAGGCAGAGAATAGAAAAATGACCAATGGGATAAACTGGAAGATCCAGAAACAGATCCTTATTAATATATGAAAATTTAGTATGTGACAGCAGTGATGTGCCACATTAGTGGTGAATAAAAAGTCTGTTCAGTAGTCACAGCTGGATAAAATGTACCCATAAAAAAAACTATCTCTGACTTATACATTATGCTAAAATCAACTCCAGATGGATTAAAGACCAAAATGTATTATAAACAACCAAATTTTAATAATTTTAGCACATTTTATTGGTATCATTTAGAACCAAGGATAAATGCATATTTCTTAAAAACAACAAAAGCTTGAATCTTTTCACCATGTTGTAGAGAATCTCTTCTATGATAAATTCTCTCTGATTAACATCAACATGAGATATTCCCATTTGTTCACACACGTATCACTTCCCTAGGACTCATTGTTTCCAATCTTATATTTTTATTCCATCCAGTCTCCTGTCTCATCAGCCATGTCATGTATCATTATTAGGAATGAATATTAGGAGATATTCCCATTTTTCCACATACATATCACTTCCCTAGGACTCTCTGTCTCTAACTTTGTATTCTTATTCCATCCTGTATCCTGTCTCATTAGCTATGTCATGTATCAATATTAGGAACCAATATGCATATACACCATGCTAATTCTCGCTTTACAAAACAGTGAACTAACATGAGGCTTTTGTTACCTGCTAAATATATTGCTCTTATAAATTCAGATACCAAAAAATAAAACTAGCAAGCTAGGTTTATAGATTAATTACACACAATAGAAAGTGGACTTGGCCTCCATAAGTTCCCAGTCTAATCACAGGAGCATGGGGACACTTCCAGATTATGTGGACACTGGTATGCAAACTCTGTATTCAACAGTCTCTAAAATATGAATAACCCCCAGCACTGTTTTGCTGGCAGTTAAAGGTTTTTATGTGAAGTTATTAGAAGTATATTTATTATAGATTTGTGATGGCATTACAGGGTCTTTTCTTAAGGGGTTCTGGCCTCTGCCTTTAATCAATTGGCTTTGGATTTGTGAACCAACTTCTATCTCGAAGCTGGATGAGAGGCTATAATTTTCTGTTGCCTTGGTTGATGTTAGCCTTTGTCACTCTCCATTGACTTCCATTACTCAAAGTTACAGGCACAGAATTTCAATTGTCTTGTACTTCCAGGTTGTATGGGCACGGAGCCATCTCTCTCACCTCAGCAGGAACAGAGAAACCTGAGATTAGAAGATGCGAAGAGTACAGTGCCATCATGAGGTTGTATGATTTTAGGCTGTGCCTATATACATCATTTGTTATAAGTTTTTAAGTAAAGTGAAAGGCAAAGAGTCCTAGAAATAGCTGTGGCCAAGAGACCATGAGAAGAGTAATAAGAAGCATCTAATATAAGTGGATATAAACTTAAAGAGGAATGGAAATCCTCTTAGTAGGCAAAATTATGAGTAACATCTGTTTTTTTCCTATAATTTTTTAGCCTGGATTTATATAGTACACATTCTATACAATGTAAATGCCCAGAGAGGACATCTACTGTGGAAAAGTTTTCACTAGGACAAGATAATTCATACTGTTGATGTCAGCATCTTTCTCGAGCTCTATTGATATTTGTTCTGTAGGCCAATGTACAAAGTATCCTTCGCTATAAGGCTGATCCAGATATTGTCATAGCAGAATGTCTATCTTGACAAGAATGGATGCTAATATTGAAGATCAGATATAAACACCATTTCTTGAGATAACCAGCCAGTCACCTATTGGCTAGTTGATAACATTGGATCCCTTCCATCATTGAGGTTTTAGTAATTTGTATTCTTGGGAATAGATACCTATTCTGAATAAGGATTTTTTGTGCCTATCATGGTCTGTCAGCATCATTATTTTTGGACTTGCAGAATGCCATTCTCATCACCTTGGACTGTAATAACAGATTACCATAAACTGGGTGACTTGAAAGACAAACATTTATTTCTCATAGTTCTGGAGGCTCAGAATTCTAAGATTAAGGAGCTAGTAGACGTGATGTCTGATGAGGACTTTTTTGTTGTTGTTGTTGTTGTTGTTGTTGTTGTTGTTGTTGTTGTTGAGACAGAGTCTCACTCTGTCACCAGGCTGGAGTGCAGTGGCATGATCTCAGCTCACTGCAACCTTGACTCCCTGTTTCAAGTGATTATCCTGCCTCAGCCTCCTGAGTAGGTGGGATTGCAGGCACGTGCCACCACACCCAGCTAATTTTTGTATTTTTAGTAGAGACGGGGTTTCACCATGTTGACCAGGCTGGTCTCGATCTCCTGACCTCGTGATCTGCCTGCCTCAGCCTCCCAAAGTGCTGGGATTACAGGTGTTAGCCACTGTGCCAGCCGATGAGGACCTTCTTTCTAGTGTGCAAATGACTGTCTTCTCCTTGTATCCTTACATGGCAGAGACGAGATAAAGGAAGTAAACTCTATCAAGTTTCTTCTTATAAGGAGACTAATCTTATCATAAGAACCACACCCTCATGACCTCATTTCTACTCAGATACCTCTGAAGCCTCCCCTTCAAATACCATCATTCAATATATACATGTTGCGAAGATATAACGTATTTAATCCATAGCATATCCAATATAACATCTCTTTCAACTAAAGAGCTCATTATATGGCAAAAATGAGTAAAAGAAGGCTTTTGTCTAAGCAATTTGCTTGTCTTATAGTATCTAATTCTTTAACCATAAACATTTGACCTAACAAAAACTGAAGCTTATGCATAGCCTCCTTCCCTGTTGTCAAGGATACTATTTAAAGCTTATTCATAGAATGACATGTAAGAAAACACCTTCCAGTATAAATGCTATCTTACATAATATAATATTTGATTTAAACCAATAACTGTCATGTGGTGTTATTTTCCCCAAGATCAAAATATAGAGGCCTGGGAACCAAGTAATGGAAGTAAAGCGGGCCATTCTTACTGTATTACACTCAATAACTCAGGGAACTTTTGAATTTCAGTGACTGAATTTCTTAAGAAAGGAATGTTTCCCTTAGGGGTCATAGCCAAGTTTCTATTAACTTAGAAGCCAAGTAAATACCCTGGACATTTGGGCTCCTCATGCCACTGAACTGACAAACATAAAAAGTGCTTAACATAAGCTTGATTTCATTTACTGGAGAGAAATTTAGTTGCTTCTAGTCAATGGAGAAAATAAGAAATATGGTTGGAACACAGGGAAATTATTACAGTAACAATACTCTCTTGCCAATAGTCCTGGTCAATGAAAGATTATGGCAACCCAATAAAGACAGAATATTTGGTAAAAATATGTGGGTCTCTCATAGAAAAAGGAGCACTATTCAAGGGGTTGAGGGAAAAGACAAGGAAATTAGACTAAGTAATAGGAAAATGAAGTTTGGATTACCAATATGTTTATCTATGCATAACCTAAGGTATTGCATTATTTATTCTACCCCTCTCACCTCTAAGCTACCATTTTTTGAATACTGCTGCTGATGCCTAACATTTACATCCCTGGTGGCAATATAACAGAATTGGAACCTCTGCCACTAGAATTGCAACTAGGGTGAGGTATATAAGACTCTTAGGACACAAAATTTAAGAAGTTATTCCCTTTTAGAGTCATAGAAGTTCACAGTGCCATCTGTGCGGAATTGGAGCCCCTGCTGTATCTTTCCTTAGGGACCTCCTGTGGATACTTCTATAATACTAGATTGACAATATACATTGTGTCCTCATATTAATTTGAGCTCTTAAAGATGAGGATCTCTACCTAACTCAAGTCAGTGTTCTTAGTGCTTATCATAGTGCCTGGCACATTGTGGACCCTCATTAAGTGTGTGTTCAATGTAAGTATGTATGGTCTCAAAAGATAAGATAAACTTTTTGTTGTTGTTATTTGTGTGTTTATATAGGTTTTATTACACCAATGTTCCCAAACCAACACCAGCACTCTTTATATGTTCTTAGTAAAGAGCAGGCATACTGCTTATGATAAAATAAACAGCATAAATTTGAAGTTAAAATATGAATAAAATATTATAGGGGAAAAGTTTAATAAAAAAGAAGACAGTGGGAAATACTGATAGTAAAACCTATATTTAAAGAATAAATCTTTTATTTACTAACTCTTGGACCTGAGGAAAGTTACTTAATTTTACTGTTAACTTCCTTTATTTGTAAAATAGTCTATATTATCTAGAATGTCAATCTTACAGAGCTGTTATGAAGAATTAAAATGAGTTTTAAGTACATGTGGAAATAATCTACCAATTTTTAAATAATATATAATTGTAAATGATTTATATTTACTTTAATGATTTTCTAATGTAGCACTAATCACAGATTACTCAGTGTGATAGACTGTTCTGCACATGTTGATCTTCTCTTTATAATAAGGGTCCCTGATGTCAGTGGAGATTCTCTCTCTCCCTCTATCCTCTCTCTTTCTCTCTCTCTTTCCTTAGTATCTATCCTTAGAATGTACCACAAGTTAAGGGCTCAATGATGTCTATTAGGTGAATTAAAGTCCACTTGTTTAGAATTTTCTGTCAAGTGTTATGCATGTTTATCTTATGAGTCATGATCCAAACCAACTAAGTGCTTAAAATTATAAAATAAAAAATAAAACCAAACGGGCAGTTAAATTGATATGACATGAAATTAAATTATATTTTGTGGTTTCAATGAAGAAAGCTGGGGGGAGTAAATACTTAGAATTTCTGCGAAAAG
Source organism: Homo sapiens (assembly GCF_000001405.40). NCBI lineage: Eukaryota > Metazoa > Chordata > Mammalia > Primates > Hominidae > Homo > Homo sapiens. The sequence goes on along the minus strand of NC_000004.12, from coordinate 14,196,415 downwards.
ATAAATAACACTGAGCAGAGGGAAAGGAAGAAGGAGAGAGAAGGGAATTGGTCTAACACAATGAGAAGCTGTGGCACTGGTGCGCTCCGTGGTGCTGTCCACGGTGCTGACACGTTTCTTAATCTTGGGGAAGTTAGTCCATCCAGTTTCTCCCTGATTTTCCTAACCAGATACGTGGGGAAATCATAAATGCAGGCAAGAGAGGAAACTCTAAATAAAGAAAATGGGTAGAGGTTGTTGGTGATATCTATATAGCTCTACAATATTGAGGGAAACAAGTATTTTTTAAAAGATCATTATTTGAGCATCATTATGAAATCCAAAATTACCAAGACAGGAACCAAAATATAATATTGTTAGAATTTCAAAGTAACATAGAATAAGCAATCTGTAAGACAAGGACATAAGGACTGTGCTAGTGTTTTAGAAAAACAACTTTTCACCATGCCGAGACTGAAGTTACATCACCAATGAAAATAGTTTTTTTTTTGACAAAGAAATATTTACTTTTTAAATGTTGCATTTTTCTTTTTGAGAATTAAATTATGACTTATATTTTGAAATATACCTTATTAATTTGTATTAGTATGATGGTTTTATTAAACTCTTGACTATTATAATTCCTTTTAAATCTATAATTTATTGTGTTGGGGGGAAAATATAGGAGACCCCACCTTTCTTTCTTTATCCTGTGTCTGATACTAATGTGAGAGTTATTAGCAATAAATTGTCTCTTTCCTTCATGTGCTTTTAACATCTATTATCATTAACTGTCAAAAAAGCTAGAGGTCATACTGAAGTCCTGTTTCTGTTGAAATTGTTTTCTGCTAGGCCTTTCCAAATATATAAAATTACCTCTCTATTGGATATGGGCTACATTCTTTACAATAAAGATAAACTCCATATTTATTTTACCAAGATTAATATTTTCCTTCTTATAACTCACTACTCTCATAAAACTATTGTAGTCCACTTACTGTTACAAAAACATGCCATGCTTTTTATGTTTCCAGGTTTTTGCTGATGCTATTTTCTCTGCTCAGGATGTCTCTTTTTTTGTTTTTTGTTTGTTTGTTTTTTGTTTTTGCCTAGATAAAACTCTGGTCATTTTCAAAGACCCAGTCAAAAAGTTATCATGAAATGTACCAGCAAGAATTATTTATTTTATTTTTGATAATGTCACTGTCATAGTTCTTATTTAGTCCATGTAATTATAGCAGACAATTATAGAATATTGTACACTAGGAGAAAGCATGGACCATGGTATTAGAAGATATGGATTTCAAGTCAGCACACATTCACTCAGCAAACATTTGCTAGAACTTTTCTAGGCACTGTGACAGTGAACAGAATAGTAAAAGTACTTGCCTTCATAAAGCCAGATTTTTAGTCAAGAGTGGTACAAAATCTTAGTGTAAATGGAAAAAAATAAATTAATGAACTAATTTTAGATAGTAAAAAATATTATGAAAATAATAAACCATAGTAATAGTAATAGGCCAGTAAGCTTCCATGCATGACAAATGCTTTGCTGCAATGACTAGGAAAGGCTTCTTTGATAAAGCATGTTTATTCTGTGTGTGCGTGAGTGGGAGTGTGTGCATGTGTGTGTGTGTGTAACCAAGAGCCTGAATAAAACGAAGGAGCTAATGATGTATAAATGATACTGAAGAGGACAAGAAGGAGTTGGTGGATGAGTATCAAGAGAATGAGGATTATGGTAACAATGATTATGATAACCAATATTTGAAAGTTTAGTCTTTCAGCCACCTGATTAAAATTGTGAAATTATGAGCTCGGCATTACCACTATTTCTATTTGTGAATGAAGAAAAATAAGTGTTCAAAAATTTCAAGCACAACTTAAGTCAAAAAACACAATCAGGTTATTTAAAAAGTGATTTTGGTCTCAAGATGCCTATATGGCCCAGTAAAGGGAATTACTGTCTGAGGTCTCCTGATGGTTTCTATTTGTAACCAGCATTTTTATAACTGATAATTTACAAGTGATGTTAGGAAAAAGTGCAAAAATTAGGAAATGAATACCAAGATATAAAAAGGCATTCAAAGTATAAAGAAAAATTATTATAAATTATTGAGGGCTGAATCTACATGTACATATCCTTTTAAAAGTGTGCCTGTGTACATTCTATGCACAAAAAGACTGAGTTCATGTACATAAAAATTGAACAGGAAAACCAAAATTATTTTTAAAAAGGTTAAATTGAAGAAGTTTATAATAATGGATACAATAAAATATGGCATATAATAATAAATATAAATTTTTAAAAAATATATGTCAAAATAAAAAGTCAAGACAGGAAGAATCAAAATGTGTGTGGTGTGTGTGTGTGTGTGTGTGTGTGTGTGACAGCTATTTATACATGTGATTGTGCATTCCAATAAATTGCCTGTCTGAAATTGTCTGCAGATAAATGGTAGTGAAAAGATAACATTAGGAAAAAATTCAGGTATTTTGCTTTAGGCAAGTGATTATTTTGTGCATGTGGTTTTTTTTTTTTTTTTTTTTTTAGTTTAACATTAGTCTTGCGTATTGCTCTCTTTGATCTAAGAAAAGTTATTTTCAAATCCTGAAGCTTGCCAAGGCTTCTTTTTGAAGAATTGCTTCTCATATGAGTCATTAACCCAGGATTTCATTTTTCAGAAGGGCTCTGAATCTAGCTTTTCAATAACTAGTTGATATTACTTCTGTTTTGTTAACAGCTATGTAGTTGATGCACAGATAGTATATTTTTGAGATTTACTTGCATAGACTTAGCAGTTGTTTATGACAAAATTTTTTCTCTTTATTTATGAGGTATCTATTTATGAGGTATTTATTTATGAGACAAAAAATAATGTTCTCTTGAATGTTGATTTTTTTCTTAAGTTGAATTGCTTGGAGATGGTTTTTGTTTTAAGTAACTATTCCTCTCAATTCTGAATGATTGGTTTTAAATCATATAAAACCATCATTTGGTAGTCTATTTTCACACATATCAAAAAGTGAATGTAAGATCAGTGTATCATGATTTATTATGCTTCTAAGGAAAACCCAATATAGAATAAACAAGTTACTCAACAATATCTGTAAGTCTGGAGTTTGTAGTAATTCCACTGACTGATGCCCATGGGCTTTGAGCTATCACCAACCCTATCATCAGAGCTCACCAATAAGGAAGTATCTTGCTATTTTAGGCAGTTGGAGCCCCACTTCTGGAAGTGTCTAAGCCACTAACTTCTAGACTGAGCAGGATATAATAGCAGACATGCATTCTTTTATCTATGGTCAGGCAGGATAAACTTCATGAGATTCTATGCCCTGATATTCTGACTGTTTTTTTCACTGTGACACATTACATTGAAACCAAGTAGAATTCTTTTTCAGACAATTTCCCAATAGAACAGTAATCAATGAATTGAGGTTAACTGCATAGCATAATGTAATCAACATATATTTGAACATGAAGTATCTAACAGTAATAGCTTTAGAAAACCACAGGCAAGGGAATGTTTGATAATACAGAATAAAAAATAAGACAGAATTAGTTACTTCCGTGCATTATGGGAAAGCTTTTTCAGATGTTTTCCTTCTTTTCCTTTTTTCACAGAACAACTAATGAAGTTGTTCACTTTTCAAAGGCAGAGATTATCAATTCAAGTGGAAATGCCTCTTGTGCAGGCAGAGTCCTATATAGTCTTCAGTTTTCTAGGTTCATTTATTCTGGGTATCAGAATTTTTATTCAGTTTTATTCACATGCCAGATTATCTGAATAGTCTATCTGAATAGTCTTGTATCATCTGTCTGAAACTCCTCAGGTCTTTCATACATGCACACATAAAATACTTCATTGTGACCTTAGACACATGAGAGATCCTACATATGGAATTAAATGCATACCAATGGCTGGGTGTGGTGGTTCATGCCTGTAATCTCAGCACTTTGGGAGGCTGAGGCTGGTGAATTGCTTGAGCCCAGGAGTTTGAGACCAACCTGGACAATGTGGTGAAACCTCATCTCAACAAGAAAAAAAAAATATATATATATATATATATATATATACACAAAAATTGGCCGGGTGTGATGGTGTGCACCTGTAGTCCCAACTACTCAGGAGGTTGAGGTGGGAGGATAGCTTGAGCCTGTGAGGCAGATGTTGCAATGAGCTGAGTTTGTGCCAATGCACCCCAGCCTTGGTGACAGAGACAGAGCCTATCTCAAAAAATAAAATAAAATAAAATAAACAAAGAAATGCATACCATTAGTTAGTTAACATAAAAATGTATAAGAATTTGCAGAGAAATAAATATATAAAATAAACATACCCAGACACAAGCACATATATATGTGTATCCTACAGTCCATCTGATACTAATTGCCAATTTTGCATCACAACTACATTGGTGAAGAGACTAATATTAGCAGAGGTACTACAGGTAGAAAGAATATTTAGCGAGTACTGTCATGACTAATGCATAAATTAATGAAATGTCTGATGTGATGAACAAAATAAGATGTGCCAGTGGGTGATGTATGACATGCAACAGGCAGAATTTGAAATCTGACTGTGTTTAGAAGTGAAGGAAAGAGAAACTTCAGGAAATGGCTTTGAATTATTTGTCTTCCCCACCTAAAGAGCCAAGATGTTAGATAGATATAAAGTCTATCTAAGAAAAAAATAGAGGCTATTCTTCAGCTGCAAAGATTGCTATTTGAGAGTTCAAGAAGCAGAGAGAATGTGGAGAAATAGGAATGCTTTTACACTGTTGGTGGGAATATAAATTAGTTCAACCATCGTGGAAGACAGTGTGGCAATTCCTCAATGATCTAGAACCAGAAATACCATTTGATCCAGCAATCTCATTACTGGGTATATACCCAAAGGATTATAAATCATTCTACTATAAAGACACATGTACACGTATGTTTATTGCAGCGCTGTTCACAATAGCAAAGACTTGGAACCAACCCAAATGCCCATCAACGATAGATTGGATAAAGAAAATGTGGCACATATACACCATAGAATACTATGCAGTCATAAAAAAGGATGAGCTCATATCCTTTGTAGGGACATGGATGAAGCTGAAAACCATCATTCTCAGCAAACTACCACAGGAACAGAAAACCAAACACTGCATGTTCTCACTCATAAGTGGGAGTTGAATAATGAGTACGCATGGACACAGGGAAGGGAACATCACACACCAGGGCCTGTTGGGGGGTTGGAGGCTAGGGGAGGGGTAGCATTAGGACAAATACCTAATGTAGGTGACGGGTTGTTTGGTGCAGCAAACCACCATGGCACATGTATACCTATATAACAAACCTGCACATTCTGCACATGTATCCCAGAAAAAGTGTAATTAAAAAACAAAGAATTCACAAGAAAGTCTGATGTTAAAGAGGACTGTGGGAAAGAATACCAACATTTGCCCTGAGTATATTCCAGGACTACTTTAATATTAGGAGATTAAGATAGATTGCAAGAAAAAATGGCTCTACAATCTCAATGCTTAAAATAACAAGCACATAGTTTTTATTCATGTTACATGTCTAAGCAGGTCAGCAGAGAGATGGGAAAAGGTGGGGAATTTTCACATTGAAAAGTGGCTTTTTCTGCCACTCAGAAACCTGGCCTGATGGAGCAGCCACTGTCTCAAACATTGGCAGTAAACATACCACAGAGAATGAGCGAACTGTAGAGTCTCAATCTAGTGATTAAGAGTTTGTCTCTTATCACATTTTCTCACAATCTTCTGGTTAGAAATATTCACACAGCCTCACCTAATTGCAAAAGCATCAGAAGTTCTGTTATGCCATGGGCTCAAAAACAAGAAAGAAATATCCATTAAGTAGAATTTGAGGCTACTACAACTTCCATGCTTCACTTTTGTGAACATTCCATTTTTACCTATAAATAAACGTATTCTTTGATTTGTATTAAAGCTTTTGTCTGGCAAACACTGATTTCCTGAATGAAAGTGATTTTTCTTTGTTTATATTCAGCAAGAAAATATATAGCATCTCTGCTAGGAGAGTTGTCTTTATTTTCTAGTCTAGAGAAAATATTCTATTCTATAGAGTCTATTCTATCAATTCTATTCTATTCCATAGAGTCTGATCCAATTGTTAATATTAGCAGAACCAAAAAAGGACCAAAGCTTCTATAATTACAGAATGCCAATCCCTTGATATTCACTAGTGCTTGTCGTCGATCTGCATGATGACACGCATTTACAAAGAAAAGAGAAATTTAGTCTTTATCCTAAGAGCTGACACTGCAATACTTGCTGAGTCTCAGAAATAACCTCTTCTTCCAATAGATACCCTTTTCTGGGGATAGACATGTGATGTGGTAGAATGAACCCAGGATTGAGGATTTAAAAGGCTTGAATTTCATTCCTTGCTATATCACTGACTAACTGTGGAATCTTGAGCAAAACAATTTACTTCTCTTTGCCTTTTTTCTCTCTGCAAAGCCAGAATAAATGTTTTAAACATAGAAGACATGTAATACAATTTTATATGGTACCTTCATCCTTTCCTTTCCTAACTTTCCTTCAACCCAACTAGCACTTCAGCTATACCTTTTCTTTGTAATTTTAACTTCGCGATAATAATTTTTGCAAATATGCATGAGATTACATTGTCAAGAAATAACTTATTTAATTTACTATAACACTTGGAAATCCTGTATCAGATACTATATCAAATGGAAATCCATTTTAGAGATGAAGAAACTGGAACTTCGAAATAGATTAATCAATTCGTACTATTTTCTGCCTCGCCAGGTGGTTGGGATGATGACATTTAGCAATCTAAACTATAGCACTGTAAATGGTAAACTACTATTTCCTTATGAATTATGAATCCCTTTCAGGTAGAATCTATATTTGCTTTACCCCTTCATTCTTACAGAACCAAGTTCAATGCCTGGTAATGGTATGAGTTTGAGAAGCCAACGAGTCTTTGACAACCCTCTTCCAGGCTCAAGAAGGTCTATATATGAAGACACATATATTAATAGTAATGCTTCAGCTATCTGTATACTTACAAGGATTATGGAAAGCCAGTGTGATCAAGGAAAATAGCAATCTTTTTTTTTTTTTTCGAGACAGAGTTTTGCTCTTGTTGCCCAGGTTGGAGTGCAGTGGCGCAATCTCAGTTCACTGAAGCCACTGCCTCCAGGGTTCAAGTGATTCTTCTGCCTCGGCCTCCCAAGTAGCTGGGATTACAGGCGTCTGCCACCATGCCTGGCTACTTTTTTTGTATTTTTATTAGAGACAGGGTTTCTCCATGTTGGCCGGGCTGGGCTCAAACTCCAGACCTCAGGCGATCCAACTGCCTCGGCCTCCCAAAGTGCTGGATTACAGACGTGAGTTACTATGCCCAGCCGAAAATAGCAATCTTCAGTCACACACACACACACACACACACACACACACACACACCTGTATTCGAATTCTGGTTCTGCTTCTAAAATCTCAGTGTTCTTAAGCAACATGGACTTGATTTTAGATTGAAAAGAGCAAATAATGTATATAAGATACTTTGCACAGCTTTTGGAACACAGTGGAACCCAATAAAAATAAATGGTAGAACTCATCCTTTCTATGATTATTTTAGATGTATATGATGTATATGAAAGGAATTGATATAAGGCATTAAAACAAGGCATTCATAAATGGTGATAGAATCACAATTATACAATGTATTGGATTAGTGGTTATTTCCTTTCTTCCCGACCCAGGATGTCTATATTCTTGCATTTGCTATGCAAGTATTGACAGTTTTTTATATATTGAGCTCAGATGGTTTAGGAAGAAAGATTTATACCACTGTCATAACTAAAATATATTCACAGAGATTAAGGAAGCTACTTGTAGAACAACTTACACAAACCAAAAAAAAAAAAAAGAAAAGAAAAGAAAACCAAAAACCTCAAAAAGGAAAGAAGAAAAGCACTCACTTTTTGGGAATCCCCTTGAACAGAAATTACCCATGCAAATCCATTCTTTAGATAGCAATTCTGTATTAACTTGCTTCAGGTTCTTTATAAACCTGTATCACCTATATTCAGCCTTGGGATTTTTTCCATTTCAGTGAGTCCTTTACTTTCTGAAGGAAAGAACACCCACACAGGGTGGGACAGAACTACTAAAGATATTTTGGTCTGCTCTCCTGCCTGGGAGCAGGTGTTGCACTGAAATTGTCTAGCCAAAATCCAAATCATAGTATTTTAGGCTGATTATAAACAAGATAATTTTCAGTTGGCCTTTGATTGTTGTGTTTGTTTTGGCTGGCCATTAAAAGCATCAAGTGGAAATGTGTTAAGCATTGAAGTAAGAAGATAAGCATTAAGTCAGGAAAGTTGATGAGAGAGTCACCTCTCCTTTAGGGCCTTCAGTGTAGGAATGGGGGGGCCTAAGGAAATTTGTATGAAACATTTTCTCTCCCTTTGTATTCAGGCGAGAGAAGGTTATAATAAAGTCCCAAGATTCAGGTCATGTAGGACAAAGATTCTGGAATCAGATGGTCCCGGTGTCAGCCCTGATTTTGCCCATTACTAAGTCTATGACTTTAGGGGAAAGTCACCTAACGTCTGTCGTCTTATTTATTACTGACTTCCCCCAACCTTGTACCGTTTCTAAAATACAATAATGCTGATTAGCTACTTTTTGATGTAGTAAATGAGTGAATATATATTTATTCTTCTCCTCTGTAATGTGGGACAATAGTTATTTCTTCCTTATAAGAAATAATAAAAGTGAAATGTGCTGTAAAAGGCATACCTAATAAAAGAAAAGGAAGGTAGTGGCAATGCTATGTTAGAAGACTTGTGACTTGAAGAAGAGTAGGTTGTGTAGTTGGCTTTGGTAAGAAGGACTGGTTGATAATTGGTGGTGAATGGACAGAACATTGGACTATAAACAGTAAAATTAGTGTTCTTCCACTTATTAATGAAACTGCAACTTTTTTCATCTTTAAAGTAGGGATAATAATTGAAGCTTTCTTATAAGTTTGCTATAACAATTTTTGAAAACTTCAGGTAAAGTACCTTGAATAGTGACTACACGTATGCATAGTAAGCTTTCAATAAATATGTTTATTATCATTATTTTTATCCTGAGCTCTGAGAGGTAATCCAATGGATAGCCTCACACATCAGCATCCTATAGAGATTGCCTTCACTAAATACAGCTTCTGCCCAAACTCACATCCTCTTCCTTGGACTGTCTGCACTTGATAACTGCTCAATGTAAGGATAGAAACTAGACTTGGATTTCTGATTCTTAACTCGAGACAATGCTGAAGGATCATCCAGTCTTAGCGCTCCCCAGAGGGTGGGCTGAGGCTTCTGATGGGCCTGCGTCACTAATCTTTACCTACTGCATTTCCCTAGGAACTTGATCTACCACATTATTATAACTCAAAATGTCCGTCCCCTCTACATCAGCCCCCAGAAGGAACAAACTTCAGAAAGTCTAAGTGTCATTCAGGCAATGCGGAATAAGCCATTTATCTGTTTTTCTGCTTTCCGGTCCATTTCCTGTATCTCTGAATCTTGAACACCTCCCTCTTGCTTCCAGTCTATAATGTAACTCTTAGAAATGATATTTGACAAAAAAAGTCATATTTTATTCAATTCTCCCTGTACTTGTTTCCCCAGTCATGCAATTTCTATGAAACCAAAAGTCAAATTAATTTTTAAAATTCATTAATGAAGTAATCATATATAAAGTGAGTAACTCCTCACATACACCTTTCTTCTAACATTAGCATGTTTCCTGACCTATTGTATCAAGATCTTATTGGTTAGACTGTCAATGATTGCCAGGTGTTATAAATGTATCTGTTGTTTAGAGATGATATTTATAACTTGAGGAATATAATACAAAGTAATTGTAAAAGAATTGAGAATTTTACAAGAGATTTCATAAAATTGATGAAAGTAATAAAAATGATCTTGGAGAAGGCCCCAGTTCTCATAAAATCATTGACTGATAAGAAGATGGAAGAGTTAAACCAGACAATAATTGAGGAAGAGACAAACTACAAAGATAACCTAAAAGTATCTCCAGGGAGCATAATGTGACTGTTAAAAGATTAAGAAGAGACCTTCAAAAAATGGGTGAAGTACTAAGTACTTTTGAAAACAGTACTTTCTTTAAGGTGATGCTTAAGGTAATGTTGGAAAATGAAGGACATTTTATCCTGATCTCATATGTGTATAACAAAAATTATTTACTCACCTTCAAAACAGTAAAGTCTGCTTGATCCGTTCTTTGCTTATTCTAAGAATTAGATCATGATTGCATTTGCAACTTACATTTTTAAATAAGATAAGATAAACTTATAATCGTTAGTTTGATTTATCATGCATTTTCTCAGTCAAACTTGCTTTTACTATTTTTTCTAAATAGGTATCTCCATTTTTGTGGGTTCCCTTTAAATAACCTTTTCCTGTATGAATTATCCTGAGATAATGAGGTGCCCCTCTCCTCCCCTGAGTTGATCTCCTGCTTCCTCAGCATGTCTTTATTTCTACTGCTCCTCTAGACCATATATTACCTCCGTTCAGGGACTGTTAAGGTGTTACATCTTAGCATCTTAAACCTTATCATCCAGGCTAAGAGCATCCTAAAAAACCCAGACCTTTACTATTGATCTTGCTCTCAGCATCGGAAACCTGGCACTAGGAACTAAATTTCTTTCTCCCTGGCTCTTTATAAACAAAAATATTATTATTTTCATGAATATGAATAAGAACAAAAGGACTTGCAGGTGCATAGCACTGAAAAATGAGCATAGGCCAGGCACGGAGGTTCATGCCTGTAATCCCAGCACTATGGGAGACCAAGGCAGGCAGATCACTTGAGCCAAGGGTTCAAGACAAATCTGGGCAACATGGCAAAAACCCATCTCTACAAAAAATACAAAAATTAGCCAGGCCTGGTGGTGTGCACCTGTAGTCCCAGCTACTCGGGAGGCTTGGAAGGGAGGACCCCTTGAGCCCGGAAGACGGAGGTTGCATTGAGCCATGATTGCACCACTGTACTCAAGCCTGCATGACAAAACAAGACCCTGTCTCAAAAAAAAAAAAATTGCATAGATGTACTTTGTATATATGGAATCTGTTTATATAAATATATGTATGTGTATATATGTGTATATATATGTGTGTATATATATGTATATATATAAAAAATACCCCCACAGATTTCTATTTTTTATCATTTAAAATTCCATGAAAAAGACATATTCATATGGGTGTGTGAAAATGTTATGTCATACAAATTTAGTAATTATAATCTAAGTGCTTTTAATTCCCCCAAATCCTGAACCATAATACGGCTAAGTTACTAGAGTGACTGTGGGAATGTGGTAATTTACCAGAATTGGCTAAGAAAAAAGATATTCTGCCAATTAGATCTTGTTTGCATGACAAACCGCCTGGACATTCATCAGATTAAAACAATGTTCAAAGTGAAATCCTATTTGTGTGACAAACAACAGAGCATAGTCAGAACACACACTAGTGCTTAGGATCTGGTAAAAATTCTGCAGGAATAAAAAGCAGCAAAGGAAAGTGGGTACCAAATTTAGGGTAAAACATGGAGGTCAGAGAGAGACATAGGACTTTTGAATAAAATGAGCCTGGTATACAAGTTTCAGCAAAAAGCATTCAAAACAGCATGTTTATGGTTTTTATCTTTATAAAATGAGAACAAAGTCTAAACTAAAAGAGGAAAGGGAAGGAGAGAAGGAGAGAGGAAGAAACAAGGAGGGGATCGACAAGTAGGGGGAGAGAGAGAGAAGAGATCTTTCTTCCCTGGAAAGGAGATGCAGGCAGCTCCCTCCCAGGTCTGAAGGGAGATAATTCACCAGCCCAGCAGTCAGTAGCTAAAGGGTTTGGAAGGCTGCAGGAAGCAGATGTGCTTGGCTATAAAACAAGCATTGCTCGCCAGGTCCCGGCATCTTCCCAGACTCATGTGTAACTTGCAGACATATGTGGCTAATGATAATGAGGGACAGACAGGAGCTGGGAGCTCCAAATCAGGGTCATACACAGAACCCAGCTGTCTCATATATCCTCAGGCTTCTTAAGCTCTCTCCTTCTAGGAATTTGAGGAAGAAACTTTGGAGTCTGCCTTATCCATGCCTTGGCCCAGTGTTAAAGAGTCAGTTTGTCATCACGGAGAGAATATGAGCTCTGGATTCAGGCAGAAGTGGCCCTTATAACTTACCAGGTCTGTGGCCTTGATTATCTTATCTTCTGAGTTCCAATGTCCTCATTTAAAAATGGGGACAAGAGTATATTTTTCGTGTGGATTAAAAGAGATATAGGTGAGCATGCAGGGTACACAGTATGTGTTGAGTACAGGGTAGGCCACTTCCCTGTCTTGGATATTCGCAGGGCCTGTCTTTGGTAGGGTTATGGCTGCCAAATTTAGGTTTCATGTTGTTTTGTAAAGGAGATATCTAATCTGCTTCCTTTCCTCTTTAATTATGAAGTAGTATTTATCATGCGAGGCAGCAGGAAGAATTACACAGAAGCAGCTCTGAACTGAGAACCAAGAACTATCCTTTCTTCTTCCTTGGGCACTAGCATAACTTTGGGAAACTTCCGTCTCTGTTTTTCAGTACCCTCATTTGTTTAAGTCGGAGTTCTCCAGGAAGACAGAACTAGTAGGATGTGTGTGTGTGTGTGTGTGTGTGTGTGTCTGTTTGTGTGTGTGTGTGTATTATAAGGAATTGACTCACACAATTACAGATGGTGACAAGTTCCAAATATGTAGTTGGCAAGATGGAAAACTAGAGGAGCCTATGGTGCAGTTCCAGTGTAAGTTTAATGGCCTGATAACCCAATGGTGTAAGTTCCAGTCTGAAAGCCAGTGGAGTCAAGACCCAGAAAGAGCCAGTGTTTCAGTTCAAGTCTGAAGGGAGGCAAACAACATGTCCCAGCTCAAGGCAGTCAGTCAGAAGGAATTCCCTCATACTCTTAGGAAGGTGAGGATTTTTGTTCTAATCAGGTCTTCAACTAATTAGCTGAGGGCCTGTACCCATTAAGAAGGACAATGTGCTTTACTCAGCCTATGAATTCCAGTGTAGTATTCCATTCAGAATCTCCCACATGCACATCAAGAACAACGTTTGACCAAACATCTGAGTACCCTGTGACCCAGCCATGTTGACAAACAGAATTAACCATCACATCAACCATACCATGTGGGAGGAAAGAGGAGGGTAGAAGGTGTGTAGAGTTCAGGAATGTAGAATTTAACATCCTGGGAATCCACTGATACTTAGCATCCTCCAGGAAACACGGTGAAACATCTAGATTCTGTAGAAAACTTGCAAGGACTTAGAGGAAGTTGGCATTGTGTTGCCCTGTGAAGAAACTGGGCATGAACTTTCTAAGAGGAATTAAACCCTTAACAATTAATAGGGTTATTATTACTGTTTAATTGTGTGTCTACTATGGGCCAGGCATTTTATGTACATTATTCTTCACAGTGACCCGCAGAGCTGGGCTTCATCATGTCTCTCTGAGATGAGAAAATGGAGGCTTGGAGGGGCTAAGTCATATGCCCAAAAGCCACTTAGCTGGTTAGTGACTGTGCTGGGACTTGCCTACCACCAAAGCTTCTACTCCTTTTACACTGTGGCTAAGTTCCCTGCTGCATGGGTTGTGTTCTGGTGCCTAAGACATTGCCTAGAAAATGGCAGGCACTCAACAAACATTTGTCAAGTGGACTATGTACAGCACCCACACCAGCTTTATCCTCCCTTTGTTGTCACTAGCTCTCTCACTGGAACATCTGGTCAACGCTGCTCACCTGTTCACATTTGCTCTGTTTCTGCATCAATCTTAAACAGATAAAGAAAAGTTTCTAAATCTCAGCCAAATCAGCTGATAAGGGCTGGATATTTCTTCGCACAAAAATGAAGATTTCCCTGTCACAGAAAAGGACTCTAGAAACCGTAAAACCCCAGAACTGTAGTGTTTCAAATTCATTTCCCTGTGGGACACTCAAAACAAGACTCATGCTTCCTCTCTGGTTTTCCTTTCCAAAGAGGCACACCGCGTGCTGTGAAGTGCTCTTCTACATGACAAACACAAAAATAATTGACATCAACTGGGCCTGAGTTTGCATTCTGGCTCTTCACTTGGGGCTTACGAATGTGAGCAAAGAAATCAAATTTTTAGAATGTTTTTCCCATCTGTACATTTTCTGATTGTGTCTAGTCTATACGGCTGCTGTGAGAATTTTTTTTTTTTTTTCTTGAGACATAGTGGAGTCTCACTCTGTCTCCAGGCTGGAGTGCAGTGGTGCGATCTCAGCTCACCACAACCTCCGCCGACCAGATTCAAGCGATTCTCCTGCCTCAGTCTCTGAGTAGCTGGGACTACAGGCATGTGCCACCACGCCCAGCTAATTTTTGTATTTTTAGTAGAGACAGGGTTTCACCATGTTGGCCAGGATGGTCTCGATCTCTTAACCTTTTGATCCGCCTGCCTCGGACTCCCAAAGTGCTGAGATTACAGGCATGAGCCACCATGCCCAGCCTGCTGTGAAGATTTAACGTGCAGATTAATGCAAAGTACATAGCACAGTGCCTGGCACATGAGATGTGAGGATAAAGAATGATCTACTAGCTATTATTATTGCCTAATAACAACCTTTAGTTTCTGTCTACACAATATTTTTTGCTTCTCAAACAAAACAAAACAAAAATTTCTAGTGCTAACATTATTCTAAATGCTCCCTGAGTTGTATACACTTTTTGGATTCTGCATTAGAATGGCTCCCCTTGCCGGGTCTCTTTTGCTAGTTGAGTTGGTTCTCTCACTTCATGCCCCTCTTTTGGTTTCTGACTCATACAGAGTCAGCAAAACACTCAAATCCTATGATTCTCACGTCCCCATACCTTGCACTGTCTGCCAGTCTTGGAAGCTGCGTTCTCCATATTTACATAGTGATTTGTCACTCTCTCTATTAAAAAGTTCCCTTTTATCTGAATTAACAGCGTAATTGTCCCAGCTCACCACTTCCAAAGTAACTCCAATAAATAGAAACCACAACATTTGGAAATCACCTCCAGCCCCCACTGTGCAAGCCTTACCCGGAAATCTCCGGCAGCTGCATGTTTTCCTAATGACCTTCAGTTGCTCAGAGAATGTATAATTCATTCCCTACCTATCTTCACTAATCCCACTTTCCTAAAATAAATATTAACTCAACTTATCTGCTAAAACAAGCCCAAATCAAGTCTCTTATCAAATGAACTCAGAGGCAGAACAGAAAGGTGAGAGTCTGGTCAATAGGAAATTGCCTTCATTGGAAAGGCAGGGCTAAAACTCCCTTTGGCCTTCAGTTTTATTCAATCTAGTTCAGCAAACCTTTATTGAATACTCTATATGCAGGCACCAACAGTTCCATAGAGGACAGAAAATTGGATTCAAAGTTAGGAGGCCTGATATCAAAAGAATTGGATTCAAACTCTATCTTTACTCTTGACCAATTGTGAACATCAGGAAAGTCACTCTGAGGCTCAGTTGAGCTGTGATAATAACATCATTACTATTACCAGAATCCCTCAACACCCTCACTGCCTCCCTAATAGACATAGCTTTTAGTAAACACTCTCTGAATTTGCCAATGATAAGAGAGTGAGTGTCTTGTGGAATATGAAAAAAATTGACATCTTCATGCATGGATGGATCATGAGAGTGGATGTTGAAATGATTCTACCTCAATTCAAAGGAGAAAGTTGTTTGTTTTATTTCATGAAAATGTATAAGTGTCATTGACCATTGGAATATCTTTCATAATCCAATTTTATTTTAGCCCACTTCAGTCCTAGTACTCTAACAACCCACTTGCTTGCTGCTAGCACATAAAACTGGAAGATCATGCCAAGAAATGTGACCTGAACCTCAAATTCAGAGGCTTATGCTCCCACGGAACCAATCTGGTGATGTTGCCTTTTTGTTTGAGCTTCCTTCTGCCTTAGGCCAACTGGATCATCCTGGCACCAGGGATGCTATGTTGAGCCATAAATACCTGACCCATTTTCTAGCAGCAACAGGCAAGGGGAGAACCAAGATGACATAGATGACACATGGGGAATGGTTCCAGTTTTGTCCTGCTAAACCACAACTACAAAGGTAATTTTAAAATGTTCTATGAGAAAAGGGCATGCGGGATTCCCTGTGTTGAGCTTCATCCCAGTGAATTACACTGTCTGAACAGATAATAAATATTTTCAGATAAACAAAAGGAGTGGGAATAGCAAGCAGAATACTAGGAAAGCTTTAAGACAACTGCTGATTGACCTGTACCTTCAACCTGGCTACTCAATATTGTTCCCAATGTGTGGATTCCCCTTGTATCACCCTACCTAATAAAATTCTCTCCTGTTTCCTCCACAGGGAGGTGATGAACAACTTAGCAAATGTTTGTGAAAGGGCAAGGTAGATTGTCAAATCCTGAAAATGCCAGCTATCAGTGGCATTCTTAGCAACTGGGATAGATGCTATAAGGGGTAGAAGATAAAAATCTCATGACCCCCAGCTCTGTATGAGTGAGAGCCAGTGAAAACTGGCAATAGGATCTCCAACAAGAAAAATCACTGAGCATTGTGCAAGAGGATTAATAACAGAAAAAAATGCAAATGTTTAGGAAAATGCCTGTGCTATTAAGAGAGTCAAAACCCAATGGGGTAATTATGGAGAAGAGGATACAAATGTCTTAGAAATCGTCAAGGAAAATCATTTTTTTGCCCTCTGCAGGGACTTACCAATGCATTCTCTGTAAATCATCATTAAACCTGCATGGGCCTAATGAGGTAACTCCACATCATCCAGTTGTTAAACAAACAAAAAGGTCTGCTCCCACTTTCCAAAGAGCTCTCCAGCCCACACACCTTTACTTGAGTTCAAATTTAGGAATTAAATACTCTCACTTCTTGTACCAGACTGTATTCAAATCTTTGATTTATGGAGTTGGGAACCAAGAGGTAAAAAGAGAGGGTATATTAATAGTTTATTTTTCTCATTGGCATCTATTCAGTAATGCTGTTTTTCATAAAGAGAATATAAACTGGAAACACATTTCACTGTTCTAAACACTTGGGGGATAAAACAACATAGTAGAAAAAAATAGTAAAAATGCTAGAATGAAAAAGACGAAATTGTGTAGGTGTGTCTCATGTTATAGGTTTTTGCCTCTTCATTATTCACTGTTAATTTTTAAATATATTTTGATAGCATAGGAATAAACTAACTCCTATTAGTTTATTTTTTTGTTCTAAAAATCTTTGATAGACTGTATGTGACCCAGGAGTTTCAAGTTGGCTTTCTGCTGCTGGAGTGTACCATTCCTGTATATTCTAAGGGGCACTATATATGGAAAGACACAAAAATGGAAAGTACCACCTTGAGACAATGGGTACTTGAAATGTATTATTTTAAAAATACTCCCCAAAAGTTTTCAGAAGTGGACAATCAGACTATATGATGAGTGTGGCCACTTGGATTCTTAAATTAATAACACTGGTGTATGAAATTTTACTCCTGAAATCCTAGTAATGCACAAAAAACAAAAGACAAAGGAACATGAAGGTTTTATCCAAGACCATTTTTCTTATGTTAGGAAGCTTTTACAAGGCCTCAGTCTCATGATGTAAATTCAGCAGAATGAAAGACTTTTAGATACAGTGAATTCAGCCAGGACTCCTGTCCTTGCCCCTCCCTTGCTTCTTTCTCAAGGAATAGAAACCATTTCCTCTTGGGCCTTTGTCAGGAAATGCAGATGACTAACCAAGCAGGAAGTGCCTCTACCTTTGACATTTTACTTCTGACACCCCGGTTACAGAGATAACAACAGCTGCTACTCTGTCAAAATGCATAAAAGCTAAGTCTTCTCCAAATCACCAAATAGCAAAAATTACAATTTTAATTCTACTTGCATGACCCATTTATTTAGGCCACTTTTTCCCTACTAGTTTATTTTTTGTTGTTCTAAAAATTTTTGGTGGACCTCATTTGTCACAGAAGTTTCAAGCTGGCTTTCTGCTGCTAGAAAGCAGTGTACGTCGAAAGGGGTGGTATGGATGGCAAGTCACAAAGATAGAAACTACCACCTTGAGACCAGTGGGTACCTGAAATGGCATTAATTTGAATGTTTCAGTTCTGCCTAAATGCTTAGTCAAAGCCTGCATACTGGAAAGACGGCATTCAGAAAAAAATGACAAAGGAGACCAAGACTACACTGGTGTGCTGAAACCAGCTCACACTGGGTCACACAGGCAAGCAAGACCAATTGAATGCAGCTCTTCCCAATTCCTTGTTCAGTGACTTCTTGATGTTAGCTAGAAATGAGCCATGTGAAAGTATTCACACCATGGAGATCAGTAAACATCACAAATTAGAGGGTTTTGTTTTGTCCCAGAAAGTCAGTTGTTAAATTTTTACTAGCACAGGACTTCCCTGGCTAAAGGCCTGAGGAAAGTCCATGTTTAAAGAACCATCTGGCTCTCCAAAGCCTTAGAAAGGCCTCTTCTTTCTTGTGATTTCTCAAAGAAGTGCCAGCAAGAAAGGAAGATCCATCCTGTGACTGTTTTTCTTTCCATGCTCTAAAACAACCAAAACTAGAGTTCTGGCCAATTACCTCCTCTCTTTGCTTTGTGTGGTGTATAAACTTCAAAGTGGTTAAATTCCTTTAGCCATACAACTTTTTACACCTTTAATTGTGCTACAATCTGGCCTGTCAAGTTCTGGAATCATTCTGTGAAGACAGTATTTAAATTTTCCTTTTCTTCTGCTTTACCTATCAGGCCCTAACTTTCATTCCTTTCTAAGCAAAGCTTCCCCAAATTGGTTTTCTCTCCTGCTCCACTGACTCACCTTCCATCCCTCCTTACTCCCAGAGGTCAGCCTGCCTCAGTTTGAGCCTCTGATGCTAGTCAATAATTGTTGCTTCTCCCTGGGGCCATGGCTGGCCCATATCCTCTTCTTTCTCTCTTTTGGGAGTTATGTCCCTAAAATTCTTCCCTTACCAGCACAGCTATTCTAAGCTGTGAGTCTCAGCCTACATTTCTGAATGATCTTCTCTCCCTTCTTGATTGGGTTGTTTTTCTACCCCAAGTCCCTAAATGCAAGGCTTTTCAAGGAGTCTGAGATGAGGATCAGCCATTGAATCCACATGGAAATCTCTTTTATAAAAATCAATGTTTGTATTTGTAAATATGATATTCTGTATTCTTTACAGATCCTTTTAAAGTAAGAAATGTTATGTGGAACAACAATTTCCACTGATGACCTCTCCAGTGTCCTCGGTTTCCCAACGTATCATATAGCAGCGGTTCTCAAACAGGGATAATTTGCCCCTGAAGGGACATTTGACAAAGTTGGCTATTTTTTTTTTTAATTTCACAACACGGAGGATGTGCTACTAGCTTCTAGTAGTTAGGCCTGATGGATACTGCTAAACATCATACGATGTACAGAACAGCCCCACAAAATAATGACTTCTCTGGCATAAAATACCAGTGTGCTGAGGTTGAGAAACCCTGACTTAGGATGACTCTCATTGCAGTTTCCCATAGCAGTTCACTGACTAATGGGAATAAGAGTTGGGTGGTAGCTAAAGGGTACTTAAAGAAACACTTGTTCTTGAGATACATAAGCACAATTGCATTTTGTTGATTTCTTTAGTCACACTTGTTTAACCACTCAATACTTCAAAGGCATAAGGTTTGTTGTACTCGTGTAATTATCTCAACCTTGGGAAAGGAGGGTACCCCATTAGATTTCCGAAAAGTCTTGGTTCTGACCCTCAGTCTTCACTGAGTTCACAGCAGATGAGCAACTCAATCCGTGGATGTGTTTATAATATGCAATAAATAAGCCATAGTATTAGAACTATGTGTATGCATGCAGAGGCAGGAATCTGCATCCTTAACAAGTATGTCAAATACATCACAAGCTTACCCACATTTGGCAATTACTAATTTAGGGGAAATATAAGTCAGTGCCTAGAATCAAAGAGCTCAAAGATTGAACAACAGTTATGCTCCTAACTGCTTGAGTGATTGAGTCTTTGCTAAATCTCTTTCAGTTTTCCTGTCTGCAAAATGAGAATACTAATAAAACACTCCTCTTGGGATTCTGAAAACTAAATGAGGTAAGGCAAGCAAAGTGCTTAACAAAAATGCCTAGCAGCCAGTAAGCACTTAGCAAATATGAGATGTTTTTAGTAAACCAACCTTAGGTTTTTTTTTCTTTGGTTGGAGAAAAAAAATGGAAGATAGATTATTTTAATATGAGGGGATTATGGATTATCATCAAATAACCTACTTTTATAAGTACTCCATCAATGTTTGCTGTACTGAATTTAAATGAACTGATTTTAGTAGAGTATACATTTTGTCAGGCCTCTGTGCCCAAGCCAAGCCATTGCATCCCCTGTGACTTGCACGTATATGCCCAGATGGCCTGAAGTAACTGAAGAATCACAAAAGAAGTGAAAATGCCCTGCCCCGCCTTAACTGATGACATTCCACCACAAAAGAAGTGTAAATGGCTGGTCCTTGCCTTAAGTGATGACATTACCTTGTCAAAGTCTTTTTCCTGGCTCATCCTGGCTCAAAAACCACCCCCACTGAGCACCTTGCGACCCCCACTCCTGCCAGCCAGAGAACAAAACCCCTTTGACTGTAATTTTCCTTTACCTGCCCAAATCTTATAAAACGGCCCCACCCCTATCTCCCTTAGCTGACTCTCTTTTCAGACTCAGCCCACCTGTACCCAGGTGAAATAAACAGCTTTATTGCTCATACAAAGCCTGTTTGGTGGTCTCTTCACACAGACGCGCATGAAATTTAGTGCCGTGACTCGGATCGGGGGACCTCCCTTGGGAGATCAATCCCCTGTCCTCCTGTTCTTTGTTCCGTAAGAAAGATCCACCTACAACCTCAGGTTCTCAGACAGACTAGCCCAAGAAACATCTCACCAATTTCAAATCCGGTAAGCGGGGAAGTACCCCAACCCCTTATCTCCGTGTCTCTACCCCTTCTCCGCCTTTCTGGGGGGCAAAAAACCCCCCAACCCCTTCTTCTTCACCCTTAGAGGCAAGTCCCGCTTTTCTGAGGGAGGGACAAGTACCCCAACCCCTTATATCTCTGCGCTCCAATCCCTTATTTCCATGCCCCGACCTCTTATATCTCTGTGCCCCGATCCCTTATTTCCGCACCCCAGCCTCTTATATCTCGGTGCCCTGATCCCTTATTTCTGCGCCCCCAACCTCATATCTCTGTGCCTCGACCCCTTTCCCGCTTTTCTGGAGGGTAAGAACCCCCGAACAGCTTCCCTCTGTGTCTCTACTCTCCCTTTTCTTTCAACTTGGCTCCTTCACTATAGGCAACCTTCCACCCTCCATTCCTTCTTCTTCTCCCTTAGCCTGTGTTCTCAAAAACTTAAAACCTCTTCAACTCACACCTGACCTAAAACCTAAATGCCCTATTTTCTTCTGCAATGCCACTTGACCCCAATACAGACAGTAGTTCCAAATAGCCAGAAAATGGCACTTTCAATTTTTCCATCCTGCAAGATCTAAATAATTGTTGTCATAAAATAGGCAAACGGTCTGAGGTGCCTGACGTCCAGGCATTCTTTTACACATTGGTCCCTTCCTAGTCTCTGTGCCCAATGCAACTCATACCAAATCTTCCTCCTTTCCCTCCTGCCTGTCCCCTCAGTCCCAACCCCAAGCGCCGCTGAGTCTTTCTAATCTTCCTTTTCTACAGACCCATCTGACCTCTCCCCTCCTCGCCAGGCCGAGCTAGGTCCCAATTCTTCCTCAGCCTCCGCTCCTCCACCCTATAATCCTTTTATCACCTCCCCTCCTCACACCTGGTCCAGCTTACAGTTTGGTTCCACAACTAGCCCTCCCCCACCTGCCCAGCAATTTCCTCTTAAAAAGGTGGCTGGAGCTAAAGGCATAGTCAAGGTTAATACTCCTTTTTCTTTATCCAACCTCTCCCAAAACAGTTAGCATTTAGACTCTTTTACATCAAATATAAAAAACCCAGCCCAGTTCATGGATCGTTCGGCAGCAACCCTGAGACGCTTTACAGCCCTAGACCCTAAAAATTCAAAAGGCCATCTTATTCTCAATATACATTACCCAATCTGCTCCCGACATTAAATAAAACTCCAAAAATTCTAGCCCTCAAACTCCACAACAGGACTTAATTAACCTCACCTTCAAGGTGTACAATAATAGAAAAAAGTTGCAATACCTTGCCTCCACTGTGAGACAAATCCCAGCCACATCTCCAGCACACAAGAACTTCCAAAGGCCTGAACCGCAGTGGCCAGGCATTCCTCCAGAACCTCGTCCCCCAGGAGCTTGCTACAAGTACCAGAAATCTGGCCACCAGGCCAAGGAATGCCTGCAGCCCAGGATTCCTCCTAAGCTGCGTCCCATCTGTGTGGGACCCCACTGGAAATCAGACTGTCCAAATCACCTGGCAGCCACTCCCAGAGCCCCTGGGACTCTGGCCCAAGGCTCTCTGACTGACTCCTTCCCAGATCTTCTTGGCTTAGCGGCTGAAGACTGATGCTGCCCGATTGCCTCAGAAGCCCCGTAGACCATCACGGACTCCGAGCTTCGGGTAACTCTCACAGTGGAGGGTAAGTCTGTCCCCTTCTTAATCAATACTGAGGCTACTCACTCCACATTACCTTATTTTCAAGGGCCTGTTTCCCTTGCCTCCATAACTGTTGTAGGTATTGACGGCCAGGCTTCTAAACCTCTTAAAACTCCCCAACTCTGGTGCCAATTTAGACAATACTCTCTTAAGCACTCCTTTTTAATTATCCCCACCTGCCCAGTTCCCTTATTAGGCCGAGACACTTTAACTAAATTATCTGCTTCCCTGACAATTCCTGGGCTACAGCCACACCTCATTGCCACCTTTTCCCGCAGTTCAAAGCCTCCTTCACATCCTCCCTCTCGTATCCCCCCCCACCTTAACCCACAAGCATAGGATACCTCTACTCCCTCCTTGGCGACCGATCATGCACCCCTTACCATCTCATTAAAACCTAATCACCCTTACCCCACTCAACGCCAATATACCATCCCGCAGCATGCTTTAAAAAGATTAAAGCCTGCTATCACTCGCCTGCTACAGCATGGCCTTTTAAAGCCTATAAACTCTCCTTACAATTCCCCCATTTTACCTGTCCTAAAACCAGATGAGCCTTACAAGTTAGTTCAGGATCTGCCCCTTACCAACCAAATTGTTTTGCCTATCCACCCTGTGGGGCCAAACCCATATACTCTCCTATCCTCAATACCTCCCTCTACAACCCATTATTCTGTTCTAGATCTCAAACATGCTTTCTTTACTATTCCTTTGCACCTTTCCTCCCAGCCTCTCTTTGCTTTCACTTGGACTGACCCTGACACCCATCAAGCTCAGCAAATTACCTAGGCTGTACTGCTGCAAAGCTTCACAGACAGCCCCCATTACTTCAGTCAAGCCCAAATTTCTTCCTCATCTGTTACCTATCTCGGCATAATTCGCATAAAAACACACGTGCTCTCCCTGCCAATCGTGTCTGACTGATCTCTCAAACCCCAGCAACTTCTACAAAACAACTCCTTTCCTTCCCAGGCACGGTTAGCGTGGTCAGAATTCTTACACAAGAGCCAGGACCTCACCCTGTAGCCTTTCTGTCCAAACAACTTGACCTTACTGTTTTAGCCTAGCCCTCATGTCTGTGTGCAGCGGCTGCCACTGCTTTAATAATTTTAGAGGCCCTCAAAATCACAAACGATGCTCAACTCACTCTCTACAGTTCTCATAACTTCCAAAATCTATTTTCTTCCTCATACCTGACGCATATACTTTCTGCTTCCCGGCTCCTTCAGCTGTACTCACTCTTTGTTGAGTCTCCCACAGTTACTGTTGTTCCTGGCCCAGACTTCAATCCGGCCTCTCACATTATTCTGGATACCACACCTGACCCTCATGACTGCATCTCTCTGATCCACCTGACGTTCACCCCATTTCCCCACATTTCCTTCTTCCCTGTTTCTCACCCTGATCACACTTGGTTTATTGATGGCAGTTCCACCAGGCTTAATCGCCACTCACCAGCAAAGGCAGGCTATACTATAGTATCTTCCACATCTATCATTGAGGCTACCACTCTGACCCCCTCCACTACCCCTCAGCCAGCTGAACTAGTTGCCTTAACTCAAGCCCTCACTCTTGCAAAAGGACTACGCGTCAATATCTATACTGATTCTAAATATGCCTTTCATATTCTGCACCACCATGCGGTCGTATGAGCTGAAAGAGGTTTTCTCACTACAAAAGGGTCCTCCATCATTAATGCCTCTTTAATAAAAACTCTACTCAAGCCCGCTTTACTTACAAAGGAAGCTGGGGTCATTCACTGCAAGGGGCGTCAAAAGGCGTCAGATCCCATTGCTCTAGGCAACGCTTATGCTGATAAGGTGGCTAGACAAGCAGCTAGCTCTCCAACTTCTGTCCCTCACGGCCAGTTTTTCTCCTTCACATCGGTCACTCCCACCTACTCCCCTGCTGAAACTTCCACCTATCAATCTCTTCCCACACAAGGCAAATGGTTCTTAGACCAAGGAAAATATCTCCTTCCAGCCTCACAGGCCCATTCTATTCTGTCGTCATTTCATTACCTCTTCCATGTAGGTTACAAGCCACTAGCCCGTCTCTTAGAACCTCTCATTTCCTTTCCATCATGGAAATCTATCCTCAAGGAGATCACTTCTCAGTGTGCCATCTGCTATTCTACTACCCCTCAGGGATTGTTCGGGCCTCCTCCCTTTCCTACACATCAGCTCTGGGATTTGCCCCTGCCCAGGACTGGCAAATTGACTTTACTCACATGCCTCGAGTCAGAAAACTAAAATATCTCTTAGTCTGGGTAGATACTTTCACTGGATGGGTAGAGGCCTTTCCTACAGGGTCTGAGAAGGCCACCACAGTCATTTCTTCCCTTCTGTCAGACATATTTCCTCAGTTTAGCCTTTCCACCTCTATACAGTCTGATAACAGACCAGCCTTTATTAGTCAAATCAGCCAAGCAGTTTTTCAGGCTCTTAGTATTCAGTGAAACCTTTATATCTCTTACAGTCCTCAGTCTTCAGGAAAAGTAGAACAGACTAATGGTCTCTTAAAAACACACCTCACCAAGGTCAGCCACCAACTTAAAAAGGACTGGACAATACTTTTACCACTTTCCCTTCTCAGAATTCAGGCCTGTCCTCGGAATGCTACAAGGTACAGCCCATTTGAGCTCCTGTATAGATGCTCCTTTTTATTAGGCCCCAGTCTCATTCCAGACACCAGACCAACTTAGACTGTGCCCCAAAAAATTTGTCATCCCTACTATCTTCTGTCCAGTCATACTCCTATTCACCGTTCTCAACTACTCATACATGCCCTGCTCTTGTTTACACTGCCGGTTTACACTGTTTCTCCAAGCCATCACAGCTGATATCTCCTGGTGCTATCCCCAAACTGCCACTCTAAACTCTTGAAGTAAATAATCTTTGCTGGCAGGACTACGCTGAATCTCCTTAGGCACTCTCTAATCAGATGTCCTGGGTCCTCCAATTCTTAGACCTTTTATACCTGTTTTTCTCCTTCTCTTATTCCATTTTTTAGTTTTTCAATTCATACAAAACCGTATCCAGGCCATCACCAATAATTCTACACGGCAAATGTTTCTTCTAACAATCCCACAATATCACCCCTCACCACAAAATCTTCCTTCAGCTTAATCTCTCCCACTCTAGGTTCCCACGCCACCCCTAACCCCGCTCAAAGCAGCCCTGAGAAACATCGCCCATTCTCTCTCTCCATACCATCCCCCCAAAATTTTCGCCACCCCCCACACTTCAACACTATTTTGTTTTATTTTTCTTATTAATATAAGAAGGCAGGAATGTCAGGCCTCTGAGCCCAAGCCAAGCCATCGCATCCCCTGTGACTTGCACGTATATGCCCAGATGGCCTGAAGTAACTGAAGAATCACAAAAGAAGTGAAATTGCCCTGCCCCGCCTTAACTGATGACATTCCACCACAAAAGAAGTGTAAATGGCCGGTCCTTGCCTTAAGTGATGACATTACCTTGTCAAAGTCTTTTTCCTGGCTCATCCTGACTCAAAAAGCTCCCCCACTGAGCACCTTGTGACCCCCTACTCCTGCCCACCAGAGAACAAACCCCTTTTGACTGTAATTTTCCTTTACCTGCCCAAATCTTATAAAACGGCCCCACCCCTATCTCCCTTCGCTGACTGTCTTTTCGGATTCAGCCCACCTGCACCCAGGTGAAATAAACAGCTTTATTGCTCACACAAAGCCTGTTTGGTGGTCTCTTCACATGGACGCCCCTGAAACATTTATCTCATCATTTGTTACCGAGCAACAATTCAAAACAACAATGCAGTGTCTGAAAGGAATAATTCATGGGGCTTTAAAACAATGAGAGAAGAAAAAAGGAGAATACAGTACATAGAATACAAGATGTATTGTTCTGAGGCAAGTCTTGGATATCATCTATTTCTACATTAGGTGTGTCTCAAGAGTCCAAAGCTTCTTGCTAATCTGATGACTCCCCACAACATCCTGGTATTATCATTCCATTTTTTTGAAACCTGAGCAAACTGAACCACAGAAAAATTGAGTGAATTGAGAAGGTCACGTGGAAGTCAAGCCCAGAATAGAACTGATGTCTGCTGGTTTCCCATCCAGTCATGACCCTTCCCAATACACATTATTTGAAGCAGTCTGGTCAGCAGTGGCTAACGGCTTTAATATTTTTGAACCATTAATTTTTTTTTTCTGAGTAACATTCCTGGCAAGCTTGCTTATTTTCCAGGGTGAGAGATATGTCTGAAAATAAAGTTAATGGACAATGTTGATTGTCACCCTAAAAAAAATAGCCTTAAAGCAGTGAATGGATTTTAACTTAAAATGTGGATTTTTAGGTTGCATTTAAATTTATATAAATGTCATACTAATATCGTGCATCTTGAAAAATAGAAAGGTTGAATGAAAAATATTGAATATCAAGGTAAGAGTTTTTGAAAAGGTTACAAAACCTGGATTCAGAATAACAGCAAGGCCTTTGGCAATGAGCTTGAATTCTTGCCAGGAAATGTAGTTCATCTTGGCATCCTGCCCTGACCTCACAATCCTGGGCATTGGCTTATATCTCGTGCTTCAGCCAACTCATTTCCTCCAGCCGAATCGATGACTTTCTAATAGCTGAGCATCCTGCTCTGAATCACTTGCAAACCACTAAGATACACTTTCTCTGTTTATTTTCTGACTTGAGACAGAGAACAGCAAGGTCAGTTGATTCTTTCAATGATTGCTCTTAAAATAAAAACTTTCACTGCAGTCGTTTGAACTTTTGAAAACCAATGTCCAATAATACAGCCATTTCAGCAAATTCAGTTGCTCATGATTTCATAGTTTTTCTATAGCTTTATCATCTCTATCTCTATGTATATCAATACATATATTAATGCATCAGTAATTAGTTAATGGGTATGTACTTTTATGTCTGTCAACCATAGTGCCTTATGCCACATAAATACTCAATGGATGCTAAAAAAAAAAAATGCATATAAAGGTAATAAATTGTTCTTTTGCAATTAGAGAGTTATTTTCATGCCAGCTGGAATGTTCATATTAAAATCAGAATAATCATGTATTTATCATTTGATGGGAAGAAGAAAAGTTTCACTAATTGGAAAGGAGCTTGTCTGAAAGCTGTGGAAGACAACATTGAATGGGCTTGTTAGGCACAGAACATAATCTTGATGTTGTAAGAGAATACGAGCAAAAGAATGGAGAGAAAACAAGTCACCATGTGAAAGTTTTAGTGTAAAATTGCAGTAGGAAATAAATTCACTGCTCACAATCTTCTTGATAGCCAACATTTTCATAAGCTTTTCCACCGTCATCGTCAACGTCATCACCATCTTACGACTATAGGTCAAAGAAAACTAGCCAAACTGGCAATCAACAAGTCAGGAAATTGGAACATCAATGTTATTATCAGTTAGCATTAGTAGGATTTCGTAGTTGATGTGTGTTTAAGACCACTTTTACATCAACTGAGACAAGACTGCTTACCTTCTCAGGATTTTAAATATCATAAAGTATGTGGCAAATAATCTGCCTTTGGGCACTTTATTTTCAGATTTACTTAGTCATCATGTACTTTGTGTGAATGTGATGAATTCGAAGACATGAACGAAAGGCTAGATTAAACTGCTGACTAACCATGAAGAAAATGGTCAAAGTATGTAGTAAAACCAGTTTATCTCTCTATTTTAAAGCCATGTTATCTTTAACTTAGTTGCTGTTGGAAAAACAAGATGCTTTTTTCAGATGC
Organism: Homo sapiens; assembly: GCF_000001405.40. NCBI lineage: Eukaryota > Metazoa > Chordata > Mammalia > Primates > Hominidae > Homo > Homo sapiens. The sequence continues at coordinate 14,167,936 of NC_000004.12, read as the reverse complement.
CAGTCCCTGTAAAACAGTGACTGGAATAACCTGAGATTTTTTTTTTTTTTTTTTCAAACTCTAAATTCTGTCTCAAATGTTAGTTGCTAGTTGTGAAGGAAATCATTAAAGGCCAATTATCATTAAAACAGTCTCTGAAATTAGATATCTGATGAAGGGAGAATTGTTCTCTCTTCTCTTAAAGGCCAATGCTTGGACAGGCATTTTCTCTGGTTAGAAAATCCCATTTGTGTTCAGTTACTTTTCAATTTCTGCCTGTTTCTTAGGAAAACAGTGAAAGACAATTTCAAAAAAAAGAATCCGTGGAGAAGAGAAGGCAATAAGATTGATAAAATTGATAAGCTCTTAACATCGGGGTGAATCTATAGACTCTTGATGGCTACTGTAAAAGGAAATTCCATTTAAATTTGGGAAAGGGTATGAAGCATTTTTCTTTTACCATTTTTTTAAATGGGGCACAATTTACATATAATAAAAAGCAGATTTTATGTGCATTTTGATGAGCTTTAACAAATGCATAATAAATTTGTGCATCCAAACCCTCAAGTAACAGAATATTTTCGTCATCCTATAGAGGTCCCTTCTAGTACCTCATTCTGGTCAATTCTCTAGGGTCATGCCCTAGAGACGATTACTGCTCCAATATCTGTCGTCATAATTGTTTAATAAATAATAACAATCTGTCATCATAATTGTTTTACCTATTCTAGAACTTCATATAAATGGAATCATACAATATACAGTTCTTTGTTCCAGTTTCTTTTGACTAAACATAACCTTTTTGAGATTTGTCAATTTAGTTATGCTTATGAGTAGTATGTTACTTTTCGTTGCTAAACAGTATTCCACTGAATCAATATGCCACCCTTTTATGCCCATCAACTGTTGGTGAGCATTTAGTTTATTTTTAGCTACTGAAAATAAGACATTTTGTCTTATTTTAGTTATTTTTAGCTAAATATTCGTATACATATTTGTGAACATCTGTCTCCACTTCAAGTTTAGAATTGTTAGTCACAGATTTGCTCTGATGATCCTCTTTAGGAGAGACTTAAGTGGGGAGAAGGCTATTCTGAGCAGAAGAGCCTTTTCTTCATCGTTAGTCCATTGGTTGTCTCAGCCCAGGACTTCAAACCATTCCACCATTACCAATCTCCAACCTTAATTATGCATTGTAGGCATACCCCAAATTCTATGTTTCCTGGCATATGACAGCCAAGCAGTATAATAAAGTCAAGGTCTCTTCCTCCTTTCCATTCTCATTTGAAAAATTAGGACTTCTTTTAACATCTCAACATTTTGCAGCTGGTAAGGAGGGCCACTGTAGGCAGTGTCACTGAATAGATTAAAAAGTTGCCTGGTATTTTCAGAGTAGTTACTTCAAAAACTTACCTGGGAGTGAGCACTTTGGTAGGCATAGGTGGGCAGATGACTGGAGGTCAGGAGTTCAAGACCAGCCTGGCCAACATGGTGAAACCCCATCTCTACTAAAAAAATACAAAAATTTATCTGGGCGTCGTGGCAGGCTCCTGTGATCTCAGCTACTCGGGAGGCTGAGGCAGGAGAATTGCTTGAACTGGGGAGGTGGAGGTTGCAGTGAGCCTACAGAGATCGTGCCATTGCACTCCAGCCTGGGCAACAGGAGCACAACTCTGTCTCAAAAAAAAAAAAAAAAAAAAAAAAGAAAGAGAAAAGAAAGGAAAAAGAAAAGGAAAAAAAAAGAAAAAAACATACCTGGGAGTGATATCATCAAAATGGCAAAGTAGAAGAAATCTGATTCAACAAGGTGAGCCCAAGTAGTGGCTTACATTTTGCAGTCATGGTAAAAAAAGAATCCAGATTTCAACATTTCATATTTTAGGAAGATTCTGAGTGCCTCTCTAACTTTTCTGAGTTTTCGTAAGGGATCTATTAATAAGGCCATCCCAATGCTGTTTTGAGATCCTTGCTGAGAAAGATGTGCTGAGATGTTTGCTGTAATCCATAATAAGGCCATTCTAAAAATTTAAGGATTTTGTCTCAGTGGAGAACATTTTCCTGGGGAATGGTGGTGTGGCATAGAATCACCAGGGCGCTTCTGCTTCTGATGAGTTAGTAAGCACCGTGTCAGCTCTTCAACTCTGTTATGCACAAGTTAGGCCTGAAGCTCTCACATGCTTCTGGGAGTGCCACATCTTTGATCCCCATGAGCTCATTCTTTCTGTTCCTCTTTCTTAGATGAACTGAGGGCACCATTTAAACACCCTTAACTGTTTCATCTCCTCCTGGTTATTTTTTGTTGTTATTACTGGTCCCAATTTTAGCCACCTTCTGGACTTAGGCAAATTGCCATGCAGCTCTTTGCCTATTTTACAGATTGTAAAATAGGCATCCAGTGTAAAACAGGCATCCAGATTGTAAAATAGGCATCCAGATTGTAAAATAGGCATCCAGTGGCTTGTCATGTTGCATGATAAATTATGTAGCTTTGAGCATTACCTTTTTCTGGGTGGGGACAGCACGTTGTCTCTGTTCTGAGAAAAAATCACTAGAACAGATTTAAATTTCAGTGGAAGACAGGGGGATGCATGTATAATGAACAAGAAAGTGAACTCCCAATTCCCATTGATATGCATAGTTGATAAGGCAAGGACAAGTAAATTTGCATAGGGGCCAAGAAACCTCCTGAGATAAAAAGAACCTAGATTCTGACTCCTTTTGCTCTTAGGAGTCAATATTTGAACGTCTCTGATGAATTAGGATGGTCAGAACTGAAGGGTGCTAGCAATAAAGAACAAGTTCACCAGAGAGGAAATTATCATGGGGAAAGATGTAGTCTATGCAAGTAACCTGAAAACACCAAAGACTAAAATAGCAATGTCCAATAGAAATATTATGCAAGTCCCATATGCAATCTTGAATTTAGTAGTAATTGCATTTTAAAAAGTCAAAATCAAAAAATGAAATTAATTTTAACACTACCTTTTTTTAACCTAGTATATCCAAAATATTATCATCTCAAAAAATAACTAATATCAAATACTATTGATACACCATTTTATATTATCCTTTGTGTACTAAATCTCTCAAATCCAGTGTATGTTATATTGACAGTACATCTCAATTTGGATTAGCCATATTGCAAGTATTCTAGTCCTTAAGTGCTCACCATATTGGACAATGCAGGCCTAGATATTCACAAGGCATCTGTGTCAGAACTGTGCCATGCATTTGTATGTAATACAGAGAGCTGTAACTATGAAATGGTGAAATGTTACAGGCTATAAGTCAAGGACACAAAGGTGAGTGAAAATATTACCAGAGACCAGTAAAAGACGAACTATAGCCACATACCAGTGACCCCAAGGGGCCTTATAATTTTCCTTTTCTCTCTTCCTGTTTTATGGAAATAGAGTTGATCCCAGAATTCTTGGCAAGTTCGTGGAGAGAAAAGAAGGACTCAGGAGAGTATTTGATCTTTCGGCAAATTGAAGCAAATGAGACTTTGGCCAAGAATATGAAAAATAAGAGAAATATAATGTCGTCAGTTCTGAACACTTTTCCTATAAATTTGTTCAAATCAGTCACAACTATCTGGTTGTACATCAACCTTTCTTTCCCAATGTGCTATGAGCACCTTGAGTCAAAAAATTAGGACTAATTTTTTTTTAATAGCTCCAAAACCTTATGTAGCTCCTCAGTTGTGGTAAGTAGGGCACAGTCTTCTTCAACCTGTTCCTAGCACTTAGAAAAGGACCTGGCACAGAGTCACATGCAGTAAAAAATTGCTGAAAGATTGACCAGAGAGACCTGATCTCCCTTGTTTTCCAACTGCAGTTTCTTCCTTGAAAAATGGGCATACCTAGATGGTTCACTCTGTGCATATCTCAAGTAAGTTGCTGTGCAGATACAAGTATTATTATCTTTCGTGGGAAAAAAAGTGATAAGAATAAAAAATGTTACATTTTCATATTGCTTTTGATCATATAGAAAGGTTTTATATGCAAATCCCATTTACCTGTCCACATTTTACAGATACAGAGAGGGTAAGATACTTGATTAAAATCATGTAATGAACAAGCCATTCAACTGAAAATTAAACCAAGAATGTCCAACTCATTTTCAGTTTCCCTTTCTCAACATCACGGCCACTGCCAAATCCAGGCCCACATTTTGCTGACAATAAAATATTCTTCACAAATGCGTGTATTTTTATCATGTTGTTATCAGGAGTATCTCAGTAATCCCTGACTAAGAAAATGTCATCATTATTTGCAACTGCCTTTGATCTATCTTTACATATATTAAATATAACTATTGACCAGTCAGAAAATCCAGAGCGGTTCTACATAAAGATTTTTCATTTCCCAAGTTGTACTATGATAGTTTGTCTTCCATGATAAACTAACTTTGTTGGAAGCAGGGGAGAATTGATTTTTAAATCTGACCCAGACATGGGATGGTGTGGTTTATTGTATGAGTCTAACTGAATGCTTTCTTAGTAAGATCTCCTGTTATAAGAATAAGTAGATTTTGCACAATTTATTCATCAAGGCACGGGGGAAAATAAGGCCAGCCGCACAACTGGCTTAGAAAGCAATATAAGTGCATTTTTTTTCAGTAAACAATTGAAGAGGGAAAATAATTTCCTCCCAAGTCAATACAAAGTAGGAAAGGACAAACATTTGCTCTTGCCAAATTCAGTCTGAATTATTTATTACCTGCTACAGATCAGGGTATGCTAATAATATTGTAAGAAGCAATGAAGTTCTGACACCTTCTGAAGACATAGTTTGTAAACATCAGTAAATTATTGCACATCAGCCATTGCAAGGGTTGAGTTATGAACAGTAGTAACCATCGTTAAACTCTTGTAGGATCTGCATTTTTGGAATAATGAAATCTTAACACTTCTCAACAAGCTGTTGAGAAATATTAGTGGACTTGAAATCCAGAGACCCAGCTTCCCTTTGTAGCTGTGTCATCTTGCACAAATTACTGAATCTTTATTAGGCAGGTTAATAATATCGACTTCATAGGGTTATGATAAGAATCAGTGAGTAAATAGAAGTTAAATGCCCTTGTATAATGCCTAACCCATAGTAGAACACCCACAGGTAGCTGACCCATAGAAGAACATACAAACACCATTTTTCTTATTTAAATATGGTTGATATATAGGTGTTTAATTTTTAGTAACCTGTTATAGCTGTTCCATACTGGACTTGAAATTTGACAGTAATACACCGTTCATTCATTTATTCTTTCATTTTCATAGTCATTAAACAAGGATTTAATTTACGGTCCACTATGTTCAAAGCACTGTACTACATCCTGAAGATATACTAGTTATCAAGGCAGACAATATTTCTCTCTTCCATAGCTTACAATCAATAGGCTACTGTTTGGTAAATGTTGTTCTATAGGAAGAGACTTGGCTTCCTAGTATGGGAATCTCAATCTCTACTATGAACACTAAAGGACTTCATGAAAAAGGGTGTTTAAGTCACCAATCTCCATCACCCCAACTTGTAGTTACAGGATACTAAGGTGAAAGAGCTGCAATATCCTACAGCAGTTCCGGTTGACAAGTCCAATAGGTAAGCTGCTATTTTATGTGGCATGTTAAGAAGCAAGAGTTCATTGGTGATTAAGTTGAAAAAGCTCTGTACTTAAACAGTATTTTTTGAGCAAAAGTAAAAGAAGAAAGTCTAATATCTCACTTTTATTAGATAATAAATATCCTGAAATAGCAGAAATTCCAGAATCTGCTTGATCATAGATGACACAGCAATCAAGACAAACCCCAGGCAAAGATGGACTTTAAAATACATGGTGCTAGGAGAATTGGGTAATCATATGGAAAAAGTAAAATAAAATTCATATCTCACACCCTACACAAGGATAAACTCCAAATGGATTAGGGATCTAAATATAAAAAATGGAACTGTACAAGTATTACATGGGTGAATTCCTCTTAAATTCAAGATAGGGAAAGAATATCTAACCATGATGCAAAATCCAAAGGCAACAAGGAATGAAAAGATTGATAAATTTGACTGTGGACAAATATTATTTAAATGCATGGCAAGAATCACCATACACAAAATTAATAGACAACTGAAAAAAATGAGAAAATATTTGTAATAGATACCATATACAAGGTTAAAGGTTCTCGAGACATAAAGAATTCTTAAAAATTGAGGGACAAATAATCAAAATCAACTCACACAAAATATAAAAATGGACTTCAAACAGATTTAAAAGCTCAAGCTGACTCATAATTAAAGAAATCCAAGTTATAACAACACTGAGGTACAATCTCTCACCTTTCAGATTTACAAAGACTGAAACGTAGGACAGCAAATGGTGCTAGAACAGTTGGACATTCACAGGAAAAAAATGTGAATCTAGACACAGACATTATACCTCACAAAAATATACTCAAAATAGATCATAGATCTAAATGTAAAACTCACAACTGTGAAACTCCTAGAAGATAGGAGAACATTTACACAAACTTGAGTATGTTGATGCTTTTTTAGATAAAATGCCAAAGCCATAATCCATGAAAGAAAAATTGATAACCTGGACTTCATCATAATTAAAAGCTTCTAATGTCCAAAAGACACTAACAAGAGAATGAGAAGACAAACCACACACTTGATGAAACATTTGCAAAAGATAGATGGGATGAAGGACTGTTTATCAAAATATACAAAGAACTTTGAAAACTCAACGATTAGAAAGTAAACATGCTGATTTTAAAATTTGACCAAAGACCTCAGCAGACACCTCACCAAAAAAAAAAAAAAAAAAAAGATAGATTAGATTATAAATAAGCATATGAAAAGACACTCCACATCATATGTCATTAGGGGATTGAAAATTAAAACCAAGTGAGATACCACGATACCCCTATTAAAATGGCTGAAATCTGAAACACTGACACCACCAAATCCTAGTGAGCATGTGGAGTAAAAGAAACTCTAATTCATTGCTGATGGGAATGAAACATGGTACAGCTACTTTGGAAGACAATTTGGCAGTTTCTTACAAAACTAAGTATCCTCTTACTGTACAATCTATCAGTCACACTCCTTGATATCTAGTCAAAGGAGATGAAAACTTACGTCCACACGAAAGTCTGCACAAAGATTTTTATAGCAGCATTATTCATAAGTGCCAGGAGTTGGAAGCAACCAAGATGTCCTTCAGTAGGTGAGTGGGTAAATATGCCACCAGTAGATTCTGGTGCATCCAGACAATAGAATATGATTCATAGCTAAAAAGAAATGAGCTATCAAGGCATGAAAAGTCATAGAGGGAACCTAAGTACTGTCTGATGAAAACCTAAGTAAACTCTGATGGAGTGACAAGGAGGTAGAGCAACTGGGGCATAGCCCCCACCTTATTTCCAATGACAACCTGTGTGATCTTGGTTGAATAGCAAGTATCTTGAACTTCAAGTCCTCATCCGTAAGTACCTAAGTCATAGAGGAAACCTAAATGCATATTATGAAGTGAAATAAGCTGTTCAGCAAAGGATATATACTGTATGATTCCAATTATATGACATTTTAGAAAAGGCAAAACTATGGGGATTGTAAAAAGGCCAGTGGTTGCCAGGAATTAGTGGGGAGAGAGAGATGAAAAGGCAGAACACAGAGGATTTTAGGGCAGTGAACTGTTCTGCATGATACCATAATGGCAGATACATGTCATTATACATTTGTCAAAACACAAGCAATGTACAACACTAAGGTGGAAACTGTGGGTTGGAGTAGTAATAATGTGCCAATGCAGGCTCGTTGATTATAACGAATGTACCGCTCTGGGTTGTGATGTTGATAGTGGGGAAGGCTGTGCTTGTTGGGGGCAGAGGAAATAGGGGAACTCTGTATTCTTCGTTTCATTTTGCTGTGAACCTAAAATTGCTCTAAAAATAAAGTGTATATATTTTTTTAAATGCAGGACAACACATCTGGTTAGCAAAGCTGCAAGGAAACAGGCTTTCTTCAAACATTTTGTCAAACAGAACATTTTCTGAGTGCATGGCCAACAAAAAACTACGGTGCACGTATCTTTTAATCACACAGATCTACTTCTAGGAACCTACAGTATGAAAATGCATATATGCACAAGGATATGCATTGAGGATTTTTTGTTATTACAAGATATCAGGAACTACCTCATACCCATACCTAGAAGAGTTAGTGAAATAAAATGGTACATCTACACAGTACAGTAATTTGTAGCTATAACAAGACATAAAGGAAGATCTTTATTACCTAACATGAGGTGATGTTCATGATAATTGTTAAATGGAAAAAGGAAATTACAAAGGTCTATCTATAATAAGCTACCCTTTATGTTAGAAAGGAAGAAATATAAGAAAATATACATATACATAATTTGTGCAAAAGGCATACAGGAAAGATAAGCCAAAAACTAAGCTGAGTTACGTGCAGGATATGGGTAAGAAGAGGCTGGAAAGCAGCAGGGAATTAGAACAGGTAGTAGGGATAAAGAGAAATGCTTCTCTAAGTAGAACTTTTGTGTATCTCTAACTCTTAGAATCACAGGATAATATGGCAAACCCCCAAATTAAATAACTAAAATCATCGTGAACTCAAGGGAATGTGAAATGCCATAGACACAGTACTAAATGAATGTAGTTGCATGGAGAGGAATAACAAAATCACACTGAAGTGGGTGGTGATGAAAAGAACTAACCCAAGAAACTTTGAAAATTTTATTTTTTCTGGACAAAATAGTTTGTAAAGAGAAAGACAATAAGAACTGTACGCAAATGCTGTAATGTACTTAGTTCATTTGTTTCTCATTTGGATGTGGGTTAACAATTCAGAAACTATGAGTTTAGTAGGAGTGTAAGGATTATCTATTATAAGAATTAAATGTTTGTGATGAGAACCAGATTTCTTGCAGCTAGAGAGCTGGGTGATGGATCATGGTATCTCTCTGCATTATCTTTGCAACTTTCTGGAAATTTATACATTTTTTAAAGTTAAAAAACAATAGAATGGCAAAGGTATCAAGTAATTTTAAGGACTGGATTAAGATGTTTATTGTGGTTAGGCTAAGGGATCCTAAGGCATTTATAAGAAATCACACTTGCTTTTGTGGGGAGAGATGTGTGTGTGTGGACACACACTCATACATGTGTGCATATATTTATAGAAAGGTGATGATTTCTGCCGGGGGTGGTGGCTCACGCCTGTAATCGCAGCACTTTGGGAGGCCGAGGCGGGTGGATCACGAGGTCAGGAGATCGAGACCATCCTGGCTAACCCGGTGAAATCCCGTCTCTACTAAAAATACAAAAAATTAGCTGGGCGTGGTGGCAGGCGCCTGTAGTCCCAGCTACTCGGGAGGCTGAAGCAGGAGAATGGCATGAACCCAGGAGGCAGAGCTTGCAGTGAGCCAAGATCATGCCACTGCACTCCAGCCTGGGCAACAGAGCAAGACTCCGTCTCAAAATAAATAAATAAATAAATAAATAAATAAATAAATAAATGTGATGATTTCAGGAGGGATTGTAATTCGTTTTTAGTTTGTGCAATTTTTAATTTTTCTACCATGAACATAGATTATTTTTAGTTAGGAAAAATAAGGGCATGTTTTAAGTGTGTTAGAGAAAAATTTAGGAATTACTTGTCCAGCTTAACATTTACATATGGGGAAACCAAGGCTCAGAGAGCTCAAATATCTCGGCTCAAGTTGTCCAGTGACTCTATGACAGGGCCAGGACTACTGCCGTCTGTACAGGGGCTTCATCCACTGGGACTGTGACACTTTTTTCTCTGATGGGATTCTAGTATTTTTCTCCTCACAGAGTCCATGTTACTCCAGAAATCTGAATGGCAGGGCCAAAGAACTATGCACAAAGTAAATAAAAAGATATAGTTAATATTTCAGAAATATATTTTCAAAAACTAAGTTGGTAACCAAAAGCATTCCAAAAGAACTGTCTCTACTTATCAAATTCTAGCATAATTTTTCAATATGATGTTATTTTTTCTATTGATGGAAATGCTTTCCAAATAAGGTAAATCATAGTTGTAAGTAACACAGTAATGCAATAATCTTCAAAGACTTTTAAAAGTCCCCAGTGCATTCTTATTTATATAGGGTTGTTTTATTTCCCAAAACTCAAGTTACAAAATAATCTTAAGAAACTATTTCTAAAATTAAATACAAAATTAAAAGTATTTTACTGAGATTCTTCAAGTTAGAGATTTTAATTATTCCTTGAACGTAAGAACAAAGAATGTTAAAAATAAAAACAAAAATTCTAGCAGCTTGAATACCCTAGATTTCTTCAGAAATTTCTGAGACTATTTCCATCACAAGCTAAAAATCTGATATGAAAGTTTCACTTTGAAAGTAGCTATTTCTCAGGTGTGAAGAAAAGTCTATTTTGTAAGAAGTAAAATGAGTATAATTGTTTTCAAACATAGTTATTTTGTTTTTAGGTTCCATTTTCAATATGAGTGTTTGACAAAGACCTATTATGCGTTTCCTTTGGACAAGCTCCATTTCCATTCTAGGTTCTGAGCATACATAAATGAATTAGCAACAGTGCTTAAACTATAAAAAATGTCTCCAGGAATTTGGAGAAAAGACACACTTTTTTCCCATATTGAAGGAGCTGTCGTGGCAAGTATGAGAAGAGCCCTCACTCTACTTTATTCTTCACCCAAAGGGAAGGAGTATTGATGTTGACTGAAGAGCCTGGCATTTCACTAAGCACTTCACAGACAGTCCTTTGTCATCATCACAACCACCCTCTCAGGCAGGTGATTTTCCTACTTTTTTACAGACCTGGAAACTATGGTTCAGAAAGCTGAAATAAGTAAATAGGAGTAGACATAGTTAGTAATAGGGACATGATGGGAAGAGGTTTCTGACTTCAGCAAGTATCCAATAGGTCCTTCATTCTCATTGTCCTATTGAAAATTTTTAAAAATGAATGAATGAGTAAATGAATAAGTAGATGAATAAATGGAAAGACATAGAGATTCTCATTCTACAGCAGTTCCTTGTTCACGTATGGGCAAGTTTCATGTTGTGCTTTAGAGAATAAATATCTGTCCCTTCAGTTTCAGGAAGAAGCCTTCTATGGAGCAATAAAGCATCAGAAATTAGAAAGGATAAGAATGTTGCACAGCTCTGATGCAGTGACAAGGAGGTAGAGAACCTGGGGCACAGCCCCCATCTCATTTCCAATGACTAGCTGTGTGATCTTGGTTGAACAGCAAATATCTTGAACTTCAAGTCCTCATCCATAATATCAGAATAATAAAACATGCCTCATAGTACAGTTGTGAGGGAAAAAAATAAGAAGCATATTGCATACAAATCGACCAGGGGGTTAGTTGTCACTGAGTTAACATCATCTCTCTTCGTGGGTCCCCTCCTGAGGTCAGAGAAGGATCATCAGAAACACTGACTTTGGGTTACCTGAAATTCGAACCCAGAACAGGAACAAGTCCAGAGTTGAGGGGGGCAATGGGAGGAAGCAGCTAAAGGAATTAGGATCCAGATGGGCAGAATCCACACAATGTGTTTGAACAATTCTACAGATGTCATGATTGAATTTTGGTGTCAGCCTCTGAAGGTCTTTAAAAGTCAAATTGAACCTAATCAAATGAGGTATCACCTAGAAGGAGCAGATTGTCTTGATGGTTTTCCAAGACCCTTTCTAGCCCTAATGTTCGATGCTAGAATCATCTTAAAACTAGTCGGCCTTTAATTTTTTTCCAGTACTTTTTTTTTTTTGTAAAGTTGGAGTGTGCAGCTGATTGCTTATCTTCCATTGCCTCTCAGTGGGGTTTATTTATAGAATACCCACATGACAGCCAGAAATACCTTTAGACCAGGAGGGACACCAACCATCTGTTCCTCCGATAACATGCTTCCAGTGATTTCTCTGGGACTGTGGTACTTAACAAAATGTTGCCACGGCATCCTCCAATCTGTGTATTTATAGGAGAGAAAATGTGTGTGTGTTACATATTTGGACTTGTTTCTTTCAGCAGGAGAAATATAGCCTCTGCCATATGTTTGCCACACACATAATTACCTCCCCAATCCACACATCCCATTTTAAATATCTCACCATTCAGAGAGCAGCAGGTTAGAATCTTCCCCTTGAGTCCAGATACACTTAAACCCACCATCCTGGAATAGAAGCCCTTTGTGGGATTGCCATTAATCAGATAACTAGTAACTTTCAGCTGATTCTCTAAATAACATTCTCTGATTTGTGATATCTCCTGCAGCCTGGGAGAAGGCCATGTTTCCCATGTTGGCTCCTAGGCATGAGCCCTCACAACCCACTCTTTCCACCTCCTCTCAACGCCCACTGCCCCTCATGTGTAAATAAAGGAGTGGATAATGATAATGAAAATCACAGGTCTATTTACTGAGCTTGCTCCTTAGAGCATGCTGTGCTAAACATGTTATGTGCATTATCTGATTTTGTTTCTCAGAAACAGCTCCAGATAGTGGGATTTATTATTCCCATCTTACAAATGAGAAAACTGAGGCTTAGGGAAGGTAAATAGCTAGTAAGTGACAGAACTGGCTCTCTATCCCAGATCTGTTTCTCTAAAGGGAGGATCATTTTGTTAAATTCTTTCAATATTCATCTATCCAACCAATATTACAAGAAGCCTTCCAAATGCCACACCTGGCTTTAGGCTCTGGGAACATAGCATTCCACAGAGGAGGCAGCATTTTTTTTGTTTCTGTCTGTCTCTGTCTCTGTCTCTCTCTCTGGACTAGTAATTATGGTAGAAGAGGACATATGATAAAGAAGAAAATGGCAGGTAATAATGAAGCTGGCGAGATGGGACAATACATGGAGAGAGCCCTGTGGCTGCTTGGACTTTCAGTTTGGAGGAATGAGCTGAGACCGGAATGAGAAGAGGTCTGGCAAGTGAGGCTCTTTGGGAAGAACATTCTAGGCAGAGGAAACAGCTCACGGCTTAAGTGAAACAAGCTAATCTGCTTCCAGGTTCAGGTGGAAGGCTGGTGGGACCAGAGCCTGGGTGAGGAAGGGGAATACAGTAGGGAAAGAAATCCCCAAATCAGGCAGGGCCATGTTGCGTGGGCGCTGTAGACCAGGATAGGGAGATTGGCTTTTTTTTTTTTTTTTTTTTTTTTTTTGAGATGGAGTTTCACTCTTGTTGCTCAGGCTGGAGTGCAGTAGCATGATCTTGGCTCACTGCAACCTCCGCCTCCCATGTTCAAGTGATTCTTCTGCTTCAGCCTCCCAAGTAGCTGTGATTACAGGTGCCCAACACCACACCTTGCTATTTTTTTGTATTTTTTTTTAGTAAAGACAGGGTTTCATCATGTTGTCCATGCTGGTCTCGAACTTGAGACCTCAGGAGATCCACCCACCTTGGCCTCCCTAAGTGCTGGAATTACAGGCAGGATCCACTATACCTGGCTGTGAGTTTGGCTTTTATGAAGGTATTTGAGTGGCCACTGGCAGGGTAGAGATGTTAAGTGGAGGAGTTTTATATTATTTACGAGTTTTAGGATTCAGAATTGATTACAAGATGGGGAAGGACTGAGTACAGAAGCAGGAAGAACCATAACTGGGCTGCCACGGTAACACCGGGGCAGTAGGAGTGTTACTTCTGCCTGGGTGGGCAGTGTCCAGGAAGGGAACAGGATGTGCCTCTCATTTGAGATCTTTCTAGAAAGTTCAATAGGATTTCATCAGGCAGAGAAAAGATGAAGGGTGCTTTAGTTAGAGGGGACAGTGATTGCAAATGTACAGACATCTCTTAAGTACACAGTGTGTGTAGGAAACAGTAACAGTTTATCTCCAGATTGTGGTGGGGTCTAAAAAGTCAGGAGCAGACAGTGAGGGGCCTGGAGCAGGTGCATCTCCTTCCCATAGGATGTCTCTCACTGTGCTAATAAGCAAAAGGCACTGCTTCCTCCAGGTGGATGGGGCCCCAAACCAGAGTACATGGGAAGGAAAAGCAGTAATGATAATCAGTTCTGCCTTTCTTCCTGAGCTCAGTCAGAGCCCCATCAAGAAGAGAGTGCAGAAGTCTCTAATTTCGCTTACCTATCCCCACCCCAACCTCACCCTAACACCCTCTCTCAGGGCCCATTCTGGGCACTTGCTCAGTCTACTGGAATCCATACTGAAACATACCTCATGGAATCAATATCTATCCCATGTATGCAATAGTAATCTAAACCTAGTCTGTGGTCCCAGGACTGATACCATCATCAATAGCTCCATTCCAGAAGTTTGTTGAAGATCCTTGCTCCTCAAAATGTGGCTCACCAAACAGCAACATTGGCATAAGCTAGGAGTACATTAGAAATGCAGAATCTCAGGCTGGACTCTGGAACAATTAAACCAGAATCTACATTTTAATAAGATTTCTCAGATGAGTTGCGTGCATGTCTGAGTGTGAAAAACACCAGTCTAGATAAGCCTGTCCTTGCTAATGGTAAATCCTGCCTGAGAAATCCAGAATGGGTTGGAAATGTGCAGAAACCCACAGTGTGCTGTAGGGGGATGAGCTGTGGTGTGTCGGGGCAAAGATAGACGATGGATTTTTTATTCCCCTTACCAGCTGTGCTAGTGACACAGAGATGTGGGTCAAGAAGTGTTCTCAGGCCTGTGTCCCTGCCTGTGTTCCCTGCCTGTGTCCACCTGAAAACATACTTGGTTAAAGAGATGCAAACTTAAGTTTAAAAGGCTATACTAACAAATAAATGAATTTCCTTGAAGAAAAGTATAAGATTTTCCCTCGTTGTCTCAGAAGATTGTACACTGAACAGAATAGATATATAAAGAAAGTGAGAAATGTCTAAATCACTGAATGTCTGCAGGAAATACCCAGTGAGTTAACTATTCACATGGAGTTTGAGTCACTCTTGTGCACCTGGGGAATCCACTCTTTCATTATGCTGTGTTATTGATGTACAGGTAGAAACCCCCTCTATACAATATTTTTTTTCATTAAACTTACCATCTTTTAACACATTATATAATTTCCTAATTTTAATGTTTGGGTCTGAATATTTTCAGTGTGAAATCAGAGTGAGGTGGGCTCCAGTCTGAAGCATTAGATCAGAGGGAAGACATTTTTTAAAACCCTAAAATATTAAATTGCCACTCATTGTATGTGAAATGTGCCTTGAAGCTCATGCAACTTTTTTATTTTAGTGTTAGATGGGATGCTGCTGTGTCTTAAATCTTTGCAAGAAAAAAATCAATTAGCATTGTAGAGCTGGTAATTCTACACTATATTCTGCAACAAGGGGAATGACAGAGAAAGAGCAATTTAGGCTGATAGCTACATCAACCATAGTACAGTTGATTAAAAATTTAACAGTTTTTCTGATGAATGTCCTAGCTCAGATTTGGAAAACACTGACGAATTTAATTTTCCACTGAATAAATAATCATTTTATAAGCCATGTATAATTCATGTAATGGCAATGTTATGGGCTGTTTAAAAACAACTGCTACTAAACAGTTAACACTCTGTAGCAAGCAGAGGCTTGTAAAGGATCATTATTGGAATTAGTTGGCACCCGTTAACAGAGAATGGGTTTCCATCTTCTGAATTTTTAAAATGAAATGACTTCAACCTTTTAATATAAATAACATCCGACCCCTCAACCATCACCAAACACACACACACACACACACAAAATTGTGAATTGGGGAAAGCATTATTTGTTTTGTTCTAACCTGGTTTTTCAGTGGAATAGCATGGAGCAAAAGTTTCAGCTTTCCCAAGCTCAGTTTTCTTACCTGGAGGATGGAAATGGGAGTGCCTACCAAATAGCATTATTGGGGGAAGTTAATGAAGTGATGCTTCTGAATTCACAGTGAGGTCTGGTGTTATACCTTTACACCAGCTGTCCCTTCTAGCCATCTCCTGGGTATCTACAGGAACAGTCCTTCACTTTTTGCAGAATTTGCTCAAATAACCCAACAAAACACATGCAGGCAACCCAATTTAAAATTTCAAACCGAATTTTGTACCACCGCCCCCTTTATCTTCTTTCTCTGTTTTATTTTCCTTGTCCTATTTACTGTTAACATACTGTAGAACTTATTTTACTTATTATTATTACATATTTTATTCTTTATTAATTATTTGATGTTGTTCCTCTTTCTTTCACAAGGAAAAGGTAAGCTGCAAAAAAAAAATACTTTTTTATTGTTTTATTCCTTGATGTCCTCCAGGACAGGGCTTGGCACATAATAAATGCTCAAAAAATATTTGATGAATGAGTGAATGCTTCAGATATTTTTAATAATATTCTGTTTTCCGCACTGTAACAGAGGTTATAGACTCACTAGATGGAGTTATAGAAAATGCAATTTCTTGGGAAACATTCCGAGATATTCTACAGTCAGGGTAGTACCTAAGAATCAGCATTTTTCATGCACATGGGCAAAGGCCACAGTTTGAGAAGCATTACAATCCTGGCTGTGAGGCCTTAGCTCTGTACCCATACCACCTAACCCAAGGCCTGGCACATATGAACTTACCAATCCACAACCAGTCTTTAGTATTAATTTTTCAGACATACCTGGAGCATGAAGTATGTGTTCATTTGGATTCCGTACCCATGTGTTGGCAAACCACCCAAACCCTCACACAGAGGCAAACCTTGCTGCTACCTTCCTCTACCAGTGGACAGGGAGGCAGCCTGAAAATGAAATACAATTCTTCCAAGACTCTTTTGTTCAATGGAACTTCCTCTTCTTGGATCCCTTACAATCCACTCTTTCAACTGTATTAAGATCTTGGAGTTTGAACTTAGATCCGTGTGATTTTGATCAAATTGCTCAATCTCCCAAAGGCTTTATTTTTCTACAAGAGTGACTGATGAGTCTAGACCTTCCTCTCTTCTTCTCAAGATTGTCACAAAGATCAAAATATTTAAAATAATGTGATCTATACGATAGCAGTATGAATTGTAAAATGCAAAACAATAATATGAATAGCGGGGCTCCTACATGGAGACCTGTACATCATTTTATCAATGAATTCAGTTCACATGTCAGAGAGAACTTTGTAGCAGAGATGTAAAGATTTAGAGATATTCCTGTTTAGTGGCTCCTAGATAGCACTGCACAGAGATCTGCCTGGAGATTATTAGAGGTGGATATTCCAGGGCCCCAGTGCTAGAGATTCTCGGTCCATTGGTCTGAAATAATGCTGCGGATCTCCATTTTTACCCAGCACCTGCCACAGCCAATTCTAAAGCTGAGCTTTTAGATGCTAACTTCTGAAACATAGCTTGGTGAGCTCTGGGCTAATCAACTTTTCTTTAAGAGGAGGAACCTAGGACAAAGGAAGGGAGTCACATGTAGTGAGGTGACAGTGCATGGGGAACACAAGAGTAGGGATCCACTGGGCATTTCATGTC
Source organism: Homo sapiens (assembly GCF_000001405.40). NCBI lineage: Eukaryota > Metazoa > Chordata > Mammalia > Primates > Hominidae > Homo > Homo sapiens. Next base: position 14,150,503 of record NC_000004.12, on the reverse strand, counting down.
AGATTCTAATTCACCTCTGAGTGCCACTGAAGCTTAAAGTCACGTAAATCCACTGGGAGAAGTGATGGCGTGAAATGGGAAATGAAATCACAAAACAGGACCCAAGACTACAGAGAACAATTTTTCTTGTTTTCACCATGTAAAAAGGTAGATGCCTGAAGAATCTTTGGGCTGCATACATGGCATCAGCTAGGATTAAAGGGAGCATCCCAGGGCAAACTAACTTACCTAGATGAGCTGAAGGAAAAGAAGTTGCAAAAAAAGAAGGTCTGTGAACAGTTGGGTTTGGAAATCACACTGGGGAGAGAGTAAGATTGATTTGTTGTTGTTGTTTATTTTGTTAGCTATAGCAATCAGTATGCCTGTAAGCCTTTAAGGAAACCATATGTTTACCTTAAAGTATAAGACTTCTCTTTTGTACTTGGCAAAAGATGTGGATTCTTATCTAGCTGGACTCATGAAACTAGTATGGCCAGCAAATTCTAGTTTGTGCTAACAATCAACTAGCTTAGAGGACCCCATTTCTCTTTCAACTGATGGAGTATAAAGAAAAAGGTACTTAGCAACTCATGACATGTCAGATAATAAAACTGAATTGCTCAGTTGGAATTTTCATCTATCACATCATTATCTTGGGATTATGCAACCGTGTGATTTGTTTCTTTGCCTTTGCATTTTCCTGCTTGCTTGTTTCATTCTGCTTTTTTGTGCTGGGTACCGTGCCAGAGCTTGGGATACAAAGATGAATAAAACATGAGCTTCAAGGATCTCTCAGTCAAGTGGGGGAAATAGACATTTTCAAATACTCAAAATACAATGGGGTAAGTGCAGAGAGACCACACAGGAGGAAGTGATTCCTTCTTTCTTTTGCATTCAAAGAAAACTTCTCAGAAAAAGGACCTTTTAGTTGTCTGTTAAAAGAAGAGTAAGAGTTCCACATTTATTAAAACAAAAAAACAAAACAAAAAAAAAAACAGAGAATTATAGCTCCTGCAGAGACAGAAGTGTACCAAGGGCAAGAAGAAGCTTCGTCTTGCTGGAGCTGAGTGTGCATGCTTATTGAAACTTTTCTCATTATGGTACATTTAAGAAATCCTACCAAGAAGCACGCACTATTCCAGAGAAACACAAAGATAAATGCAGGCCTACTCTTTGGCTTAGAGTTCATACTTGGGACAGATAGCAGTCATGTGTGCACATATGGTACAGAATAAACAGTGCACCTCTAGAGGGATGCAAGAGTTGTCACGGGAACACGGATATGTGGAGAAACAAACTTGGCCTTAAGAAGGGAGATAAAGTTTTACAGAGAGTTACCCATGACCTGTGAGGAGTTTATCAGGAAGGGAAAATGTAAATGGTGACCTTCCAAGCAGGTGGAGCATCATGTGGCAACAAGCTTGGGGTTGGGGCAGCCCATGGCTTCATAAGGGATCGTGAAAAAATCATTAAGAATTTCAAAACAGGGACAGCAGAGCATTAAACTAAGCAATAACCCTTCTAAGTGTGAGGGCCTGTGAGACAAAGTCACACTGCCTACGGATGGATGTGCATGAAGTTTGCCTCTGCTGTTTTTATGTCTCAGAGTCTTTTGTTCAAATCTGTGTGATGATCATTAGAAGCACGACTGCAGGGATGTTATTTTTCTGCAAAATAAAACTCTTATGTTGGAAAACTTTCAACTAAATAAGGCTTTATTGCTACCAAAACCAGTCTAAGTAAACTTTATTAAAACTCAGTGCAATAAGCAATAATGAAACAAAAGGAAATAAGAGCAACCAGAGAGAATTTTAAAGGAACCAGGAGACTAAAATCCCAAGTAGACTAACTCCTGTTGAGCAAAGTAGTTGTCTAAGATCAGAGTCAGCAAAGAACTCGAGTTCCAGAATTCCCTCATTATAATTGAAAAACACTTTAGACTTTCCCGAAATCACTGATTTTTTTTTCCCAAACAGGGTTTGAAAATAGAATGCAAGATAAACAGAAATATCATGAAAAATTGTCTAGGAATTAGAAACATAAAACCTTTTATGTTTCAGAAATAAAGGCAATAAAAACAAAATATCTATATATTTTTTTAACTGCTCCTATGGATGGTAATGAGATATTTGTAGAAGAGAAAAAGCTTATAAGGCATCTGTGCGCTGCCTTGTTTAGATCAGGTTAGATTACGATGTAATGACTAACCAACTGCAGGTTTTATGGTTAAACAAAATTTCATCTTATTTATGTGTGTGTTCTCTTTATTGCTCTGCAAAATTTCTGCTTCTTAGCATTGAATATGGACCGAACTCTCATCTACTTAACATTCAGGAAAGCAGGGTCATTTTTTCTTAAGGGATCAAGTGTACCAATTGAAATAAATTACTGAAGTAAAGTAGTTGTGGGGGTCTCAGAAGAGGTTCCAGTCTTCCCACTCAACAGCCTAGGAGATGTGCTCATTAGCTAAACCTTGGGACCTCTGCCCAGACCTCAGTTTCTCTTGGTTTCTTCTGAGTCTATGACCTCCCCTTCCTGTAAGCATGTGTCTTGTTGGGATCCACCTCCACATCCAGGCCTACCACAACTCCTGTGCAAGTCCTTGAGAATGAAACAGCAGCCTGAGCCTTCCATTCAATGGCATTTAGAACACCAAGTAGGAGTTGAGAAGATGTTACTTATGTTATTAGAGCAATGATTAGTAATAATTGCCATTTACTGAAAAGTCACAATTGATTGCCAGAGGGTTTAGCATTTTGCATGGATTATGTATTTCATTTACTCATCACGACAACTCTATGGGGTAGGTACTGTTTTAGCCCCATTTTAAAATGAGGAAACTGAGGCCTAGAGGAGCCAAACCCTTTCCCAAGGCCATTCAATTGGTTTATGTCAGAGCCAGGATTAAAACCCAGCCAGGTAAACTACAGAGGTTGTGTGATTAGCCACTGGGTCAATGTTTCCCAAACTTTGGTCAGTTTCATACCACTGTAAATGTCTTTATTTATTTCCTTAAAATTCCATTTTCATTAAATTATTTGAAATAAATAATATGTTTAAAAAGATGTAGCTACCATAAAGTTACCTGAAGTTTTTATATAGTAGTTAAACATTTTTAATGTTTAATAGTAACAGATTTATTGGATTTTACTATGCTAGAGAAGAAAACTTTGCAATCATTACAGATGAACATATATATATTAATAATTTCAGTTTGTATGTTCAGTGTCTTTAAAAAGACATTAATCTATTGAATCCAGTTATATATCTTTCCTACAGCATTAAAGTTAATATATGGAAATGTAAGTTGTTTACCACATACCTTCTAAGATCATCTTGAACACCACTCAAATTCATTTGACAAACATTTATTAGGTCTTTGCTAATGTGCCAGGCATGGCATATAGCAAGAAAATAAGAAAGGCAAAAACCTTTGGAGAAAGACATTATTATTGAAGAATAGAACACTCTGCTGATGTCCCATAAGGAGCCCAAGGAGACAGTTATTCTAGAAGAGCACAGCTGGGTTGGAGTGGACAGATTTGATGGGAACAAAGGAGGCATTGTCCCATTTTATGTTATGACTAGTTGGGGGCTCTCAAGGCAGGACACCAGAAACAAAGCATAGGACACAGCCCTACTGTAAGTGACCTCCAACTGAGAGAAGGTAGGACTCAGCTCACTGGTGGAGCGTACTTGTTCTCCTCAGGTATCCATCCCCGCTGGTTTCTGGATGTGTAGTCAGAACCAGAATGGAGCTCAGCTTTTCAAAAAAGAAAAATGTCCAAAGGAACGAGTGTGTGGAAAGGCCTAAGATCTTTCCACCTAGGCAGAAAGCAAATGAAATGGATTAACCATTTTCTTGTCACCTCTGCCGGGTTCTTACCTAGCCTGGATTTCTACCTCTTAATCATCTTTGAAAGAAGCACAACAGCCAGGAAGCACAGAGATAAACATTAACAACCACTAAAGTGAATCCTACTGGAATGGACAGTCCCTGTGGGCAGGAACTTGCTGTATCTTGATGCCTGGAACATCCCATGGCATAGGGTCGATTCTCAATAGCTATTTGTTGAATTAATAGATAAATTAGAACAGGTACCTTCCTTCCTTTGTAACAGTAAGTTGAAGAGGTAAACAAGTGATGTGAGTCAAAGATTCACTCATGTATTTTGTAGTTTAGACTTTTCCAGTATCCCCTGAAGAAATACGCCTGCCCTAAGAGATGTGATATTCAATCTAGTTTTATACTGATGCAAGTTACTACACTTTCCCAGATTACCTTATCTCCCCAAATCCTTCTACCATAAAAAATTCAAAATTTATTGGGGATTTACTGCTCTGAGTGAATCATATATATTATTTAAATATTTTAAAACTTACAACCCAGGAGGCAGGTACTACATTATCACAACTTTACAAAAAAAAAAAAAAAGAAAAAATTTGATTACAAAAAGTTTTCAAAACATGCAGCTTGTGAGTGTTAGAAACAAGAGTCAAACCCAGGCAATCCATGCTCTTAACCACTGTTTTATTGCCCTCCCAATGCTCTCAGCACCAGCTCTAACCCCAGTGCAAAATTGCAAGATACCGGCACCCACCTTCAGGGCTTCATCCTCTCTTCTCTGTGACCATTCATCCATTTCAGCCTTTAATACCACCCTCACTGCTTTGTCTAGAAACAGCTTGCGATGGTTAATTTTATGTGTCAACTTGACTAAGCCACGAAGTGCCCAGACATTGGTTAAAGATTATTTCTGGATATGTCTGTGGGTGTTTCTGGATGAGATTACCATTCAAATCAGCAGACTTGAGTAAAGTAGATTGCCCTTCTCAATGGGAGTTGGCCTCCTCCAATATGTTGAAGACTTAAATAGAATAAAAGGCCTCACTTCTTTGACCTGGGGTATTGGTCATCTCCTGCCTTCAGACTCAGGCTCAGACTGAAACTACATCATCAGCTTTACTAGGTCTTAGCCTCTTTAATTGTGTAAGTCCATTCCTCCATTCCTTATAATAAATATATTTATATATATATAAATAAACAAACACACACACACATCCTATTGGTTCTGTTTCTCTGGAAAACAGTACATAGCCCCACCAACCTATTCTTATTTCTAAATAGGAAGATAGGTCATTTATCAAAGCATACATTTACTAGGGCGTGATTCCCAGGTTAACTGCCATGCATCTGCTGATGAGTAGAAAGAAAATGGACCATTTTTTAGGTTAATAATTTATATTCCCTCTTTCTCCTCCCATCTCATTTGAATGAGAGTGATGTCAAGTCTTGAGCAGTGCACCAAGATGGAAACAGCATGTGTGGAATAAACTAGACCTCTGCAGTTAGACCCAGTCAATTGGAGCCAACTCCATGTCTACCAGATCCCATCTTGTTCACTTCCTCTTGTGCTTCTCCATGATGGTTTCTCATGTCAAACTCTATGCTCAGCTCTAACGTGGTTCATCCTGTGTCTTGGGTACCATCCTAGTGGTCTTTTTACCTCCCTTAGTTTGTCAGCCAAGAAGATGGCTTTCCTTTTTGGGTCTGATCTCTCTTCCTGGCACCTGATTAGTTTAACACTTTGGCTTAAGGAGCTCTCCAGGAGCTGATACATTAAGGCCTCACCCCCCAATTCCCTTCATAAGTCAATGTTTTGACTAATTAGCTGCAATCACGATGGCTTTTCCCTGTCTCAGGTTCTACAATTCTACACACTGAGGGAAAACTATTAAAAAGTTACTGATTTTTCACTTTCTTACCTGTATAATCAGAAGCAGCAATGAGTCAATGAAAAGGTCATTGAGATTAAAATCAAAAGAACTAAATTTGAATCTCTACTTTATTACATTAAGTCCCTTAGATTCAGTCATCTCATCAATGTAAATAATAATAAAGCCTCACTCACTGATGTTTTAAGGTTTCATTAAGATAATGTGCTTGAAAGTGTGTGTTAATTATTATAAACTACAAAAAAATGTCAAATGCATTTTTATTATTGTCAGCTTCATCCTGTACTGAGATTTTCTAAACATCATTGGAACTAAAAGAGAGGATCAATTCAAAGCAGCACACATTTCCTCGTCGCCTGCTTCTATGCCAGACTTTGTGTCTGCTGCTGGGCACAATGCGCACACAAGGAGCTCACAGCTTGGGTGGCACCAGAGATGGTAAATAACCCCAGTTAAGATTTGGAAATACCTAGTTCCCAATTGGTATTTTTTCAAAAAGAAAGAAAAAAAAAGACTTGGAAATACCAAATTATGCCTGAAGATCAGTGAAGACTCATTTGTCATTTGGAAAAGCAAGTCAGGCATGAGTCTCTCCAAACAAAAGTCTTTTTAATACCTGTATACCACCTTTAAAAACAAGTGCTTCCTGGAGTGATGTCTGGTATGTCTTCAACTAGATTCGATTTGTAGTAAGCCCTCTAGAGGTAGGTTGACATTATCATCTGCATTTTCTCCTAGGAGCCATTAGTTCTTGCTTTAAGTAGTAACTAATTTCCAGGTGTGGACTGCTAGATCTCAGAGAATTCAGTACTCAATATCAGCTTTTAAAAAGAAAAGTAATATTAACATGGTAAAAATATTAATTTACTTGAACTTCATTTATATTTTCAGAAAAATGAAAACCTTGGAAGCAAAATTTGAAGAAGCTTAATACTCTCGTATCCTCTGGTATGTTTACTCCTAACTTGCAGCTATCTTTATTCTTTGTTTAACTGAATTCTTATTTTCTCCCCTTACTACTTAGCAAAAACATATTCTTATGAACTTTGAAGTTTATAAAGAATACTGTCTGTTGAATGTTTGTTCAGGTTCTTGATTAACCCTTACATGTTCACTTTCTTTTATCTTTCAGAAAAAATAAAAAAAAAAAACTTTTAGGCTGTAGAAAATAATGAGCTATTTTAATGCCTCATAAATTCTAGTGCTCCACTTTATCTTTATTTTGTGACAGGTATAATTTTTGCACAAGAAAGTAGTTTTTTAAGTTCCCTCCTCTATCATTATCTATGGGCCATATAGTTAATCTGGCAGTTGATTCTGGGCCATCTTTTGATAGTTGTATCTTGGATATATTTTTTTTAAAAAGTGTAAGAATCAAACTTAATATTACTCTTTTTGAGGTTGATCAGGATTTATACATGGTAAAAAGTCAGTGAATGGCTGGTGATTGAGTTGAAATAATTCTAGGTTTCCAGCTTCTCTTCCCACCTTAAGCATCTGAAAGAAAGAAAAAGGTTTTAGAATTTGCTTGTGCGCAAGAATAGATTCTCAGTGATAGCCATAGATTTTCTCCGACCTTGATGGCCTTGAAGCTGTTTAGTAATTATGTCTATATTGGAATAATGAATGTTGAAGCTGTTTAGTAATTATATCTATACTGGAATAATGACTGTTTGAACTGCAAATGATAGACTTGATATCCTTGTCAGTTTCAGGTATAATTTTTAAATGTCACTTGTCCCAGGAAGAGGGAAAGAATATAAAGACACTGGCACAGAAACCCAAAGTCCATGTGAGAAAGAAAGAAGTTGCTGAAATGGAATGAGGGAAGGGCCAGAGGCTTGCCATTTATGCTAGCTACCTTGATGGAATAATCAGATCACTACTTGATTTTGTCTTTTTATTTTCTGGAATATTTTCTTTCTTCCCTCTCTTCCTCGATTTCTTTCTGTATACCTGTTTTGGAAGAATTTTCACTCCCCTGAAAGCTTTGGTTTCCAAAAGAAGGGACTTATACTAGACAAAGAGGGTTGACCTCTTTTAGCTCTCACTGCTTCCCAGGTATATTCATCAGGGTTCTCTAGAGAAAAATAACCTTCTTTAAGCTTCTCCAGAGAAACATAGCTTTCTCTTATAAATATATTATCATAGGTAGCAACAAGCTGGAGCCTGTGGCATGGGCAGTAAAGGAATTTACCAGACAGTTGTAGGTAAAAAAAAAAAAAAAGACAGATTTTTTTTTTTTGGAGAAATTATGAAAATACATTACAAGGGCCAGGCATGATGGCTCACATCTGTAATCCCAGCACTTTGGGAGGCCAAGGTGGCCAGATCACGTGAGGTCAGGAGTCCAAGGCTGGCCTGGTCAACATGGTGAAGCTGCGTCTCTACTGAAAAAAAAAAAAAAAAAAAAAATACACACACAAAATTTGACCAGGTGTGGTGGTGGGCAACTGTAAGTCCAGTTACTTGGGAGGCTGAGGTAGGAGAATCGCTTGGACCCAGGAGGCGAAGGTTGCAGTGAGACAAGATCACGCCATTGCACTACAGCCTGGGGGACAGAGCAAGACTCTATCTCAAAAATAAAAATAAAAAAATATAGAAAATACGTTGCAAGGATGCAAGGGGCAGGCAAGCAAGAGAGGAAAGAGAGGAGCTGACTGCAAGGAGACAAAGGCTTGCTGGGAATTTTATAGGATGGTGCTTGTGCTGGAGAGGGCTACATGCAGTACTGATAATGTCAAAGTTGCAGTGAGCCAACTTGTATTTCTCTATCAGCTGAGGGTCTCGTGATAAGTCAGGTGCAGGATGATTGTGAGTTAGTTGTGCAGGAGGGCTCTGAGTCCTGGACAATGAAAAAGGCAGATTTATATCTTATCTCCTTTTTCTTTTTGCTTTCCTGTGCTCCCACGAGCCTGAATCCTTTTTGTTATTAGTACTCCACATATATCTATAAGAGAATATTTTATTAAATATAACTGTAAGAGAAGATTTATTATAGGAATTGACTTGCAAGATTATGGAGGCTAAGAATTCCATGATCGGCTATCTGCAAGTTGAGGAAACATGAAAGCCAGTGGTATAATTCAGTCTGAGTCTGAAGGCCCAAGAACCGGGAGCACTGAGGTGTGAGAGGAGAAGATAGATATCCCAACTCAGAGAGAGAGAGTGAATTTATGATATTTAGGCCCTCAAGAAATTGAATGATGCCCACCCACACTGGGGAGGGTGATCTTTTTAACTCAGTCTACTGATTCAAATGCTAACATTTTCCAGAAACACCTGCACAGATGTACCCAGAAATAATGTTTCATCAGCTTTCTGGGCATCCATTAGCCCAGTCAAGTTGACACATAAAATTAGCCATTACACCAGCAGAAGAGAAGTAGTTTATCTAAGAGGTGAACATGTGAGAAGTAATTAAAAAGGATTAGCTCAGCTCTTTCCAGGAGGAGCCTGTGGCTACCTATCTGTGTCAATGGCTAGGTTTATAAGTCTGTGTAATTTGGGGGTAAAATATAAGCAAGTCTATTTGCTTATAAATCTAAAGTCATATTCTACCCCAGACTTTCTCCTGCATCTTACCCTCAATGGTTCTTGGGAGTATTACTTACAGCTACCTGAAATCTGAAATTTCCTTCCGTGTCCTTTTGATTTGAGGTGGATTTCAAAATTACATATAAAACAAGTAAGATAAAATACTAGTAAGTAGAAAAACAGAAGAGAAGGATAAAAAGTTAGAAAAAAATAGAATAAAGTGAGTTGATCCTTTTTCTATTTTTTATTTTTTATTTTTTTTAATATATATTTTTTATTATACTTTTAAGTTCTAGGGTACATGTGCACAACGTGCAGGTTTGTTACATAGGTATACATGGGCCATGTTGGTGTGCTGCACCCATTAACTCGTCATTTACATAAGGTATATCTCCTAATACTATCCCTCCCCCATTCCCCACCCCACAACAGGCCCTGGTGTGTGATGTTCCCCTTCCTGTGTCCAAGTGTTCTTATTGTTCAATTCCCACCTATGAGTGAGAACATGCGGTGTTTGGTTTTTTGTCCTTGCGATAGTTTGCTGAGAATGATGGTTTCCAGCTTCATCCATGTCCCTACAAAGGACATGAACTCATCATTTTTTATGGCTACATAGTATTCTATGGTGTATATGTGCCACATTTTCTTAATCCAGTCTATCATTGTTGGACATTTGGGTTGGTTCCAAGTCTTTGCTATTGTGAATAGTGCCGCAATAAACATACATGTGCATGTGTCTTTATAGCAGCATGATTTATAATCCTTTGGGTATATACCCAGTAATGGGATGGCTGGGTCAAATGGTATTTCTAGTTCTAGATCCCTGAGGAATCGCCACACTGTCTTCCACAATGGTGCGTGCTGATTCTTTATTCATTCATTTGACACATGCTTTTTGTGACTCCATTGTGTCAGGTTCTATTCTATGTTGGGCTGTGTAGCAAAAGACAGACAAGGTTCCTTCATCATGTACTTTATAGAGCACATACACAGGACCATGAGATCCTACACTTTCTTGTAGAGGTATGAGGTAAAGTGTGTACTGATCTTAAAATAACAGTCCAAGAAAAGAAAAATCATGATCAATAAACATGATGTGTGGAAATTTTTGCCTACTCATAGGACAGTTGAACAACTATGTGAGGTTCATTTCCACTCTTCCACTAGGACACTGAGCTTTGAATAAGTTTAACTACAACCACAGAGAAGTACAACTATTTATTTTCAGTACTGATGAGTTTCACACAACTTTTTCTACTTATCTACCTGCCTCATTTACTTTCCCAATTAAAAAAAATATCTAAAATCTGTGAGTCTTGACACAATGAACAGTAAAACCCTAGAGCAAATACTGCACTTTGGCTTGTTCTTAATATCTATTAGAATGCATCCCTTGCTTCTCTTTTCTTCCATTTCCTGCCATGTCTTTTGTTGATTTTTAAAAGTGCTTTTCATTAATTTATTTATCACTTTTACATCCTGGACTCTTACAAAAACGTACCAACTGATGTAAGATGGTTATTTAACTTTTCAGAACACATTGGGGGCTTAGCATTTCATCTCTTTGTCTAATTTCTGACTTGTCATTAAGACAGATTCTGAACAATCACTTCTGACTCCAAACAATCTTCAGCATTTGACATTGTAAATATTTCTTCCTTGTGTAATTTAAACCTCACGAGAGGCTAGAGATGAAATGTGGTCATTGACTTTTTGCAACTTAGAAAAAAAAAGCAGAAAGATATTTAGATTAAATAAAATGCTATGTTCACCCTGTTGGAGCCATAGCAGCTAAAACAACATTCCAGATAAAAGAGTAAAACAGTCTCGGAAACCCAGGTTGCTTTTCCACTCTAGGATGTCATACTTTCATGACAACACCTGGATATAGTTCACAGTGATGGTCTACGATTCTGATAATGGCTTCTAAGTGGTTTCCTAATAGGAAACCAAGCCAATTTTCTTTTGTCTAGTCTGTGATTAAGGAAACTAAAACTGAAGTATAATACACAAATCTTTCTCATATTAAAAACAAAGAACATCAACAATAAAAGAAAAAAAAAACAGAATCACAGCCCAGAGGGAGTGGTGAAGCCAAAAACACAACTGTGTTGCAACATCTGGATAATCCATACATTCTTAATAGTTGGCAATGAGAAAGCTGAGATGGAAGTCACCATTAGAAGTTCTTCAGCAGTGATGATCAGAAGCCTTGGCAGTTCAACAAATTCATGGGACTTTACCACAAATCTGCATTGTTTTTTCTCAGTGGTAGCTCTCTTGATCTAAAATCTTCATGAAATTTTGCTCTTTAACATCAAAAGTATTCAGTTAGCTATTTAAACTATTGGATTTTGTAGCAGTAATGCAAAAACAGGCTAAATAAACCTAATGAATTTTGTTCTTAGAGGCTTAATATTAGTCACTGACCAATTTTAAACAATTCGATAAGAATACAATTATTGAAATGTGGTGTCTTCTGTGAAGCACCATCTCCATGTTAACCCCAAACTTGTATCATTGAAAGTGGTTCAAAATTTCCATTTCAGTCATTTCCAAAGGGAATACCTTCCCACAGAGCCCAATAGACCCAATATTACAGAATCTCTTCACATAGTTACTAATTTTGTTGGATATCTCTGGGATGTTTTTATCAATTTCCAAGATTCTTATGCTATGCCATCTTCTTGGCTACTGTCTTTTGCTTCTGGTTGAATCAGGTCTTCTGGAAACTCAGCCTCAAAGATAGAGCAGATGCTAAATGACTGAGATATACCCATAGAGTTGGAACCTAAAGGCAGACACAAAAACATAAGGTATGATTCATGCCCATCAAATCTATGAATTGTTTCTGAAATTAGGTTTTCATTTCCACTGAATAGCTCTACAATTCTTTGACAGCTGTGATTCCATTGACTTCAGGGTAGTTTAGCAATGGGAATTGGCTATAGTCTCAAGTCACCATCTGTTCAATCCTCATGTCCAGCTTTCTCTTGAGTGGCTTTACTTTCTGAAACCAATCAGCCAAATTGAAATATATGCTGTCTTTTTACAGCATCAAGTCTGGTGAATCCATATCTCTGCCATGGCACTGAAAAATTATAATTGAGGGTTTAAAGATGTGAGTTGTTTAGTCATCTGATTTACCAAACTCCTTAATCTGAAAAAGCAGATGAAAGAACCCCTTTCAAATATTTTCCTGACTAAATCATCCACCTATATTAAATAAACAAATTTATATTTCAAGTTTTTTAAAGTAAGTAGTACTAAGTATGCAGAAAATCTACAGCCTTTATCACCTCCTCAATTAAAATGCGCAATAAACTAGTTTTTACAAAATTCAGAGCCCTAACTCTCTTGATGCTTGGAATAATTGAAACCAAGTTCACTAATGTACTCTTGTGACTCACATTTATTACATAACTCTTTTTTTATTCCTTCATCATAAGTCTTCCTATAATAATTGAATTCTGCTTTTAGTGCAGACCAAAATGCTTTAATTTCTTATGGGAAGCTAGGTTCACACATTCTATGTCAGTAGGTAGTGTTTATGTTTTGTAGCATCCTCAAGGTAAATGCATTTGGCCTTATGTTGATTGTCCCTCTGAGGTGGTCAGACAAGTGAGTATAGAAGAGCTGGTGTCATAGTGCGTTTTGGTCTGCCGTAACAGATGACTGGGGACTGCACAACTTTATATAGAAAAGGGATTTATCTGTCACAGTTCTGGAGTCTGGAAAGTCTAAGATCAAGGCACCAGCATCTGTGGTGTCTGGTGTCTGGTGAGGGCCTTCTTGTTGCATGCTTACATGGCAAGTAAAAAGACAAGCAGAGACCAACATTATGTCTTCATATGGCAGAAGAGCAGAAGAGAGTGAACCCACTCCCATGAACACTTTCTATAGTGGCAATATCTATTCATGAGGAAGGAGATCTCATGACCTAAACACTTATTAGGACCCAACTCCCAATGCTGTTGCATTGGGAATAAGTTTCCAACACATATGTTTTGAGGGACATTCAGACCATAGCAGCTGGCTATCAGAACTGGGGTTCCTGTGAATGCCCTTGACGCATTGGTATCTGATTTTAAACTGTGAGGTCTGCTACTTTATAGAGCTGCAGAGGGGACCCCAGGGGAGCTAAATCAAAGCCATTCACAAATGGTTTCCTCCAGAGGTCCCTCCTTGTTTCTGCAGCTCCTTCTTTTTATCAACACCTGCTAGCCTGGCTTGTCAACCTCTTTTGGATATGGATAACTGTTCCTATATTTCCCCTGTGTTCATATTTGGTAACTCACTTGCCAGTGATTCTTCACCCTACTTTTCCCACACGTTTTTGGTCACTTTTTGTATATTGTGCTTTGGTGAATTGCTTAAAATCTATTTGTAACTGAAACTGGCCAGGATCCCATTTGGAACTTTGCTGTTCCTGCATGCTGGTGGTTACCCAAAGGGCCATTGTTTTACCCAGGAGGGGCCATGAGAGTCCTGACAGTGTCATGCGGAAGGGATTGAGTTGGGGTGGGAGTGAGATGCAGATGGTTTCTAGCCATGTTCACTTCCTACTAAGGAAAAGCAGGCTTGTTTGTTTGTTTGCTTATTTATTAGTTTTTATTCTACTTGTGTCTGAGAAGTCAATACCTGAACAAACACTGTGAAGGTAAATTCAGACTGTTTTCTGTCTGGTGTTAAACCAAAACACTTTTCTTTGTGCTCCCTAAAATAATGCATCATATTAGGATAATGAGGTTAAAAAACAAGCCTTTAGAGTCAGACAGGCCTAAGCCCGACCTATCCCATCCCTTTCACTACTCCTCTGAAGCCATGAATGCTTAACCTAGGTCCTCAGCCCCTCTGTGTCAGTTCCTGTCTACAAAATGGGGATAAAAGTAGCACCTACCTCAAAAAGTGGTATGAACGTTATATGTAAAATCACATACAATGTGTCAAGCCAAGTACATGGAATACTTATGATAATAACATACCACATTCTGTTGACCAGCTTTTATTCTCTAACACTTTACATAGATTTGCTCATTTAATCCTCACAGGTGCTATCTTTGTCTTTACTTTATAGATGAAGAAGCCAAGTTTAAGAAAGATTAATATATATTACCCAAGATCACAAAGCTAGCAAGGAAATGGGCTGGGGTTTGACACCAGATCTCTTTTATTCTATAGCTTCTGTTCTAAAGATAGTGCTTTAGAACAGAAAAGTAAGGCATCCTGTAGAGCTTTCTATTAAGTGGTGAAGTGAAGGCAGACCTCTAGTGAGAAATTGAATCTGGAAGCCAATTTTCAGGTAAGTGTGCTATACAGTGTACCAGGAGGAGAGTGCGAAAATTATTAGTGAGATATTTGAATTATCAAAAGCAGTCTTTCATTGCTATCAGTGTCCTTGATGCTTTGTGTGATTTTCTGCATTGATGAAACAGGTATTGGGTGTCTACTCAGTAACAGGTGTGTAAAGTACCATTTATACCAATAGAAATAATTGTTACCCCAACCCTCACCTTCTTAGCCCCATTCCCTAAATCACGTCTTTTACCATGGCTTTTTAGGGGACCACATGAGCATTAGTTAAAAAGAAGTTTTCCAGAATGGTATAATAAGAAAAATTTCATTAGGACTGGGGCCTGGGATCAAATCATGACAATAAGACCTGATGTTTGAATATCCTAAGACTTGGTTTTCTCAGAAGTAAAATATGAAAAACTAGCAGGTAGTGAAACATCAGATCTCACCCTACGGTCCGGAGTCAAATCGCGTCCTCCCAAAAAACATATGTTGAAGTCCTAACCTGCAGTACCTGTACAGGTGATCTTCTTTGGACGTAGGGTTTTTGCAGATTTAATTAAATTAATATGAGGTCATTACATTGTGCATTAATTTAATATGACTAGTGTCCTTCTAACAAGAGAAAAATTTGAACACAGACACAGAAACACAGGAATACTGTCATGTGAATATACAAAGACATACAGACACAATGAGGAAGGCCATGTGAAGACAGAGTCAGAGATTGGAGTGATACATCTACGAGCCAAGGAATACCAAGGGTTGTTCATCTACAGCGATCAGAGACTATGAGAGAGGCCTGGAACAGATTCTCCTTCAGAATCTCTGGAAGAAATCAGCCCTCCCAACACCTTGATCTTGGACTTCTGGACTCCAGAACTGGGAAACAATAAATTTATGCTGCTTTAAGCCACAAACTTTGTGATGTTTTGTTACAGGAGCAATAGGAAACTCACACACCTGCCGCATAATGAAGTCAGGAAATAATTCCTTAGAAAGTTTAAAATGATAGCTGCAGGAGGAGAGAACCCGCTCTTAGGTGGCCTGCTGCATCAAATAATGGAAGCCAAGTCACAGTGATTTGAAGTCCAGTTCCTATTGGGGATTAGAAGATTATCTGTTAACACCTTCTCCCTTAGTCCAATTCTTCCTAGAGGAATATAATCCTCACGCCCACTAACCCACTGTTTTCAGCTTCTTCAATATGTGTAGTTGTCTTCACCCACCTGCCTTTTTCCTTTTTTCTGTTTATCTTTCCACACTACTTTTTTAGTCCACCTGTACCTCAACTCAAACTTCATCTACTTTCTACTATCCCTTGTCACTTTAATTTAACTTGAGCACAGATACGCTGCTTCTGTGCCCAATAATTGATTTTATTCTATTTGTCTTTAAACATGGCCATGTGTAGGGTCCCATCAACTCACACATTTCACTCACTCCTTCTTGAAAAGCCTGTTTCAACAGTTTTGTAGATACAAGGAAGCTAGTAGCTTAGTTTTGTATCTAATGTGTTTTAAATTGTCCCTAGATGTTCCATTCTTTGTTGAAGAAAGAAGCTAAAGGGAGGGGAAATGAAAGTGTCTTTTCCAAATTAGGTGATTGGTGAATCTCAACAGGCCCAAGATTCCTTAATAAGAATAGTAACAGCCAGATTCAGGCAAGCTGGCTTTGAATTCCCAAATCTCTGCTCTCGCACTGACTAGCTCGGTGTCCTTGCAAGAATTCCATAATTTCCATATGCCAAAATGGTCAGGCTATAAAATGAGGTAACAGTGCTGCCTTTCTTAAAGAAGAGTTGGGCCGGGCATGATGGCTCACACCTGTAATCCTAGCACTTTGGGAGGCCAATGTGGGTGGATCTTCTGAGGTCAGGAGTTTGAAACCAGCCTGGCCAACATGATGAAACCCCGTCTCTACTAAAAACACAAAAATTAGCTGGGTGTGGGGACAGGGGCCTGTTATCCCAGATACTTGGGAGCCTGAGGCAGGAGAACTGTCGGGAGGCAGAGGTTGCTGTGAACTGAGATCATGCCATTGCACCCCAGCCTGGGCGACAAGAGCAAAACTCCATCTCAAAACAAAGCAACAATAACAAAAATTTGGAAAGGTAAGTGGGTTAATAATGCATGTGTATTTTATGCCTGGTTCTTAGTAAGGTCTCAGTAAACATTAGCTCTTCCTATTTGTCTCCTAGATTTTTAGCAAATATTTCATTTTTACGATAATGCATTCACACAGTTGTCTTCATTATTTGTTTAACTAAGTCCTTTGCATACTTATTTTTATGCAGTCTCTTAATAAGAAATTAAAGCATAAAATTGAAATATAAATCTAAAAAAAAGTGGAATAAATTTTTTAAAATTCCATGCTAGTAAATCTTAGTGGAGTGTTTTTTTTTTAACGGCTTGCCACAGTTGATTTTACACCAGCATTTTATGAAGCATATTTTATTTTTTCTAAATATTCAATTACATCAAATAGGTATACTAGTACAGGCTGATAGCTAGAACTGGAAATAACAGTAAATTTTAAAAAGCTTTTATTTAAAGAAAAAAAAACCTTTCAAAGTTACTGTCAAAGCTTTTCCTGTTTGTCTGAGATTGTGCACTTTAGGAATGAAAAGAAAAATTGAAATATACTGGAGGGAAGTTATACTTATTGGCATGAAATATAGGAGAAAAGCATGCAAAGAAAGCAGTCCAATATATCAAGGCAATTCTAGCTCTGGTCATTATACAAACTTAACATTACATCGTGGATATAAATTTCTTGAGTGAGTAGTTGATTCCTACTGGGATGGAGAAAACGTAAATGGAGCCGATATGCTTTCAAATAGACAATCTTTAGTCTTAATTTGAATAAATTTGGCCCAGAAGGTTTTTATTTGTTTCCTTTGATGAGGTTTTTTTCTTTTCCTCTTTTATTTATCATTTTTTGGAGGGGGCTAGTATATTATATGATTTAGCAATTAAATGATTTAGGCTAATTAATGATTAAATGGAAAGATGAGTGAATCAATATATTTATAAAAGTCTGTTTTCTCCAAACAGTCTAAAATACAGACACCAGATGTCTAGCACGTAATAGGCACTTGATAAAACATTTTGACTGACTAATTCAATTTTATAGATCCTTTATTCTCCCAGATACCTGGTAAATTCTGCATCCAATAGGCATCAAAGTTGGCTGTCTATGTACTATTGTTTAGCATGTATCTGTCTGACGCAAAGACAAAGTTACATGAGCCAGTGCCAATGTGAACAGATTCTGATCATCAAGATCTACTCCTAAGAAAAGGTGAGGATACAGGAGGTGGAAGTACCAAAGGAAAGAGGAAACTTCCCTCTTCCCACCACTCACTTTAATGGAGGAAGTCAAGCATAAGACTAAAATTAGAAGGAATGAATTTAGTGTCCATATCTGTCACTTACTTGCTGTAAGATATTGGGCAATTTTCTTAGCTACCCTGAGTCTCATTTTTCTCACTCATAAAATGGGAAGTATGCTTTCTCAGTGTTTTCCCAGTGGTGAGGATTCAATCAAAGAAATCTCATGAATGTGTGCATTAAAATTTAATGTGCTTCACAGATATGAGACAATAACCACATCATCCACATTGGATGCAACAGAGAAGGTCAACTCCGTAAACTGTAAAAGCATAAAAGGTGAGAGACCTTCCACAGACAACTGAGGTTTAGAGACCTGTGAACTTCAGGACCACATGACTCTGTTGAATGAATATTTTAATCCTTTGTTTTTAAGCAGTTTGTATAATGTGAAATTAAATAGCAAAGCTTGACAGCAAAAGGAACAACACAGATATATTTCAACACACCCAACCTCTTCCACAGTCATTCCTATAACTCCCAATCATACTTTTACTAAGTAATAAAAAAGGTGCTTTCTTCCTAGCAAAACCCAAACAGCCACGATCTGGACTGTGCCTGGAATCTCAGATGTTGAGTAAGACAGAAATGCATTATAAAACATGAGCTTGCCTCCCGTCAGTGCATCTTTATTGCATATTTATGCCTGTAGTTCCTGGGTGCTTCTGAGACAGGAGATATGCTTGTTTACCATTGGGACTGGTTGCATTTCTACACACCTGTGTGGAGTTTAATCTGGAAACCCCCTTCTGAGCCCCTTAAAGCTTTTTTTAATTTATTTTTTATTTATTTATTTTTGAGCCAGAAGGAACCTGGGGGGTCTGCATAAATCCAAAGACTCTACATCAGGCACTGGCAGGAAGAATGTGTTGAGCTACGAGGCTTTTCCAGAACTTGCAGGATCAAAAACACAAGGGTGATATAGCAAGTGCACAGTGTCACAAAAGACAGGCACCAAATCACACATGCTAATCAGAATGCCTGAAGGTTGGCAGAATTCAGGCAGCAATTTCTCTTCCACCAATCTCCACTTGACTTTTCTTGGGAACCAACAGGGAGATGTTGGATTTGACTATTAATGAGTCAGTACACACTTTATTGGTCCTAAAGCACATTTGTCATGGCAATTTACATGAGTTAGCACCATGTTTCTAAAGCTTGCTACAGAATCTAGCAAGCATTTGTTTTAATGAGCTAACACACCCAGAATGACTTATACTTTTTATGGTATTTATTACATATTGTCATAAACACTATTAACTTAAATTATGGAACCATTTGCACACTCAAAGAAAAAACAAAGTGTTCATCATTAGAGCAAGAAAGAATCTTTAGAGACACCCACTCCCGCACTTTGTATTCTGTTGTATATAGAAGAAAATCTGGTGGCATTCTTTGTCTCATCTTAGCTAAAAGGAAATCTGAAGATCTGCAACTTGGCTGGAGTCCTGGAAGTCTGTGATGGAGAGGGAAAGTCCATGGACTACAGTGGGTTAAACATAGGGACCTCCCAGTGGGTAGAACCCATGAGAAAAACTGAAGCCAGCTTTAGATAAACAGGGAGCCAAGTTATCAATCCTTAATAACTAGGAAGGAAAGTCCAAGTCATGGGAAAATTTAAGGATAATCCAAAGATTAATGGAGTCTGGAGAGCCCCCTGGAGTAGGCAAAACGTAGCACCAGGCACATTTCATGTTAGACTGTACTCTTGGCTGTGTGGCAAGAAGCTCTGTCAACTTGGACTTAAGCTTTTCATAATAATTACTAATTTCCTGGCTCTTAATATACATGTCCACTTGCAACTGGCATAAACTGGTTTTAAAGGCCGTATTTTGATGTGATGTGTCTCTCTAGGATTTTCTGGAATGCTAATATTCATCATCTCCCACATTTCTTTAATCTCTCACACTCAAAGCTCTTTCTTGATGATGCTGCCTTCCTGAGAGTTAATGTGAAATGGTGATTTAAGAGTGTAGACACTGGTTCACCAATAAGCTATTTGTCCTTGGGACACTTACTTAACCTCTGTGTTGTAGGCAAACAACTCAACCTCTGTGCTGTATGTAAACGGGTACCATAGTAATCTCTTTAGGGTTAGTGTGAGGATTGAGTTATAATACGCCAGGTCCTTAAAATAGTGCCTGGCAATTAATGAATGCTATTTAGGAGTTTCTAATATTTATTAATTTTAACTATGTATCATCCCTCCTCTATTGTCTAAGGCTAGCAGAGTGCAGGGAAGCAAGCATGTAACAGTGATTTTAAAAAAATTAACAGCATTTGATTTTCAGCTTAATGGGTTTTTTAAAAACTGTTTTTCATTTTGAAATAAGAGAACGAGACACATTGGTGTAAATAAGCAGAATCCCTTTGAATGTAAACTGATGCAGTTATGTTAAATTGGTGACTCAAATTACATAACATTGTTATTACTTTTTTCCACATTTTATTAAGACTATAAACCTTTGGATTGAAAAAAGTTCAATGAACCCCAGATTGAGTGAATGTAAAATTCAAAATCACACAAAACATATCACTATATCATTTAGAAATAGATATATATATATGAATAAAAACAATAAATAGGAAAGGCAAGATTAACAAAAATTTAGGATTGCAGTTACCCCTGGAGAGAAGAATGGGGGACTCAAAGGCTTTAAGTGTATTGGTAAATGTTTTCCCTCAGGTGACCTAAGGGGTAACTAAGTAGTATTATTATTATTTAAATTGAATATGTACAAAATATGTTTTGCAAGTATGCTAGATATCACAATAAATAGAAAATAAATTAATGAAGTTCATCCATTCTTTTTATGTGTTACTTATAATAACACTAGCCAGAAAACTGGGAGTCATTCTTGACCACTCCCTCACCAAGCAAATCTAATTAATTATCACATTCTACTTCTCCCTACCTTCACTATCACACCCAGGCCCAAGCCACGTTGACTCTCACCAAAAACACTGAAGTCCCTTCCTGTCTCTTAAACGCCTGCTCTAATCCAGTCTCCAGATAGCAGCCAAAGGAAGCGCTTTAAACCTTATATCTCTTCAACTTCTCTATCTCTCCATCCCCTTTGCTATCAGAAGCAACAGGTGACAAGTAAATTGCCCAAAGTCGCACAGCCAGGAAATGGCAGAGGCAGGACTTTGGGTGATATTGGGAAAGGCTTAGCCACTGCCTCATACAGGGTAATCTCTGGCTAAAGGACAGATTTATTTCTCCTTGAATTACTATCTCACTTTCTTTGTCTGCTTAGTTTTCCTTAACTCTGACCTCAAACCACAATTTCCAAGAAATGCCTTCCTAAGTCCCTGGCCCCATTGCAGTAAGTCTCCACTGTGTGTCCTCCAGCACTTTGTACATTTCTAGTAACATCCCTCCTCCATTCTATTGTGACCTCCACAAGGGTAGGAGCCTGTTTTGCCCACCATCATAGTGCACACCGTACACCCTTGCTCACTCTGGTACTCTCCATGTCCATCTCTCAGAGAAAATGATAGGTTACCAACCAGATCTCTCATCTTACATTCCAACAATAAGCAATCTGGTCTGCTGATCCTACCCACAGGGCTGTGTGTGAGACAGGTGGGCTGGGGGACAGAGATCAGCCCTGGCCTATGGAACCCGAGATAGCCTGCCCCATGGAAGGGTCCTGGTGCCCAGCTGGAAATGAAAGTGAGTTTGGATACCCAAGACCTCAATCTCTGGAGCCAGTGAACAGGTCACACATTAGCCCCTTCTGCCTCTGTTCTTTCAATCATATCCACTTCTCTCACTTGGAGATTGGGTGGAGGGCATCTGATGTCCACCCCAAGTATGCTGGGGCTACTAGTGACACAGACCAAGGTGGCCAAGCAAGATAAAGTCAGGATAGGGGTGGGAGGGCAGGGGCAGGTATGGCCAAGGCTGTGGAACTTCTCCAGAGAGCTGAATAAGCTTGATCCTGCTGAGGTCTGGCTCTTTTCCTTGGCAGCACTGAACATATTTACAATTATTGTCCATGATATTTCTGCCCCACAATAGAGGCAGGGTACCTTCATGCTCCTCTGAATTCTTGTGTCCAGCACAGAGCATGACCAAGGGCATATGTTCAAGAAATGGGTGGTGCGACCAACCCCCATGAGTCCTTCAGGTCTGACTCAGGTACTTCATTGAGAAGTCTTTATTTGTTGACACATTTTTTAGTTGTTTTGGTGTTCTTCACCATGGGACCCCATAGCCTTGGTGCTCTTGTATTGTGAGCTCAAAAGACATCTGCCAAATGAATGAATGGACACTTGCAGGCTGACTCTCTCCTGAACAGTTGCCAGGTCCAATGCTCTCTGTCTGGAATCCTCTTTCCTCTTCATTTACCTGCTCAGTTTATCTCAACATTTGAGGGATTGCTAGATACTTCACTCTCTTACTGGGCTCAAGGGTCACTTCCTCCAGAAGGCCTTTCTGACTCTTTCCTTTAGGGGCTCCTCGACTCCATGGCCACTGCACCTAGGTGGACCTGTCTGCCCCAAGATCAAGATGGTACCTTGAAACCAGATCTGATTCATCTCTCTGTAGCCATCATGTGGCCATGCTTGGCACCAGTATGGGTTCAGGAAACACCTACTGACGGCATCATCTTTTAGGAGAGAGACAAACTCTGAAGTGGACTGATCCTGATTGGGATGCCAGCCCTGCACTTGATAGCATAGCCAAGTTCCTTTCTTTCTATTAGCTTTCTGGAGTAAAACAGACTGCTGAGCCTGGAAACGAGGTCTAAACTATCTGGCAGAGTTGCCAGGATAGTCATTATCCCCTCAACCTCAGGAGAGAGCAGGACAGGATAAGCCCCTTAATATCTGGTACTTGGTAGTCCAGATAGCTGGGACAGGTGGGAGGAGGAGGAGAAGTTAGAGTGGAATTCATCCTTTTCTGCCCTAGTCTAAGGTTCTCCTTTCCCTCCACCCTCAAACTCACCTAGAAAACAGAGCCCAAAAACTAAGTACTGATGTTTTATTTGGGGAGGTAAAAACTCAAGGCATTAGGAGTGAGAAGCAAGGGAAGAAGCAAGAGAGGAAATAATGGGAAGTAATACAAGATGATGTATTACCAGGCTGGGCACTGCTTCATGACAAGCCTTGAGGAGGGATAGCAGTTGTGTCCACCTGCTACTTGGGAAGTTTCCCCATAGACTGTGTTATTTTGGAGAAATGGCGCTTTGCAGCAATTCATGGAAGGGAGGGAAGAAGAGGGAATTTATCTGCCTGGCAGTTAGCTATCTCCCATTTTCCATTAGTCAAATTTTATCCCATAAGTATTAACTCACCCACACTTCTAGGTTTGCTGGTGGCAACTTGGGATGCCAGATCTCATGCCCTGTGGTATGGCATTTTATCAATGTCTTTAAAGTGGTGGGAAAAGACAGAGACTCTATGCATGTGGCCAGGGAGAATCTGATATAGTACATATGTCCTGTCCAGTACAGTCCAATATTGGTTTTCTCATTTTCTGGAAGAGAACACAAGGCATAGTGATCAAAGATCTTTCCCAGGGTCACATGCTTATTAAGGATTTGAGTGCTGTTTGGCTCTGGAAACTGTGGAAGACCAAGATAAATAACTTGAATTTTATGTAGCAGGTAAAGGAGTCACTAAAGGGTTTTAAACTTGAGAGGCACATGAGATAAAGAGCTTTTTAATGAAGCTCCCAATCTCTACTGTGCCCTACCTTCCCACCTGGCTAAACTCCAGTAGAAGGAGGTGGCCACAGAAGAGTTAGAGCATTGATGACAGGTTTTGAGAAGTCTCCGGGTTCAGAGCTTCATTTGGGCTTCAAGTATTGCTCCATAATCATCCTGTGTTCATCTAAGCCTCCACCTACCAAAGAGAAGGTAGAGAAGCCAAAATGAGAAGAGATTGACCTAAAGACAAGGAGAAGGAGGACCATCCATCTCTTCATTATCAGCCTATGGATCTGAAGATCTTGGCATCTGCTGATGAATCCTTTGGTGCTGCCTGAGGTGGTCAGATCTCATGAACTGTCAGCCCCACTGATCACATCTATGCGATCTATATCTGTTATATATCCACATATTTCGCCCAAGCTCATCAGAAGGGAAGAAAGGCCATGTACAGCCTTCCTACCTGCATGTGTAGGGCCTCTTACTTGGGCAGCCTGGTGCACCACCTGACACTGGCTTAGTTCCTCAGCCTCCTGATCCACTTCAGCCTGGTATCAGCTGTACATGGGGACTGTGTGGGGTCCAGATCCACTTCAGGCCAGACAGGAGACCGGTCACCGCAGTGTCACAGGTGGGTGTCCGGAAACCACCACATCCAATAATGCCATTTGGATCAACTACCCCTAGTAAAGTTCTGAAAAACTAAAACAACAATTGCTTATTGATTTGTACATACATTGCATTTCTGGAATTCAAGCATATAATAAAAATAAGCAAAAAAAAATACTTTAGCATTTTATAAAAACTAGACATATGTTCTAGGCCCATGCAATTATAATCAGGTTTTTTACTTACATGAGTGTCAGGTTGGCCATTCAAAATCATGTGGGGCACAGGATAATTATCTATTTTGTGGGAGGGACTATACAATGTATTACAGGACGTTTAGCCTACCTAAGCCCTGCCCTCCAAACACCAGTGGGCCCCTTCTGTCATTCATCATCATAATAAAAAACCATCTCCCCAAATTTTCAAAATGCCTCATTGGGTAAATTATTGCCCTAGAGAGTATCCAGGACTGGGAGGTAGCTTATTGGTGGAGTGAAAGCCACAGAGTGGGCAAGATTGCCCAGGAAGTTCAGAAAGAGTAATAAAAGACCAGGGACAAGGTCAAGTGAAATACAAACATTTAATAAATAGGAAATGGTAAGAAACAGCCTGAAAAGACTGGAAACAGACAGAAGGAGAACAGTTTCAAGGCCAAAGGAGAAGAGGAACAGAAAAGGGGAAATAATGTTTTCTCTAGAAGAGATGAGTCAATAGTATCAAATGAAATAGATAAATTAGGTGAAATGAGGAACTGATGTAAGTCTACTGAATTTCACAATTAAGAAGTAATTTCTGAATTGTCCCAAGGCTGTCAGTGCTGCCTTTGTGGATTGAGAATGTATTGCAGCAAATTGGAAATTGGACATCAAAACTGGAGACACTACATTGTCAAATCTTTCTGAAAGGGGGAGAGAGATGGGAATTATGATTGACATGACTCATTGGATCAAGGCAACTGAATTTTAATTCACATTCCATTGCATTTCCTTCAGGAAGTACCTTATCATTCAATGCTTGTAAAATGCACAAGCAATGCCTGGCCTCAATCAAACTCTAAAGAAGCGTGTTTACCTGTTCATATATTTGCTTTTAAAACAAAAAACATTTCTGATTTAAACAAGTGAGACTTTCTTGAATAAATTCTACAGTGGGAATTGAACATGCATAGACCTCTCTCTTCCTCTTCTTGAAGTCCCTGGCAATATCTTAAAGTATGGTCTGTGTACAGCTACAAACTACAGCTCATGTAAACAATAGCATGTTTCTTTCTCTTTCCCCAACATTAGCGACTCTGACACTTCTTCAGTTTCTTTCCAGGGGACAGAGGTCAATATTGCTGTGTCTGAAATCCCATTGCAGAGCTTCACTAGGGCTCTCCACAATAACTGCACCTCTTTTCAGAAACGTCAACAATACCTGGGCTGTAAAGAATCTCTTTGCCAAAATGTGTCTTTAGTCTTGAAGTTGAATTGGTAAAGAATAGCATCCTCAGCATTTCATGTTAAGAGTAGAAAACTTGAGCATGTTTATATGCCAAAGAGGGCAAGATAAAGAGGGGAAGGCTGATGGAACAGGTGTTAAAATGATTTAATGATGAAATAAGAACATCAAGGCTGGAAGAAATTGAACTAAAACTCATAGATAGAAGGAGACCCTCTTTCAGTGTATAGAAGGAAAAAAGAAAGGTATAATCACACCTCTAGGGAGTGGGGCTTGGAGGGTGAGATGGTGCTTTTTAGAAGCTCATATAAAAGGGCCATATCACTTGAGATGCATTAGACTGCAAATAATAAATGTCCTAAGTAAACAGGTTAAACAATAAAGATACTTATTATCTCATTTAAGAAGAAATATATCCAGATTTATTTAATAATAATGTGAAACAGTGAATCGAATTATCTGAAAATGACCATAAAAACTCACTCTCAGTTGCTAGGAAAGCAGGCTGGCTGTCATGAGGGAATGCAGAGTGCTTGTTACCTTCTCTAAGTGGGCGGAACAGTAACCAGCCTAAGCATTCTGTGGAGTGTGACCATTGGCTCCCTTCCCCTAGCATTCCCAGACAATTTTTGTAAACTTATTGTTTTCAATAGATGATCCATGGTCCCTAAACCAGCAGCATCCACATCACCTGGGAACATGTTAGACATGCAAATTCTCAGAGCCCACCTCGGAACACTGAATTAGAAGCTCTGGGGGTGGGGTTCGGTAATCTGTATTTATCAGGCACTACAGGTTCATGCTAATGGTTAAAAAGCACTGTTGTGAACATCTGACACCCAAAATCCAGACGCAGGGACTAGATCATTGAGGGTTTCAAAAGCAATGAAGAGAACTTATGGAGTCAAACAAGAGAACAGTTCTGTGTGATACCTATACCATGCTGCTAGTAGCCACCCTCCTGGAGTCATTTCAAATTAATTCTCAAATTCAATTAGGAAAAGCAAAGGTTGCTGTTTTTTAGCAAATGTTGCACAAATTTGATCAATCACAAGGGTATTCACAAGAATACTGCAGAAACAATGCCCTAAAGGTCATGCTGATTCAGTTTTACCTGATAATTTGCCTCAATAATATAAATCTGAGAAGTATAGTAAGAGAACACGAGACAGACCTAGACTGGCATCCGAGATCTATTTTTGACCATGTGTATCTTAACTTCTCTGAGATAACTTTACTCCTAAAGCTTATACACACTGATCTCTTAAAGTTACTGCAAAAGAAAGAGGATAACATGCACTATACATAGCACAGTGTTCGATGTGTCAGAAGAGCTTAGTAAATGATGTGAAAAAAAGCTCATTGCTGTGTGGCTTTTGTTGTGACTCTTGTAGTTATTGGTGCCTGGGTGTGATATTGAAAATGTAAAGAGGAGGAATGATAATAGCTGAAGTGAATGTCTTAGAGCTTTCGTAGGAAGTGCAGACTGGGAGAGGAGGGACACATAAAAGGCTTCCAATGCTAGAGATGCTTAAAATAAATCTTGAAGAATGAGTAAGAGAGAGAAGAGGCTCAAGGAAAGGTGATTCAAAGCTGAGGACACAATATAGATATTGGCATGGAGGCACAAACAACTCTGCCTTTTAGGGAATATCTAAGGAGTGTTGTTGGGATGAAGAGTAGGACCCATGACAAAGAGAGGGATGAGATGAAATTGCAGGCTAAGCCAGGGTCCTGACATGAAGACCCTACTTGGTCTACCTAAGGAATTGGATATATATTTGAAGAAAATGTGAGGACTGGTGTGTTTTTAGCAGGAAAATAAGATCTGCTTTCAAAACCCTATAGAAGCTGAAGGGAAGAGAATGTATAGAAATGAAGAACTTGGAGTCAGAGGACTTGTTTGGAGCTTGTTATCATAAATCAGGACAGCAAGATGAGGGCCTGGGAAAAGCCATGAGGGGAGTGTGAGCAATTACAAAATAACAGATTTGGCAAAAATTTAGGGAAAAAGGAGCTCTTATACACTGCTGGTGGGAATGCAAATTAGTACAACCTCTATGGAAAACAGCATGGCTATTTTTCAAACAACTAAAAATAGAACTACCATAGAATCTAGCAATTCTACTACTGAGCATCCACCCAAAGGGGAAAAAAATCATAGCAAAAAGATACCTGTACTGGTATATTTATCACAGCACAATTCACAACAACAAAGATACAGAATCAACTTAAGTATCCATCAATGAAAGATTAGATTAAATGAGGTATATATACACAGTGAAATAGTATTCATTCATAAAAAAGAATGTCTTTTACAGTGACATGCATGGAACTGAAGGCTATTATCTTAAGTGAAACAACTCTGACACAGAAAGAAAAATACCAAATATTCTTGCTTATAAGTGGGAGCTAAAGAATGTGTAAACATGGAAACAAAGAGTAGAATGATGGACAATAAAAACCCAGAGGGGTGCTGGGGTGGGAGGGGGGTCATGATGGGAGATCAGTTGGTGAGTTCAATGTGTGTTGCTCCAGTGCAAGCCTTGACTTCACCACAATGAAATATATCAATGTACCAAATTGCACTTACACCCCTTGAATGTATATATTAAAAAAAAAAAAGAATAGAATACAGCAAAAGTAATAGAAATAAATTTGCAAGTTTGGGTTAGGAAAAACTAGAAACTCTCACACACTCTCTCTCTTTCCTCTCATTTAATCCCACCGATGAAGCCAGTTTTCATGTTCTCAGCTGCCCTACTGAGAAGACCACCTGGTCAGAAACAGCCAGCAAAGAACTAAAGCCCTCAATCAGACTATCCACAAGGACTGAACCCTGCCAATGAGTAGATACACGAACTTGGAAGCATATTCTTCTGTATTCCGGTCTTGAGATGATTGCAACCCTGGCTGACCCTTTGATTGTAAGAGATCCAGTGACCCCAGTTAAGGTGTACCTGGATTTCAGCCCCATGGAAACGATGAGATATTACAGGTTTGTTATAGTGGTAATCTGTTATGTAATGCAACATACACAAGGGATCACTTTGGGCTGTGGTCAGAAACACCCACTGAAATAGTTTTTCCCTTGTCTCTGCCCTTAGCAGCAGTTGGTGGAAATGTCTGTGAAACATCTTTAAGAAGAGCAACCTTTAATGAGGTGAGGGTAAGTGAAGGAGTGTTCCATTGAAAGGGTGACCTCAGATTCCAGATCTCTAGAAAAAAACTTCTCTGGGTGAGAAAGCGTTTATTTCTGCTGCTCTTTCTCAAGAACTTTTTGAAATAAATGAAAGTAAGGGAGATTTGTAAAGACTGTCTTTAGAGATAACAAGTGAAATTATCATTGGCATCCATAACTCAAAGACAATGTGGATGAAGATGTGTAATGTGAATGTAAACTGTGCAATTTTATATGTGTTTTATTTCACTTTAACGTGGAGGTGTGGGTTGGCAGACAGATGTATATGGGTGGCAGATATTTCTTATAATTAGCAGAAATTATTTACTAGTTTGTGCTTATCATAGGAAAAATGGAGGCTCTAGAGCAGGACAATCTGAGTTAAAATTCCAGCTAAGGATCAAATGAGTTAATTTTTGACATAGTATATAAATTATCTATTACTACCTCTATGTAACAAACAACCTAAAATTTAGTGGCTTAAAACAACAATGTCTTTTTGCGTGTGAGTCTACAGGTCACCTGGATGGCTCTGCTGATCTGAACTAGTATTGGTAGATCTCAGCGGGACTGGCTCATGAGTCCGAGGTCAGCTGGTGGATGGGCTGAGGGCTGGTTTCTCTAGGGTGTTCTCATTTACATTGTCAGGAAGTGGATAACTGTTGGCTAGGGTGATGGAGTTTGAATGGGCCACATGTCTCAGATCTTTCAGTAGCCTACCTTGAACTTGTCCATAAGGTAGCAGCAGTGTTCCAAACGAAAAAGTGGAAGCATGCAAGACTCCTGACACCTAGGCTTCTAACGGGTAGAACACCATTTCTGCCGTGTTTTATTGGTCAAAGAAAACCACAAGGCCAGCCTAGACTCTACCACTTGATAGAACTACAACCTCATACGACAAAGGGAAGGGAATAATTGTCACTATTTTTGCCAACAATCCGCCATAGTTGTTGGAATTGAAATGTTAGCTATTGTTATTGTGATTAGATGAGGTTGTGGCATAATAATACATAAAATCCTAGAATGTCAGAGTTTTAAGAGCCTTCAGAGAACAATTAGTTTATATAGTCAATGCTTTTATTATATAAATAGGGAATGTAAAGAAAGCCAAGCCATTTGTTTTAGGTTTCCTGGTTAATGATGAACTTGGACTAAAACCCAGATCTTCTGACACCTAGGCAATATTCTTCTCAAAGACTCTGAACCCTAATATATATGACTATCTATGAATGTACATGACTACATTATTATTATTTTTATATATATGTAATTATAGTCATATTTTTACTTAGTCTACAAAATGTTTTCTAGATATTTGCTTCTTTACTTGTTAGTTTAAGGCATATGAATGCAAAGATTTTGTTTTGTTTTTTTTTGTGTGTGTGCTGATTGTTTCAGTGATGCCTAAAGGATGCTATCAAGGATCTTTGGACAAGGATCACAGAATGCTGAATTGAAAACATTTCCCAAAGCCCCAAGACATATTTCAACACTCACCTCCAGAAACCATTGTTGCATGGCTGCCCAAGATAAGACGAGCCCTACTTTATAATTCAGCTTTACTTCGGGGCAGAGGGAGTGAGGCAGAGCATCATAAACCCAGCCAATGGAATGTGTTATAAAAGCCCTTGTTCTTTCACCCTAAGGACAAGCTGTGGAGAAATGATATGGGAAATGTTGATAGAGAGTCCCTGCTTCTAGAGAGCAGTGAATTCTTCGAAAAGCTAGTCCAACCCTCCCAGTGACTATAATTGCCATGGAAGCCCAGAGAGCTACGCATGGAGACATAATTGTGTTTGCTGCTGCTGTTGTTGTTGTTGTGTTGCCATTTTTGGTTGTTGTTCTAATGGTCCTCGGCACATGGCATGGTGTCATTCATCCATTTAGGGAATATCTCAACAATGGGGAGCCAAGTGTTTTTTCCTTGTGTGTTGCTTTTGTCAGGATGATCTAGATTATGCAGCAGTAACAATCAAAAGTTCCCAAACCCCAATACGTTAAAACAAGAAATATGTGTTTCTTACTGTCATGAAATTCTCATTATGGATGAGCTGGAAACTGTACTGTTTCTCTCTTCAGTGCCCGGGCTGTTCGAAATCACTGCAGATTGTTGTGGCAGAGGAGAAGACAACATAGTGATTGAGAACTGGTTCTAAGGTGTTTTCCCAAAAGAGATAGCCTGGCATTTAACTGGGTGGGCAAAGCAACTCCTACAGCCATGCCTAACTGCAAGGGAAGAGAGAAGTGCAATTTTATAAGATGCCCAGAAAAAAAAACCCAGAAACTATAATACTTTGAGGAGTTTGAATGTCTACTAGGCACATACCCTCAAGTTAAGGTTATAGTAGAGGCTAATGAGTGGCAGGTATATGAATACGTGCATCAACATTAAACCCTCAGATTTTATGACAAAGCTTACAATGTCCCATTCTCTTTAGGCAAATGAGATTCTCCCTCATTTCACTCCTACTTATTAGAAAGAATACAGACAAGGCAGTAAGACTTCTGTTCATGGGTAATCTGTTCTTTACTCCCATCCCATGGTAACCACCTCATCTGCTATTTTTATGGGATTTTGTTTCATGAAATTCCCTTTCTCTTCGGTATCTCCGACACATCATGTATCTGATGTCCCCATTCCCAGCGATCACCCTTTCTCTTCCCATCTTTTCACAATCAAGAATCTTAAGCATACTCAGAATCAACTCTGTCCACTCTCTAGTCTCACATTCATCACATTTTCAGGTTCTACTCATACTCTAAGGGAAGTGAATAAGAAAAGGGTGAGAGTCAATGAGGTTATCTTAGAATTCTGCCTGCCACAGCAAAGGCCAAAGAACAACAAATGTCAAGTATAGGTGGGAGCACTATTTCACTTGCTTAAAATGTCTAACCCAATAGGATAATGCCTGTTGAATGAAAAAAAAAAAAAGTGAATGAATGAGCACATGACTGAGGCCTCTGAATCATCCTCTATAATGCTACCTTTATCCCTAACAGATAGTATCTGTAGTACTTGTTAGTAGTACCCTGGAGGGGTGTACTACCTGTTAGGGGTAGACTACCCAGACATCATGGATATCTTGGTCATATGAAAATCCTGGTAACCCAACAGGAATGCTTCTCACTATCTTACCTTTAATGTAGCATAATGCCCTGGCATAAAACCTCTGCCACTGGATGGTCAGGGTTCACATTTCACCTATCCTTTTACTATTTTGTCATGCTATCCAAAGTCACTGAACCTCAGGTAGACTCAGCCTTTTTTTTTTTTTTGTAAATATAACAATAATAACTGTTTCATAGTGTTTTCACAAGGATTAATTAAAATGTCGTAAGCACACATCTAGGCACACACTGAGTACTCAACAAATGTTAGTTAACATTGTTATTATTGCTGTTGTCACTTTCATCTATTCCTTTAAAGCATCAACACCTTGTTGTTCACCTCTTTTCTTTTTCCTCCCTTTAGTCTTCTTCTTTCACAGAAATGATCAGAAGCCTATTACATTTGCTAAAGTGCTGATACCAAAAAAACAAAATCACCTTTTAGCCAGCTCACTCTGCCAAAAAGTGATAGGATTAATTTGTGTTCCCTCCCCATCACCCACTTCCTGGAACTAGACCACAGAAAGTGGCAGAAAGTAGAACATGGGGGCTGAGAAGGCCTATTTTTTTTCTTCGTTTGAATACAGTGATGTGGATAGAAAGGGCCTAAAGAGAGGGTAAACTTCTCAAAAAGAAAATCACAGATGGTTTATTAGAAATGGCTTTTCCATTAACCATCAGGGTGACCTTGGGTATGTTGCACTTCACCACTGCAGTCCTGTGTCCCCTCCTCTGCAGAAAGAGGAGATTACCCTGTGGTATCTGGCATCTCACACTGACATTCTGACATCCATGATACGAGGGCAGCACTGCAAACAGCCCAGAGCCTCCTGTGCAGGAATGGAACACACATTGTCCTGATGGCTGGGGAAGGCTCGGCTCATTGATTTGACCAGCCTTGTATTGCCAGCAAAGAAAATGATACCTCCCTCCATGAGATAAAGGTGAAAGTCATGGAGCAGAAAGGCAGCAGGAATGGGAACTCATTAATACCAATACTCTCCAGGTCTATAATATTACATTGGATTCTACAGAGCGCTTCCACATATATCATCAATCTGGATTTCACAAACAATGGCATGGGGTAGGTAGAGTGGTTATTAGTATCTGCATTTGTGACAGACCTAAGTTCAGGCGTCTGCCCAAGATGAGAGAGCAAAGGTTAAGTCCCAGATGTAGCATGGTAAACAAGTTAAAGAGATTTTAGGTCTATAGCCTTAGATTTTTGTCTATTGTCTCTCTGGTAGTTGACCTTGGAACATGACCTTTTACAAATTCTCTACTCTGAGATTTGCACTTTCCTGACCTATAAAAGAGGAATAATAATAATAATAATTAAAATATCAAAGGGTGGTTGCAAGGTTCACATCAGATCACATATATGATTCCACTTCACGGACTATAAAATGGTGAGCTTAGTTAGTTTTTTTTTGAATTGCCTTGGCACCTGGCACTGCATTGTATTCACTCTTTCAGAAATGATAGCTCATAGACAGGCAAAACAGTCTGCATCATGTGTCTGGCAGATTTATACTCCTGAAACTACTCCTTCATCTGTCTCATTCAATGTGTCACATCACAGGCTTAGCAAGCCCCTAACACTTCTCTCCCCAAATCTACGTCCCTGTCTTAAAAACTATCACAAGCTTCAACCCCACCAAGGACTTTTACGGTGATTAGACCCTCTTAATTCAGCCACTGCCCCCTCTACTGAACTCAGAGATGGATGGTCGCCTGTCAGTCTGTCCAGTTGGGCAATATCTACCTTGGTAGAGAGACACTACCTACCTACCTTGTTATTGGCAGGCCGCAGGAAACAGAAGGAACGCATACTTGGGAGGGGTGAAAATAAGTAATTCCAACTCTAAGTTGTTGGAACTTTAAATTATTTTGAGCCTTAAAGGAATAAGATCACAGGGCCTGAGTCAGGTGATAGGCAGCTGCAACATAGGCAGCTGTAACATAGGCAGCTGTAAACTTTGTTTCTGTTACTATGGATTAGCCTCCTCCTTCACCTATATTGTTTTATAAAATGTTAATGACTAAAGGGCACCAGGGAAGGGAAGACCCCTACCCTCTTATTGTTGATTTTTGTTATAGAGTAACTTCCCTCTTACCTCTCTCACACAAAGACCACAGCTGTCACATTATCTAATCTAGTAGTCCTAACTTTTTTGACACCAGGGACCAGTTTCATGGAAGATAATTTTTTCATGGGTAGGGGTAGAGTGGGAGGAATCGTTTCGAGATGAAACTGTTCCACAAGAAGTACGCATCATAGATCCCTCACATGCACAGTTCACAATAGGGTTCGTGCTCCTATGAGAATGTAATGCTACCGCTGATCTGACAGGAGGCAGAGCTCAGGGGGTAATGCTTGCCCACCCACTCTCACCTCCTGCCAAGTGGTCCAGGACCACTGGTCTGTAGCCCAGGTCTTGGGGACGTCTAGTCTACTGGAATGTTAAATATACTCTTTTAAATTGGAAAGGAAATGAAAAGTTGTACAGAAAAGAAAAACTGTAACTAATTAAATTGTTATAACTCATAAACCAGCCTTGTATAGAAAATGTTGTAATCCTGTTAAATTTTTTTGTTTGTTTTCTTCCTTTATAGGCAAAATCTTAACTTTTAACTTCAAAGAACTGACCTCACTTCTCTGATGTCTGTGTTTTCCAGGTGGCCATTCCCAGCTTTTCATGTGAATACACTCTTTAAACTGGATTCTGATCTTTCTGATTATTTCTCTCCCAGCTCTGCCACTGGCCAGCTGGGTGACTTTGGTGAAGTCACTGAATCCATCAGAAGCAGTTTCCTTTCCTACAATGTAGAAAATACAATTCCTGTCCTCCAATACCACAGATTTCTGAGCATCAGTAATGGAGGTGTTGTAGAATCGCTTTGTGAATTCTTGTGCTATGGAGACAGTCCTTGTTCCCGATTTGTTATTTAAACATTGTAATTTTGTTTGATTGTTTACTGAAGTCATGTCTGAAAACTCCCATCTGTAACTAATCTCTGACTCAATGAACTTCCATGATAATGTTTTAAGAGAGAAAAAGAAAAAAAAAACCATATTCTTAATACCTACTAAAAGCTAGATAATGTATTAAATTGACTTGTATTGCTTATCTCATTTTAGTCCCACAACAACCCTCTGAGGAAAATAGGATTCTCACTGCCCAGAAGGTAAGCAGCTGTCTTGGGTTTCTGGCCTGAGTAACCACAGGCTTAGTGATGCTAATGACAGACAAAGGAGGACTCACAGGCTCTGAGCAGATCCTGGGGGGTTACTTGCTGATATACCCAGAGGGAGCTGTCCCGCAGGTAGGCAGAACTCAGATCTGCACCTGGAAGGGGTCTTAGCTGAGCCTGGACACTTGTGGGTCATTCATGAGGAGGAAAATGAGACTGAGTGTGTAAATGTGGTCAGTCAGGGAAAATGTATAGACTGAAATATGGAGACCACAATGGAATACTTGGAACTAACATTTTAAAAATGGACTAAAGAAGAGAATGAGATGGAGAAAATTGAGGAGCTGCTAGAGAAGCAGGGGGAGTATGACAGTGAAGAAAGGTCTCACTTAACATTGTCAATAGGCTTTTGGAAATGGCAACTCTAAACAAAACAATGTGTGAGTGTGACAAAACCAGTTTTACCATAGGCTAATTGATATTAACAAGACTTAAGTTTGTACTCCATATTCTGGTCAGAAAAACATCATTATACTTCTAAATGGAAACTCCAAACACTTCTAATATTAAACATTGAAATAAATGTGAGATATGCATGTGTTTAAGAAAAAATAATAAAAACAAGTTAGATAATTATTTACTTATTTATTCTAGTGCAGGATCTTGGGTGGCTGGAGCCTGTCCTAGCAGCTCAGGAGCCAAGTGGGACCCGACCCTGGCCAGGATGCTGTCCCATCACAGCACACACTCATGCCCACATCCACACTCATTCAGACTAGGACCACTGAGACACACCAACAAACCTAATGTGCACAGCTTTGATGTGTGGGAGGAAACTGGAGTACTCAGAGAAAACACAGGCAGACACAGACATGGGGAGGACTTGCAAACTCCACACAGACAGTGGCCCCAGCTGGGCATCAAATTTTTTTTCATAAACATTATAATGAAACATTGTTGAATTAAACAATATTATTTGAGAAACTGCCGTATGCCACTGCAGAATTCAGCAAGAGGAATTTCAAGTAGGAGGAAGAGTTTGACAATGCTTACAATTGTTTGATTTTTATAATATAAGGATTAAAAAGCGTCCGGTGAATTTGGCAGTTAGTTCTTCATTAATCACAGTGAGGCCATCTTCAGTGGAGCCATGATGGCAGAGGAAGGCTGCATCACTGCAGTTTAAGGAATGACAGGGAAGTGAGGAGCCTGCAGAGGAGAATTAGTTGACAACCCCATGAGAAAGTACAGACTGGTGAGTGATAACCGGGAGAGGATGAAGGCTCCAGGGAGAGATTTGTGCATGCAAAATGGCTGATAAACTTGTAGAAACCCAGTGGTTGTTTGCAGAGGAATAGTGAGTCTGGAATCCTGCCGTCTGTGCACTACTCAGAGATATCTGAAGAAATGTGGTTCCAGCAGCCCAAAGCTGAAAAGAGACATTGGTAAGCTAGAGCACGCCCAACAAAAGTGATGAACATAAGAAAGTAATTCAACATTTCCGATGATGCACATACACACAATACACACAAAACACATATACAACATATGTATCACACACATTGAACACGCAACACACACAACACACAAACATATACAACACATGCATATTACATGCATACACACAACATGCATTAACCATGTATACAATGCATCATATGTACATCAGACACACATTACATACACAACACATCCAGTACAGGTAAAATACCGCATACACATATACATCCACACACTAGACAACACTCGTAGCATATATGTGACACACATGTGCATATATGCACCACGTGCTTGTATGCACAAAACATCCACATAACACACACACAGACACACACAGACACACACACACACAGTAGAGTTGCCTAGCAAGCCAAGGATATACATACCATAGTCCCAGCAAGAAGCATGGGAGGAAGGGAAGAGACTGATGTGTACTAGTCTTTGAAGGGCTACAAGCTCACATGTTTAACCAAGCAGAGAGAAGAGAAGGCAACCAAGAAAAAAAGGCATGAGAACAAGATATGATCACCCTCAATCTCTGCCAGTGCAAGCCACAGTACCATTGTGGGAGCAGAAACTGTAACCCTCTGAGCATACTGTTGGGTGTCCAGCACTGCATCAGAGTGAGCTACTATTCCTTTACAGAAAAGAAAAGACACTCAAACCGCCCCCCCACCACCTTTATTTATTTATTTATTTATTTTACAATGAATGAGTGGTCTCTTGGAAACTCTCCCATGTCTACTTCAAATGTGCTGTTTGAAATGTTGAATATAAATCATTGTACTATAAAGACATACACACATATGTTTATTGCAGTGCTATTTACAATAGCAAAGACAGGGAACCAACCCAAATGCCCATTAATGATAGACTGGATAAGGAAAATGTGGCACATATATACCATAGAATACTATGCAGCCATAAAAAGGAATGAGATCATGTCCTTTGCAGGGACATGGATGAAACTGGAAGCCATCATCCTCAGCAAACTAACACAGGAACAGAAAACCAAATGCCACATGTTCTCACTCATCAATGGGAGTTGAACAATGAGAACACATGGACACAGGGAGAGAAACAACACACACTGGGGCCTGTTGGGGGTGGGGGTTGAGGGGAGGGAACCTAGAGGATGGATCAGTAGGTGCAGCAAACCACCATGGCACACGTATACCTATGTAACAAAGCTCCACGTTCTGCATATGTATCCCGGAACTTCAAGTTAAAAAAAAAAAAAGAAAGAAAGAAAATGAAAAAAGAAATACTGAAGGCATGGGAAGACCATTACATATAGTTGCTACAGACTCAATTTCTGTTGACAGAAAAAAGAGACTTAGACAAAGGGCACTGGGCCAAACCTGAGGTAGAAAGAAAAGAGGTTTTCTGCCATCAGTGGGCATCATCATTTCACACTAAGGCCACCCCTCCACGATGAGTCTTGGAAAAAGTTTTTGTTTTATCTGACTGAGTTCTTTTTTTGTTTTCTACATAGGAAGAATCCCAGACAAACATGAAAATTCATTCCTTTCCTTGTTGCCTCCAGTGAAAAGAGATGGAGATGAGGGAGAAATTTACTGTTTACTCTTTTTTTTTTTTTAAGGTTTTTCCTATTTTCTTACTCCCCCCTGAGCAAAATACTCTGCAAATGGTCTCCAGGCTCTCAACAACAATACTCTGTTTCCATTTCTTACCGCATTTCCTTTCTTTCCCAGGACTCTTCTGACAGTGCCAAGTTGCACGCTGGGTTGTCATAGAATGTTCTGAAGTCGTGTAAAAGGAACTGGCACAAAGGAAAAAAAAAAAGAGTTTTTCTCCTACTCTGCTTAAATTAGTCGTTGCCTCCAGCAGCGATATCCATTTCCTTTCACTTTCCTGGTCTGGCTTCTTCTTCTTTTTCTTCTTCTTTTTTTTTTTTTTTTTTCCTGCAGATATTCTGATTTGAGCTCAGCACACACATTCACCCCAGAAGTTCCCAGGATGCCAATAAAGATCCTTGCCAGCAGATCTTATCATGTTCCTCTTGAAACGGTTTTGTCATTCTTTGGATGACTGTAGAACATCTAGTCTCATACATGCCTGTTTTTTTATTGGGTTTCTGCACAGTCACAACCCAATAATGCACAATGGTAAGATGCCCCAACTGACACAAAACTAAAGAGTCAAAATGCTCTCCGTTGTCAATTGCTGCTTAGCTCAGAGGCTGTTCCAAGATTTGCCTTGAGTTCAAAGAATTGACCCGAGGTGCATTTATCTTTGAAAATACATATTCTGTACAGCGCTTCTTCCTTTTGCCTGGGAAAGTCCTGGTTTGTGCCTATCACCCAGGAGTAATCATTTATAGCACCCATTTCATTCTCACAAGTGTCTCAGTTTGCACAGCAAGTTCCATAGTCAGCAAGGATACAGTATACATTGGAGACACAAAGATACAAAAGACAGTATCCTTGCCTTAGAAGAGCTCAGTCTTTTTAGAAAGACAGGTAAGTAGATGATTATAATATAAGAGCTAAGATAAAGATATGAATAGAGTTATATGACTTTGTCCCACTGTCTCTATGTCCCTTCTGTCCAGCACACTGTCCAGAACACAGAGGCGTTTGGTAATTTTATTGTTGCTGCTTTTGTTTTAACCAATCACAGTGTTCTTTCTATAGACAGAATTTTCCCAATAATGGGCCATTCTCCCTTTCTTCTGCTCCATCTTTTCTTGCTCCATTATTTTCTTCCATAACTCTTGAGTCTCCTGGACATATAACCTCAAAAAAAAAAAATAATCAAGAGCATGGACGAAAATCACAAGGGTAACAAACTGACATGCTAGCTCTGAGTCCCTCCTCAATCTTTGCATAAAAATCACAGGAGGTGCTGTTGCTGCCTCTTTCCACATGTTCTGTAGCCCTGAGTGCCAAGATACATCTGCCCCTGATGGCCCCAATTTGTAGTTTTTCCAGCTGTTTCTGCTTCTGCTGCCTTGGCTACTGGTAATATAGGCAGGTCTCGCTAATAGTACTTAAGATCAATACTGATGTTTTATCCAAATATGGTCAAGTTAATGCTAGGATTGAACTAATGGCTCCTGCTACCCCCAGGGAGGGCATGATCAGTGCCAAAATCACGGGCTATGGCCTCAGACTTCTGTGGCCATGCATAGGGCCCTTCTTGAGATGAGGGCAAGTGCTTCTCCACCCCAGTTATAACTCTTCTTATTCTCTGAAAAGGATGACTTCACTTATCATTTACTCATAAGATCCTCTTGCAAGCAACTCTTGTGTATGACTCCCACAAATGAATCATTCAAGCTGGGAGGTTCCATCTGAGTAAAAATGCAGCCTCCATGTACAAATGTTAAATGTTCCTGGGTTTATTTTCTATGTTTAATTTTTATCAACTTTTTAATTAAAATGTCATTACAAATTTAAGACAGAAGGAAAGGGTAGGAGAGAGGCCAGGATGGGAGAAGCGTGTTAGAATGTATTGAGTTGTGTAAGCTGTTTCTTTATTTCTTTACGCTAAAGTGTTCTGAATTTCTGACATTTTGATATTTTTAGTAGCTTCAAATCCTGAAGTTTGTGAGTAGAAAATTGTGAGGCACTGACTTGCCAAGTGGCAAAGAAATAAAAACAAAGATAAAAACCAGAAAAGTTAAGTGAACAACTGCAATTCTGTGAGAAAAAGGCTAAAGCTGAGATGAGAACAGAGACTTTTGAGGGCACAGAGGCAGGTGTCTAAATGGGGCATGGAGGGACACAAGAACATAGGATGTTATCATCTCTCAGTTTCTTCTTGTGTTGTTCCCTAAGATATCTTGTCTCCTAAGATTGTTAAGTTCTTCCGTGGAAAGGACAGTATTTTATTTCTCTGCCTCATTTGTCCATATTACTTTGTAGTGCTTAGTACAGTGGAGAAGCTTCAGACACAGGTGGTTGCTCGCTTGTTTGATTGATTGAATAAAAGAAAAGAGAGAGGAAATGAGATAATCTGGAAAAGTCCTAGAGTGGTTGAGTATTGCTGTCAAGTCCGCCAGTAAT
This sequence comes from Homo sapiens, assembly GCF_000001405.40. NCBI lineage: Eukaryota > Metazoa > Chordata > Mammalia > Primates > Hominidae > Homo > Homo sapiens. Next base: position 14,109,840 of record NC_000004.12, on the reverse strand, counting down.
TCTCCGTGTGACCTTGAACAACCATTTACCTCTTAGTTTTTTCAACTGTAAAATAAGTATGACCAGATAATCACCAAGTTCCAGACTAGTTTTAAAACTTCATGAGTCTATAATTGTGACTGTTAGATCAAGTTAAAGGAGACATTGTAGGGCTTGATAACGCATACACAAAAGCCATTTTAAGGGCTGAACTTGGACCTTGGTTTCTCTATTATAAATCAAAGATATTAGAATAGATTATCTTTTTTATTGCCTCCTTCCAAAATACAAGAAATATCTGAATCAAAACGCTAATCTTCATCTTCAAAAACCAAATTCCAGTGACATAATATCAGTCCTCAATAAGGAAAAGGAATAAACTTTATTCACATATAATTCACTGGCCCATGGATAAGAAACCTGTATTTTCAGTAGGTTCATTTTTATCTAAACCGTAAAATCTCAATTCTGTCTCAAACATGGTATTTTCCCTTTCAATATAAGAGGCAATTCATTTTATTGTTACTTGAAACTAAAGGAATCCAATAAACTGGATTGGAGCCAAAGAAGACCATAATGACAAAATGATTGATCCTTTTATAATGCTATTCTAAGATTGGAGAAATGCAATATAGACAATATTCATTTATATCACCAACAAGTATTCATCTCTGTAATAGAATGTAATACTCCTTTGCATTTATTAAGTACCTGTCACCACTAGAAATACAAAGTAAAAGGGCTTCACTGTTAATTTGCAGGCATGGTCAAATATTATTTGTTATGCCCCCACTGACATGAAGAATCTATATGGGAACTTGAGGCAGAAATGTCAGCTCTATTGCATAGTGAGAACAATAAAAATGGTGTATCTGGGATCCATTGGTGGAAGCAGAAATTAAGTAAGCAGATAGTATTTGAAAATAAGGACAAAAAATGGATATTTTAAGCAACGGGAGCTGCCCAACAATGGAGGCTGGCAAAGGGTGTTAACCCCAGAGATGAGGCTCTAGACTAGTTGTATTACATGCCACCTTGGTAAACCTTTGCAGCACCCATCTGAGACAAATCTTAATTTCCATCACACAGATGAAAAAGCAGAGTCTCAAGAGAGTTAAGCCCTTTTCCTTGAGCTATTGAGCTATTACATGATTAAGCCAAAACTTGAAATGAATTTTGACTGATCCTAAAAGCCTATGTATTTTCATTATGTTACAGTGCATTCATGAAGTAGTTTCATTTCATCACCTAATATTCTCAAAGAAAGGCCAGCTGATAAAAAACAATAGGAACAGTAAATATTTTTTGAGTTCTTAGAGTCTACCATCCTTGGTTGAGAATGGTCTTGGACTATTTGAGGTCTTCAAGAACACCTCCCTCTCAATTATTCTGTGCTAACTTAATGGGACAGGTGTCCCATTAAGAGTTGACTACTCTTCCAAGCCTTCCTCAGACTCACTAAGATCCTGTGATTTTCAAGTTTCTCCCAGCCATCTACCAAGGCAATGCTGGGGAAACATCTCTGAGCTTACCCCAGCTCAGACATTCAAGAATGTCATGCCATTCTTGAATCCTTGTAGTTAAGAGGACTTATCACCTCCCCAAAACCATGCTCACTAAATTTTGATCTATGATGTGCTGACTTGTTCCATCTTTGTACAGCTCTAACTCCTAGAAAATGTTCTATATATTCATTTGAGTATTTTTTTATAATTTCAAACCACTTAACTCTTTTGTCATTTGAAGTCAAACAGAAAAAATTAACATGAGCCTTTAAAGTACTTCAGAAAAAACATATACTTTCCCAAGAGCATGATGGTGGAAATGATGAAGGTGTCACCCAGACACAAGCTCACTCTTAGTTTGCTTCTTGCCTGTGCTATGAGTACTTGATCATAGGTAGGTTATTTTGCCTGCCAAACCCTTCTACACGAGGCCATAGATTTCTTCTCTGAAAAATGAATGGGTTGGATGTAATGAATTTCTGAAGCTTCACCCATGATGTATTCTAGGTGAGTCTCTTTGATCCTTCAGAATAAACAGAGCTAGTTTATTCATGCCCTGCTCTTGCTGTCTTCCAGGATTTTCACTGGGAAGAGGAATTTAGTCCTTGTACACATTTTGCCACATAACCTAAGGATCCTCCCATAAGGCACTTTTCATCTTGTTCTCACCACCTAATCTCAAGGACCCAGAGCAATAAAAACTGTCTCATCCCCTTCTCCCACAAAGATATAGCATTGCATTTCAAATGTGCTTAACTCTAAACACACACCATTACCATCATCATTAGCAGCCTGGGCCTGAAACTTTTATTAATATTTCTAAATATTCTCCGATCAGAGTCTCTTTTATGTATTAACAGCTTTGTTGAGATATAATTGATATATGTGAATAAAAATCACACAGCTAATATAATACTCAATGGTGAACATATGAAAGTTTTTCCTCCAAGAACAGGAACAAGTTGAAGATATCCACTTTCATCAGTTGTATTCAACATGTACTGGAAATCCTAGCCAGAGCAATAGGACAAGAAAAAGAAATAAACATCACCAGAATTGGAAAAGAAGAAGTAAATTTTTCTGTTTGCAGATGACATGATCTTACATGTAAAAAAAAACTAAAGACTTCACAAAAGAACAATTAGAACTAATAAATCAATTCAGTAAATTTCAGGACACAAAATCAGTATATAGAAATCAGTTATATTTCTATACATTAAGAATGAACTACCTAAAAATGAATTTTTAAGTAAATCCCATTTATAAAATTTCAAAAAGCATAAAATACTTAGGAATAAACTTAACCAAGAAGATAAAAGACTTGTACACTAAAAACTACAAAACACTGATGAAGAAATTAAAGAGGACACAAGTAAATGGAAAGACATCTTGTGTTCAATGATTAGAAGACCTAGTATTCTTAAAATGTTTATACTACCCAAACTAATTTACAGATTCAATGCAATTCCTTTCAAAGTACTTTAAAAAATGAATGCTTGAGGTAATCTTTATATTTTGAAATACTTTTTTATCATAAAATGCATTATAGGTAATAATTTTTAATTTCTTGATTACTGCTTGTACTAATCAATGATCCATGTCACCAAACTTTGAAAATTCTGACCTTCAGGAAGGTAACCCACACAAGGAAATTGTTATAATTCCAACAATAAGTGGAGGCAGTTATTATGGGCATTGACCATTTTGATATTGATGCTGGCCAACATCTAATTCTGTTTGATATTTTGATACATTTAATGGTTTATAAGCCCTAACTCATCTCTTTACTAATGCTCAGGGACTGAAGACAACAGATGGGGAGCTTCTGTTCAAAGCCTCCCATGCCCTACTGTGCACTCTAAACTTACAACAGCCTTGTGTTATAAAGACTTCAGCTTAAACTACTAAGGGAGATCACAGGTGGGTGTAGGAGAGGGTAGGCAGCGGTACTGTCTGAGGCAATCACTTACCTTTGATAGAGACAAACAAGGACAGAGCACTCCAGGTAGTTTGTGCTCTGTCAAGTGGGTGACTTTTTGATGCCATGTCAGGCAAAGATTGGGTTTTTCCTGATCACAAATGTTGAAAGTTGATTCTACTTCCCCAAAAATTAAGGTTGAAGAGCCTGAAATTGGGAAAGGGAACAGGTTTCCCTTAGCCCTGTGCTGACCAAGTTCTGGAATTAACTGCAAATGCTTGATTCTTATTCCTCAAGGCACTTTATGACTCTGTAAGGATCAGTGTGGTTTCTCCATGCTCAAATTGTCAGGGGCTGTATTACCCAGAGAAGCTCACTCTTTAGAGCTGAAGAATCCTTAGACTTCTCTTTGCCTTTCATGTTTATTTGAAACAAAATTCAGCCTCCATTCACAATTGTGCTGACATTTTAAACTTCACTTTTCTGTTGTGCAACAAAAAATACTTTTCCCCATCCATTTTATGACTGCTGAAATGTTCCTGGGATTTTCTCTGGTAAAAATGCCTCAAATGACCCAGTACACCATCCAAGAATTTGACTGAGAATGGAAGATGAAGATTTTACATTGAGTTTAACCAAATCTCCTGTGATGGACATCTAATGTTTTAGTCTAACCGCTATCTAATTACTTCTTTAGTGACAGCCCTCCCTCCTTTTCTTCACTCCCCCTAAAAGATAAGCATCTGACCCAAGATGGAACAATGATACTATCTCACATCTCAGGTGACAAGAATTAGTTCACAGAGTGGAATGGCATTCCAACATAGATCAGTCAGTGACCTCCCATTGTATGAAATGCGTTTTTTCCTCTCAAGTGGTGAAGACCTGAGTGACCGAGCACAGAAACTTCTAGAAGTTGTCTTTCCAGCCTTCTAAAGAAAGACGGTCTGCAAGAGGAAAGGTTGAAGCCAGATGCAGAGAAAAGCAAAGATGAGTTGAGGAAAGAGAGCCCTTCTACATAACCTTCTACATTCAAATTCCTACCTTTCCCACTATAGATATCGATTTCAATTAACTCAAGTTTGAGTTATCAATCTTGCTACTAAAAGGTGTCATGAATAGAATAGTTGTTTGGCAAGAGATGTTCTTGATACAAAGCAAAGGGGAAAATTTGCGGACTGTGGCCAATATGCCCTCCTGAGGTCTAGGTTCTACTCCTATATACTTTTTCCAGCTGTCTCCACCTCATCAAGCCACTTAACTTCTCAGAATCACATTTTTCTCAACAGAAATACATAAATAAATACATATATATATTAACCATGTCTTTTTGTTTTCTATATTTTTGATGCTTTGACATCTTGAAGGCTTGCTGACTCTGGAAGGATTGCCTTTCCCAAGACTAGCTAATTCCTGCAAATAAAGGACTTGCCTAGGAGTCCTTCATTTGCAAACCAGCCAATACAGAGCCCATACCCTTGACCATCTCATTTATCAGGCTCTAACACTTCAGGTCACTATTCCTCTGCCCTAATCACCCCAGTGCCAACACCAGGCAACTAGGGACAGCTCCTATGCCCCCAAAGCTACTGAAATGATTCAAACTAGACAACCCTAAACTACTTACTCTACTTCACCTGTTCCTTCCTAAGAAAGCAACAATAAAGGCTCTTACCCCAGTTTTCCTCTTGCTCTCTCTGCCTCCTGATCAATCTTAGTGCTTTCCCGTGTGGCCCCTGTGGCATGGTGGGCTTCCTCTTTTTGGGAACTGTAATACATTATCTTATCTGGCAATTTTCTCCTGGTCTGTTGGACTCACCACCACACCTGAATATTAATAAAACCTAAATTTTAAAAGACTACCTCCCAAGACTGAATGAGAGGAAAGCACCTGGAGTTATGCTAGGTGTGGTGGATTTTGAATATTTAGCTATTCAATCAATGTGAGGAAAATACTAATGACTGTTAAGATTAGAAGGCAATTTGAGAGTGACAAAAGCTGTTGCACTTTGGATCACAGTGGTTGATACTCAAATTGTTTCCTTACAAACCTTGAGAGAAATACATTCTTTAATAAATGTGTGTGATAAGTTTTATCTCATTTACTCATGCTATCGATATATATTAAGGGCCTTTTCTGTGCTAGAGCAATGAACCAATCAGATATTTTGTCCTGCCCTTGTGAAACTTAATCTTATGCTTTAAAGATGTTGAAAAGTGTAAGGCTACAAAAGTGATATATACTGTGGACACTAAATAAACACTGTAAATGATGACTGGGAACTCCCCTTCCTCTTGCTTAAGGGGATATAGAAAAAATAATAATGTTTAAGATTATTTTCTGTACTTTAAATAGTCCATTCTTCTATTTGTCCTATATTTTTCTGTTATTAATTTTATACCTAACTTAATAATATAATCGTCTAAGTAATAATAACCTATATATAATCTAAATAATAATGCTTCAAATGCATACAGTGCTTTACAGTTTACAACCCACTCACAGGTACTAGAAACTGTGCATGTTGAATATTAACTTACAAAGTACTTTAGTCTGGCCCACCCCTAACATCTGCTTTTTGTTTGTTTGTTCGTTTGTTTTTTTGTTTGTTCTGAGACGCAGTCTCACTCTGTTGCCCAGGTTGGAGAGCAATAGCATGATCTCGGCTCACTGCAACCTCTGCCTCCCAGGTTCAAGTGATTCTCCTGCCTCAGCTTCCCGAGTAGCTGGGATTACAGGCATGCACCATTGCACCCAGCTAATTTTTTTTTTTTTTTTTGTAAATTCAATAGAGATGGGGTTTCATAAAATCTTGATGCTCAGATCTGAGCAGTTAAACCGAGTACTGGCTAGAACCAAAGCTCTGACTTCATCCAACCTCAAATAGAGAGTAATTAAGGTTTGGCAGAATGGTGCTGTTGCCATTGTTGAATTAATACATAATAAATCACTGGGCCATAGTTTGGATATCTCTGAAAAACAGACAGATGGTGCCTATGATATTCTCCCTGATATTCTCTGATCTTGGAAAAGTTACACATCACACTGTACCTACCAAAAATTAAGTCTATAGAATGTATGGAGGGAGCACCATGAAGATCAAGATCTCTCCAGCTGTGATGGTTAAGGATGAAAACTGTCTTACCTACATGCTCAAGTCATACTCTCTTTACTCAGCTGTGCTGTAGAAGGGAGGTGGACTGTCAAATCCACGTCTGCAGCTGCTGTCTCAATGTTGTAAAAATTAGCATTTCAGAAGACAAAAGATACTCACTGTCCAAATCAGATTTCTTCACAGGTGAAAATAAGGAATTTTCTATTAGAAGCAACACTCTTCTGAAAAGCCAGTCAGAGCAGCAGCCTGAAGGGAAATATTACCGGATTCCAAGCAGTCAGCACTGTGCTCGTTTTCTCGGCCTCAGGGACTCTGCTCAGCCTGAAAGCAGTGCAGAATTACACCACCAATTTGCAAGCAAGGGGTCTTGAATATTACCAACCAAATACCTGAAGCTACCCCTGACCCCTGACCTGCCATCGTTGAAGTGGATCTTGGCTGCTCCAATTTTGTGTCAAGAGAGTGCACGCACAGCAAAAAGAAGGAGGCTGTCCTTCTGCTGGAAGAAGAGGGCCCAAGGGATCCCAGTGGAGGAAACTCTCAGAACCAGAAAACCAAGACTTTGAAAAATGTTGGTAACTGACACACTTTCACACAGGCAAAATTCATGCACGTAAAGCTCATAAGTTGTTTGGGGAAAAAAAAAATGCTGATATCAAACCACTTAAGCAATCCTTGATGGCACCATGCTTGATTGAAGAATAAAATATGGTGCATCCCCGTGGGCACACTGTGCTGACTTCACAAAATTGCTACAGCTGAAAGCCCAGGGAGGCCTTTCAGCACAGTGATGGGTGAATCTCCTGAGGTTTAGAGTTCAGGTTCAGTTTGGGTAATGGCTTAGCTGCTTTTATGCTTCCTGAAGCTTAATAGAGTCTGGGGGAGTAAGAGGGGGTCAAAACAAGGGAATTGCTTTGAGCAGGGGATTGCAACTGCACAGATTAGAAAAACAGAAAGGATGGCCAGAGAGGCATGACCTTAGCCCAGAGATGGCACGTGGGGGGATTGCCAGGGCACTAGTCCTTGGCTACAGCAAATGAAAATGGAGAAAGATAAGGTGCCTGCTCTCTTGCTTCTTATTCTTAGGCCTTGAGTCAAGTTAAAAACATGAAGGTCATATATACAGTTCCCTTTGATCCCACCTGAAATGCAGTTAGAAATGTGCCTCATGTTTTCTGCCTGCACAGTGTTTCACCCATTCCTCTGGACTAGCAGTGACCCACAGTACCGTATCTTTCATCCACTCAGCAAATGTATTGTAGGGCCCATCCCATGCTGTACAATGTTTTAATTGCTGGCTTTAGAGCCAAATTACCTAGGTCCAAACCCCAACTCTACCACTTATTTCTAAGTTACCTTAAATAAGTTATTTTACCTCCCTATGTCTCAGGTCCTTTCAGTAAAATGACGATAATAATGTATCTGCCTCATAGAGTAGGTTAAGAGGATTGTTGAGAAAATTAAATGAGTGAATATATGAAAAGTGCCAAGAATAGTGCTGGGCATATAATCAGGCCTATATCGGTGAGGAAAGCAGACACTCATCAATTAATTACCAAGAAAGTGAAAAATTATATCAACTGTAGTCTGTATTATGAAAGAAAAGCATATGGCTCTATGAAAACACCTAAAAGGGAGACATGGATTAATCTGAGAGCGGGAGAATTGAAGAGAGTTACCCAGAAGTTTGGAAGTGGTCTGGTCCACTTAATTTCAAGCTGGTCCACAATCATCTACCTTCCCCTAGACAAGTGGTTGGTAAACTTTTTCCGTAAAGGGCTTGCCATAAATATTTTAGGCTTTGCAGAGTATAAGGTCTCTGCTGCAACTTCTCAACTCTGCCACTGTAATGTGGAAGTGAACATGGGCAATGTGGATTGCCTACCCCTGCACCAATTGTATTTCCAGGCCTTAGACCCTGTCTTAATCATCTTTGTATCCACAGTCTCTGATACCGAAAAGGCTTTCCACGAATGTTTGATGAAGAAATAAAAGATTAAGTAAGCAATACAAGTACCTACTCAGGAGAATACCTTAATCCCAGGTTTCTATTAGGAATATTGAGGGGTCAAGATACACTATAACTTAACTCTTGCCTGTCAGAGAATGTTTCTCTGATAAATCCACCCTCAATGCTCATTATAACAATTACTATGATATTGTTGCCTCTATTTTCAGCACTCCATCTCAATGAAGTCATCACAGTATTATCTTATTTCACATTTAATTTCAACCCAGGAGTTTAAAGAAGGGGTTATTTGCTCCTTTGAAATAGGGTAAAGGAAACCTAAAAAGAGATTGATATAGTTTGGATAAGTGTCACCTCTAAATCTTATGTTGAATTGTAATCCTCATTCTTGGAAGTGAGGCCTGGAAGGTAATAGTATCATGGGGGCAGGTTTCTCATGAATGGTTTAGCACCAGCTGCTTGGTGCTGCCCTCGTGATAGTGACTGAGTTCTCATGAGATTTGATCATTTAGAAGTGTGTAGCACCTTGCCTTCCATTCTCTCTCTTGCTCCTGCTTTCACCATGTGATGTACCTGCTTCTGCTTCACCTTTTGCTTGAGTAAAAACTCTCTGAGGCCTCTACAGGAGCTAAGCAGATGCCAGTGCCATGCTTGTACAGCCTGCAGAACCCGTGAGCTGATTAAACCTCTTTTCTTTACAAATCACTCAGCCTTGGGTATTTCTTTACGGCAAGGCAAAAATGGCCTAACAAAGAGATGTTGCTTTCTAATCCTGTACTCTTGGACCAAATCCAGCATATGTTTCTAGCTGAGATTATCAGCTTTTGTTCAGAGATAACATGCTTTTCCTTCCATAGCTTTATGTTGTTGCTGGGAAACAGCTGCTCAGAATGATTCTATCCGTCTGCGACCCCCCACCCTTGCATCTGAGATGATTTGACTAATTCTCACCAATAAAATGTGAACAGGAGAGACAATTATTACTTTCAGGACAAGGAGCTACAGATGTGGCATGCCTTGCTCACTCTTTGTCTCCATCTCCAGATGAAGGTGGAGGTTTTCAAGGCAAAGAGGAGGATGGAGCCACAAGATTCACTCACTACATAGAAAGCTACACATTGACCAGGAACACTCATGTATTAGAGTTCTTCAGAAAAACCGAGCCAATAGGGCACACGTGCACACACACACACACATACACACACACACAATGTTAGCTCACAAGGTTGTGGAGGCTGAGAAGTCCCATGATCTGCCTTCTACAAGCTGGAGACCCAGGAAAGTCTCTCTTGTAGATAGAAATATACTGTTAAAATGTGCCTCTAGTTAATGCATCCAAATTATTACTGTAAAAGCATGGGGCCTACCTCTTTAAGCCAGTGCAACTCAGTTGTTCTGAGCGCTGAGATTCTGGATTTCCATGGCATCCTTGGGAAGCCTACTTCCTTATACAGTAAATAAGGGCTTTGAGAGTAGACAATGAGTTTTGCTTCATAACACCATGTGCAAATGAGGGTTGCTTGTCTAAAAAAAAAGCAAAGTCCTGAAATACCTGCAGCAAAGGTATCTCCATAAAAGATTCCAAATAACAGAGGTCTTCTGGGCTGCCTAGAGTCTAAAAAAAGGTGTTAAGCACCTTAGGTGTCTGTGTGCCCATAGTATGGCAAAATCTCCTCACCATAGAGGGTACTAACTCTCTAACCTACACACAGACTCACACTTTGATAGCAACAACTGCAGTATTAGAACAAGGAAATCAGTCTGGCTCTGAATCGCAGCTTTGACGTCAAGTTGGAGTGTGCCTTTGGGAAAGTCACTTTTTGGGGTGGAGCTTCATCTTCCTCACTTCTAAATAAGATGTACTCTATTCAGCTTTTTATTGGAGGAAGTGGGGAAAGGTTCTATATCACATGCCCTTTTGAGATTCTGAAGAAAAAACCATAGACTCAGGAAAAATACATCTTTTTCATACAATATCACTGAGAAACAGATTTCCTGAAGCCCATCCATCAATCCCATATCTACCCCTGGAATTCAGGTACAGAATCTCTGGGATAGACTCCCATCTGGCAGTAAAATTCTATGACTCTAAGGAGAAAAGACGCAAAAGTAAGCAATAAAATCAATGGCAAAACCCTGGGAAGCATGTAACGCAATCCTGTTTTTCAAAAGGTTCTGATTTCTGAGCGGGATAGTTGGCTTTAATTTGCATTTGATTTCTGTATGTGCTTTACAGTATAAATTCTAAGTAATTTGATGAATGGAAATCTCCCCTGTGTCCACCTGTCCCTCTCCATAGCTCACCTGTAATTCTCTGCAAGCCTCCTAGCGTCCCCTCCCTACCCTGAATACCATAGCACATGCGACGCAGCAGGCCTGCCCCATAACTTCCCCAACACCCTCCAGATCCTTTTCACTCACCTCCCTTCATCTTCATTGCCATTGCTATCCCACGTCTGCTGTCCAGATACAGTCCCATTTTTAATTTACTCATTTTATTTATTATTATCTCTTTTTCAAATATATTGAGGGTGACTTATAAAATGGAGAAAGTTCTACATGTATTCTAAACATAGAAAAATAAACTTGAGATTACGGAAAGATGCAGAAGGGAGACATTTGAATCATAGCTGTTAATAACATAACTGCAATTCCTTGCAGTTAGGACACAAAAGAAAATCTAACATGATTTTCCTTATAGGAAAAATAGAAACAGACACATTCCTCATGGGACAAAATTACATTTTTAATTCTGCTGCTAAATTCTGAAAGAGATTTCTCATGTGAGCCCTTATGAAAATAACAGCATGATATAATAAGCAATATTGTTAGAATATTAACATTTATATGCACACACATTTCCTGGATGTTTGTTGAAGGCCTAGCAAGCCACTGGTTCCTAAGGATCTGAAGCACAACCCAGACGTTCTAGACCTCTGTTGAGATTTGTGCAAGATACTGACTATAAACTAGTCAATTCCAGAACATTAAGATAAGTGCAATGGGAAATACAGAGAAGGAAAGTTGAGGACACACCTGCAGAGAACAGCACATTTCATTCAGTCATATGCTCATTCAGTCAGTGAGTTATTACAAAACATACGTTGTCTTCCTGGGCCAAGCAATGCTGGAAGCCCATAGGATATTTCAGTGAACAAGATGGGAAATGTCCTCACCCTTGGGGAGCTTAACTTACAGTGAGGGAGATAGAAAACAAAACAATTAACGTGTGTGTGTGTGTGTGTGTGTGTGTGTGTGTATGCATGCGCATATCTATGAGGTCAATGATGTTTTAAAAATCAGGAAAAATGAAGCAAGAGAAAGAGAGGGAAAGGAAGAGAAAAAAGAGACCAGAGTTGCTAATTTAACAATGACATTCAGCCAATTCCCACCAAAGAAGATTATTTGAGCAGAGGTCAGAATAAAATGAAAGGCAAAGCATGTAAATATCTGAAGAATAAAAGTTCCAGGCAAAAGGATCAGAAATCACAAAGGCCCTATTTTGGGCTGAGTTTTTGTTTTTTTGTTTTTTTGTTTTTTTCAAAAATGTTATATGTTGAAGTGCTAAACCCCAGTACCTTAGAATATGAATGTATTAGGAAGTAGGGTCTTTAAAGAGCTGATTAAGTTAAATGGGGTCAATAAGGCGGGCCCTAATCCAATATGACTGGTGTCCTCGTAAGAAGAGGAAATTAGGACACAGTCACACACAGAGGGAAGAACACATGAAGACACATGGAGAGGAGACATAGCTGCATGCCAATGAGAGGGGTCTCAGAGAAAACCAACCTTGTCGACATCTTGATCTGTATCTTCTGGCCTCCAGAACTGGGAAAAGATAAATTTCTGTTGTTTAAGCCATGTAGTTTGTGGTATTTTGTTATGGTAGCCTACAGAAAAAGAATACAGATCTAAATATAGAAATTTGTTTGGCATTTATGGTGATGATCCGATTGCCACAGCAGAGTAGGGGATAGATGGAGTGGAGGTCTGAGTGGAGGTCCTCGGAGGCTGTGAGGACACTGTGGGTATCCAGACTCATAAACCTTTGTCCCAACTCTGTGTTCACCTGCTGCTATAGGGGGACTCATCATCCATGCTGATAGAGTCACACCCTAAAAACCTGCCTTCTCTCCCCTTGGCTGCCTGGCAGTTTTCTCCCACACCATGGAGAGGTGTTGAATCCAGAGTCAGGGCAGGCTTCATGTGCCAGAAGTTTAATGTGCCCCAGGTCAACCCTCCACCAATGAAGAAAGGACATGGTGGATAAGTGCCCAGATTCACCATCCCTTGATGGAACAATTCTTAGCATGTTCTATGAGGTTCCTCAGAGAGTGGTGAAATCCCAGTTCCCCACAATGATAACCTATTCATCAGGATACTCTTTCCCGGCTTTCTTTCTTCCCTGTCTCATTTTCATCCCAATATGCTATTTGAATTCAAGCCCTTGTTTCAGAGTCGGCTTTGGGAATATCCCAAACTAAGAAACCATTTTGGACTTTGTTCAAAAATTGTTATTTTTGGAGAATATTGAAGAAGGACTTAACATGACCGGATTTTTCATGATTTAAGAATGTTTTTGGCTATGCCTTGGAGAGATGAGCAACTTAGGTTGGAACTTGAACAATGCATAAGATTTTTAGGAATTTCAGTTAAAAGAATGCAGCATGTAAAAAAGTTATTTTTAGATCAAAGTTGGGTACATCTGCAGGGAGATGAGAGCCAGCTCCAGTGAATCTGCCTGAGAAAATCACAACTGAGTGTGGGTGACAATGCCATCTCCTCCTCTAGGCAATGCCTTCCCTTGTCTCTAGCAGTGACATTTAGACCCGATATCTGGTACAAGATTCAGTTGCCAAAAGTTAAAAGCAAGTAAACTAGCAGTTAGCCAAGAAAGCTGTTATTTATAATGTATAGATGAAGAAACTGAGTCCTCAAAAATAGAAGTAACTTACCCAAGGCCAATCACCACAAAGCCAGGCAAGTTTTGAAGAACTTACTTTTCTTTACATTTCTTCTAGTACCTAACAGATATGGCACTGGGTGCTCAGCAATATTGATTGATAAATAAATGAATGAGCAAGTTATAAGCAACAATCCTAGTTCACTCTCTATTTCTTGATGCCACACTAATGTCCAGTCAAGTCGCAAATATCTGTTCACTACATTCTCTAACTCTTCCTTCTCCCATCCTGTATTGCAGCCCTCAAACTAGGGCTGTGTCTTACAGGGACTTCCTGAACACAGCTTGGAAAGAGGCCATGAAGACAAACAATGAAGGATATAAGTGAATTAACATTTCATGAGAGCCCACTTGGGGGTCTGGCACTATTCCTGGTACTTTATATACTTCTTTGGTCTTCCACATTTTAGAGATAAGAAAACAGTGGCCCAGAGATGTCAAGACTTGCACAATGACACAAAACATTTGGAATTGTGAACCAATGAGTCTGACCCCAAAGGTCAAACACAACAGATACAACAGACACTGTGAACAAAAAGTGCAGCTGAACATAGACTGTGGTGCCTGTGTAAGACCAAAATAGTTTCCAAGAATCAAACAAAATATAATAGGTGAGAAGGCAGGCCCATAGAGGACAGAGAACAGGACTGAGAGTGAGGCAACAAAAGTTCCCATCCAAATGTCACCAACGACCACTGTACGACATGGAAAAGTTACTTAAGTTCTCTATGCTTTTGTTTCTTTATATATAATATGGAAACTTTAATATCTGCTTTAACATAGAGTGAAGTTGTACTGATCTGCTTTGCTAATAATAAGGCACAATTCAAATAACAAGACAAAGGTGGACAAGATCATCTATTTCAATTTTGCCCTCTTCCCCAGCACAAGCACACATGTCCCAGCTCAGATATGTGAGACTCCTCTATAGCAAACCTGACACACAGTTTTCAGTCATTGTGTTAAAAGACATTTTCCTTCATGAAATTATTCATTTCACTGAGGAGTAGCTGTTAGGAAGGCCGGTTCATCTGCTTTCAATGTGGTCATCTCCCTTTGTCATCTACACACTGATTTTTCTTATAGCTTAGACATAATTCATGTATCACATTTGGGAAATTGCTTAGCCTTTCTGTGCCTTTGTTTCCTCATCCACACCATGAGTGTCTGCTTAGATATTCTGTAAGTGTTCCATCAGCTATAAATTCCACAGCTCTGTGTAAGGAGAAAAAAAGGAGAGATGTTTCCTTTGAATGACCCTGCTGTCCCCAGTCTAGTGTCTGGCATTAATCAGGAATATCAGACACAAGTGGCTTCTGTGGGATAAAAGGCAGGTTCATTGTCAGTCCATGGGCAATGGATTCCAACACTTGTTTGGAGGGTTGCTTGGGGCCTTTGATATAATTGATGGAATTTCTGTTTCATGAAAGTCAGAAATGAGCCAGAAACCAATTATGAACATTTTGAACATGGTCTAGCCTAATCCCATCTTTCTTCCTGCCAGTAACCTAAAATTGACAAGCAAAGGAGCTCTCAGTTGCCCCAATATAACAGGAAAACAGCACCAGAATGGGAAGGAACACCCAGGATTTTATTAACTCAATTAAATGTCTGACAAATAAGGTGCTAAATTCACCTCCCAGGGTTTCCATTTTTTCGTTTGTCAAATGGGACCCTGATCCTGCCTGGCCCGCCTCACGTAGCTGCCAGAAGAGTGATAATAATTGGCCCAGTTTACATTGTATTTTACAACCTATGATACACATGAAACAACCACTAACATGAATTGAATGCATATAGGCCCATTAGGAGGAAGCTTTTCACAGATCCCTTTTGGCCCATGTTCAGGGGAAAAAGACCTTAGTTAAATCAATGTATAGGAGGGCTGGTGGGAAAGGGGAAGGATTGGCATTTGGAATGTGCATCAGTCATTAACACTTTAGTAAGAATAAATTTCCAACCTTTCCCTAAGCAGGCTTGGAAAAGGGATATGTGAAGATGAGGCCACATTGGCTACAGAAAGCTCTAAGGAGGAGAGGGCGAAGGGAAAGTGTAGATAATATAGGGAACAGGACCCTCTTGCTCCAAGAGGCAGCCTAGAATCATAGCATTTTGGAGTTAGACTAAATCTCATCTGAGATGGCAGCTCCAGTGTTGTAGAGTCTGCATTTAGTCCATTATGTAACCCCTCTGAGCTCAGTGTTCTTATCCATAAACAGGGCTGTATTCGGGGCTGCTGGGAAAATAAAACAAGTCAATGCATGTGGAGGGCTGCCCAGTGCTTGGCCTGGAGAGATGCTGGTGTGTCATGACTCTTGATCCTCTTGCAATGCTGCTTGGGCTAACTGCACTGCAAGAAGTGGACTGGTTTCTAGATTATTGGAAGATTAGAACCAGGAAAGAGCTTCAACACTGCATAATTCTGGCCCTGGGTTCAAAAGTGCATCCTGGGCCCAGTTTTGCCCATAACTTGCTCAATGTTCTTTGGGGAAGCCCAACCATCCCTCTGAGGCTTCACTTTTCAATCTCTAAACACAAAAGTTGGATAATTTCCCCCATTGAGATCCCTTTTGCTTATAACAATCACAGAAACCATTGTGCGCATGTGTGCTAAGAATGGGCTTGTGAGAGCAAACATTTACTTGGGTGTTTACTATGCCATACCCCAGCACTTGACATGTTGAAGCTTTTTAGTCCTCAGTACAGCCCTATGAGACAGGCCCCTTCATCATCCCCATTTCTCAGAAGAGGAAACAGAAGCACAGAATACTTAAACAACCACCTTGAGGTCAAGAAAATAAAGTCTTCCATATTAAAAACCAGGCAGTGTGGCTCCAGAGCTCAGACTCCCTTTTACACAAATACTCCTTTTGAGGTAAATATTCATCTATCCCCATTTCACAGATGGATAAAACTGAGTCTCAGACATTCTCCAAGAGACTCAGACAAGTGGCAGATCCAAGACTCACAGCCAAAGTTTTCTGGTCCCAACACTTGCTCTCTTGAACAATATGGGAGAAGATGCCCTTACCAGGAATTGTGCTCCATCTGGGATCCCACTGAGGTTTTCTCTGTATATGGCACTTCATCTCCTGGCTTAAGTCTGCCCTGACCAGGGCTCATGTTGTTCCATCCAGCTTCCTCTTCCACCCGACTTCTAAGCTGGTTGAGGGGGAGGGAGTCTGCAGGTGAATGAGCAGATGCCTTTATTTTAGATTTATGAGATTCCGGATCAAGTCCCCGAAGAAGCAGATTAATCACAAGAAGTTATTTTCCTTTTAATTAAAAAATACTATCAACAGAGGCTCCAGACCTGCTGATTCTTGGAGCAGACAATAAGGGTGAGCATAGCAAGTGAGCAATATTAATTTCCCCCAACTAATTTAAAGATAATATCCCTCACATGTGCCAGTGACTCACAAATCTGTTTGTGTACCAGCCGTCCTTTACCCCGGGGCTCTGTTGGGTTTCCTCTAACTTCTTGACTATTGGAAGCATCCCCAAGGAAGGAGACGTGCAGAATACAAGGCAAGGGATGCAACTAGATAACCAGCATCTGCATTGGGAACAACAGTCATCTGGGAAGCTGAATGGAAGCACTTTTAGTAAAAACCTGAGAGAGCACCTTCTTCTCAGGGAAAGCATGAGCTTCTGGGCTCAGTGCTGACATGATGTGACCGTGGGCTATGTGTTAAATTGTGCCCTGCTCCCCCATTGATATGTTGAAGCCCTAATGCCCAGTACCTCAGAATGTGACTGCATTTGGAGACAGGGTATTTAAAGAGGTAATTAACTTAAAATAAGGCCATTAGTGTGGGCCTTGGTCAAATATGACTCTTAACCTTATAAGAAAAGGATATTAGGACATAGACACACACAAGCTGGGGGACCATGTGAAGACACAGGGAGAAGGTAGCCATCTGCAAGCCAAGAAGAGGGTCCTCAGAAGAAACCTACTCTGCTAACACCTTGATTTCAGACTTCTAATCTCTAGAACTATGAAGAAATACACTTCTGTTGTCTAAGCCACTCAGTCTGTGGTAATTTTGTTATGGCAGCACTACCAAACTAATAAATTCGGGCAGGCCTATCTCTGGGAAAGTCTTCACATCTGCACAGTAGGAAGACGAATAGAATTGATCTCCAGGATCACTTCTTGCCCTGGATTTCTTAGCTGTGCTATCAGAGTGACCATGAAGTTTGCCTGATCATCCTCTGACACCCTGCCAAGAATAACATAAAGATTTTTAAATACTTAGTAGACTTCAAAGCAGGACTGCTTCAGTAAAAGACAGCCATTCCCTTCTGTTCTCCAGGCAGGCTCAGAAATCCAGACATCCCCAAGATCCACACCTAAGTGAAGCTTTCTCTGACCTCTTTTCATGCTACTCCCCTCTCCCCTTCCTCTCTGTCCCAGGTTCATAAAGTATTCTTCCTCTGTACCCATAGCCCACCACATTTACCACACTATAATGACATTGCTTGCTTGGCACCTTTGATAGGTGGATTGCATTAGTGGCCACAAATAATTGTCCTTCTATATCTCTGTACTTGGCAGCAAGACTTTGTACCTTCTCCTATCAAAGCATAGAGTCTATTTCCCAACCTCTTAAATCTAGGCTGGTCTTATACCTTGCTTTGCTCAATAGAATGCAGCAGAAGTGACTTTGCCCCAATTCCAAGCCTATGCCCCAGCAGGCATGCACAACTTCTCTTACTCTCTTAGACTTCCATATCTGCTACTAAGACAAGCTAAGGCTGTCTTCCTGGTGAATAAGAGTTCACATGGAGGACAGACCAGATTTCCCAACCAAGGTTATTCTAGACTAATCTTCAGGTAGTCAGTACCAAAACAAATGAAAGAGCCTAACCAGGATCAGCAAAACCACCCACCTCACCAAAGCTGACCCTTGACTCATAGGTGAGTATAGTTGAAACCAGAAGAACATCCCAGCAAAGCCCAGCCTAAACCGCTAATACACAGAATTATGAGCCAAAGGAACAGTTGTTTTTAAGCCATCAAGTTTTGAAATACTTTGTTACACAGCACAAACTAACCAATAAATCATTTTTCTTGCCTCTTCTGCTAGAAAGTCAGCATCTTACAAGCAGATGGTGTTACTTAGTCATTTGTGTAAAGTATGCATTAGAGTAGATGTGTGACGAAAATGTATAAGTGAATTGTTTTCATATACTCCTCTGTTCCTACATGATTATGGGAGATTATAGTTTTCAAATTGGAAGCAACGGTATTTCTCATTTCAAATATTCTTCTGTAATATAACTTTGCCTCATTCCCATCAGAAGTTGCAGTCCATTCTCCAACCCCTCAGATCTGGATGGTCTCTATAATTGTTTCGATTAACAAAATATAGCAGAAGTGACACTGTGCAAGGTCTGAGCACAGCCTTTAACTTATTTGGTACTCTTGAAAGCGAGCTGCAATAGAAGAAGAGACACTGCCATGTAGATAAGCCTAAGTCATGTGGGGAAACCTTGGAAGAGAAGTGACATGTGAAGGGAGAGAGGGAGGCAACAAGGACCACCAAGGCACCAGGCATGGAAGTAAAGATGCCACTGTGGAAGTGGACCCTCCAGCCTTAACTCTCCCAGCTGGTGCCGTGTAGACCAGAGACAAGTTGTTCAGGCTAGTCCTTACCAATAACCTGACCCACAAAATTGTGAGCAAAATAAATGGTTGCTTTAAGCCACTAAATTTTGTGATTATTATATGGCAATAAATAAACAAACATGGATAGCATGTTGCAGTAGGAAATCCAGCTCTAGAGCCATTAAATATAGATTCATATGCTGTCTTAACTTTTTACAACAATGTGCTGATGGGAAGCTCACTTAAATGTTCTTATTCTCAGTGTTCTCATCTACATGATAGGGATGGATTCAATCACTCAGTAAAAGTCCCTTGAGAGCTTGGAGGCAACACAGTAAATAAGCTTCAGTTTCTGCCTTCAGGGAGTTTACACTCTGCGGAAACAAGGCAAGAGGCCAGAAACTCACAGAGCAGGGATATCAGTCCTTCTATTGCACTAAGTACAGAAACACTGAAATACATGGTAGGGGTGGGAAGAGTACTGGATTCACTCCTGGGGCTGGTAGCAGAAGTGATATAATATAATCTAGACTGAGACTAATAATGCAAGGAGTTAAAAAAGGGGAGGAGAGAGGGTGAGGTCAGAAAGAGGATATTTAGGAGGAAGAAGAAGCATGTCTAAGAGTTCAGAGCTAGGAAAAAGCATGAGATCTTAGAGAAGAAAGACCTTACTGAATTGGGAATTGATGAATACATAGGATATATATTCCCATTTCAGGTTCATTATTGCAGATTTGACTTATCTAACAGAACCTAAAATGAACATCCTAGACATAGATTATGTGGTCATTTCTAACCATTAGGAAGGACATGACTAGATGAATGTACCATGGAAAAGTCATTTTAATCATTATTGAGATAAAAACAGAATTTGGAAGAGAAAATGGTTTCACAATTCAGGAAAGGATTGGGGAGGCAGCAGAGAATATATAAGATGGTTTAGAAATATAAACTTTTGTTTTTGTTTTAAATAGAAAAATTAGGACTCAGAGTGCTAAAAAAATGGAGTCTTTTTGAGTTGGGAAGTGTAGCTCCCTAGAACAATTATCAAGGAGAATGAATGTTATATCATGCTGTTTCAAGCTCTGTGTAAATTATACCAGCTTCAGGAGTATATCCATTTAATACAGAGACAGAGAATAGAACAGTTGAACAATCATTGAATTGGGGTCTGAAGGTTACAGTGAGAAGTTGCAAGCACAAGAAGTATGATGCCCAACCTAAGAGGGGAAGAACAATGTCCACACAACCTGCTGGGAATGGAGTTCCAGAAAAGCAGATCCTCAACCCAAAGGAAGTAGGGTTAGAGGAAACCCCGCCGCTACCACCTTTACTCAGAGGCTTTGGGTCAGACCGGAAGATGAGTTTACCAGTATATCATTCAAGAGAGTAATCCTGGAGAAGTTGCCTGGGCTTTTGCCTTGGATCAGCTATAAACCTCTCAAGAGGAGAAAATATCAGGAAGGTAAACATTGCAAGTAAATGACCTTAACAAAGTGAGAAATCAGTGTTACTTTCTTGGGCATGGCAGGTGTCCTGTCTGCACAATCCCTTCTAGACCATATTCTGGATTCTAGGAACCTGAAATTATATCCCCAAATGGCCCTAAGCCTGCTTCTAGAGTCTGCACAGGCCTCTTGCTTAGGTCTGCCCTAATAAAAATTAATCAGGAATGAACCAAAAGCACTTCACACACAATTATGTGTTAACCTCAGATCCTCTGAAATTGTATCATCTACTCAGACGTAAGTCATTCCCTAAGAAAAAGAAAATGCAGAGAAGTTTTCCTGACTTCCACATACCCCAAATATCTGGACCAGTCTCAGAGTAATTCAGTAGGTGTTGTGCCCCTAAATATTAAGTGAGAGGAGCTGCTTAGTGCAGAAGAACACATGCATAGAACCATTAAAGCCTGCCAAGATGAAGAAGCAGAGAACAAGTACCTTTGTTTAAGTATACCTTTTCATGAATGTGTGAAGAGTATGGACAAGAGCAGATATTTGCAAAGTACATTGTGCACAGAGACACACAGAAAACAAACTAACTTCCCCTGCACAAAGGGGCCACAGTTATGTCACCCTTCCAAATGTTCAGGTCACCCTCTGAGGTTTAAAACAGGGAAAGTGCAATAGATGAGGCCATCCATAAAAGTAACTAGGTATTAACAGCTAAGTTTCCCAGGAGATTTAGGAAGTCTCAAATAGAGACTTGGAGAAACATGACAGGAATGTGATTATCCCTTTAAAATTTGAGCTTCACAAAGTGAAAAGTTCTGTTTTTGAATTACAAAAGAGGCAACAGAGAAATGATACTTAGCACAAAAGCAAGAAATAGATGAGAGGGAGAAGTGACATTGATAAAGTAACTATCAGGTGCTGGGCATTTAGCACAATCACTCAATAATTCAGTGAGGTGGGTGATATGATTCCCATTTTATAGGAGGCAGAAGATTTAAAAACTTAAGACACTGGGCTAAGATTACAAATCTCCTTATTAGCGGAATTGGGATTTTAATCCAATGACACAAAATAAGAGTTAGACAGAAATGTCTGGTCTGGAAGAAAAGACATCTGGATAAAGCATTTGACAATTAGGTACTCATGACTGGCATCATCTGTCTCTCATTGCTGAGATGTTATTATCATTCACCAAATAACAATCTGAATATCATTTGGATTCCCATGGAAACTAGCCAGTAGGGAAAGAACTGGCTGCTCAGTGAGGCCACATATAGCAGATGCACTTGAAGATGACCTCTAACAAGTCATGCCCTTGTATGTCCCCTCCCCTTGGATGTGAGTGGAACCTATAACTTACTTATCATCAGTGGACTACAGCAAAAAGAATGGCTGTCATTCCTGTGATTAAATTTGTTACATAAGAGTGCCTCAGCAGACTGGAGTTACAAAGCTTCCTCTGACAGCTACTAAATAAAGTTTAGCCTAAAGCTGCCCCCTTAAATATTTTAAGTTCAGCCTATATGTTTCTTTGTACATAGTAAACTATAACCTAAAAGGAGATGTAAACAGACTATAACCTACTCTTGTGCCAATCACCAAGTTTCGGCCAATCAAAGGAAGTCAACTGTTCAAAACACATTCACATATGTTAAACACAGAGTTGTAACCAATTTGGCTATTTCTGTACCTCACTTTCATTTTCTCTACATCACTTGCTTTTTTTCTGTCTATAAATATCTTTCCATCATGTGGCTGCACTGGCATCTCTCTGAGCCTACTCTGGCTCAAGAGGCTACCTGATTCACAAATCATTCTTTGCTTAATTAAACTCCGTTACATTTAATTTGGCTAAGGTTTTTCTTTTTTTTTTCTTTTTTTTAACATGCCTTTGACCAATATACCTGATAAACATCAATGCAAAAATTCCAAACACAATATGGCAAATTGAATCCAGCAGTGTATCAAAAAGCTTATCAACCACAATCAATTAGGCTTCATCCCTGGGATGCAAGGTTGGTTCAACATGCACAAATCAAATGTGATTCATCACATGAACAAAACTAAAGACAAAAACTTCATAATTATCTCAGTAGATGCAGAGAAGGTCTTTGATAAAAATTAAACATCCCTTCAGGTTAAAAACTCTTAATAAACTAGATATTGAAGGAACATACCTCAAAATAATAAGAGCTGTCTCTAACAAACCCACAGCCGACATCAGAGTAAATGGGCAAAAGCTGGAAGCATTCCCCTTGAAAACTGGCACAAGACAAGTATTCCCTCTCTCACCACTCCTATTCAACCTAAATCAGGCAAAAGAAAGAAATAAAGCACATCCAAATAAAAAAACAGAAAGTCAAACTATCCCTGTTTGCAGATGACATGATTTTATATCTAGAAAACCCCATAGTCTCAGCCCAAAGGCTTCTTAAACTGATAAACAACATCAGCAAAGTCTCTAGATATAATATCAATGTGCAAAAATCACCAGCATTCCTGTACACAAACAAAAGCCAAGCGAAGAGCAAAATCATGCACAAACTCCAATTCACAACTGCCATAAAAAGAATAAAAAACCTAGGAATACAGCTAACCCTACAAGAAGAACTACAAACCACTGCTCAAAGAAATCAGAGATGATACAAACAAATGTAAGAACATTCCATGCTCATGGATAGAAAGAATCAATATTGTTAAAATGGCTACACTGCGCAAAGCAATTTATAGATTCAATGTTATTCTTATTAAAATACCATTGACATTCTTCGAAGAACTAGAGAAAACTATTTTAAAACTCATATGGAACCAAAAAAGAGCCCAAATAGCCAAGGCAATCCTAAGGAAAAAGAACAAAGCTGGAGGCATCATGCTACCCAACTTCAAACTACAGGGCTACAGTAAACAAAACAGCATGGTACTAGCACAAAACAGACACATAGACCAACAAAACAGAATAGAGAACCCAGAAATAAGACTGCACACCTACAACTATCTGAACTTTGACAAACCTGACAAAAACAAGCAATGGAAAATGCATTCCCTATTCAATAAATGGGGCTGGGATAAGTGGCTGGCCATATGCAGAAGATTGAAACTGGACCTCCTCCATACACCATATACAAAAATTAACTCAAGATGAATTAAAGACTTAAATGTAAAATGCAAAACTATGAAAACCCTGGAAGACAGCCTAATACCATTCAGGACATAGGCACGGGCAAAGACTTTATGACAAAGATGCTAAAAGCAATTACAACAAAAGCAAAAATTGACAAATGGGATCTAATTAAACTAAAGAGCTTCTGCACAGCAAAAGAAACTATCAACAGAGTAAGCAGACAACCTACAGAATGGGGAGAAAATTTTTGCAAATATGCATCTGACAAAGGTCTAATATCCAGCATCTATAATGAATTTAAACAAATTTACAAGGAAAAAAATCCCATTAAAAAGTTGGCAAAGGGCATGAACAGACTCTTGTCATAAGAACACATACATGAGGCCAACAATTATATGAAAAAATGCTCAATATTACTGATGATTCGAGAAATGCAAATCAAAACTACAATGAGATACCATTTTACACTAATCAGAATGGCTACTACTAAAAGTCAAAAAAATAATGGACACTGGCAAGGTTGTGGAGAAAAGAGAACACTTACACAGTGTTGGTGGGAGTGTAAATTAGCTCAGTCATTGTGGAAGACAGTGTGGCAATTCTTCAAAGACCTAAAGACAGAAATAGCATTCAACCCAGCAACCTCATTACTGACTATTTACCAAAGGAATATGGATCATTCTGTTATAAAGACACATGTACATGAATGTTCATTGCAGCACTATCCACAGTAGTAAAGACATGGAATCAACCTAAATGCCGGTCAATAATAGACTGGATAAAGAAAACATGGTACATATACACCATGAAATACTATACAGCCATAAAAAAGAATGAGATCATGTCCCTTGCACAGACACAGAGGGAGCTGGATGCCATTGTCCTTAGCAAACTAACTCAGAAACAGAAAACTAAACACCACATGTTCTCATTTACAAGTGGGAGCTAAATGATGAGACCACGTGAACACATAGAGGGGAACAACACACCCC
This sequence comes from Homo sapiens, assembly GCF_000001405.40. Classification (NCBI taxonomy): domain Eukaryota; kingdom Metazoa; phylum Chordata; class Mammalia; order Primates; family Hominidae; genus Homo; species Homo sapiens. The sequence goes on along the minus strand of NC_000004.12, from coordinate 14,085,209 downwards.
TTTTCAGAGGGTGGAGGTTGACAGGAGGAAGAGGATCAGGGAAAATAACTAATTGGTACTAGGCTTAATACCTGGGTGATAAAATAATCTGTATAACAAACACTCGTGACATAAGTTCACCTATATAACAAACCTGCACTTGTAACACTGAACTTAAAAGTTACATAAATAAATAAACAAACAAACAAAAACATGCCTTGAAGAAGCAAACAGCCATTGAGTGAGATTCCTCTGGAAAGGGCCATATGACACTTAAGGAAATTAAAATATTTCTTTGATATATTTTGAAACAACTGCTACTTGGGTAGCAAACAGAAGTGGCCTTGCAAAGCCATGCCCCCTCCCCTTTCTGGGCCTTTCCGTAATCTGAGAGAGATTGAGAGTCTGACACCTAAAAGTCTGAAAACAAATGCTTACCGTCTATTCTGAGGGAGGCTTCATCTACATAACAAAGCCACCTTTGCAAGGCAAGCTTCTTCCTTTCTCTCCCTCTTAACCTGTCTTGCCACTAAACCTGGTTTACCTAGTTAATCTGTTCTGGGCATATTCTGAGTCTGAATTCTTTACTGTGGCCTTAGGATGGTATCTATGTTTCCATAATTCACTGGGAAGTTGGGTCTTCATTCTGAAGGCTCCCATGTATATGCATTAAATAAATTTATATGCCTTTTCTCCTAAAAATCAATCTTGCCTCATGCCAGTGATTTTTTCAGGGAAACTTTAGGGGACCAAAGGCCTATAACCCCCACAACTGGGAACTGTGGGCAACTCATAGGAGCTGAAGGTGGTCTCCAGCCAACATCCAGGAAGAATCTGGGGCTTTTAGTCAGACAGCCTCAAGGAAATTAAGTCACCAACAACCTCAGTGAGCTTGGAAGTAGATGCTTCCCCAGTCAGGCTTCCAAATGGAAATGCAGACTGCACTGACATCTTGATTGCAGGCTGAAGAGACCACTGGGCAGGCCAGCTCAACCATGCCTGGACTCCTGACCCACAGAAACTGAGATAATATATACGTGTTGTTTTAAGTTGCTAAATTTGGGATAATTTATTATGCAGTGCTATAAAACAAATACAGTTCTACTAGTTACAGCAAAGACAAGGAAGGATGTGCTGTCTGCATACTCATTATAGCAAATGACAAGTGTAGTGTGTGTGTTTGTGTGTGTGCATGCACGCACAAGTGTGTGTGTATGCACGCACAAGTGTGTGTGTTGACAAACTTTGCACACGATCATGGACTGAATGATGGCCTAGTACTTAGAGTAGCTGAGAGGATGGGAGAATGTCGAGAAAAAAGAGTAAGGTCAATGAAGGGAAGCACTTGGCATTCATAATTCTAAGATGTTTCCACTGTGATATTGTATGCAATGTTTAAGACCTGGCTTTTGGAGTCAGAGGATCTGGTTGAATTCTTATTCCCCTGTGTAACTTTAGGATAATTGCTTAAGTTCCATGTCTCAGCTTTCTTGTCTATAAAATGAGAATAATCGTAGTACCCAACTCATAGAGTTGGCATGTGCATTAAATGAGCTAATATAAGTTAAATGTTTAGAAGCAGGCCTGGCGCAAACTGAACCCTAAATGAACATTGCTATTGTAAAGCCACAGCTAAAATGTTAGTGTTGCTTATGCCTCCTGGAATTCTCAGATTCAACCTCTATGTCACTGTACTTATAAAAAGGCTCATGAAGAGGCCAACAATTTTCATCATCATGGATGAAAAACTGGGTCCTTTGACTTGGCACAAACCACACATTTATCACCATTGAGATCTGTTTTCTAACTGTCTACTGTGTACCCACTAACAGCAAATAAAAACAAAAATAACATAAGCATAAAACAACTCTGTCTCCTGTGCATAATGGATGGTAATCAACCATGAATAAATCGTTCATCAGAAGCAAAGCAAGCTAATGGTCACGCATTTCAGCAAATCAATCACCCACAATGTTTCTGGAAACTGAAACGAGAAACATCTGCAGGGAATCTAGCAAGCCTACCAAGATTAAAAAATAAAAAGGCAGACACAACATTATTCTGAACTGATTTTAGGGTAAAGTTCATCTCCTGGCTGACGACTTCAACTTCGCAAGTGACTATATAATGTGACCTTGTCTTACTAAAATCAGAGCACCAACAATCTGTTTCCTGGAAAGTAGGAGGAATTCACTGGTATGAAAAAGCAAACTTCGGCATCATCAGCTAGGAAGTTGGTATTTCCAAGTTCATTTGGACCAGATATACATTCCTGACACATTTTAGATATAATTTGAGGATCAATTTGATTCTGACAAACTAAACATAATTTTAATGATTAAATCTCTTGTTCTAAGGGAAAGAATTGCCTATCAAAGAAAGTCATAAAATCCTAAAGCTAAAACAAACCTTAAGAAATTAATGAGATTAACATAGGTGCTAGAAGATTAAGTGGTTTTTTTTTGTTGTTTTTTTTTCCCCCAAGATTACAAAGTAAATGGGTGTCAAAGTTGAGAATAGGGCCCAAGTCTCTAACTTCCCAGCGCAGGCTGAGATGTGGGCCTATTCCTGGATGCAGTAGAGGGACACTCCATAAACAGTAAATGAAGCTCAGAGAAGGTAAGTAAGTTGCCCAACATCAAACTGTAAATAAGGGGAAGATTTACAACTTGGTGTTAAGTCTTTCTAACTCTAATAATCTTGCTTTTAGTCTCTTCTATGGTAATACCACCATTGTGAGAGTAAGAACGATGGCTTATCGCATGCATTCAATATATACTACTTAATATTAAAGTTATTATTAAATTGAGTAAGTAGAAACACTATATTGATTTCTTTTTTAGTACCTTGGAAATCAGTCTTGATATTTAACCAATTTCCTGAAAAAAAAGATAGAGTTATATTAAGAAACCTATGCTGCATATTATGAACCACAGAAAGTGCCTCATTTGTTGCAAGTTCATCACATTTTCTCAAAAAGATTATAGTTGAGGCCAACTCCAGAATGCATTGCTCAGACTCACTATCCAGAGGAGGCTCACTGCCTTGTCTCCTATAAGGTCTGCCTTCTCTTTTGAGCCAAGGTCTCACTTAGCTTTTCCTAGAATTGTCTTCAGGTGGTGACTGAGAAAAGTTATGGTGTTATAAGGACCTCACCATTTCAGTCAAATATGGGGCTCCTTTAAGAGGTCATCTTTACTTTGGAACTCCCCATTGGGCTGACATAGACTTTGCCTGTCATCTGTCTCCCCTTGTCCAATCCTGTTTCCTCCCCTTTTCCTTTCATAGGTGTTACTTCCAAATAAAACTTCTGTACTCCAAACCCCATTTATTTCAGTGCTTGCTTCTCAAAGAACCCATCTTACACTAGTTAGACCAGGAGAGGTCTGAGAAAGTAGGTGATGAGATGAGTTTTTGCCCCAAACTGCTCACTGCCCAGCTGATAGACAGCCTGTATCCCTGGTGGTAGGTGGTGTAGGGGTACAAGGTAATGACCCATTACTAAATCTTTCACAGTGAGCTGAAGGAGCTTGCCAATAGAAGTGGATGCATTGGTTTGTACAAACATTCAGGTATATAACATGTATTTGGGAAATGATGGGTATAAGAAAAATAAAATTGATGAATGTTACTAGGTTGCATTGCATTGATACCCTATAGACAAATAATTAAAAGCTAAGGGCAATTAACAAAAATTGAAAACTAAGTATGCGAGTCAGAGGCATCTCTTCCATAGCTTGTCAAGAAGTTCTTATCTCATGAAATGGGTAAAAAGAAAAGCTTAAAGAGCAAGCCCAGGTCTGAATAGTCAGATTGGCTTATTGTAAATGAGTACTGGATGCTCTACCCAGGAAGGTCTGATATGCAAAGTCAGAGTCTTAGTTGGGAAACTGGAACACTGGCAGATGTGATAAGGACCTCAGGGTAGATGTCCCCAAAGACTTTAACTCTCCAGGCCTCTCTGAACCATCCAAACCTATCTAAGTGACCACTTGTCCCTCTTTAAAGCTAGCACTCTGCTCTGGAAGTAAAACATACAGAGGTCTCTCCCAAATAAGATAAGAAATTCACCTTTCAAATAGCTGCTCCACATCCTCTTCTGGGCATCAGGCCTGTAAGTAGGGCCAAATAAGAAAGAAAAGGAACTATATCCAAAAGGAGCTGCAAAGCCCAGCCATCATGAACCAGCAAAGGCTGGGGAAACACATATGAAACTGTATTTCAAGGATGCTTGATTAAGGGTCACTGGAAAATAGGACTGAATGGGGGTGAGTTTATGTGACTGGAACACATTGTCAACATTCTGGCAAGAACCCCAGGAGGTGACACAAAATTACTTTTGGGGTAGCTCTTAGAAGCCTGGAAAAAGCAATAACTCAAACAGAGTGAGTTTGAAATGCCTGAATTTCCAGAGGAAAGAATTCAAAATTCTCAGGAAGTGGATACGTTAAAATAGATATATTGTAAGGGAACGGAACATCTTCCAGAGGATTATATTCCAAGAGAAGTCCTAAAAGATGTACCATTCACTAACTGATGAATGCGGCCATCAAAAACATTCAGGAGTGTTTTCTATGAGCTAACAGTGGGAGAGTCTGTCCTAAAATTGTGTTGCTGATAACAATGGGGTGATGGGGCCCAAAATAGAGGTCAGGTAGCATCACTTAATAGCCAGAAGCCAGGGATCATACTTACAACCACCAATAAGATGGGAATGTCCCAGAACCCATAGAGAGTTATGGGGATAGTAAATAAAATATAGTGCTCCTAAGGGCAAAATCTGTTGGCAGCCTACAAGAGCAATGCTTAATATATTATAACCATAGAAGAACAAGAATGGATGATCACGAGGCTGAGGAAGGTGCCTTAATAAAATGTCATGACCCCTTGCTTAATTTTCAGTCCTTAGTCAGTTTCCAGACACAGAACTAACTGGCTAAAAAAAAGGGCTGATCCCTAGGAGAAACGAACCTGCAACACTACAAGTATGTACTGTAAAAATTTCACCAGGTCCTTTCCCCAGAAAACCTATGGTCCTTCATTCAAGTGGTAATGTACCAGGGAAATAGAAACCCCCAGATGTCTCAAGGATTGAGTTGACATTGAGACCAGAGACCCAAAGCATCATCCAAGCCAAGCTGTTAGAGCAGAAATATAGAATTTAGAAAATAAATGAAATCTTTAACAAAATTCAGTTTGCACTGGATTTGCTGCATTTGTGGACCTAGCTGGAGATCATTTTTCCAGTCCCCAGATGAATAACTGTGACTGATATACTTAGGTCCTTGCACTGTGGATTAACAGCTGTCATTGTGAGGAAAGCTGAGTGGAAGCTTCAGAAACTGTCTATCCTAGCCAAGATGGTGAATGAATTACATACATCTCAGAATGGCAGAAATGAGTCAACTTCTTAAAGATCTAAGGGGTGCAGGCTAGTGATCTCTTTTTTATCTCGATTTGATTCAACAGTCTGGCACCTGTAGAAATGAGATGAATAATTAAGAACAACTATAGACTAGGGCAAACTTAACCAGGTAGTAGCTCTAATTATGACAGGAGGATGTAGTAGAGCAGTTTGACATAGCTTCAGGTCTATGGTTTATTGCCAACTATTTGGCACATTTTTTCTATTTCTTACAGGAAAGAAGATCAGAAACAATTTGAAACACGATACCTGGTGGGCTTCTTTGAGTTCAGAGGAGACACCTTCCACAACTAGAACATCACTGTAACCTATACACTGGATGCTATGAAAGAATGCCATTTTAGAGCAGAGCCTAGATCAAGAAAGGATTCTTCATCAGGTTCAAGCTGCCATGAAATCAGCCCTGCCAATTGGGTCATACATCCTGGTAGATTCTATAATGGTGGAGATCCAGAGGTGGGAGATGTGCAATGTGGTGTTTATAGCAAGCCCCAGTAAGAAAATCACTATAAAGCCCCTTGGGTTCACATGCAAGCCATACCATCCATAGGGGAGAATTGCACAATTTTTATAAACAATTCCTAGTGTGCTGCTGGGTGCTGATAGAAATGGAACTCTTGACCATTAGGCCCAAAATGACCATAAATCTCGAAGTGACCATGAGTTATGATTTATTGGCCATGCAAAGTCAGGGAATTTGGAGGGCCCAGCAGCAGTTCATCATAAGATAAAAATGGCACATCCAGGACAAAGCATAAGTGATAATGAGAGCATAATCCAGCTGTATGTGCAAGTAGCCCAGAACCCTATGTAACCCATCATCTTGGCATCAGTGCCTCTCCCCTTTCACACATCCAAAGACATATAGGGGAGAGGGAGAAAGTCTTGTAGGACCAGCTGAAGACATATGAAAATGACTGAGCTTGGTTTACAGATGGCCTGGCTCAGAATGCAGAGGGAGGCCTAAAATGGATCATGGCAGCATTACATCTTCACTCAGGGATGTCTGAGAAACAATAGTGAAAAAAGTTCTTCCCATTCCCATTCAGCAGAGTTTGCAGACCAAAACTGGTCATCTACTTTGTGCGCAAGAATTTTCCAGAGTCAGAAAATGACTTAGTTACCATGTCAGGGACCAAATATGAAAACAATTAGAGGGTTGTGTACCATAAATTATGAAATAGAGGTCTGTGAATGACATATGGGAACATATCCATCATAGAAGAATCCCTGAGTGACCAAGTAGGCAAAATGATTTATTGTCATTAGCAGCCTTTGTCAGTGGCCGTCTCAGTACTGGCATGATGACATGACCACACAAACCAAGAAGCCAGAGTGGCAGAGATAGAGGCTAGTCACGAATCCAGAAGCATGAACTCCCTTCCACATTCCAAAACTGATGTAGCTACTGCTGCCTATGACTGACTTGACAACAGCAGAGACCAAGAGTGAGTCCCTGGAACAGCACTATTCTTTGAAGAAAATATGTGGTGGTCATTCAATGACACTGTAGCCTTCCCATTTGGAAATGACCAGTAGTTCATCCTACAAGAACAGATACCTATTCAAGGTGTAGAATTTTCCTTTTTCTGCCTGCAGAGACTCAGCCCATATAAATATTCATGGGCTCACAGAATGCCTGATTCACAGACACAGAATCCCACACATGTGGCATCTAGCCAGAAAATTTACTTTATCTTTTTACAGAGAAAGAGGCACGGGAGAAGGTCCAGGACCATGGGGTCTACTGGTTGTATCATCTGAAAGTTGATGGCCTGATAGCGTGCTGGAATAGTGTGCTAAAGGCACAGTGATGGGTCAGCTAAGAGACAACATCCTGTGTGGATTGAAGGGAATTCCCCTGTTTTTAGTATACACATTGAATCTGAGACTTTTCATGTGGCTCTGTGCCCCTATAGGAAAAATATATTGTTACAGAATAAACAAGCGGTGGAAGCAGGTGTGGTCCCACTTACAATCATCTCCAACAATCCACTGGGAGAAGCTATGCTTTCTTGACTCATACCTTTGGGATCTGCAAGATTAGGGGTCTTCTTCCCGAAAGAGGTGCGACAATCCCAATGAACTCCAAGCTACAGCTGCCACTTGCACGCTTTGTGTTCCTTGTACAGTGGATCATCAGAAAAAAAGGTGTCACCATCTTGTCACAGGCAAGTGACTCTGATCAGTAGGAGGAGGTAGAGCTGCTGCTACACATTAGGGTCAGAGAGGAACAATTGTCCATCTTGGATGATCTACTTGGGATCCCAAGTAGGAAATAGTTTTCTGGATCTGAGGTCCCCACTCAGAAATCAGGGCTTGAGTCACACACAGATAGGCCACAGAACACAAGAGGTAAATACTGAGAGTGAGAGAAATTTAGAATAATAGTGAAAGAGAGAGATAGATGATGGATACCAGTTGTGGACTCACAAACATCTGCAGTACAAGGATCTGCAGTTCATCCCACTAACCTCCTCAGAAGGAGAGGTTTACCCTCAGAAGAAGAGGACCACCAGAGCCCTTGAAGTGTTGGCCTTCACAAATGGAGCAAGAAGTGTGTCTGAATGGTGCAAGAGGTGGACACTGTCAGACACAGAAATGGGCCCACCAGTTCCCCTCTCAAGAATGAATGTGATGCCCAGATACCCCCAGCTATTAGATCCTCAAAAGCCTCCTCTGCTGAGGTCACACTCTTGTTGGGGATTAGCTAATAAGTTGTTAGCTAATAAGTTAACAACTGAGCGGGACAATGGTACTAGGATCTGGCCACGTTCATCAAATGCAAGGTTCCTCTAACAAGCAATCTACCGAGTTCTCCTTTCCACTGGTAGAGGCTTTGCCAAGCCTGTGTCAGCCTGACAGCTTCTCCTGCCCAACCCTCCTTGCTTCCCTTCTTGTGCAGCAACAGCCTTTTGCACTCTAACACCATCTCACAGCCTACTTCTCAGAGAACCCAACTTATGACTCCTGAGTACTTACCAAAAGAGAGCTGAGACTTGCCTTTCAATAGTATTTACAAATCTATCACCAATGTAAATTCTGCCTCTGCCCTCAATGAACTGATTTCACTCGTGTCTAAATATCCATTCATCTATGAGCTTAACCTAGATTTTCTCATGTGCTTTAAGCTCTTGGGAAAGTTAGAAATGACCCATATCACTCAGAGGTTATGCAGAGAGTAAAAATCACATTTATATCAGTCACATTTATAAATATACACATTTAAGCTATAGGAAGTATGTATTTATATTCTTATATATTTGAGAATGCTGTAGAAATAGAACATTTAATCAATCATTTCTATCATAAAATGATCTAAATAAAGTGAGTGATGGCTTCATTTCAAATAGACAAATATTTCATGAAAACCTGGTATGGGTTAGGTTCTAGGCTGGTCAATGGGGAGACTGTGATAATAAGACAGAGTCCATAACTGAAATAGCTCTCAAGCCAGGATACAGAGGCATACTAACAGATCATTTCCATTTACTAAACACCGCATTTTTAGTTTGGAACTATTGGGGTGTGTAGAGATTCCAATTTATTTTCACCCACATCTTTTTCTGGGCTCATACGCCAGTTATGCCTGAACGAATGTAAGAGCTAGCAAAATCTGAGTGCTAAATGTGAGACAAGGCCAGGCGCGGTGGCTCATGCCTGTAATCCCAGCACTTTGGGAGGCCGAGGCGGGTGGATCACGAGGTCAGGAGATCGATACCACGGTGAAACCCCGTCTCTACTAAAAATACAAAAAAAATTAGCAGGGCGTGGTGGTGGGCGCCTGCAGTCCCAGCTACTGGGGAGGCTGAGGCAGGAGAATGGCGTCAACCCGGGAGGCGGAGCTTTCAGTGAGCTGAGATAGTGCCACTGCACTCCAGCCTGGGCGACACAGCGAGACTCCGTTTCAAAAAATAAAAAAATGTGAGATAAAAACTTTGATGTCAGGCATAATTTAGTTACCCATATTTGGTCATCCTCATTGTCAAATAGTGAGTTATTAATAAACACTCGTTTTAGTGAGCTCCCCAAGAGAGAGCCCTCCTCCCAGTTTTATTACAGAGTAACTGGTATCTGAGATAATTAAAACCAACAGTGCATCAAAAGAAGGTGGAGTGGAGATGACCTAGGTTCCAGTTTCTAATTTTGGATGGGGTGGGGTTAGGGGAACTGAAACAAAAGAGCTGGGACCAGAAGGGATAAAGAGTTATTTTGTGCCATCTAAAGCAGTGCTCCAAGGGAGAATATTTTGCATCGTAAACACTAGGGCTCTCTAAGGCAGCAACATCCTCTCATTGCCAGGACTGCATGGTTAGGTTATCACCGAACCCTTGGCCAGCTGACTTCTACATGGGATCTGCTTGAGTCTGGGCCCCCTTTGATTTTTCACTTGCCTCTGAGTGATGAGTTAACTGAGCTCTGTTGCTTTCAATGTTCATATCCTTGTGATCTCATGGAGTTGATGGGGTTTGATTATTAGACTTGTTCTAAGAAAGTCGAGGTAAAGTCCCTTTACCAACAACCATTCTTTGTTTGATAGAGTAAAATAAACATTATTCTAGTTTCTTTCCTCTCTCAACTTTGTAAATGCAGCATCATTAGGAAGCATCATTGACTGGGGAGGCATACAACATTACTCCTATCTTCCCTGTTCACTGAATTGTTTCAAAAAAATGAAAGGAGAGGAAAGGAGAGAATGGAAAGTGAGCTGAAGTAAGGGGACAGGAGAGGAAAATATAATGCTGTCATTCTAGCTATGCCCTAAGGACATATTCACCTTGTAGTGGAGGCTCTTAAAAAACAGTCCCCCCAAAAATCCTTGGAGGCTTTGAAAAGAACACACTGCTACCAGAAATTCCTACATTTATATCTGAATGGAAGGGGGTTTTCCATGTATTAGGTATATGGGTTTTATTATTTTCATTAGGACTGCGCTACATTTTCAAAAACAGTTTTGAAAAATAGTATTCAGATAATGCAATAAGAAATGTGCAATTCTTCAACTCTCAGAGAATAAGTAGAAAATCTATTAGTATTGCATTCCAGTGGAATTTCCAGGAAAGCTTCACAAACACAAACACTTCTTAAACTTCCAAGGAAATTTTGCATTATGCAGGGAAAAAAAAATAAAAGAAAGCAGTATCACCATTTTCTTTTAAAGGATACTTCACAATTTTAACATAAAAACAATTCTTTTTACCAATGCTTGGGCTGAATTAGACGTGAAGAAAACATTGGGGGCAACTAACATTGCAAAGAAGGGATGTTATCAGATTATAATTTATTCTGTTTTCTTATAAGCCAAATGTAAAGTTGATTGTAACAGAAAGGCTTAGTTTCAGATTAGCTCTTCCTGCAGGATTTATGAATATCATTTTAATCTCTCTAATAAAGCCAGGCGCGGTGGCTCACGCCTGTAATCCCAGCACTTTGGGAGGCCAAGGTGGGCGGATCATGAGGTCAAGAGATCGAGACCATCCTGGCTAACATGGTGAAACCCCGTGTCTACTAAAAATACAAAAAATTAGCCGGGCGTGGTGGCAGGTGCCTGTAGTCCCAGCTATTAGGGAGGCTGAGGCAGAATGGCGTGAACCTGGGAGGCGGAGCTTGCAGTGAGCCAAGATCACACCACTTCACTCCAGCCTGGGTGACAGAGCGAGACTCCGTCTCAAAAATAAATAAATAAATAAATAAATAAATAATCTCTCTAACAAGAGAGAAAAGTAAATTATTTTCTGATAGCCATGTGGTCCATGTGCAGGCACAGCCCTCTAAACCAACCTGCTGGTAGGTTTCAGAGACTCCAAGAAGAATTGCTCCAAGTCTAGACTGTGCCCACTCTTCCTGCATCTAGTAGCCCCTCAGCAAAGACTAAGATAAATAAAATCTCTCTGACCTTCTCAAAATTAAGGATGTGGAGAAGATGAAAAACAGACAAAGCTGACCAACTTTTCAAGTGAAGAAGGTAAAAGAGTGGCTGTATTGGTCTGTTTTTACACTGCTATAAACAACTACCTGAGACTGGGTAATTTATAAAGAAAAGAGGTTTAATTGACTCAGTTTCACATGGCTAGGGAGGCGTCAGGAAACTTACAATCATGGCGGAAAGCAAAGGAAAAGTAAGCACGTCTTACCATGGTGGGAGGAGAGAGAGTGAGTGCAAAGGGTAAGGCACTATACTTCTAAACAACCACATCTTGTGAGAATTCCATCACAAGACAACACTAGGGGGATGGTGCTAAGCCATTAGAAACTGCCCCCATGATCCAATCACCTCCCACCAGGCCCCTCCTTCAACATGTGGGGATTACAATTTGACATGAGATTTGGGTGAGGACACAGAGCCAAACCATATCAGTGACCAAAAGAAATGACAAAGGCATTCTCATAATGTGAGCACCTACCATGTAACAGTCACCATTATGGGTGTTTTTACATTGTGGAAATAAAGAAAGGCCATCTAAATAAGAACAGACAAAGGCTATTTATTCAGAATTTACTGTAGCAAGAGAGTCAACCACTGTCACTTGCATTTTGGCAGAGATAGAGATCCAAAGGCACACAGAGGCATTGGAAAGCTTTATAGTGGAAAGAATGGAAGGCTTCAGGTGTGCACTGATTAGGGGCAGTTGGCCTGGGAAGCCATAGGTGGGCTAACTAGGAGCAGGGTAACCTGTACAATTGGTTGGGGGGGTGCATATTTGGCTTTCTCTGGTTGGTACAAACTTGGAAATGTGGATATAAATTAGGAAAAATGTCATTTATTAATTAAGTCCAGGCCATTTGGGATTCATTGTTAGAGAAGTTGTTGTTTGACTTTCTGGATTGCCACTAGAGCTAGTGATCTGGTTTCCTAGAAGTGTGACTTACAGCAGCCCAGCTTCCTGGGCTGGTTACTATAGATATTGATTGGATTCCTGGGTTGGTTACTGCAGATATGGGTTGAATTCCTGGGCTGGTTACTGTAGATATGGGCTGGATTCCTGGGCTGGTTACTGTAGATATGGGCTGAATTCCTAGACTTTTTACTGTAGGTATGGGTTGGATTCCTAGGCTGGTTACTATAGATATGTGTTGGACTCCTGGGCTGGCTACTGTAGATAAGGGATGGACTCCTGAGCTGGTTACTGTAGATATGGGTTGGATTCCTGGCTGGTTACTGTAGCTATGGGTTGGATTCCTGTACTGGCTACTGCAGATATGGGTTGGATTCCTGGGCTGGTTACTGTAGATATGGGTTGGATTACTGGGCTGGTTTCTGTAGATATGGGCTGGATTCCTGGGCTGGTTACTGTAGATATGGGCTGGTTACTGTAGATATAGGCTGGATTCCTGGGCTAGCTACTGCAGATATGAGTTGGATTCCTGGGCTGTCTACTGTAGATAGGGGTTGGACTCCTGCACTGGTTACTGTAGATATGGGTTGGATTCCTGGGCTTGCTACTGTAGATATGGGCTGAATTCTTGGGCTGGTTGCTGCAGTTGGTGGGTCAGGGTTTTATTTCATGTGGTCTGGCCATTCATTGTCTGCTTGTATATTCAGCCTCTCCACACAGATTGGCTCATTTCATTCTCACCTCTACTCTGTGAATTAGGGATTGTCTTCCCATTTCATGACAAAGTAAACTGAACTTCAAAAGTTGACAGAATCTTGTTTTAACAACTCAGCTGTTAATTTCCGAGTCACAAATTTAATTCGGGTTTAGCACCATATTACTCTGTACAGACATGGAGACCCTTAGCCTGATCCACTGTTTTAAATCTTGGATGATCAAGAAACACAAGCTTTCCTACTGATGAGAGTGCTTAGGGGAATGTTCCCCCAGGCAACTCTCAGAGCCAGTACCGCTGTACCACATCCTAACTGCTTCCAAAGAAGCTTCTAGATACAAAAATAAGTCTAACAGATGTTGAGTTTCTCCTCCCATTCTGTGTGTCTGTCCACTGTTCATCCCTCCTCCCTCAATTTATCAGTCTAGTACGACAAATGCTAATGCAGGATTTAAGGGCTGGGGTACAGCCAAATGAATTAATTCAGAATTATAACCTATGATTATTCCACATCCTAGTAGATTTGAGAGATATTTAAAGATATTATGATAATCAGCTGAGTACCATGTGAGAAATAGGCTAGGGCATTCATTACAAGAGCTCCCAGTCAATGTTTATCACCCAAGAAGGGGGGATGAGTTTAGGGTTCAGGAAAGCTTAGACACCAAAGATGGGCACCCAGATGGAGGGAAGGCATGCACCTTTGTCCTCAGCTGTTTTCTCTCAGGGCTACTTCCCACCTGTTGCTTAGGTAACTCACCCTTTCCCAGGGCGAAGCTATTCCTTGCATGGTTTGATATCTTCCTTTGCTGGTATCTGTTTCCAGGCCTGGACTAATATTTCTGCATGACCTCACATGGCTCACAATAGCTGATGATAGGCAGGGTTTGGAGTAGAGCTTTGGGACTGCAATCCCATCAATCTCCTCACTTCCAGGTTTTTCTGCCCCAGGAGGTATGTCCTTAAGCCTGTAGTAGAAAAGCCAATATAACTTTTCCTCAGAGCGAGGCAAGTATTTAATCATTACAATTTGTTGCATGGCTCCTCTGGTAAGTGGAAACCTAAAATCAAGGTTTGATAGGGCTGCCATAACAAAGTAGCACAGATTGGGTGGCTTAAACAACAGAAATGTATTTCTTAACAGTTCTGGAGGCTAGAAGTTTAAAATTAAGGTGCCAGCATGGTTGGTTTCTCCCGAGGCCTCTTTCCTTTAACTGCAGAGGGCATTTTCTTATGTCTTCATGTGATCTTTTCTGTGTCTGTGTCCTAATCTCCTCATAGGGACACCAGTCACACTGAATTAGGGCAAACCCTGACCTTCATTTTAGCTTAATTATCTCTGTAAAGGCCTTATCTCTAAATATAGTCATATTCCGAGGTACTGGGGATCAAGACCTCAACAAATGAATTTTGGGGGATACAATTTGTCTTGAAACACAAGGCTCCAGCTTGCATACCAAATGGGACTCCTGGAAGCACCATTTCTACATCTCAATGGTTGGGTCTGCTTGACCAGCTCTGAGTTCTCTCAGACAGCCCCAGCCACCTGGACCAGTAACTGGCACAGAGAACGCTGGAAGTTTCCAGATAAGCCTTATCTAAGAAGATAAGGGCTTGCCCAGTACAAATATTCCCAGGAAGTCAAAATGAGAAGAAATGTCCTGCCCAGTAGTAACGATAAACTAAATAAATATTCAGTTCTGAGCAATCTGATGAGCAACTCTGCCCCCATGAAGGAAGAGTGGGAGTCTAAACGTGGGCTGGGGAAAGGAGGAAAAACTGAAGTAGAGGTTCTCTCTTCTTAGGTTAGAGGCTAAATCAAGGTAGCCTGTAACCTTCTCCCAGCAGCTATTACTGCTCTGCTCTTGGTCCTAGCCATCATGCATGGGCCCCAAGAGCATCCACATTCTCCCTCCATCTTCCCCTCGGCTTCCCAGCTCCAGCACCTGCCAGAGCCCAGTCACTCTTGCTCACTGCCCAGCACGACATCCTCTGTCTCGAGATTTAGGAGCAAAGCATCCTTATCAACTCCTCAAGATCAAAGCTCTGCCAGGAACTTGCTCTCCATGAAATGTATAGATCAAAACCCTGAGGATTTTGACATTTATGTTTTTAATAGATTTTTTTCCTTCTTAAAACACCCACAGGCTGTGACTGAAGTGGAAATGTGTTTGCTTTTAATTGCACTGCATGCTTCATCTGCTCTGAGGCTGCAAATCCTCCCTCTCCTCAGAAGCTTAGCGTTTGTATCAAACAGAGCTGGGAATGTGAAGAGGAACAAAAAGTCTGAAATGCCACACGATAAGAAAATTCTTTTAAAACTCTTCAATAACAGGAATCTAGAGAGAGTTTAATTCATAGATGAAGAAGATTTAGAGGACAAGGTCACTGCAAACCTTTTAATAATTGTTTCTTGCAAACCCCACCCCCCATTTGGAAACTGGCTGCATTTCTCTTCATTTAAAAGGTAAATATTTCCAAGTCTGTGGCAACATCAATCTATAACAAGCATTCAGTGAGTGCCTCATAGGTTCTTTGGGGCACAGAAGGATGAACGAGGTGTGGCTCTCATTTCAAGTTGCTTAGAACCCAGTATTTTCAAAGTGGTTCTCCAGACTGCATACATACACCAGAGACATAAAACTGGAAACCTTTTCCCATCCGAGTCCAGCTGGTCTCGTGCCTGAAGTTCTCCTAAAGGTTTTGCTTAAAACATTCTCAAACCACCTGTTCACACATCTGAATTAATACTCTCTTCTGTGTTCTGAATTGGGATTAGTTGGAAATATTAATAATCCTGCTTTCCTGAATAAGAGGATTATAAGCATTCTTTAGAGGTCTCAGAGTTCAATTACTAACTTCTCTGCATAATAATAAGTATCATTCCTTCAACAGCAATATTTTCATTAGAATGAGCAAGGCTGAGTTGCTTGCTCTAATACCTACTCTGGAGATATATATTTCTAGTTTCAAACATATGCATCTAAACTAACAGACTCTGAGAATCACTTTTGGAATAGCTCCCTGTAAAGGAGTCAAGTGCAGGCAAGAGATCTTCCCCATACCTGTCCCTCTCTCCCTCCCTCCCAGTTTCTGACCTTAGTTTCTTCCTCTTTCCTGCATAATTGTAAACCAGAGCATCTCAATATGAGGTAAGTCTGAGAGTGTATACATTGTTTCTCAGGTTTTTACACTAACCCCACCTTGGATTCAGGCTAGCCAATCCCTAACCTAAAATGGCACAACTATCTCAGGTGTGTACGAGTTGACATTTATTTTTAGGCAAGACACATTGATCTGGCACCTAATGTGCACTATAGCCTGTACTGGTTCTACCTTGGATACGAGTTATGGAAAACAAGGTGTCTGTCCTGTTATAGCATCCTGGTAGTACTGTCATACAGGACACGATATCACACAGAGACATCTGTCCTCTGCTGCAGCTGGTTCTTTTCTTCCCATAGCTCAACATTTGCTCTCTCTTCTTCTCCACTTACCTACCTAATCTCTACCATCTGGACCAGGAGATGTGCTTTGCTAACACTGTAAAATAGATCATGCATATAACCATATTACTTCCATTTTAGAGATGAGAAAACTAAGGATTAGAGACTATAAGTGATTTATATGTAGTATTCACATTCACGGTGAGTAGTTGAAATAAGTTTAGTTATTCTAAATCCAAAGCTCATGGTCTTTCATCAATATAAAGAATTGATGGTGAAATTATATCTTGCAATTTAGACCTTTGTGGGAAATGCATATTTTTAGGAATATTATCTCATGTTGCTGTCACCACAGCTCAATGGGAAAGATAACATAATATCATGCATGGATTTCAACCTACCTCAGAATAACTCAGAAAATTAGGACAATCCTTTATAATATCACAGACTCACTTTCCTCATCTGAAAAGAAGGATAGATTTAAATAACCTTCCCTTGAAATGCTCGAAAACAGAATGAGTTAGAATAGAACTTGAAACATCTTTCCTAGCACTTTCTACTGGCCACTTGATTTCAACTCCCTTTTCATCTGTCTTAATTTCATACCAGCCTAGGTTGAATCAGATCATCTCTAAAGTTCCTTTCCAGGCTTAAAATTTTATTTAAACATACGTAGCCATTTCTTATTCCCTTCTTTCTTGTAGCCACGTGACTATGCTATTTGGTTCACAGCCAAATTATGCAAAGAATTTGTAAAAGATTGATAGGATGGTCTTTTCATCCAAGCATACATCCATGGGCTATAATTGTGTTGATTCCAGATGACTTTAAGTGACATCAGAGGAAGTTTCCTTTCCCCCTTCCCCTCTACCTCCCAGGCTATTATTGTTAACATCAGCCAGAGGTAAGGAAGTGATAGGTACAGGCAACAGACACAGTAAATGAATTATCTTAAGCAAGTTATTCCTTGGCAGTGAGGCAAGCAAACCAGCAATTTATCTGCAGTACAACTCCAAGTTTTTCCAAATCAGCTGGCATAGTGTCTTCACTGGCTTGCATATTCTACCTAGTTTTCATTTTTCTAAAAAATACGGGAATTCTGTTCATGTTTTTTTTTCTCCTTCTTTCTTTTCATTAAAAAGTAAGTACTTTCTAATTCCAGAGACTGATTAAAGAGTAGACAGGAAGTCTGACAGTTATCAAATATAGAGAATTTGAAGTTAAAATCACGGTCTGTAGTAGACTTGCTTTTACATATTGATGCCAGAGTCACCTAAGGTTATTTGAGGTTAATAGTTGATGATTGAGCTGTTCAGTTCCCCTCAATTTGGAGATTAATTCTCCTTCTTTGCAAAGAACTCCACCATTTAGTCAGGGTTCCACTCTACTGGGCTTGTTTTCTCTCTTTTCATTTAATCTAATTTGATGAACCTAATCCTTTGCACCAGACCACCTCCATCACCCAGCTCCCCAAACCCAAGGGGGGGGGAACAAGACAAAAAATAGTTGAAAAATGTATCTAATCAACCAGAAGCAAATGCATTTCTAATTCAAGATTATGAATATGGGTCACCCTTTAGAACAAGCAAACACAAGTCAAGCATCATTCTTCTTAATTTGTTCCAGGTCATTGTTCTCCTCTGCCTGGCTGCAGAACGCTAATGGATCATCTTGATAAAAATTCATTTTTTCATCCATCTGTTATATTGCACTTTTAATGTCAATTTCTCCTAATGTATCTTGACTTTGCCCCAGCCCCAGCTGCAAACACACTACATTTTATTAGAATAAAGCCTCATGTCTTGTGTCTCTAAATGAGAGAAGTAGCTACAAGATCATTTTCTCCCCCTGCATTTGCAGTTTTAAATTTCAACATATGTTAGCATAATGCTTTCATGCAATACTATTTCTAAAGACAGAGGCCCTTCTGAATCAATTTCTTACATTCAGAACCAGGTCAAATCAAATAAGCAGTTTATGCACATAAGAAAGGTGGTATCTGATGGCAACAAATGTCAAAGGCAATAGAGAAGAGAACATTTCATTTGGGAAACAATTCTTAAAGCATAGAAAGTTTTCTTCTATCCTAATCAAATGAGAAAATGGAAGGGGTAAAAACTCTCCAATTTTTTCCATAGCCATCTGACAAAACTAAGACCAATTAAAGTTTTTAAAGTAAGAAATGCACAGACAGATGACTTCTCAAGTTCATATATGAATTATAAAGTTATGCACTCAGAGTGGGAACATGCTTCTAAGCAAACCCACACCTCAGCAGCCCTTCTCTGGCTGTAACTCCAGATATCAGAGCAAGACTAGGGGAAACTTGGCAAAGTGAGATACAACACTGTGATGGCAAATGAGGACCCACAGCCATATAATAGGAGAGACAAGACAGATAAAGTCAGATTCCAGTTAAAAGTGAAGAAACTGAAACATGAATAATTTTAAGGATTTGCCCAATATTAACATTTGCAACAAAAAAGACAACAGCAAAACTCAGACTGTTGGATGTAAGTCATAACTTGTAGACCTTGGGATACCTTGAAAGTGTCTTAAGGGAGAACATGACAGAGTCTGTATACAGCAGTGTTTTAGGGAAATGAGTGAATATAATGCATTGTTTCTCCAAACCACTGAGTCCTATCTGCAGGGACTTAGGAGAACAGCCTATCAGTTTCTATTCATTCTGGCATTTGGGGGACCCCAAAGATGATTATTGTTCTGTTGCTTCCTGGAATAGCATCCTTACTCCTTCCCATGATCTACAAAGCCTATGAGATTTGAGGCCTTCCCTGACCTTTCTGCAGACCTTACCCTTCCTCCTATGCTGCTGCCCCAACACTGGCCTTGTTACCACCACAGTACTGTGATGCTAGCTATTCCATCAACCTGGGAAGCTTCCCCCCACCCACCCCGAGCTTTGCACAGCTGGCTCCTTCTCATTTGTTTCTCATTTCAGATGTTTCTTCCTCAAATTGACCTACCCCCAACCACCCTATGTAAAATACCTCTCCTCATCACTCTTTACCAGTAGTAATTCTTTGCATTGGGATTAACGCTATTTGATATTTCCGTGTTTGTTTGCTTACTGTCTTGCTCCGCACAGAACACATTTAGAATGCAACCTTTTAGAGCAGAAAATGTATCACCAATGCCTGGCACATAATGGAATCTTGACAAATGTTTGAATAAGTGTAGCACAAACCCAGACAAACAGATTGGAAGGCAAAACTCCCTTCAGTGTTGGTATGGATGCTGATTTGAAAAAAAAAAAAAAAAAAGGATTGCGGGGGAGATTATGAAAAAACTATTTCTTCCTTCCTGGCATTGTTTTATTACCATTCCCCACTTCCATTAACTGCCCTCTCACCTAGCGTAGTCAGTATTCATCTTTTTATTTGTATGTCCTTGCAAGGCAGTAGCTTTATTATATATTTAAATTTGCCTAAATGATTATATATATATAATTCTGTTTCTTTGTTCATTCAGTAACATATTCTTAGACATATTCTTGGTCATAATTTCATATGTAGCGTATTATTTCTAGCAGCCACATGCTGTTCTATAGCATGCCTTCACCAAACCTTACATTTCCTTTCTCTTGTGCTGAGAAACTCCCTGCTGCTATGAAAAGCACTGTGACAAATCTGCTCCTTTATGTCCCATTATGAATGTGAATGGGGATTTCTCTAGGATATCTGTCCAAGAATGGAATTTTGGGGCCATAGGGCATTTGTATGCCCTAATTTGACTAAGTTCGACATGGAAACCTGCAGTTCCTTGGATTTCTGAATGCCAAATTGCCCAATACACCTGCCAATTCCAGCTTTCTAATTTGTATGAATCTGATCATTTTAACTGATAAATCTTTGTTATCCTATTTTTTAAATTTGCTTAAAAATAAGTTTGAGAACCTTGTTATATGCCATACGTATGCGTATATGTGCATGTGTAGACATACATATGTATATGCCTGCATATTTTTATATATTTTTTTCTATTCATTTTGTTATTTTTTTCTAGGCTGGTTACCACATTGTCTACAAAGAATAACATTCACATCTTCTCCTAAAATTCTAATTCCTTTGGCGTATTTTCTTATAATTGAGTGCAATGCATCTGGTGCACATGAACAATCATTGTGATAACTTGTTTTGAATTTTAGAGGAAATACATCTAACTTCTAAGCATTTTAGCTTTAAAACTAGCTTACTTGTTGTTAATCATTCCAGTTTTCTGATAAGTGTATTGAAAGGTATAATACTGTAAAACATTCACATATGCTTTAGCCATGTCCCACAACTTTTGATATGTGCTGTTCTCATTGCCCATTGTTCTTTTTTTTTTAGACAGAGTCTCACTCTGTTGGCCAGGCTGGAGTGCAGTGACATGATCCCGGCTCCCTGCAACCTCTGCCTCCTGAGTTCAAATGATTCTCCTGCCTCAACCTCCTGAGTAGCTGGGATTACATGCACCACCCCTGGCTAATTTTTGTTTTTTTAGTAGAGATGGGGTTTCATCATATTAGCCAGGCTGGTCTCAAATTCCTGGCCTCAAGTGATCTGCCTGCCTCAACCTCCCAAAGCGCTGAGGTTACAGGCATGAGCCACCTCACCCAGCCCCATTGTTCTAAATATTTCATAATTGTTAAGACTTTCTTTGTAATTCAAAATTATTTAGTAATATGTTACATATACTTATAGGATTTTAAGACTATATTTATACTCCTTATTTCTAATTTGACTGCATTGTGGCCATAGAAGGTATTCTGTATGATACTGAGATTTAATTGGTAGTCTAGCACTTGGCCAATTTTTGTCAGTGTTCCACATATGTTTGAGAAAAACGTGTATTCTCTGAGCAGTGAGAGTTCGTTTAGATTTCTATAATTTTTC
Organism: Homo sapiens; assembly: GCF_000001405.40. Taxonomy (NCBI): domain Eukaryota; kingdom Metazoa; phylum Chordata; class Mammalia; order Primates; family Hominidae; genus Homo; species Homo sapiens. The sequence continues at coordinate 14,063,910 of NC_000004.12, read as the reverse complement.
TTCATCTTTCAAGCTCTAAGTGAATTGTGTTAAATTATTTACTTATAAATATTGAGTTTTTTATTTCTTCTGCCATTTTGCTTCCGTTTATATAATTATATTAGTAGTGCATATATGTTCATGAGAGTTATAATTTTTAATGCTTTTGGTTTATTTTTTAATTTTCATAAAATATCCTATGATGCCATAGGAATGTTTTCTCAAATTCAATTTTTTAGATTGATTGCCACTTAAGCACTTTTTGATGCTGTTGTTTACAATTGCTTGATAGTTTTCAACCTTTCTTTTCCCCAAACATTCTGTGTCTTTCTGTATTAAGAATGTCTTGACCAGGCACGGTGGCTCACGCTTGTAATGGCAGCACTTTGGGAGGCCGAGGCAGGTGGATCACAAGGTCAGGAGATTAAGACCATCCTGGCTAACACGGTGAAACCACGTCTCTACTAAAAATACAAAAAATCAGGTAGCCGTGGTGGCGGGCGCCTGTAGTCCCAGCTACTCGGGAGGCTGAGGCAGGAGAATAGCATGAACCCTGGAGGCGGAGCTTGCAGTGAGCCGAGATCACACCACTGCACACCAGCCTAGGCAACAAAGCAAGACTCGGTCTCAAAAAAAAAAAAAAAAAAAGTCCTTTGTTGGAAAACATGTTCCTAGATTTTGTTTTTGCCTTTCTTTTGGTAAGTTTAACTCATTTACATTCATTGTAATTTTTAAATTATGCATCATATTTCATATTTCAATTTACTACATTTTCATTTTATTTGTTTTCTTATTTTCTATTTTCTATTGATATGTCAAATTTATAATCAGTGGTTTAAATTCATATTTTTTTATTATGGTAGATTACCTTAAACTGATGGCATTTACTAATATTTAATGACCTCTATTGATTTTTTTAAGATTACAATTATCTATTATTTTCCTAAAACAATACAAGTAGCTTACAATGTATCTTTGATTGTCCCTATGTTCACTTTTTTGATATTGCTAATAATTCTGGATTGTTATAAATCTCCTTCTATTCTTCTTTAATTTTCTTTGATCCTTGCTCTTTTAAAATATAATGAACTTTACTAAGTGTTTTCATCATCTTTATTTTCTTTAACTCTTGTGGCATCCCTCTAGAGTTATTTCTAGTATTGGAGTACTTTCTGTAAAAGAGTTTCAACATATGTATTCAATTTACAAAATTTTAAAGACTTTGTAAGCTGGAGTATCTATTTATTGGATCCACAAATTTTAATAACAGCATGATTGGATACAAATCTCTAGATGCAGAGGAATTTTTCTTCAATACTTCAAACATATTACTTCATCATTTTCTTGCATCAAATAATGTGATTCACAAATCTGTCAATTAAATTATATATTTTTTGTAAGAGAGCTATTCTTTCCAGAAGCCTTAACTTTTTTTTTATCTGTTATGTTCTTAAATTTTACTGTAGCATATGTATGAGTGGGTGAATTATTTAAGATAGATCAGCTATGGTGTGGTAACCCCCAAACACCAGTAACTTAATACAATAAAGATTTATTTACTTACCACACAAATTTCAATGTAGGTTTACATGGTCTCTTCTCCACCCCATGACTCAAACATCTAGGTTCCTTCCATCTTCACAGGTTCTCATCTCAACAGATGGCCTCCTTGGTTGCAATGAAAGACAAAGAGAGAGATTAGAGAATTGCATGGGATATTGTCAATGACTAATTCTAGGAGTGCCTTATATCAATTCTATCTACAAAAATATTGTAATCTTATTATAAGGAAGGGAGAAATATTATTTTCCTTTGTGTCCAAATAGAATACTCCTAAACCTCATCCCATCACAGAATCCAGCTCAAACCCTAGAGTCTCCAGGTAATGCTCAATCATTTCTCTCAGATCTAGATGTTAAACCTGACCTGTAGTTTGGTATAAACCAAAACTACAGATAATCCTTTTAAAACTCACATAGAGAGTGGAAAAGGAAGAGGAGAACTGCAATAAATAATCTTATGTGTATAGTAAAAGAATAAAATACACAATAAGTAGCCACCGACCCATAACAATTTTGAAATCCAACTGAGTAGACATTAAGAACACACCTACACCAAGGTTGGTGAAAATTTATTGGTTTCAACCTATGACCAATTATATATATTTTAATTAATTTTAGAGGTGCAACATATTTTCCATATTAGTCAGAACAAGACATGTTTGGAGTTGAAACAAATTTACTTGTCACAGTGACTTACCAGAACAAAAATAAGTTTCTTATTTATATCAGCAGTGGCTCTCCCCTATCCGATATCTCAGAGACCCCAGCTTTTTCTATCTTGTGTTGCTGTCATATGAACAAATTATATAAGTAAATAATCCTATTGCCCACTCTAGTGCTTAAAATCTACACGTACATTGCCTCTGAATCATTCCTTACCACCAAGCAGCCCGTAGAACTTCTGTTAACACTAGTTCTAGAGAACAGTGTTATTAATTTGGATCTAAGTCAATTCACATCTTTAGTATGGCTACCTCATTACAGAATTATGTCTAGAGTAATTTCATATATTGCACAAAAAATTCCCACTCATTTCTATGGTATGCCTTTTCCCCAATCTCTTGATTCTTTCAAACACTCTAATTTTTACAAATGTCCCATATTGCATTTGACATCTCTTATTAGACTAAACTAGCCTCGGGTTCTGATCTACTATGGACCTTCTGTTTCCTCGTAAACAAGGTTTGATGGCCATATAATCTTTCTCTCCTGCTTTTGTTATTGTTGCTGTTTTAGTCTTGACCTTTATCAACTTCCTATTCCTATCATAGCTAGGAGATAGAAAATTCTGTGAGAAATGTCTGTAAGTTAAGTTAATATACCTATAGTAAATATATTAACTTAGCTTACATTGCTTAAAGATGAGGAGTTCTTATGCACTGCTTTTTATTTCAAGTCATTGCAGACCATAAACACTGTTTATTGATCATATGGTCTTATTTCTCCCAACCACCTCTCCACTTCTGATATGATATGGAAATGGTAACACTGTATAACTTCATTTATGAGAGGTTAGAAAAGTAATATGATTATAGAGTTAAATATCAGTGTAATTAAAACATGTATTTGACCAGTGTATTGTTGAGAATACACTGGTCCTGGCCTTATGCTTGATAGTGAGAATTTAAGGAGGAATAAGATACAGTAAGAAGGTGCTCTCAATTTAGAAGGGAAAGACCCACACATAGCCAGTGATTTTTTAAATGAGTCCAATGAAAGATGTATGCACTGAGGACTGGGAGATTGTAAATGAGGGCACCCAGTCCATAAGGAAAAATGTGACCAAGATGAATCTTAAAGGTAGATTAGGTAAGCCCATTTTAAAGAGCAAAAAGAGCATGAGCAAAGACACAAATATGAGAAACAGTATGATGTTGACTTCACCCAGCATTAGATATCATGGGAAATGAGCCTGAAGGAAGGAGTGGTGGAAAATGGAGCCAGAGATATTACACAGTCCAAAATCACTAGAGTCCTTCAGTGCCATGCTAAGGCTCTCAGACTTCAACCCAAAGGGACTGTGAAGCCCTTAAAGAAAATTAAGCAGAAGACTGATCCAGATGATGCAGAGCTTAGATAAATTCTTTGTGCTTCACTCTCCTTACTACATGTGTGCAGAATATTTCCAGAAACAGTCCTTTTTAGAAATCACTTTCTCAGCACCCCTTTGTGTTAAGCATCTGTATTAGGCCCTTCTTTCATTGCTGTGAAAAAATACCTAAGACTAGGTAATTTATAAAGCGAAGAGATTTAGTTGGGTCACAGTTCTGCAGGTTTTATATGAAGCATAATTCTGGTATCTTTGCTTCTGAGGAGGCTTCAGGAAGCTTAAAATCACGGCAGAAGGCGAAGGAGAAGCAGGTGTCTTACATGATGGAAGTAGGAGCAAAAGAGAGAGAGAGTCAGGGCACGGGGGTGGAGGTGCTACACACTTTTAAATGAACATATCTCACAAGAACTTACTGTCATCAAGATAGCACTAAGCCATAAGGGATCCATCTCCATGATCCAATCACCTCCCACAAGGCCCCACCTCCAGCATCAGGGATTACAGTGCAACATGAGATTTGGTTGGGAAGAAATATCCAAACTGTATTAACATCATCTTCTCGCCTTCATCAGCCAAATAATCTGAGTAAACAGGCACCCCTGTGCTACCTGACTACAGAAAGACTGCCTGGAGCTCCTTCTTACACCTGTTGCGCATCAGTCAGGGCAAACCTCCAAAACAGACCAAGAGCAGAGCTCCTCTTTATCACACTGCTCATGGTGAATCCACTCAAGATTTGGTGGAAGTGTATCACATTTACCCACAGTAAAGTCAGGCTCTTGGATATTCGCCATGTTTCCACATCTAAATATGTTCTGAGTTTCTCATTTATTCACTCCACAAGCATTTGCTAAGTTCCTACTATGCCAGTGAAAACCAAAATGAATTTTAAAAGGCAGGCATTGTGAATTTCTCCAGGAGCAGACTCTGACACAGGATTCCTGTGTATTCGGTTCTTAAGGAAGTGCTCCCAGGAGAATTTCATGAAAAAGTAGAAGAAACAGAGGAGGAAAGAGGATAAAGTCAAGCAAGGGTGATTTCAGGCAAAGTCCGAAAGAAGAGAGTTACAGCATGATCCTGCATAGCACTGGAGTGTAAGTTAAATTCCAGAGCTTACCACAATTCAGAGCAAGAAAGCCGGACTTGCATAATCCCACACAACTCAGTCATTGATGAAGCCCTCCCTGAGGGGTGTACCATCCCAGGATCCTCAGAATCTCTTTCCTGCTCACAAACCAGCGCTAGTAACCTAAGGTCTCAGGTGTAGGTCCTTAGAAACAAAGAAACACCACAGCTGAGGCATATGTATTAAGAGAGGGTAAGAAAGATCTGAATGCATCTGAGTAGAATAGCAATTAGATGTTCTAGGGCCATCAGGAAACACATAATTTAATGGGGAAGACAGGAATGTGATCAGAAAGATATACTAAGGAATTTTACATACTCTGAATAGAAATCGGTATATGACACCATTCAATAAATAAATACTGAAGTCATCAGCTCTCCTGTCCATATGAACGAAGTCTTCATCAAAGTGAAGGCGCTGGCTTTCTCTCTGTGCCACAGTGTTTTATCTTATCACCTTCCAGCATGATGAAACTTTATCTTTTTTTAACGACTTCTAGTTTACAATCAGCTGCGCAACAAAGGAACTCTTAGACTTTGTGTGATCTGTGATCAATGTGACTAGCAGGTATTAATTATTTGTCTCCTTTCTTCACTTGATAAAGCCTTCTTGTCACCAACAATCTTCTTATATTGCAAGTTGCAATTGGTCATAAACATTCAAGTTTACCTACAGGGCTACTTTGAATATTGCTATAATCAATGAAGATTTCTCTTAGTTTTTTGATTGACAAATAATTATATATATTTATGAGTTCCATAATGATGTTTCAATACATATAATGTATAGTAAATGAATTAGGATAATTAGCATACCCACCAACTCAAATATTTATATCTTTGTGTTGAGAATGTTCTTTATCCTCCTCCTAGCTATTTAAAACCATATATTTTCAATTACACTCATCCTAGAGTGGTATAAAACACTAGAATTTATTCCTGTTATCTAGCTGAAATTTTGTATCTTTTAACAAATCTCTCCCTATATTCTCTTCCCTCTACCATTCCCAGACTCTAGAATCTTCTGTTTTACCTTTTTTTAAAAAATAGAGACAGGATCTTACTATGTTGCTCAGGCTGGTCTTGAACTCCTACTCTTGAGCTATCCTCCCACCTTGGATTCCCAAAAAGCTGGGATTATACATGTGAGCCACCATGCCTGGTCCTATTCTACTTTTTATTTCTATGAGATAAACTGAGTTTTGCTTCTTTATATGAGTGAAAACATGTAGTGTTTAGCTTTATGTTTCTGGCTTATTTCACTTAACATAATGTCCTCCAGTTTCATCCATGTTGATTCAAATGACAGGGTTTCATTTTTTATAGCGGAATAGTATTCTTGTGTGTGTGTGTGTGTGTGTGTGTGTGTGTGTGTGTATTTCTAAACTCTCACCTGTCACTAGAACCAGAACCTCTTTGTTTTATATGTTTATCAATGTCAAATTGCAGATCACAAATAAAATAATTGTTATTGACTTTCACAAGTTATGGGACTGCTTTCAACCTTCTCCGGAGTTCCTTACCATCAGTGTATAACTCATGACTAAAGATGAAATGCCTGTTTCCATGTTTAACATGAACATCCAGTGAGGTTATTTTCTTTCCTAATTAATTGATTATGTTCCAAATAAAACCAGACAAGATTAAGTGACTCTCCCCAAAATGCTCCTTATTTTAATTGTACATATTTTGACTTGAAAATTGTCTCGTCTCTGGAGGACATAAAATTGTATTCAGTTACTCATCAGAGCACAAGAAATTGGAGTCCTTCAGAATCCTCAATGAGATATCATCTCACGCCAGTTAGAATGGCGATCATTAAAAAGTCAGGAAACAACAGATGGTGGAGGGGATGTGGAGAAATAGGAGCACTTTTACACTGTTGGTGGGAGTATAAATTAGTTTAACCATTGTGGAAGACAGTGTGGTGATTCCTCAAGGATCTAGAACTAGAAATACCATTTGACCCAGCAATCCCACTGGATATATACCCAAAGGATTATGAATCATTCTACTACAAAAACCGATGCACACATATATTTATTGCAGCACTGTTTACAATAGCAAAGACTTGGAACCAACTCAAATGCCCATCAATAACAGACTGGATAAAGAAAATGTGGCACATACACACCATGGAATACTACGCAGCCATAAAAAAGAATGAGTTCATGTCCTTTGCAGGGGCATGGATGAAGCTGGAAACCATCATTCTCAGCAAACTAACCCTGGAAAAGAAAACCAAATACCGCATGTTCTCACTCATAAGTGGGAGTTGAACAATGAGAACATTTTCACACAGGAAGGGGAACATCACACACCAGGACCTGTCAGATGGTTGGGGGCTAGGAGAGGGATAGCATTAGGAGAAATATCTAACATAGATGACGGGTTGACGGGTTGATGGGTTGATGGGTGCAGCAAACATGGCACATGTATAACTATGTAACAAACCTGCACATTCCACACATGTATCTCAGAACTTAAGTATAATAATCAAAAAAAGAAAAAGAAAATTGATGTAAGAAATTTAGACTTGATATTTGTTACATTAAGATGATATATTTCTGCAAAATGATTTCCTCACAGGGTGATTTCTCATGTGCTCAAATAAACATTAGTTGTGTGATTATCTTTATTCCCACAAATTTCCAGAGGGGTTTTGGGGTAACTTATAAGGAATCTTAAGAGCTGATAGGATTAGAAATATTAAATGTAGAAATAAAGAATGTTGGCCAACAAGGGTATGGACAAGGAACCAGTTAAACCATGAGAAAGCATCTTATAATGGCCTACAGCAGTACTGGGATAAAACTAGCAATTAAACATTAATTGAGCAAGTTAGAATATTCTTTATTTTTTTATTCTACTTTAAGTTTCAGGGTACATGTGCACAATGTGCAGGTTAGTTACATATGTATACATGTGCCATGTTGGTGTGCTGCACCCATTAACTCGTCATTTAACATTAGGTATATCTCCAAATGCTATCCCTCCCCCCTACCCCCACCCCACAACAGTCCCCAGTGTGTGATGTTCCCCTTCCTGTGTCCATGTGTTCTCTTTGTTCAATTCTCACCTATGAGTGAGAACATGCGGTGTTTGGTTTTTTGTCCTTGCGAGAATTTGCTGAGAATGATGGTTTCCAGCTTCATCCATGTCCCTACAAAGGACATGAACTCATCATTTTTTATGGCTGCATAGTATTCCATGGCGTATATGTGTCACATTTTCTTAATCCAGTCTATCATTGTTGGACATTTGTGTTGGTTCCAAGTCTTTGCTATTGTGAATAGTGCCACAATAAACATACGCGTGCATGTGTCCTTATAGCAGCATGATTTATAATCCTTTGGGTATATACCCAGTAATGGGATTGCGGGTCAAATGGAGTATTCTTATGATCTGAGAGGAAACAGATTTGCTGCAAAAGCAATGAAAGTAAAAACCAGTATCTATTAGATGTAAGAGAATATTAATTTCTGATTGTACAAATTTTAAGAAGTATAGCATGGCTTCCCCATACTTGGAAGAAAAATCAAATTCTATTAAAGTTAATGTTGAGTGAGGACCAGCTGAGGAACCCAAAGAACTTCTCACTTTACAAAGATAGGAACATTTAAAAAAATTGAAATGGGCAGTTTAGTGGCACCCTGATAAGGTGGCATACATTATCCTAAAGAAAGCTAAATGAAGCCAAAACAGAGATCTAAAAGGAGGGGTTTTAGGTTGCAAACAAATGTGCGTGTCTTAACATGGGTGTGCGAACTGTTTGGAGTTAAAGAATTAGTTATTCATAGATGCATATATAACATACTTTTTACAATGAGTTAACTCAGTTGCACAGAAAAATGTGGAGCCTCCTACTGGATTGGATGAATTGACTCTATAAGTAAATCATACTGTGAGTCAATCACAAATTTAGCTCTAAGCTTCCTAGCAAGCAACATGAAAACAGACAACTTTTATCTTAAATGATTTGAAATACTCATGAAACAAAAATAGGACAATGGCACAGAAGAAGTACAACTTTCCTTGATACTAAGATCCTATAGGAATTTATCCCAATGGTTCTTATAAAAGAGAAAGAGAGAAAGTTTGTGATATGATGAATAAAATGACCTACACAACATCCTTTCTATAAACCTCACTAAGGTTTTTATAAGGGTATTTCTCATAACATCAAAATAGTCTGAATAGATATTACAGCAAAATGAAATTCAGTTTTAAAATATCCTTCAAGGCAAGGTCTTGAATAAAATTATCTCGTTATTTTATGTGATCCACGTGTATGTTCAAGGCTATCTGAGGAGGAGACAGGCTGATGTATCTCAAGCAATCCTCCCCCAATAGCATTTCCCTTACCTGATCTTTGTGCAAAGGTGGAGTAATAGTGGTGAGCTTGGCATTGTCTCTCCCTGTGAGATGCCCAGAGTTTGGCACATCTGTGATTTCTGTTTCATGCAGACCTGTGTGCTGGGAAATCAGCAAGCCAAGCTCCAGGGAAATAAGCTTTTCTGGGAACTGAAGAGCCAGATTATAACAAATGCTTGGATGCTAGCCTGCCCATTTCCACCCAGACATGGGATTAGGAAGAACTTTCCTGGAGTGAGATTGACTCAGAAAATTGTTTCCAATCTGCTCACATGACTCACTAATTAAGGCTTTCAAATCCCTCTCTATACGATTGTGGAAAAAAAGACAAGGCTAAATAGATACCCATGTAGGACAAAAACAAACTAATTTTTAAAAACACTTTGGTAAATCACCTGCCAAGTATCCAAATTTGGGCTACTCTACTTACTAAAGGATCCTCCAAGGTAAAACTATTTGGGAGACGTACAACCTCATAAGGCAATTTATTAATGGAGTTATAAGATTATAAGCAATGTAAAGTGAACCCCCAGAATTCCCCACTAATTTACAACTCATCCATCAGTGTATAAAAGTCTCTAGCTAATCCTGACCCTTGGATGTGTACATTTAAAAGGTTAATTGTGCTATATTTTCCCAAAAGGAAACTTTTCTGTTTACCCAATAATTTCATTTCTAGAAATTTACCCTACACATATACATGTAAATGTGTGAAAATCTGTACCATCTAGAATGACTGCTCCAGCAAGAAGCTGGAAACTATTTTAATGTCTGTCCAGAGAGGACTGATTAAAGGTGAGGAATTCTGTACTGTCATCAGAGAGGATAAATCTATTATATATTGACTGATGGAGAAATAATATAAATAGATTGATTAAATGTCAAATGACTAAAGTGCACAAGTGTTAATGGTATAACTAATGTATGTGTGTGTGTGTGTGTGTGTGTGTGTGTGTACTGAAAAACTGTTACAGCAAACTGTAAACAGAGGGAGGGACACTGGTAAATAGCAAACCACATTTAAACAGCCCACCTAAGCCTCTCAACACCAAAATCTGTGCTCTTTGCACCACATGAAAGACTAGACACTTTTGGCCTCATTTCCAAAGGACACACACAACTATTAAATGGCACGTGGGCCTTCATCAGTTAGCAAGGCCCACACACACTCTTTCCTTCTACACATTACTTTCTACAATCATTCAGTTTTCTTGAATGTCTTTTTTTGAATTGCTATAGAAATGTATCTCCTAAGACCCACACCCATCTCAACCTCTTTCAAGCCATGCTTTTTCTGGCAAAGGGCCTCATTTGTAGCTTTTATTGCCTCAGTTCTTGATTTATTACCACACCCTGAGCTGTCCTGTTGGGTGAATGGTCTGGCTTTTGATCTCAGTATGAACATCCCATGACTGCCCTTGTCCATCTTCAGCAACTCCTTTGTTTTCTCAGGATTATCATTCAGAAACAGATAAGCACTCACACAAACACCCAATTTGCCTGAATACTCACATTGAGCTTACATTTAATAAAACTTCACTCATGATATCAAACTTGTACACTCTGTACAAAGCTTTAGGGAGTTGTTGACTTATCACATAAGGCTTTATTTTTAAAGGAGTTTTGTATCAAAATCACTGAACGAGGTAAAAATCAGATATGGCTCCAAGCAAACTCTAACAAACACAAGATAAAGTCATTGGCTTACTTAAGGGACATGTTTAACCAAAATAATGATAATCTTAGAATCATACTGCTTTTATAGTACTCACCCTATAGAAAGAACAAGGGAAGTAGAACTGATGGAAGGATGAGCAAATTCAGTTAGGACAGTTAGGATAATTTGCAAAAGTTCTTCAAAAGCTAGAAAATTTCTTTCTTTAAATTATACTTTAAGTTCTGGGGTACATGTGCAGAACGTGCAGCTTTGTTACATAGGTATACAGGTGCCATGGTGGTTTGCTGCACCCATCAACCTGTCACCTACATTAGGGATTTCTCCTAATGCTATCCCTCCGCTAGCCCCCCCAGCCCCCGACAGGCCTGGGTGTGTGATGTTCCCCTCTCTGTGTCCATGTTTTCTCATTGTTCAGGTCCACTTATGAGTGAGAACATGCGGTGTTTGGTTTTCTGTTCTTGTGTCAGTTTGCTGAGAATGATGTTTCCCAAGCTAGAACATTTCTAAAATTCAGTTGATGGTGGGGAACAAAGAGCAAAACACGCTGAGATGCTGAACTCTTTTTTGTATTCAATATCAGATTTGTCCCCAAAACAAAGCTGTAGTCTATTTATTCTCAATGTAATATTGAATCTTTTTTGTAACTTCTGCCAACCATTGCTTCTGTTTTTACTGGTAGAACATTTAAGCGTATTTGGATGCTATTATGTTGATGTGTGCCTAAAGACAACGCTATATTTGTAGTTGATCCATAGATCTCTTACTTCCCCAAAACATGGCATATGCCACAATGCTATGAATGTTCCATCAATATTTGTCTTTAGATTAGAACCACAAACATAAATTTTCTTCACTGTTTAAATTTTAATTGTATTTATAGTGGTATTAGTAATAATGTCAGATGTGTGTCTTTGACAGGACAAAACTCCCCAAGCTTTCCCCGATTGTATTTAACAAATGATAAGAACAATTTAACAATTATTGGAATTATCCTGTTTTTTATTGTTTTTTTTTTCTGTTAATTTGAAAGATGAGACATTATCAGACGTTTGTAAAGGTCTTTTTTTTTCCTAATGGAGCCAACGCAGTCACAGCTATGCTTTTATTTTTAATTTACTCAGTTTTGGTACATGCACAAGAAAAATTGAATTTAAAATGAGGAAAATAAATTTAGAATAATCATTGATCTAAATAAAAAGCAATGTTTCACACTTTCTGTAATTGGGAATGTTAATTTGTCTTGTATTAGTGGAGGCTGCAATCAGTGATATTACTGTGGTCCTCATGGTGGATATTTAAATGTCAACAAATATTTTAGGCAAGTTCCACAATTATCATCAGCTTTCTAGAGAAATGAAAATCTCATTCCAAATGTTTTATTAAACATGAACTTTTGTTTTTTGACTCATGATTGTCAAAATAAAAGCTTATACCAAAAAAAGAGATTGTCAAAAATAAAATAGTGTTAATGATTTATGCCACAATATAATGGCAAGGCTACTGCAGCAAGGAAAAGGAGCCCAATTACTCTCTAGACACTCTTTGGCAGTGATCTTCAATCATTACAGCCACAGGTAGTTCAGGAACACCTGGCCTGTAATTCTTCTTGTTCCTCACTGACCCTACTGACTGGTGAACCCAAGTGGCTGACAGGAAAAGCAGCCGCAAGTACTTCTCATACCTCCACTGGAGAGCAGAACAAATTAGCTGTCCCTACCAACCTTCACATCCAAATATTTCATTTCACTAGTAAGTGCCATGCATGCTGTCTTTAAAAAGGAGGTCTTATTTTGTTACTGGAAGGAGCAGGAAAAGAGAGGCAGGCTATCACTGGTTGTTATTCAAAAATCTGTTAAGGAGATATCTCTGTTAACTGTATACTATTAGACATGATGGCAGCAATGCAATTTTTTTTACATAAATCTGGCATGATTATGTGGAGGTTCACAGAGTATCTGGTAAACTGGAGTGTGGCCTCTCTTTGGACTGAAGAACCCACTCACATGGGGTGCAACGGTGGGCATGTGACCCACTGGTCCTTTCATAGAAGCTACTAGCCTAATGAAACAATGATATGGCTTCTTTAAAGACCAACCTAACGTGCCAACCTTGAGATGATATCCTGAAATAAGTCAGCATATGGCTTAAATCAACAGTATATGGTTGTTTTCTCCAATAGGTAAACTACACAAGTCCGGGAACCTAAGTATATAAGTGGCCTCACCATCATTCTCAGTGACCCAGTTGAAGAATTTACCCTTCCTCTCCTTACAAATCTTAGCTCAAAAGTGTAGAGCTTCTGGTTCTCAGGAAAGAGAACATTTTCACAGGATAGAAAGGAAGTCTGCCACCAATTTAAGCCTCTTGACACCTTGGGCTTTTCATGCCTTTACATGGAAGGCAAAGAAAAGAATTTCCATCTTGGCAGAGGTAATGGATACTAAACATCCCAAGGAGGTGGGATTGCTGCTACAGAGGGGAATAAGGGACAAAAATATTAGGAGATCCACTGGTATCTCCATGCCCAGTTTTACTGTAATTGGGCAAATAGAGACACCAGGGCTAAAGACTGAAAGCAAGGTCAGGAGAGGAGTGGATAATAGTGAACTAATAATACCATCTGTCACAGCAAGTTAAACAAACAAAAAAAATCATTTTGATGTGCTCTGGATTGGAGCAAACTTCCTCCATGTTTTACTTTGGGCTTTTAATTACTTTCCATTATCATTAATAGGTGCTTTACTAGAAGCATTAATTTCCCATTTATCCTCTTATAATACTAGAAAAATGCCAGATAAAGCTGCCCAGGCTCAACATAACATTGTAGAAGGAGATTAGAATGCTGCACAGATTATTATTTTTTATAGAATTGCTTGCAAGACAAATTGAATTTCATTGCCTGAAATGAATTTTTATGTTTTTGCAGAGAGGGGACAAATGGGTGTCAGCCATTACAAAGCACAAGGCAATGACATAATTGGAAGAAATCAAACATATTTTTTATACATGAGATTTAATGCTATCTTTGAATGAGCTTTAGGAGGTTTGTGTCAAGGTCCAAACACATGATTCATCACTGCAGAGTACAAGTGAAAAAATTAAGATTACTGTGTTTCAATGTAAAGAGGCTAATTCTCATAATCACAGCTATTTTTCAAACCCAAATATCAAGATAGGGGAAGCCAAAGGTATTGAGAGGTCTCCAACCATGATTCCACCCTGAAATCCAGATATGATCAACAATATTGATTATTATGAATATTAAACAGTGTTTCCTTAAAAACCTGAAGGTTGCTGAAGATGTAAGCCAAGGAAAATAAGAAATGTCTTTGTCTTTTCACTATGGAGGCTGACCTAGCTGTGTTATGCTTAGTTAATCCTATCCAAGATGTATCCTTCCACTGCTGGAGGGCCACCAAGGCTAGTCGGATGCTTCTCGTTAGACAAATCAGACTAACTCAGCCTGACTGGTGTTGGACTAGGGGAGGATTTTTGTGAGTGATTTTACAAAAAGAATTGAGTATTTCTCCCAGGTTTTTAGCTTAAGCTACTAACTGGATAATGATGTCATTTGCTGAAACAAAGGGAGCTGGGAAAGAAAAAGTGTCATAAATCCATTGCAAATATACCTGCCTCCTTACTACTCTGAGCTAAAAGCTCTGCTTTTTTGTTAGGTTCTGATGATGGACTATTTAAAAGATAAATACTTACCTTTCTCTTCTGTAATTTGCACATGGGACTGTCCTTCTGGAACATTCCAGATGGTGATTCTGCAGCTTGTTTCCTCCCTTCTCTGGATTCAGCAGAGTCTCTCCAATCATTCTTGTGATTTTTAAAAAAATTTCTTCTAAGGAACTTGTGGTAATATTGTTGTCTCTAATTGCAACTAACTTCTCTCAAACTAAAATGGATGCATAAATTTGCAATATGATGTTTCAAAGGCCATACTTAGTGATAGGAAAGAAAAGGCAAAAACAGAAGCTTTCTTTTCATACAAGAACAAAGAGAAATGACATATCCAGTACCAGAAGGGGACTTTTTGATGGCCAAGAAAATATGTTATAATTAGAAGATAATTACAGCTTTCTTCTCTCAAATATCAATTCTATCACTTCCCATTGCTCACTTCAGTTTTGTTCCTTTAATCCCTAAAGTTGATCTTCGGTGAATGAGATTTTCTCTTCCTTGACAATCACTGCAAAGGCCATGGTCCAGAAAACTGAATGCACCTATCTTTGAGCATAAGTTAGGCCAGAAGATGAGATCTAACCTTTATTTTTTTTTAATCCAAAACTGTCTTAAGAAAGTGGGCCACTCAAAGTGAAGGCAAGAGGTAAGATCAAGCAAATAATGCGATGATCTAACCATGAAGGTTTCACTGATAGTGGTCTTAAGACATTTCATTCTTTCAAAAAATTGCCAGCCCTTTACATTCTTCTAAGGATTGGCAGCCGTTCAAAAAGAAAAAAGGAAGAAAAGAAAGAAAGTATTACAATAAGCTAACCAAATAACAGAAAGCTATTAATAATATGTTTCACAAAGTCCTTTCATATATGTTAATTCCCTTAAACTTGACAGCAGCCTTTTCTGAAGCAAATGCTGGAGAGAACTAGAGGAGATCAGAAAGGCTATAAAAGCCACACACTTAATACTGGGGAAGGCAGTAATCAGATCTAGACGTCTTGATATCTCAGGATCTTGCTCCTACCACTTTCTCAAGAGGAGAAATGAATGAGCTACAGATTCTGGCCTTAAAGGCTTTGGAGAGTATTAAATGCAATTATTTTCAAAAGAGGAGATAAGTCTGCCCACCACAAATGTGAGAACTAAACTCTCACCTAACACCTACTGGGAGTATATAAGTCAGAGTTTTTCAGAGAAACAAACAATAGGATGTGGATAGATAGATAGATAGATAGATAGATAGATAGATAGATAGACAGACTCTTATAAGGAATTGGATCACAGAATTAAGGAGACTAGCAAATCAAAATCTGCAGTGCGGCCTCAAGACTTAGAAGAAAAATTGTGCAATTTCTCTCTGAGAGCTAGCAGGTGGAGACCCAGGAGAGCTAATGATGCAGATGAAGTCTGAAGGCTGTCTGCTGGAGAATTATTGCTTGCTCATGGAAGCTGGGTATTCTATTCTATTCAGGCCATAAACTGATTGAATGTCCACACTGTGGAATGTATCTATTTTACTCAAATTTATCCATTTACATGTTAATCTCACCTAAAGAAATAAAACTCCCAGAATAACATATGATCTACTATCTGAGCACCCTGCAGCCCAGCCAAATTAACACATAAAATTAATAATCACAATGGCCCACAATATAAAGTAGCTAAGTGGAAAAGTCTGCATTTTGGAGGCAGGTAAGATAAAGGGGCATATGAAAAGCAAACATATTAAGATATAGACATGTACGTGCATGTGTGCATGCAAGCTTGGCATGGAAAAAACAAATTTTATCTCTATCCTTCTCCAGAACAACCTGCTAGGGCTCAAAAAGCACATATCAAGCAACTGTAATGCTTGATATACTGAGTGAAAAAAGGAAGAAAAGAAGGCATTTTCTCAAGGCATTATTTATATCAAAAAGAAGATGCTCTCTCCATTGAGGCAAAAGCCTCCAGAGAATTGCAATTATAAATGAGACTTAGGGCTTATCTAGTCAAATATTTTACCCAACACAGAAATCCTATCTACCTGTCTCATAAGGAGTTCTTTGGCTCCTGCTAAGTGCTTGTAATGAATGTAAGATCACCTCACCAGGAGACCTCTCAGGCCTGCATTAAGTAGCGCTAGTTATTAAAAAAACCTTTACTTTGAATGTAAACTTCCTTATTTGTAACTTTTACTTACATCTGTCTTCCACAGCCAAATTCTACAAAACTGCATTGTAAATGCCTACTTATTAAATGAATAAACATTGTTCTTCATGACTTTATCTTCTTGCCTGGCTTCCTTTGGCCTTATCACCATCAACTCTTATTTTCACTCAGTATATCAAGCATTACAGTCCTCAAATATGCCATCTTCCAGATCCATCTCTATGCTTGCTTTCTACCCATTTAAAGGAATAAAAATGCACAGATCATAACTATACAGGATATTGTGGAAGGAAACTCACTGAATCATCACTAGAAGAAGCACTGGACTGAATAGCCCTAGCTCAGAAATTATTTTCCAAACAAGAGAGGACTGACAGAAGGGTTGCTGAGTTAGAGAATAATGACAACAGCTTGGAAAAGAAGCTCTATTCCTTCCACAGTCTCCATTGTAACAGGACTGTAAATTAATTATCAATGGTTTCCAAGGGTTACTAGAGCCTACCTAACAGGCATGTTGTAAGAATATAATGACATGTCAAATATAACACACACAGAACAGTACCTAGCATAAAGAAATCACAAATACTTGTTAAGAGAACATAAGTGAGAGAGAAAATATAGACACATTCCAGCAACAGGGAATGTAGTGTCTGTCTGGCTTTAGCTACATTTGTCTTCCCTGTCCTTTATAGAAACTAACTTCACCAATTGATGTAAAAACTGTGGACTGAATATTTATATTATTTTCTGTTTATTAAACCTCTTTCTGTAGCATTACACTGTCTGATCTTTCATTTCATTTATTCTTCTTTTCTTGAATAAATATTCATTCGGCACCAACCAAACACCAAATATTATATAAGATCATGGTAGGGTGTGGACGGATCTAAGTTTCAGAGAATGAATTTCTAAAAAGCTAGAGAGATCATGAGTGAGTGAATACTCAAGGGTGGTGTATGATAGGAAGAAGTTTCTTCTTTACCTGATACATGGTAAATCAAACTCTACCTGGTAGCAGAAAGAGCATTCTTTATGTCTGAGTGAATGTTTTGTAGTCAGAGTCTATACCCTTTAAAGCACAAAGGGAGAGTTGTGTATGTTTGTTATATACAGTGTTGGGAATTTCTGGTAGTCAATTTATTGGTACATATACTTGATAAATTACCTGAAAATTGTAGTGACTTAAAATATTTATTATCTCACAGGTCTGGGGTCAGGAACCCAGCTGTGGCTTAGCTGCATCCTCCGGCTCAAGGTCTCTCACAGGCTCCAATCAAGGTGATGGGCAGAGTGGCACTCACCCCAAGGCTTAACTGGGGAAGGGTCTGCTTCCAAGCTCACTCACATGGCTAATCACAGGAGTCCTTTTCTCATGGGCTCTGAGAACAGGAGACTCAATTCCCCACTGGCTGTTGGCTAGAGGCTACCTTAGGTCCTTGCCATGCAACTCACAAGGTGACAACAGGCTTTCTCAGAGCAAGAAGGCAAGAGAGTTCTAGTAACTTGGAAGTCACAGTCTTTGCCATATACTTTTTGTTAGAAACAACTCATTAAGTCCTTCAGCCCAAACTTAAGGGGAAGGGACTATGCAAAGACGCAAGTACTAGGAGGTAGGAACCATTCAAGGCCATCCTAGAAGGCTGCCTACCAGACTCCATTGAGCATTACATGAAAGCAAGCCATCAGCACATCACCATGTCAGAATAGTGCCTAAAGGCATGACCAACGTGAGATTCATAGTGACTTCCATGTTTTCTTTTCCCTGTCATATTCTTGCTCTCATGTATTCCATGCTTGTTGAGTAGTGTTGGTAAAGAGGCTGAGAGATTAAAAAAAAAAAGGTCTAAATATTTGGCATCTCTAATCGTAAATGCATTTAGTTCAGTGGCTTATACCTTAGAGAGTTGGATCACAGAAATAATGCATGGAGGTTCAAGTAGAAATTCTAGATTTTTTTTTCTAGTTTCTGTCTTCTGAAATTGTCCTGGAATTCAGAAATGCTGTGTATTGATAAAGAACAACAGAAGCACTCCAAAATCATGACATCCCCTTACACACACACAATCAAGAAGATACATGAGAGATAGATATAGATGATATACATAAAAATGATATAGATAATATACAGATATATGATGATGGTGGTGGTGATGGTAATGAAGAATTGATACAAATTAGTAGCAAATGAAATTTTTTTTTCATTTACTACTTATCATTTCATTTTAGAAGAAAATCAATTTTCTTTCTCCCTGGCTTTCTAAAAATCAGGGAGTTGGGCATTTTAAGAGATTTCAAGGGAGGATAATTTAAGAACTAATATGACCTCATATCATTGTTTGGATTTGAGGGAATATAAAATAAAATAGAGTGAAACATGAGTACAAAGATTTAGCAACCATTGACTGCCATGTAAAGAAATTTGAAATTTATTTAGATGACAGTAAGGTATCATTGCAGGGCTTGAGCCTTTACGAAAATAATGAAAAGGAAGAGAAGGAAATGAGTGACACTAGAGGCAGAGACTAATCAGGAGGCTTTGGCTTTAATTAGGACCAGAAGAAAGGAGGGCACATGTTATGTGGCACTGTAAAGCTTTCTCGTATATTGATTCACTTAACTTGAAATAACCCCATGAGGTAGATTCTGTTCTTATAGCCTTTCCACTTTACAGATGAGAAAACAAAGCACCAAAAAGTTAAGTAGCTTCTCAAGTAATGGGACTAAAAATGGTAGATCTGGAATTCCAACCCAAGTAGCCTAACTCCAGAAACCATATTCTGAACCACTAACCCATGTTAAGTTCTAATAGTGATGATGAAAATGAGACAGAACTTAGAGACTGGCTAAGATAGTGAGGGAAGGAAAGAGAATCTTGGTTAAATTTCAGGTTTCTATGTTAGATGTCTTGGAGAATTATAGTGTCATTAGGTGAGAGGCTATAGTGACGGCAAAGATGTTGCAAGAGGCAGGAAAAGAAAATAAATTTAGTTTGGAAAATTGAACATTCTGTAAGACATCCAAGTGGAGATGTAGAAAAACAAGATTTGCATACAAAGCTAGAGGTCTGGAAGGATAACGGCTAAAATTAATCATTTGTAATCATGCAAGAAATGGACTGCTACTCAAAAACATTATTCTTTCTTCTTAGACACACTCTAGACTACATTTCCAAGTCTCCTTTGCATTCAGATGTGGCTGTGTGACTAAATTCTAGCCAGTGGAATATGATTCAAAGTAACAGATACCACTCCAGAACTGATGCATAAAAAATCTCCCTCGTGCAGTCATCCATACACGTTCTTGGTGACCTTGAAGGCACTATGTTGAAGATTGTGGAAACACAAAATGAAAGATGACTTTATGTGAGTGAGAAATAAACTTCTTTATAAGATTTGGAGTTGGTTTGTTGCTTCAACTAATGCTAACCTAACTAGTAAAAAGCATTATCAGGGGATACTTGGGTGTAGAAGGAGCATAGTCTCAGTATGGAAATGCTAAGTTGGTAAATACATCTGGTCCCCCTGATGAGACAAATAATGTACAGCAAACATTATTTTGCTCAATATGGGACTGAGTTCCAAGAAAGTCTGCAAAGAGCTGAGAAGTAACAAGTGCAAAAGGCTAGACAGCTTCACAGGCAAGTCCACACAAAGGGCAATACCCTACTGAATTCACCACAGTCTGAGCTTCATATCCACAAGCTCAAATCCTTGATTTGTCAGCTCTCAGAACTGAGATTGTATTAACCAGTTTTGTGAAGCCAATGTATCAATCTGATGCCCATTTGTTATCTTTCAATGAGAAATGTAACCTTCAAGTAGAACAAACTCAGGTAGGCTGATCAGCACTTTCTCTCCCTGTAGACCTGCCATGTGGGAAGTTAAATTATACTCAAAATATTGCTTAGTAAGCATAGATTTCCATCAAAAATAATTATTCATAAGATTTGAGAATAGTAAGGCACCAGACTAGGGGGGCCTATCAGGCTCTGGAGTTTGAAAGATCTCATTGGAATTTCAATTCTGACACACACTAGGCATGTCAAAGTGGGGAAGTCATCCCAGTTTCCTTTAGTGGCAATACCAAATGTATCTAGTATCTATCTAGTGTCTATCTAGTGTCTAGTATAGATACTCGATACATGTATCGAGTATCTATCTAGTGTCTAGTATCGAGTGTCATGTATCGAGTATCTAGTAATAATAAATGTATCTAGTAGAACTGCTGTAAGAATAAACTAAAATACTGTATATTAAAGCATTCTGCTAACATCTTATGAAAACTATTGATTAATGTATACTGGCATTATTTTAATGATGATAATATAATTAGTATCCACCTGCCCAAAGGCATGTCAAAAGGCCACATTGTTCTCTGCCCCAAACCAGGCTCAAGTGAGATCTTCTAAACATGCCTATGTCTCCTTTCTGATGAATATAGCTCTCCATAGATATAGTGAGAATCTCAGCCAAAGTCAAAGGAGTAGGGCATGAAATACCCTGTAGCAATAAAAAATGATATAGATGTATATTCAGTATTTCAAAATCATATGTTTTGTCCATTATAAAAACAGCTTTCATGCTTAATTATGATATGGTGTGTTCTCTAATCTTTCTGAATAAACCAATAGTAAGTCTGTGATCAAAATTAAGGAGAAAAATGTAACTCTAAGCTGTATTTATTGGAATATCAGGAGTAGGATTTTTAAAAATCTCTGTGCATGAATATAATGACTAGCCAAGATTGTAAGCTATCACTTTAACTGAAAACTATTTAGAGGAAACAAGTACTAAATGATATTTTGCACAGTTGAATCTAAGGTTTCTTGGTGACAATCCTATGATTTCCATACTATTATTATAAAATCTCACTTTTATGAATGATGAAACTGAAGCTCAGAGAGGTTAAGTAACTTGCCCACAAATACACAGCTAACAATTGGCAACTGCTATCTCAGGTCAGTGCTCACCATAGCCTCCATGCTAAGTAGCTTCTTGATAAGAAATGTATAAAACCAAAAAGTTTAAAATATTGGCACACACAGCGTGAATTTAAAACTGTCTTCATCTTTCTTCCCAAATTTCTTAAGCCTGTTTCACCTTTCGAATGGACACTTATAGCTTTGGAGCTGGAAAAAGAAAGGAGAAGGGAATGATGAAGAAAAGATGAAAATATATGAGGAAAGACCTCCTTCAGATCTGTCTGTGACATTTCAGAAGAAGAGGAGCTAAACAAAAGTCATCCTTCCCTCTCTAGCAGTCATATTACTCCCCTATAGTCAATCAAATACATCTGTTAAATTTCACAGACTTACAAAAAAGATAAATAAATCAAGGCTAACATTTTCAGAAATGAGAACTGTCATGAATAGGTGAAGTAATGTTCCCAGTTGAAACCCCCAAAACAATTTTTAATTCAGTTGTTTATAAAATATTTGTGAGGCTCTGGATCAGCACAGGAGATAGAAAGAGACATACCTTTGAGGGGCTCACAGCCCCACGGATAAATCCCAAAACCACTATGGAATGTAGACAGTAATAGAAGTTTATACAATGTACAAATAGGAAAGGAGGGATAATTCTGATTTGGACATGAGGAGAGTCAAGAAAGTCCTTATGGAAGAGTGTGACATCTGCAGAACATCAAAATGGTCCTAGGATTTTATCAAGAGGGATAGATTTTCGCTCCAAGGGGAGAGAAAACCAATGCTAAGAACTGAAACATTGAGGGCAATTTTAGCTGCATACCATGTAGATAGAAGGCTGGTGTGGCACAGGCCCAAGTACTCTTACCGTGAGTGGTGACTACGTTTTCTAGGATGAATCACTTAATCTTTCAAAAAGTTACGTTCCCCATTAGTAAAACAAGAATAATAATTCCTATTTCATAAAGTTATTATGGAGATTAAATGTGTACATGGAAAATGGCCACTAAATTATAGCTATTATGATGATCATATATTTCTCATACAATATACACCAGACAAACCATCTGGCTGAGCCTCGTAACATGTCCACAAACGTCAGGACCACAGCTGGCACAAAGGATGCTGCAATGGCCTTTCAAAGAAGCTGATCGTTGGCTTCCCAGGTAAGAAGCCAATGAGGGCTGAGGAAAATCAGAAAGGTGTGTGATATGGAACTTTCACACCTCCAACATGCTTGGAGCCATAAATCTACTCCTTCTCTCCAACCCTGATCATCTTTTTCTTTAGGAGACTGGAGACTATGGTTTTCATCCCCAAACCAGTTTACCTTCTGCACATGGCAATAAGTTATTGATTCCATGATGTGGAGCCATCTCTGATGTCCTTTCATGCAGCAGGGGAACTGGTGTGGAAGAGAATATGCATCCATGGGAGAAATCTCAGGCATGATATAGAAAGTGAGCTTAAAAAAAAATAAGACCTCCAGAGTCCCAGCTTTCACCTCCAGGAAGGAAATTCCAGCAACCTTAGCCTAGTCCAATCTGGACCTTGCAATCTCCCTTAGCTTGGTTTTGTCTGAGACTTGCAATCTCCCAGGTCTGTCTCCTACCTCCTCCTTTCACATCATCCTTTTGAAATCACTTTCAGGTCCTTGCACATTGACTTCTAGTCTCCACCTCTAAATGTTTGTACTGGACATGTCCTTGGGATGGAACACCTCCCTCTGCTCAACGTTTCAGGTAATTAAATCCTATGAACCTTTCTAAAAAACACTCAGCCCAACTTCATCCTTCTCCAGGAAGTTTCCTTGACCTCTCCCATCCCATTTAGATTCTGATGCCCCACCTCTGAGCTTCATATTCACTCAACAAATATGGAGTAGTTACCCATTGGCTAATAAGCCCTGCCTTCTCATGGCTTTCTGTGGATGTTAACTATCAAATAATTTCACACTATTTTATAATCATTTGTTTGTCTGCCTTTCTCACTTGAATGTATGCTCCTTAATGGCAGGGATCATGTTCCATTCATCTCTGCTTCCTCAGTGCACAGCATAAGCCAAAAATAAAATTCCCCCCAAACTAACTGATGGATCCCTTTCTCAGCCAAGGACAGTCTGAAGTAAACTTGAAAATCTAGTTCAGGCCATGATGGGAGTAGGGGTCAGATATGCCTCATTATACTCTCCTCTCTTTAGAATTCAGAAACAACTGACCAGCATTAACATTAAAACAGAGATCTAGATACCTTAAGAATTACAAAATAGATTTTTTTGTAGGAATAAGACACCAAATTTCAGCCTCACTCTAGCATAGTATCACATGACAGATAGCAGGCCCTGAAATAAATTGAAATATTTCACCCCACAATGTATTTCTTTGACATATTTTGAAATGGACCTGCAAACCTGTCTTTCATGGGGAAAATCTACATTCTGTATGGAATCCACTTTCTTTTCTGGGTCTTTCCTCTGATCGGAGAGAGAATTAACTAAGAGTCTGGGATCTTTGTAAGTCTGATAAGAGCTCTGAAGCTGGCTACTTGGGGGCTTCATCTGCAGGATAAAACTTTTCAACCAATTTCCGATCAGATAATCTTTGAATCCACCTATGATGTGAAAGCCATCCTTCCCACACCCCCAACCCCCACTTCCAATTGTCGTGCCTTTCCAGACTGAACCAGTGTACATCTTACATATATTGGTTGAGGTCTTATGTCTCCCTATAATGTATAAAACCAAGCTGTAGCACAGCCATCTTGGGCACATGTTCTCAGGATCTCCTGGGGCTGTGTCATGAGCCCTTGGTCACTCATAAATCAGAATAAATATTTTTAAATGTTTTACAGAGTTTGACTCTTTTTGTCAACACTAGTATAAAGCATTCAATGTACTTTTTGCTGAATAAATACATACCTTCTGCATAACAAAAGTAAATTCAAATTAGTGAGAAAAACATCAAGTTCATAATAAAAAAAATAGGCAATGCAGATTCAATTCATGCAAGAGGACAGATGATCAGCAGTGAGGCCCAACAGATCCATGTTCCAGGCTAGGAGCCATCTATTCAGCAATAAGTAGAACGAAGGAAGTAGGAATGAAGGAAGAAGAAGGAAGGAAGGAAGGAAGGAAGGAAGGAAGGAAGGAAGGAAGGAAGGAAGGAAGGAAGGGAGAGAGAAACAAAGAAAGAAAAAAGGAAATAAAAATGAAGGATGAACGTGTCTTTCAAATCTCCCCTCCCTGCCACCATGTACCACCATGGTGGACAGATCGAATTTCGCAGCCTGTCTCTTGTTATTGAAGTGATCTACATCTAGACTATTGGTGCCACTCCACTGAAGCTTCCTCAAGCCTATAATTTGCTTTAAACAAGCACCTCTGTAGACACCTTCTGATATATATTGCAGACATAGCATGTGTTTGGGACTTCTCCAGATATCTGTTTAATCTCTTCCCACTACTTAAAATCTCTCTGATGTTAGTAAAGCTATTTTGCATCTTTGCCTCATTTTCCTCATCTGTAAAAACTCTATTTATTATATCCACTGTGAAGGTAAGAGTAAAAGGACATAAGGAATATTTGAGTTGCAGGGAGTTTTATTAGGGCCTAAAGCAGTCAACAGGGGATCTCTCAACTCTTGGAGTTATTAGGTTTTTCTCAATTTCATTCCGTTTTTGAAAACCCAAGGAACTCTTATAAGTAAACATTGTAAAAATATCTCCTTCTGCTTCTTGCAATCACACACCTAGTACACTAATAAAATTAGACCTGCACTTTTCTCAACTTATGACTCCCTCAGCTTTAATATTTCCTGCTAAATGGATCTTTTAAAAGTCCTTGGGAAAAATATTTGCATTAAATATGCCTAGAAAATAAATACATACCTTCTGTGAAACAAGAGTAAATTCAAATTAGTGAGAAAAACATCAAGTTCATAATAAAAAAAATAGGCAATGCAGATTCAATTCATGCAAGAGGACAGATGATCAGCAGTGAGGTCCAACAGATCCATGTTCCAGGCTGGGCTCCATCTCCCCTCACTCTCTGACCATTAGAAAATTATTCAATTTCTCTCCATATCAGTTTTCCCACCCATAAAATAGATTCAATAACAATATATTCATAACAGAGCTAAGGTAAGAATTAAAGGAGAATTCATACTAAACCCATGACCAACTGTTTCACGTCCATGAAAAATAAAAAAAGCTGCAATTTATGGAGCATTTCCTACAATCTAGACAGTTGGTCATAGTAAATGCCCAATAAATTTAAGCCTTTTGTTTTCATTGAAATGATAAACTTCCCTTGTATTAAAAGAGACTATGGTTGTTAATTTTAGATTTCATCTTGAGGGGTTACTAAATGTCCAGATAGGTCTTAAAACATTATTTCTGGGTATGTCTACAAGAGTGTTTCCAGAAAAGCTAGCATTTGAATCAGTACACTGAGGAAAGAAGATTTGCTTCTTGCCAATGTGGCCAAATCCAATCCCTGAGGGGCCCAAACAGAACAAAAAGGTGGAGGAAAGGTGAATTAACTCTCTGTCTTTTAGAGCTGAACATTCATCTTCCTTATTCTTCTGCCCTTGGACATTGGAGCTCCTGGTTCTTGAACCTTCAGACTAGGACTGGATTATGCCACCATCTTTTTGGTTCTTCCATTTGCAGATATCTTGTGAGACTATTCAGACTCCTTAATCTCATGAACCAATTTTCATAATCTTCTCCTATATATCTACATATTCTGTTGGTTCTGTTTCTCTGGAGAACCCTGGCTGATACAGATAACTATATTAAAATGAAAGTGAGATGCCATTGATGCCTACTTTATTAACAAAATTCATTAGAGTGATAATACCCAGTGTAGTTGTTAATTTGGTCTGCTTACAGTTTTCTAAAAGCAGGGCAAAAGGATTCAATTCTTTAAAAAAAATACACAGATTGAGAGTCATACAGAGAATTTGAGAAATAATTTTAGGCTTTCACTCAAAATTCTACCCAGCTCCCTATATTTATTTATCCTAAAGCAGGAATTTCCAGCTTTCCTGAAGAACGATGGGGTTACCACTCCGAGGTGGATGACCAATAAACTTAATTTTTGCCTATTATACATACATTGTAAATCTATGCAGTATTTCGTTGGGAGGAAAGGAACTTTTCTTCCAACCAAAAATTATTCTTTTAGAAACCCATGTTCAAAGGCAAAAATCTAAAAGAAAAAAGATTATAAATACAACAGTTTAATTAAGCAATAACTTATATAAGATTGGAAAAAAGTAACTAGCCCAAATATCCAACAGAGTGTAATGATCTTTAAAAATGGATTATTCACTTGATAAAATCTTTTGCAAATTTTAAAAATAATCCCTATGAAGGCTTTATTCTAACACAATAATGGAGATACATGGAGGAGGAGCATTAAAAGAAAGCCAACATTTTAACATACACTGCTGATTATATGTCAAACACTGAGCTGAGCATTTACATAAAACATAGAAAGTACTGTGGTATCTATTACTTGAAAGAAACAGAATTCAATACACTATATATCCATCATTATTACAACTTTAACCAACTCTTTATGTTCAGAGTCAAGGACTGTAAGAGAATTGGGGAGAAAAAGCAGCCTTAATTTTCTGACATGGAGAGGTGAATTGTATTCTGTCTTTCTTCAGTTTCTTTTTTGTTTCTTTGATACTGGTTTTGCAATAAAGGGAAATTACACCCAACTCTCAAAATAAATTTGTAATAAGACATCATAATTTCCAGTCTAAACGAGTACAAGCAAAGTGCTTCCCAGTTTCCAAAAATGCCTCATAAACAGGTTGTTGAAAATAAACTGTTTTATATTAAACATTCTTTCTGTTGCTGTTATTTTTAAAAAAATTAATAGAAATGCACCAATTTCAAGACTCCAAATAGAAACTAAAAATTGCAACAGCCTACCATTTTCCAAGCTTGCTCTTCTCCAAATGATTCTATTCAGCAGCCAGAGTGATGTTTTGAAAACATAAATCAGATTGTGCCACTCTCCTGACAAAAAAAAAAAAAATCCAAAGGCTTCTTACTGCATGTATAAAATAATCCAGGCTCCTTATGGTGGCTCATGGTGCCCTCTCTGATGTAGTTCTCGTCCCTCTCACTGGAGTCCTCTCTTCTCATCATCTCTTGGGTTTGTTTTGTCCTCATTCTTCTTTCTCAAACATGCTTCATGATTCCACCTCAGGGCCTTGCACTTGCTCTTTCATGGCCTTAAACATGACTCTCCCTCATATTTTCCCAGAACCGGGTCCTTCTCATCTTTCAGTGTCCAGAAAGAGAAGGTGGGTGAATTAGAAGTTCTTGCCTACAAATCTTTATTGAACAGTCCAACTCTTAGGATGTACCAGGCTTTGTATTCAGTGCTAGTTGTGAGTCCTAGTATTCAAAGAGCTCAAGATTTCATGGAGTGCTCAGGAGGAAAACAGGCAAAAACTGTTCCCTGTGATGTGTGCTTTGGTGCTGGGAAAAAGGAGAGATCTGGTGTTGAGGAATTGGAATTACAGAACCAAGATTTGCAGGATTAGGGAAAAAAAATCCAGAGGAAGTAACATTTAAAGTGAAGGATGGGCAAGCATCAGCTGGAGGAAAGGTAAGAAAAATTGCTCCAGCTACAGGAAATCAGAAAGAGTGTGTCTCCTTCGGGGGCCTGCAAGTGGTTTACTTTAGTCACTAGAGTCTACTGGGTTCATCTAGAACTCTGCATAAACAGATAGAGGAGCAGCAAGTCATCTGATTTAAGAGGTAGGAATTTGGAGATCTTGACCAAGGGTGCTGCACACATACAAGGGCCAATTGCAAATTGAGTTATGTGCTGCTTCCTTCATAGCTGCACAGACACCGAATGCTCACTGTATTTTCATCTCATCCAGGATTTTCAGAAAAATGATCATAAATCCTAAGGCCTCTGAATGAGATGCTAACAAAGCTCCCTTTTCCTTCTAGACTAATCAAGAGTGTCTGGGATAGTCTACTCACCCAACCTGCCCAGGGATGAAAAGGGCCAGAAGCCCCACAGGCTGTTATGCTTAACAGCCAGGAAACCACAAGCAATAAGACAAAGGCAAGACCGTCAGCTTTGAAAGGCCCTCCATCCCACAAATGTCAGGTGCAGCTTCTGAGTGGCATGGGGAGAGAGGGGTTGTATATTCAAGGACTGGATGTGTTTTCTTATGTTCTATAGGCTAATCCTAAAATGAGGGGCAGCTGGGGTGGAGTGAAGAGCAGAAACAACTCCCGTCCCCTCCCCAACCACAAGCAGCTCCTGGGAAAACACTGAGATGCCATGAAACCTGGTCCCTACCCTGCTGACTGTGACTGTCTTGAAAATTTCCTCTCTTCTTTGTTATTTGTGATTGTTTCAATAACAATTACTTACAGTTATAAAGTAGTGTGTGCCAGATATTAAGAGTTTGATGCATATTAACTTTTTTTTCTTTACTAACTACTTTTTTCTCAAATTTGTTATTTTTTATTGACAAAAATGGTTTGGGAATATGTATACATTGTAAAATTGAACTAATTAACATATGTATGATTTCACATCTTATTTTGGGTGAAAACACAAACTCCACTCTGTTAGCAATTTTCAAGAACATAATACATTGTTATTAATTGTAGCCATTGTGTTTTACAACAGATCTTTTGAATTTATTCCTTCTAACTGAAATTTTGTACGTTTTGACCAACATCTCTCCAGAACCCCCTCTCCCACCTCACCTCCACCATCCGACTCTCATTTCTGTGAGTTCATCTTTTTAAGATTCCACACATAAGTGACATCTTGTAGCATTTTTCTTTCTGTGCCTGGCTTACTTCACTTAACACGATATTCTCCAGATTCATCCATGTTGTTGCAAATAATATTTCCTTCTTTTATAGCTGAATAGTATTCCACTCTCTATGTCTAACACATTTTTTTTAATCCATTCATTCATTGATGGACACTTAGGTTAGTTCCATATCTTGGCTATTGTGAATAGTGCTGCAATAAACAGGGGAGTACAGATGTCTCTTCCAACACACTGATTTTATTGGCTTTAGATAAATACCCAGTATGAGATTGCTGGACAATATGGTAGGTCCATTTTTAATTTTATGAGGAACCTCCATACTGTTTTCCATAATTGCTGTAATAATTTATATTTCCACCAACAGTGTATGAGTGTTCCCTTTTCTCCACATCCTCATCAGCTCTTGTTACCTTTAATCTTGTTGATAACAGCTATTCTGAAAGGTGTGAAGTGTTATCTAATTGTGATTTTAACTTGAATTTTACTGATTATGAGCATTTGAATTTTTCATATTGAGAATTTTTTAAATACTTATTGGCCATTTGTCTTTTGAGAAATATTGATTTAGGTATTTTGCTCATTTTATTTTAATTTATTTATTTATTAACTTATTTATTTATTTATTTTGAAATGGGGTCTCACCCTGTCACCCAGGCTGGAGTGCAATGGCACCATCTCGGCTCACTGCAGTCTCCACCTCCCAGAGTCAAGTGATTCTCCCACCTCAGCCTCCTGAGTAGTTGGGACCATAGGCATACACTGCCATGCCCAGCTAAATTTTTGTATTTTTAGTATAAACAGGGTTCACTATGCTGCCCAGGCTGGTCTCAAACTCCTGAGCTCAAGCTATTGCCTGCTTTGGCTTCCCAAAGTACCAGGATTATGTGCATGAGCCGTTTTCTCGTTTTTAAATCAGATTGTTGATTTTCCTACTATTGAGTTGTTTAAGTTGCTTATATATATTCAATATTAACCCCTTATAAGATATATGATTTTCAAATAGTTTCTCCCATTTTGTGGGTTGCTTCCTCATTCTATCCATTGTTTCCTGGCTTCAAAATATATTACAAAGCTGTAGTAATCAAAATGAATGGTACTGGCATAAAAACATACACCAATGGGACAAAACTGAGAGCCCAGAAATACATCTATGCATTTACCGTTAATTGATTTTCAACAAAGATGCCAAGAACACAATAGAGAAAGGACAATATCCTCAATAAACAGTGTTGGGGCAGCTGAATATCCACATGCAAAAGAAGACTGGAACCTTATCACATACCACATACAAAAATCAACTCAAAATGGATTAAAGACTTAAACATAAGACCTGAAACTCTAAAGTCACCAGAAGAAAACATAAGGGGAAAGCTCCCTGATGACTGGCTGGGTAATAATTTTTTGGATATGATCCCAAAAGCATAGGCAGCAAAAGTAAAAATAGACAAATGTGATAACATCAAAGTAAAAATCTTCTGCACAGCCAAGGAAATAATCAACAGAATGAAGAGACAACATATTAATTATTAATTCTTTTATTCCTCAAGAAACCCAAAGAGGTAGGCACCATTATTATCCCAGTTTTAGAGATCAGAATATTGAGACACAGAGAGGCTAAGTAACTCAAACAAGATCAATCAAATAATCCCCCCAGGAAAAGAATTCTAAACATGCAAGGAACACTGAGTTTGAGAGACCCAGCATAAAATGAGGAGGGCAGGGCTGGCTGGGGAAAGGCAGTGAGCATGGCTATGACAATTGAAAGCCACAAAACACACGATCAGTGCTTCGTAGATAGGTATTAAATGACTGGATCATCAGTGACAAGATCCAAACTCTAAGTTAAGCTCCTTCAGGAGGTCCAAGTTCCATATGCCAAAAATAATTTTCTACTCATCTCATTTTTACAATACCTGAAAAGAGAAACCTATTAATAAAATAGATAAGGAAAAAGACAGGTCAACTTGAAGTTAACTTCCAAGGAAGCTATATGCTTATTCATTCAACTTTTAAGAGGCTGAACCGATATTTGTGGAAAGGAAATTCGGTGGCCATGGTCCGGGGAATTGTTGCTGTTTTCTGAAACACAGTAATTGGAAAAAGAGCGTTTTGTGAATGCTGCTCTAAGCAGGACTGTCAGGGGTGCAGCCCCTGCAATTAAGGCTACTGTAGATAAAGGATGCATATTCAAAGATGTCATTGTGAAAATTCAGATGAAGGAGTAGAGTTAGTGAAATAATGGAAGTTAATTTCTATTTTCCTCTGTCTGAGTGAATGAGGCTTATAATTAAATCAAATCACCTTCACCCACTCACACATATGCCAAGCACGTGCGCATGTGCGCACACACACACACCACCTCCTGAGTTCACAGCCACTCAGATTAGAAGGGCAAGGACACACAAAAAAATAGATATACATGAAAGAACTACACTTTCTTTCATTTCACACCCACCACCATTTTATGGTATTAGTTAGCTGCTTTACTAGGAACATATTTGTTGTTACCTTATGGCAGGTAATTTAGATAGATGTGGATACCAGTCCTGGGTACATCAAAAGGAGATTTGCTTATCCTAACCCTAAATTCCCTCACCGTACAGTTGATATGACAGCATGGAAAGGGACAGCAATTTCAGCGTTGCAGCTACTCTTACCTTAAGAATGGAGACTTTCTCAATGAGGCACCTAAAAGCTGTTGTAAGGAAAGAGACCATATCTTCTCACTGTGAAACTGCCTAGGCTAGAACACCTGCCCCCAGGGAAGGCTTCCTTCTGGTTTGTACATTTGTTCAGCTGGACGTGCAGCCTTAGCACATTCCTGAGTCAAATCATCTGGCAAACCTACCAAATCCTGAGCCCCGAGGGGCTAATGAAGACCAAGAACTCTAGTATGGCCAACTCAAGCCTCTGTATTTCTCAGGTGGGGTTAAGGGTAAGTCTAGTGAGGTGCCTTCACTGGAACATTAAGGAAGTAGCTGCCTACCCTCAGGTTATGTAGCTACCTACCCTTCCTTACATTTTATACTCTAGATGCCTCATTCATCTTACCCTAGTCTATGCCTGATCTTTCCCCAGGTTTCTAATGTTCCATTCCTAGAGTCACACCTCTTACTGCATCATCCCTTACTGCTTTGGCAGGAAGCTGCTGATACACCATTTTCCTTATTCAGAATCTCTCTTCCTCACCAAAATGTTCAGATAAGCTTTCAGTAGTTTAACCCACAACTTAAGCAAAGTTCCTTTTCTTCTCTTAAGCTATCAGGGCTGGTACTATTTACTGGATAGAAGTGTCTTTCGGTCTTTTGGTTTATGACTTCAGAGCTTTCTGTGGCAAAAGGTGAAATACTCACTTGTGGTCCCAGGAGCATATACATCAGAGACAAGTTTAGCATGAGGGCGTTTCTCTCAATCTTTTTTTCATTATCACAGTCATCTTCTGGGCCAGATCCATAACACATGTATTCTCAATGAAGGCAATATCCCATAGGAGCTTTATAGATTTTGTTTCTGTCCCACCTGACCCATGAAATTTTAATACTACAGACATACTATATATCTGTTTATGTTGTCAGGTAGAGTTCAGCTTTGGAACACTAAAAACTATGATAATGCTTAAAGATTATTTTTACTAATTTTTACTACCCTAAGAATCACTTTTAGTGGTGATTTTGCCACCATCCAGAATGCATATATTTAGGAGTTGGCCCAGGAAGATGGTAGCCAGACTCTCTCTATGGGCTGTGGATCTCCTCCCACAAAGGAGACAGATTTACTCTTGGTTGACCACGGTCTCAGGGGTTAAGTTAATAGGTTAAGAGAACTGAAACATCAAGGAAGTGTCAGGAGGAGTACCGGCCTTCACTTTCTTCCACTGTCCCCCAGTCTCCCAGTTCCATGTGGGAGTTTCTCTGCTTTATCTCCCCACAAGTCATAGGGGGTGCTTAGCCACTGGTCCACATTTCTTTCTTGGTGTAGCTAATCCACCAAGAATTTGCAAGCCTTGGGGATTCAGTCGCCCATTTCCTTTCTTTCCAGATCAGTCATGAGGTGATAATTCCACTCGCCTGTGTCTGCCAAATGGACCTAAACTTCAGTTCAATTGGAATGGCCTTAAATGTATACTCAAGGAAGAGGATATTAACACACTTACCTGGCTAGAGCTCTAAAGCCATTAGCCAATCATTTAGTGATAATTTGATCCCTATCTTTCTCATGTTTTATTTTCTCATGTGGTTTTAAATCCAGGAGTGGAAAAATAGGTTGTTATTTCTATGAACCCTAACACTCTAGCACCTAGGGTTTTCACATAGGTTGTGGGCCTCTGAGAGAACACACCATTTGTCCTAGAACCTAGTATAATATATTGCAGATAGTAAATTTTGTTGAATATTTGTTGGATGCTTGACAGAAAGCTTAATGAATCAAATATTTCTTTGACCTGCCATTCAAACCTTTTTATTCCAGTCTTGACTCTGGGATAAATTATCTGTGTGCTCTTTAATAGATCTTTTCCTCTTCCTGGGTCCTTGGTTTCTCCATGTGAAAAATGAAGAGCAGCTTTGTCTACATGTTCTGAAGATCCTTTCAGCTCTGCCATTCTAGGATGCTGGAACACAGATGCATAGATGTAATGCTACTGAAATGTTTAAAGGGATAGGGTAGCAGGCAAGGAAAGAAATCTCATGATATTTCCTTGGACCTAAACCATAATTTCTCACTGGAGTAATGCTGCTTCTTCTCAGTTTCTCAGGATCTGGGTGACAGCTGTTCAACCTTTTCCAATAATCCTGTAGCAACTAAGAGAAGAAAACAAGGTAGGAGGGAGAGGATGAACAAGAGAGGGAGGGGAGGGGAGAAAATGAGGCAATAAACACAGAGATGATCAGAGAGAGGCAGGAACAGAGGGTCGTAGGGAGTCAGAGAGAGGCATAGAATGAAACGGAGGAGAGAGTCAGAGAGTGAAACACCGACATAGAATCACAGAGAATTCGAGAGACATAAACAAAGGAGGAACACGCACAGAAACACAGGCAAGGAAAAGGAAAAGGAGAGACAGAAAAACAGAGCTAAAATAAAATAGAAGCAAAAGAGAGCCACAGAAAGAATTAGAAATAGACACAGGCAAAGAAATTCAGAGATAGAGACAAACAGGAGAGAAAGTCTTCGGGGCTGATGACTAGACACAGGTGCAGAGATTTCCAGGGTGGAAAAGGACAAAAAGAGTTATTTGTATCACTTTTCCAAACAATCACCATTACTAGATTTTTCCCCTCTCAGGTAGCATGGGTTGGGAGGGAGCCTTGGGCCCCTCCTGTCTCTCTCCTCCTCTAATGCTCTGCGTATGCACAAAAGACAAAGTTATTTGAATCCTGAGTGTCATTAAATGCTCTCTTGCCTTCATTTACAACGTGCTAGAACATAATGTTCCTCGGGAGATTTCGTGTAGGAGAGAGTCCCCGCAGCCAAGAATAGCAGGGGCTGCCAGTCGTCCTCTTGAAACCATAGCGCAGCTCAGAGTGGGAGTACGTTCACACTTCAACTTCATGCGTTTGCAACTTCAGTTTAATAGGCCCAGCAGGGCCAGCACCAAACAAATCCACCCCTGGCCCAGAAGCAACCCCACCCCCGGCTGAGCTCCTAAGAAAGCACTTGCTTAAAATGTGATACCCGAAGCCTGGTGAAGACTCCACATACTACAGATGTTTGTTGATTCTTGGATTTCCTTCGGGGAGCCTATGAGCTCCTTGAGAACAGAGGGATTTATTTATTCATCTCAGCTTTTTTGAACTTCAGGCTCTCACAATTTGAATGGTACCTTCAGTCAATTGCCTCAAGTTGTGGCTCAGCATCCACATCAGTCCACGCATTGCCATGCTTCTCTTTGTTTGCTTTTTTAATCCCACATTTTTCACCAACATTTCTTTTCCCTTCGGTCACTCAGGCATCCATTTTCATTTCTGTTTCGTGCATGTCTTTTCCAAACCACCCTCCATA
This sequence comes from Homo sapiens, assembly GCF_000001405.40. Taxonomy (NCBI): domain Eukaryota; kingdom Metazoa; phylum Chordata; class Mammalia; order Primates; family Hominidae; genus Homo; species Homo sapiens. Next base: position 14,028,553 of record NC_000004.12, on the reverse strand, counting down.
CGTTGAATTTCAGACATGTGCCTCCAGGAACATGGGCTGTACTGCTCTGCATGTACCATCTCATTCTTACCTAAGTGACATTGCAGTCTGCCTTTCATGCTACCTTGTACTCATGGCATTTCTGTTTTAAAAGCATCTTGCATGGTGCTTGCCACTTAGTAAGTGCTCCACAAGTATTTTGAATAAAGTCATGAATTTCAACATCTATATATCACTCTTCTTTACAACAGTATATGACCACTGCATATGGTTTACACACAGGGCTTCAGTGCTTTCTACAAGTGGGAAGGCATAAATTCCCCTTTTTACTTTCCAAGCTTATTCAAAGAAGGCTTGAATCATCCTGGGAACTCCAAGGGTAAAGTGGAATGACCATTGGAATAGGAATCTGGAGATCTGAGTTGGTATTCTCAAGTCTACACATTTGTTACTTGAGAGATCTCGATTTCATTATTTCTAAAATATGGACAGCAAAATCTACCTTGCTAACTTCTCATGGTGGTCAAATGTGCTAAAAGGTGGAAAGGTTTTGGTAAATGGCAAGAACTTAACCCTCCACCCTTATATTAGGTTATTTATACTATCATTAACTTAGAGGTCAATAAAAATGTGTTCATGTTAGGCTCCATGGGGAATAGTGCCTGGCCGCATAGTAGAAATTTAATCTTTATTGAATGGAGAAATGATCTTGGTCCTCTTTGATAACTTTCTCTCATTTATTTTCTACATTCTAATACCTAGCTTCCTGCTATTCAGCTTTGTCTTCTTTTTCAAGCTAGACTCACGTCCTTGAGGTAGAAGACTGAAGAGTCACCATCTTTCTCATGACCTTCATTGCTCGATTGGATATGGGAGGTACTTCACCTCTGATTGCATGAATATCACTGTCTCTAGAATTCAAGTTCTTTGGGGGATTTTGACCACAATATCTTCCTTAATTCACACTCACATTTTTACATCAAATCAATGACCAAAAAAAAAAAAAAAATCTCTGTGCAACAGGTCATGAGAAAGGAAGAAATTGATATCAGAGTTGGCACCGGAGATTTAAAAGGCAATGCTCTGCTCTGAAGTCTTGGAGAGGTAGGAGAAGCAGGTGTTACAGGCCTAGCACCAAAAGGAAGGGATACAGTTGAAGCCACTTGACCAATCTCCGTCCCACCTAAATATTCCTTTCCAGTACTTTCGAACCCATGCCTGAGGTTCAGGGGTCAGTCCCTTACAATATCAAAGGAGATCAGCAATGCCCCACCTGTGGGGATGAAGAAGCTTTCTTTATATCTACAAAATTCCCAAGGAGAAGCAGCACTGTTTTTGTTTCCTCTGAACACTTCCCCTGAAATACCCTGCAAATAAAAACAGCTTTGAAATTCAGGCTCCGTTTAAGTTCAAATTTCCAAACCTTCGCTGTTAATCCTTTTTTAATTGACGTGGAATGTATCCTCAATTATTAACAGAAAGTGTACTTGTTGGAGTCTAATTAAATGCCCTAATCACATTCCTACCATTAAAAATGGTTTTAGGTTTTTGTTGTTTTTTTCTTTTAATGAGCTATTTACTCTGCTGATAACTATAGTGTGGCCAAAAGGGGAGATTCAAAAAGAGCTCCACATACTCAAAATGAAATAGCTTTGTTATTAATAAAAATAATAACCTCATGTACAGCAGGGGGTGGTAAGAAAGCCTAAATTTATGGCTGCTGTGTTGAATGCGCAAATGTCACTTCCTTAAAGAGGGAAAATTAGTTTTTAAGCCTGGTTTAGCAGCCAGAATCTCTGGCTGTCTGCATAATATTGGATTTTTCAAGGCTTCTATGATGCCCTGGGGTGGGCTGTTTTGCATGCAAATTGCAAATTATATAATGTTAAAGATGTTATTTAAGGAAAAAATGAAGACTGAGTTCTCATTCTTTTTTTATTCATTCTCCTTTCCAACCTTTCTTATCCTTCAACTTTATCTGACATTTATTGAGTACCTACTGTGTCTTAGGTGCTCTTATATCATTTGAAACTCATGACAATCTTTTGAAAGAAGTGGAGTTATATAATTTCAATGGATGAAGAAACTGAGGCTCAGAGAGTCTAAATGGTTTGGCTCAATGCTCAGCTACACCAGAGCTTCTGAAACTTGGGCACGTATTGGAATCCCCCAGAGGGCTAGTTGAAACAGAGATTGCCTAGCCCCACTCAGAGTTTATGATTCAATAAGTCTCTGAGTGAGGGCTGAATGTGTCTTTTCAACAAGTTCCCAGGTAGTGCTGATATGGCTTATCGGGGGCCACACGTTGCAAATCACTGCTCTACAACACACTACCTTTTCCTCGGACTTTTACGCCTTGGAGCTGGAAAAGTTTCCAAGAGGTCATTTGATCTGTGTCCCTGCTCTCAGATAAGATATTAATTATGCCTATTTTATAGATGACTCATTAGAGAATTGTTATGGGCAGCAAAGGGAGAAAATGTCCTGCCCAGAGTCAGCCAGGTTGTAAGTACTGGGCTACTCTCATTCATCATTAGGTTGACATTTAGCAGATAGGACACTTTTAAAGTATAAACTCATCTTGTAAGCTAATTTCTCACTCTACCTGCTGCCCTGTAGGCCAAGCCTCAATTGGAAGCAAGTTAGCTGGTTGGAGCCAGTCCCTTCCGGACACCAGGATCAATGCCCATCACTCACAATGGGGGTGAGAGGAGTGGAAGAGGAGGGTGTGGGAGGCAAGAAGCATCCCTCAGTCTAAGCCTAGGATTCAACTTTGCCAAGGCCTTTGTCCACTCAAGAGGAGGTTATTCAGGTGGCTCACAAAGTTACAGTGAGGGTCTGGGGCTGAAGGAAGCATTCATCATTTCGTTTTACCTTGTGTATTATACTCCCTGTCATACCCTATTTTAGTAATTTAGTAAGTTATTGTCTTCCTTTGTATTTTTGCACCTGCAAAAAGTTTAATTGAAAAAGAAAGGCTTAAGCGTTTCAACATACACATTTAAAATGAAATATGATTTCTATAAGTCTGTTGTCATATTTCTTCACTTTTTTAAATTAGAATGACCTTCACAAGAGTGGCCTCTCCACCTCTGAGAGACGCTGACCAGGGTACCCACGGCTGTATAGCAGCAAAACTGCAGGAAGCAGCATTTATCAAAGTATAAATGAGAGGAGAATTGCAGGGAAGTCCTGGATATGTGTTCAGGGCTGCACATCTCTGGGAAAGCCCCATTCTATTCTGGAGAAGTAGGAGGAGCAGAGCCTCCAGACAATGCCTGATTATGAAATCAGAGAAACCTCGATCTGCAGAGAAACCTCCAATCAGCCCCCATCCCAACCCCTATTCTTCTGAAACCTGTGCTCCACCCTGCACCAGGGTCTTTGCAGGAAAGGTTAGATCTGAGCATTTCATGCCCCTTGTCGGATCTTCCACAGGAACATCGCTCTAAAATAAAGCCCTCATCCCTGGGCATAGATCACAAGATTAGGCACACCATGGGCCAGAGCTGAGACCAGCTAATTCTAATTGTCACTGATTAATGGCACTGGTTTTGGTTGCATACCATCTCCAGGTTTTTATTTTAAAAAAAGCTGTGTATAAAATCCCAATCACGGAAAAATGACATTACCATGTAGGATTTTACATCCATTGTTTGGATATGATTGCAAGGAAGATGGGGGAGGTTCAAATCTAATTGCTATGGAAACATAAGTACTTTTCATCTTGTGTTTTTAATAAAGTCTCAGTAACTCTCCTTACATTTTCATTAAATTTGAACTTGCACATTTAAATACCAGCACATCTCTAGAACTGAGAGTGCTGAATCTAGAGACAAAAGCAGTCCAAAATCAGAGGACTGGAGGCATTTATCAGAAAACATGTAGCTGGAAAAATATAAGACTGAGATCTGCTCCAGGTGCCTCTCATTTCCAAGTCTGTGCTCTTCACTGCCTGGCCACACATGGCATGAGGTGGGGCAGAGGACAGGTAGGGTAGAGTATGTCCTGAGAGCTAGACCTGTGACAAGCCCATCATCATGCACAATAAGGCTGGCATGCTGAACTTATTGTATGAACCTGGCCAACTTCTTGATCCAATTTGAGCCTTAAGTTTCTTTTCCCTTAGTGTCTTTTCCACTCTGAAATCCTGATTCAATAAAAACATTTATTTGTATTCCTCTTTACAGACTTCATAGTCAGGAGATAAAGAAAATGTATTGATGGTTTAAAAACTTCTTGCAGACCTAAATTAGAGGTTAATTTCTCCCACTTTCTTTCTGCTTTTCTGTCCCTCTGTTGTTCGACATCCTCCTCTTTCTCTATCTTTTCTTATTTTTCTCTCTATGCTTGCCCTTTGGTTTTTCATTCTTTCTCCTTTGCATTCTGTAAACAGCCAGCATCTTCCACAGCTCACTACCCCTCAGATTGCTAAGTGAGCAGAACTACTTGAGCAAAGGTCACAAGGGTGCTGGGTGATTATACTAATCAGCTTGGCCTGCTAGAGCAAAATACCACAGGCTGATTGGCTTAAACAATAGAAATGTATTTTCTCATAATTCTCCAGGCTGAAAATTCAAGATCAAAGTGCCATCAGGTTTGGTTTCTGGTGAGGCCTCTCTTGCTGGCTTGCAAACAGCTGCCTTCTCTCTGTGTCTTCACATGGCCTTTTCTTTGTGTGCTGAGAGATACAAAGAGAAAGAGAGAGAGAGAAAGAGAAAGAGAGAGAGAGAAAGAGAGAGAGAGAGAGAGAGAAAGCACTCTGATGTCTCTTCCTCCTTTAAAAGGACATCACTCTGATCAGATAAAGATCTCACCCTTATTATCTCACTTAACCTTTATTAACTCTTTATAAGCCCTCTGTCAAAATGCAGTCAGTCACACTGGGGGTTAAGGCTTCAACATATGAATTTGAGGAAGGGCATAATTCAGTCCCTAATGAGGATCTAGAAGAAGCATGAACCTTTTTGCATCTCTCATCCTCATCTACAAAATGGGAATTTGGGGCCAAGTGATCTCTTAGATCCTACATAACACGTTCAGCTTATTCTTCTCACACTAGGAGCCAGAAGAACCATTAATGGCATCTCTGTGCTCCTGTCCACCTTCCCCACTGTCACCTTCTCTTTTGTCTTCCATCTGACTCCATAAAAGATGCAAGATTTCCCAGAACTGCGGAGGGTCCCCATTCCACCTGGGAGGAGAGGAGATGAAGGCCTCAGTCACTTCCTGGCAAGCAAGCAGCCGGCTAAGTGGCACCAACAGTGACTGATGAGCAAGTTCTGATTCAGCAACCAGGGCAGCTTAAGGGTACTTCAGTAGCTCTCAGACACTGGACCCTAGAGCAATGAGTAATATGAATCTATTAATGACAAATCGCATCACAAAAAATGGATCCATCTTGGGATGAGCTTTGTAAATGAGGGCATGAAAGGAACAGAGAGGCTTTGATGTTGTAGACCTGAGACACCCTTCCAGCCACAGTCTGGTGATATCATGGGATTGGCAGGCATAAGTTTAAAGGAGAATGCAGTGACAGATGAAAAAGTACTTGTGCAAACAATTAAATTAACCAGAAGCTCAAAATCATGTCATATGGAAGTCTTTTTTACTGCTTTCAGATTGAATGGTTCTTGCTGACCATGTTCCCTCTCCTCAGTGTCTTGGGTTTGAGTTTGTTCATTCAGAGGATGTCCACCATGCTGAGGTCAGGCTACAATCTTTGCTCAGCAACAATTTGATTTATGGTGGAAAGTGCATTCAATAGTGGTTCTGAATCCTTGTCAATAGGATATGAAATGTGAAGCTTCAGATAACAAAATGAACCCTTCTTTATCTGATCCTTGTTCACTCCTCAGACCTTGTCTACTGACTCAGCCATTCCAACTGAAATGCTTTTCACTGGTTGCTAAATAGTCACAGCGTGTGTTCCTAGAGTAACCTCCCACCACTTAACTGTTTATTTCCCTAAAACTTTTCAGCATTTCCCAAGACTCATTAACTAGTGATGCCTGGCCCTACCAGGCATGTCCTGTTCTTGTTGGTTGGAGTTTGTGGCAGACAGAGATAGTCAGCCCAGATCCTCCTTCAATAAAGAATTTATCATTTCATTGCCAGGAATCCAGTCATCAGACACTATCCAATATTGGGTTTGGCTGTAGAGACCTGGGCCATGCTCCTCTTGGAATAATCATACCAAATAAATGAGCAGGATGGAGCTTAAGGGTCTGGCCATTTCAGCTCAGTGGCAAATACCCCTAGAGGCAGGAATTTCTTGGAACAGCCTTTGATTGGCCAAAGCTTTGTTAGGTCTGGACCTTGGTGCAACATCATCCCCTACCCAATCTTCCTCCCTCTTCCTGCCACAAGTCAACACCTAACAAACCTTTGGGAGAGCTAATTCTGCCCCAGAATCTGCTTCCAGAGGACCTGGACTGCAACAGTGCAGGTTTTATGAGTTGCTAAATGTTTTTACTGTCAGTCCTGCTTATATAAACTGAATTGCTTTTAGTTCCCAAGACACCCCCTATTCACTCAGGTTTTCAAATCTTAGCAACTGTTGCTCTTTCATCTTGATATATCCTCTGTGCCATCACTCTTTATCTGAATTATTCTCATTCTTTCAAAACCCACCCTAATAGTCAAAATATTTCAGTCCTGAGAAGCCCCTCATGATGGTATTAGAGTTCTATAGCTGTGCAACAAACTTAAGACAGATGAACTATCTCAAAGTTTCATATGGACATGGGCTTGCTGCATCCTCTGCTCAGGGATTCGCCAGGCTGAAATCAAGGTGCTAGCCAGGGCTGCAACCTCATCTAAGGCTTAGGGTTCTCTTCCAAGCCCATTTAGGTTTTGGGCTGAAATCAGTTTCTTCTAACGATGTAATTGATGTCCCATTATGTTGTTGGCTGTTTGCTTTTTTCTAGGAAAGCAGAAAAGTGTCTCTTTGACACTTCATCTTCTTTTAAAGGGCTCACCTGATTGGGTCAGGCCCACCCAGGATGACCTCTCTTTTGATTATTGGGTCAGGCCCACCCAGGATGACCTCTCTTTTGATTAACTCAAAGCTGACTGATGAATAACCCAACTACAGAAGTGATATCCTATGATATGCACAGATTCTAATCACATACCAGGGAAATAACCCCTATCCATAGCACAACCAGCCACCCTGGCAGAGGAAGTAGAGTTTTGTACTGATAATTAAATTCTCTGGCCTGAAAGTGACAGCATGCACTTTAGCTGACAACTCGTTGACCAAAGCTAAACACATGGCCCATCCAACCACAAGCAGCCAGGAAGTGCCTTGGAGGTAGGTAACTGGAAATATTTGGTAACTATTACCACGGACTATCACACAGGGTAGAGATTGTATCTTTCATTTCTGGATCATTGGTACTTATTCGGTGACTGAAAGACTGTCAACAAATGTGGACATCAATAAAAAACATTCCCATAAACATTTTTTTAAGAAAAACATTTTCAAGATATCTTACAGAGATTGTTTTCTTCCCTTCTACCACCTTGAACCCTAGAAAATGAAAATTTATTCAACTGTGTTTTCATGACTGTCTTATATTTACTACTGGCTTGACAAAAATACTATTAGGAAATTTTTTTTAAAAACCCACATTTTTGAAATCAGAGAACATAAAAACATTTCAATGCTTCACATTTATGTGAAACCATGGATCTCTAATATCCATGGTTGTTAACTTCATCATGTATTTTGGGCCTTAGGGGTCTTCAGGGGACTGTCCCTTCACCCATGTGCTTTGGGTAGCTACTCTTCCTGCAACCCTAAAAAGGAGACATTAAAATAGGGTTGAAATTAGGCATGGTGTGAATTAAACATTCATAGCAATAATTTTTATTATTTTTGTAAGAAAATGCCCTTGAAGAAGCAAACTTGGAATATTTCCTACATTGTATTTTTTAATCTTGTTGTCAGTATGACACAGATAAACTTCAGGGCAACAGTGCACATACAGTTCATTTAAGCAGCCAGAGCATTGGAATTATGCATTTGGGAGGAACAATGAGCAAATTGAGGCTATATCATCCTTTTCCCAAACCACTGATTTAAAATAGAACATTGTAGTTAGTCCAACATTTTGTCCACCTAAACTATGTCTAAAGAATCCTCACCAATGACTCTTCTTGTACAGTAGTAGATTTTAGGCTTCATTATCAAATTAATGAATTTTAACATCCCATAGAAATGGGAAAAGTGGAATAATAAGTAAATATGGAAAAGGTAGTCTCTTCTAGTACTAATAGCCAAGGCTGCCACTATGTCATCAGACAAGTCCAATTCCTGTTTTGTAAAAGCAATACTGTGCATGAGGAGGGGAACCAGGGTTAAGGGGTGGCTAAGTAAACCTAATGGGCTAGTGCCACTCCCTCAGTACTGGAGCTAGAGAAGACAGTGTCATTATTCAAAATTCCAGATGATACCAGAGGAAAGGAGCCTCGAGTATTCAGATTCTAAGAAGCGGAGATCTCAGATCCAGGCTAAGAAGTCCAGGGAGAGATGAGTCAAGTCAGTAAGAAGCAAGACATGTAGGAGTCTAGGTGAGCAACACAAATCCAGACTTGTAGACACGCTCCACATAGAAGGCCTGGGGTAGGTGCTTACTTAACACATCACGTGGTGAGACCAGACCACATGTGGCAAGCTAGAGCATCAGAATTGGCAGACAGGGGCAGAATATAAGACAGACCATGAGGGCAAGAATAAAACAATGTGAGACCAGGGCTCACAACTTGGCAAAAAAAAAAAAAAAAAAAAAAAAAAAAAAAAAAAAAAAAAAACCAGGGAAAGCAGTCAATGGCTAAATGGAGAAAGAAGAGGAATAAAAATGTCATAAAGACCCAGGGTTAATGCTAAGAGGAATGACGAACAGGTATGCCACAGGAACTAGGATCCAGATGGAAGGAAGTCTAGATCAATTTCCTGAAATAACACATTGAGTACTCGGGGATTCTTTTTGCTTTTTGTGCCCCAAAACTTAACAACAGTTTCTAAAACTTTGTGTAAATAAATGAACAGGCGTAAACACCAGTATGTCTGGTGAATGAGCTCAAGTCCAGCATGAGAGTTCCTGGGTGATAGCAAAGCCAGTCACTAAAAGCATCAAGTCCTAGAGAGGCAAAGCAACCTCCAATCCCATCTAAACCAGTCTTAGTACTTTAGAGGAATTATCTGAAAGTGAAGTCTGGGGTGAAGAATGAATACTTTTAGCAACTGTGGCTCTCAACATGGAGAGCAAAGGATCAGTCAGTAAGATGTCACTCATTACTCAACAATGAATACTCATTATTCAAACTCATTTTTCTAAGGGGTGACGCAGGTGGAAAAAAAATAGATTTCAAGAAGCACAAGAGTTAGGAAAGCAACACTTTCTTGAATTTCCATGATATTCCCATTTAATGTCCCATTAAAACCTGGGACAGTGAAAGACCTTTCCCAAACGTGGTTACAGGCAAGTAGAAAAGCAGTACTGGCAATGATCCCTTTGTAGACTCTAATTCTTGTCTGAGGAATCCAAATCTAAGGAAGGTTGGACTACACGTGTCCCTCGTATGGTGATGCCCTTAACCTACATTTATCACCTCTTCTCCAGGCATTTGAGTACCTGACTTATGCTCCAGACATAGTGAACTATTGCTTGATGAGTAAACTATCTCCTCTCATTACATTTCGTTTGCTGAAGCTGCCCTTGATTTTTCAATCTTTCTCCCTGGATTATTTCTGAGTGCCCTTCAAAACTCAGCCTGAGAGATTTCTTTTCTAGTTACACTTCTTTGGCTCTCCAGAACGCTGATCTGTCCCTTCCAGAGCACCTTGGACTTAGCCCTCTGCTCATATTTTCCATCCTCGATTATTGATGTTTACTTGTCTGTCCCATCAGACTCTCTGTACCATCTGTTTACTTGAGCAGCTGTGAGTTGCTCAAGTTGCTCAAGACCACTTCAAAGCACAGTGTCAAAAATAATGTCTGATGCCTTAGTAAGTGCTGAATAAACTTTAATGGCAAAAACCACAATTACTTTTGCACCAACCTAGTATCTGTTGGGTCTCTAAATGAAAGAATACATGAAATGTTACTGAGGCTGAGTTTCTAAAATCCTTCATTTTACCACTGTAGGGAAAGATTCCAAACACTTCAGGATTAGTTTGGTTATTACGTCATGTATGTACAGAACGAATGCAGTTTCTCAATGTTGCCATCACTGACATAAGGCCTCAGTTTCTCAAAACAATGAATTGTAAGTACCACACTGATTTAGAGGCTGTGTTTGCTAAAACCAGTTTTATTATTTGGAGTCACACCTTCTTCTCTGCGAGTTTGTTTTGTTTCAACTACTATAAAACTAGTAAATAGAATCCTAGGTCTTCAAAATTATAGAACCAGAGGTCAGAAAATGTGGATCCCAACAAGCAAAAGAAAGGAATTCCATGTCCAAGGACATTTCCCTAAAGGATAAATCTATCTTACCACTATCTTTGTGTTATATACTTTGAACTTTCTAAAGTGACATATAAGCAACATAGAGGAGAAAAGTGGTTTGAATACCATGTTGTATATAATTTCTATAAAGGTCTTTCAATCATTTCTTCATCAAAGAGTCCATTTCTTTTTGGGTCTAGCCAATCTTGCAGACTCCCCAGGAGACCTAAGTTTCATCATGGAAACAGTCAATAATGTGTCCCAGGTTCAGAACCTCAATCTATACCCAAGTTCCCAGGAAAAATTTCTTGTGACTCTCATGACTTCTATTTACTTGTTACTTGGGAATCAGAGAACCAAGTTCAAGCTCTTTCTAAACTTATACTTTCAGAATGTTTCTCTGACAAATCCAGATCCAAAGCCCAAATGCTTTCCTTAAAATAAATTTTTCTTTTTAATTTCAAGTTTTGAAACTTGAAACGTTATTTTCTAATTAGTTATGTTATTAGAAGAATATAGCTGAAAGAATAACATAAAATGACAGAAAACCCTCAAATAACTTTTTTTTCCTAGCAAGCAACCTACATATTTATGTTTGGCTAACATATGAGCATGAGTTTGTATTCAATGACTGTATGGTACTCTAGGGCAGGAGAGTGGGAAAGAGGTTCTAAATTACATTCATAAAATAATGATGATGCAGTATATTTAAGTAGGTTTCAGAATTCATAGCATGCTTTCACATTTTCATTTCCTTTAACTCTCACAATGGTTCTATAAGAGTTGGCTGGGTGGAGAAGTAAGATCATTTACTAAGAAGAGCAAAGGTTTTAAAATTAGACAGCGCAGCTTCCAACTCCAACAGTGCCATTTATTTACTCTGTAATCTTTATCTAGTGTCATGACACATCCCAGTATCAATTTCTTTTCTTTTAAAGAACAGAAATGGGGTCTTTCCATGTTGCCCAGGCTGGTCTCAAACTCCTGGGTTCAGGCAATCCTCCCACCTCGGTCTCCCAAAGTGCTGGGATTACAGGCATGAGCCACTGCTCCCAGCCATCACATCAATTTCTTTATAACTAAGGTAGTAATAATACCAACTTATGCCTGCATCATTCCCTCAAGAGACACTTACTGAGCATCTATCATGTTCCGGGTCCTGTATAGGTTGGGGAGACAATGATGGAAAAGATATATTTACACAAATTAATACAAAGATTAAATGGGTTAATGTACAAGAAGCGCCTAGCATGATATATACTCACTAAATGTGATAATTTCCTACAATTATATTTATAGGTGAAGATATTAAATTCAGAACAGTTATGTGATTTGTCCTTGGTTGCATACCTGGTTAATGACAAAAAAGCAGCATTTTAAATATATCAGTCAAGGTCCTAGCAGAAAACTGAAACTTCAGTTGGGATTTTAGAAGAGATTGTGTAAAACTATAACTATTTACAGAAGTGTCAGTCAAGTTAAAGGAACCCGAAAGAAATGTTGAGGCATCCAAAGACTAATAGCAGTCCAGAGATCGGGCAAAAGCAATTGCGGTTTTTGCTATTACTTTTACTGACAAAAAAACACAATAAATTTTGCACCAACCTAATAGTGGTCCTCAGTCTTGAAAGAGAAAGGGTTGAAGTGTGGGGGTTGTAAAACAGGAGGTCCACCAAAGGTAGCCACACAACCTCTGCAAAACCACTCTGAAGCAGTAAGGGAGGAAAAAAAAAAAAACCTCAGAGTTGCTCTCTTCCCACCCACTAATCTCCTACTGGCATTGCCCTTTGGTTAAACCTAAAGAAAGCCAGAGGACTAAGGAGCCCTTGTGCTGCAATCTGTGGAGCTCAGCCTCTTGAAGCAGACAGATGTACAGAGAAAGCCAGAATCTACCCTTTTGCCCCAGTAATTCACACTCATTGATGTACAAACTACACTTATCTTTTCTCCAGACCCACCAAATCTTATCAGTCATGCCATCGGACTTGAAATCCATGGTTCATAATCTGTATCAAGTCTGGATATAATTGAGATTATTTTAGTACAGTTCTCTGCATGAGGGTCTTCTTGAACCAAAGAACTACAAACTAAAAAGATAAGTTATCCGTTCCCCAAACACCCCGCATGCAATAGTGAGATAGGGACAAAATAATTAAAATAGACATATTTAAAAGGAGAGGAACATGAGGTGTGTAGCATTCACTGGTCCATAGCAATTCTGAAATCCAGCTGAGCACAGGTCAGGTTCTCTGTTTTCAAACTAGGAAATTTTCCTTGATTTGGGCTGAATTTTGCAATCCAAGAATGATTCCCTAGTCTACTGTTCTTTTCAGCTCTTGGCTCTAAGGTTTTCAATGAGTGAAAATGAAAGTGGCTTATCCCACTTTAACTCATAATGAACCAGTAAAAATTGTGTCTTCCTGTACCACCACTTTGAGCTCAGCTGGTTTAGACATCTCAGTTCTCAAGGGACAATGTCTCCACAAGAGATCACAAATATAATACCACTAAACAGGAAGCTGAGCCCAGAACCTGACCACTTTGAATTCCTCATACCGCTGAAACTATAGGCAAAAAAAACGGGACTGCTGAACAGATGAGGGTGACAGATTCTATCAAAGAATGTTATCTGGTGGAGGAGCCAAGATGGCCGAATAGGAACAGCTCCGGTCTACAGCTCCCAGCGTGAACGACGCAGAAGATGGGTGATTTCTGCACTTCCATCTGAGGTACCGGGTGCATCTCACTAGGGAGTGCCAGACAGTGGGCGCAGGCCAGTGGGTGCGCACACCATGCGCGAGCCGAAGCAGGGCGAGGCATTGCCTCGCCTGGGAAGTGCAAGGGGTCAGGGAGTTCCCTTTCCGAGTCAAAGAAAGGGGTGACGGACACACCTGGAAAATCGGGTCACTCCCACCCGAATATTGCGCTTTTCAGACCGGCTTAAAAAATGGCGCACCACGAGACTATATCCCACACCTGGCTCGGAGGGTCCTACGCCCACGGAATCTTGCTGATTGCTAGCACAGCAGTCTGAGATCAAACTGCAAGGCGGCAGCCAGGCTGGGGGAGGGGCGCCCACCATTGCCCAGGCTTGCTTAGGTAAACAAAGCAGCCCCAAAGCTCCAACTGGGTGGAGCCCACAACAGATCAAGGAGGCCTGCCTGCCTCTGTAGGCTCCACCTCTGGGGGCAGGGCACAGACAAACAAAAAGACAGCAGTAACCTCTGCAGACTTAAATGTCCCTGTCTGACAGCTTTGAAGAGAGCAGTGGTTCTCCCAGCACGCAGTTGGAGATCTGAGAACAGGCAGACTGCCTGCTCAAGTGGGTCCCTGACCCCCGACCCCCGAGCAGCCTAACTGGGAGGCACCCCCCAGCAGGGGCACACTGACACCTCACACAGCAGGGTATTCCAACAGACCTGCAGCTGAGGGTCCTGTCTGTTAGAAGGAAAACTAACAAACAGAAAGGACATCCACACCGAAAACCCATCTGTACATCACCATCATCAAAGACCAAAAGTAGATAAAACCACAAAGATGGGGAAAAAAACAGAACAGAAAAACTGGAAACTCTAAAACGCAGAGCGTCTCTCCTCCTCCAAAGGAACGCAGTTCCTCACCAGCAACAGAACAAAGCTGGATGGAGAATGACTTTGACGAGCTGAGAGAAGAAGGCTTCAGACGATCAAATTACTCTGAGCTACAGGAGGACATTCAAACCAAAGGCAAAGAAGTTGAAAACTTTGAAAAAAATTTAGAAGAATGTATAACTAGAATAACCAATACAGAGAAGTGCTTAAAGGAGCTGATGGAGCTTAAAACCAAGACTCGAGAACTACGTGAAGAAAGCAGAAGCCTCAGGAGCCGATGCGATCAACTGGAAGAAAGGGTATCAGCGATGGAAGATGAAATGAATGAAATGAAGCAAGAAGGGAAGTTTAGAGAAAAAAGAATAAACAGAAATGAGCAAAGCCTCCAAGAAATACGGGACTATGTGAAAAGACCAAATCTACGTCTGATTGGTGTACCTGAAAGTGACGGGGAGAATGGAACCAAGTTGGAAAACACTCTGCAGGATATTATCCAGGAGAACTTCTCCAATCTAGCAAGGCAGGCCAACGTTCAGATTCAGGAAATACAGAGAACGCCACAAAGATACTCCTCGAGAAGAGCAACTCCAAGACACATAATTGTCAGATTCACCAAAGTTGAAATGAAGGAAAAAATGTTAAGGGCAGCCAGAGAGAAAGGTCGGGTTACCCTCAAAGGGAAGCCCATCAGACTAACAGCGGATCTCTCGGCAGAAACTCTACAAGCCAGAAGAGAGTGGGGGCCAATATTCAACATTCTTAAAGAAAAGAATTTTCAACCCAGAATTTCATATCCAGCCAAACTAAGCTTCATAAGTGAAGGAGAAATAAAATACTTACAGACAAGCAAATGCTGACCGATTTTGTCACCACCAGGCCTGCCCTAAAAGAGCTCCTGAAGGAAGAGCTAAACATGGAAAGGAACAACCGGTACCACCCGCTGCAAAATCATGCCAAAATGTAAAGACCATCGAGACTAGGAAGAAACTGCATCAACTAACAAGCAAAATCACCAGCTAACATCATAATGACAGGATCAAATTCACACATAACAATATTAACTTTAAATATAAACGGACTAAATTCTCCAATTAAAAGACACAGACTGGCAAATTGGATAAAGAGTCAAGATCCATCAGTGTGCTGTATTCAGGAAACCCATCTCACGTGCAGAGACACACATAGGCTCAAAATAAAAGGATGGAGGAAGATCTACCAAGCAAATGGAAAACAAAAAAAGGCAGGGGTTGCAATCCTAGTCTCTGATAAAACAGACTTTAAACCAACAAAGATCAAAAGAGACAAAGAAGGCCATTACATAATGGTAAAGGGATCAATTCAACAAGAAGAGCTAA
This sequence comes from Homo sapiens, assembly GCF_000001405.40. NCBI lineage: Eukaryota > Metazoa > Chordata > Mammalia > Primates > Hominidae > Homo > Homo sapiens. Next base: position 14,013,172 of record NC_000004.12, on the reverse strand, counting down.
CTATCCTAAATATATATGCACCCAATACGGGAGCACCCAGATTCATAAAGCAAGTCCTGAGTGACCTACAAAGAGACTTAGACTCCCACACATTAATAATGGGAGACTTTAACACCCCACTGTCAACATTAGACAGATCAACAAGACAGAAAGTCAACAAGGATACCCAGGAATTGAACTCAGCTCTGCACCAAGCAGACCTAATAGACATCTACAGAACTCTCCACCCCAAATCAACAGAATATACATTTTTTTCAGCACCACACCACACCTATTCCAAAATTGACCACATAGTTGGAAGTAAAGCTCTCCTCAGCAAATGTAAAAGAACAGAAATTATAACAAACTATCTCTCAGACCACAGTGCAATCAAACTAGAACTCAGGATTAAGAATCCCACTCAAAGCCGCTCCACTACATGGAAACTGAACAACCTGCTCCTGAATGACTACTGGGTACATAACGAAATGAAGGCAGAAATAAAGATGTTCTTTGAAACCAACGAGAACAAAGACACAACATACCAGAATCTCTGGGACGCATTCAATGCAGTGTGTAGAGGGAAATTTATAGCACGAAATGCCCACAAGAGAAAGCAGGAAAGATCCAAAATTGACACCCTAACATCACAATTAAAAGAACTAGAAAAGCAAGAGCAAACACATTCAAAAGCTAGCAGAAGGCAAGAAATAACTAAAATCAGAGCAGAACTGAAGGAAATAGAGACACAAAAAACCCTTCAAAAAATTAATGAATCCAGGAGCTGGTTTTTTGAAAGGATCAACAAAATTGATAGACCGCTAGCAAGACTAATAAAGAAAAAAAGGGAAAAGAATCAAATAGACACAATAAAAAATGATAAAGGGGATATCACCACCAATCCCACAGAAATACAAACTACCATCAGAGAATACTACAAACACCTCTACGCAAATAAACTAGAAAATCTAGAAGAAATGGAAAAATTCCTGGACACATACACTCTCCCAAGACTAAACCAGGAAGAAGTTGAATCTCTGAATAGACCAATAACAGGATCTGAAATTGTGGCAATAATCAATAGTTTACCAACCAAAAAGAGTCCAGGACCAGATGGATTCACAGCCGAATTCTACCAGAGGTACAAGGAGGAACTGGTACCATTCCTTCTGAAACTATTCCAATCAACAGAAAAAGAGGGAATCCTCCCTAACTCATTTTATGAGGCCAGCATCATTCTGATACCAAAGCCGGGCAGAGACACAACCAAAAAAGAGAATTTTAGACCAATATCCTTGATGAACATTGATGCAAAAATCCTCAATAAAATACTGGCAAACCGAATCCAGCAGCACATCAAAAAGCTTATCCACCATGATCAAGTGGGCTTCATCCCTGGGATGCAAGGCTGGTTCAATATACGCAAATCAATAAATGTAATCCAGCATATAAACAGAGCCAAAGACAAAAGCCACGCGATTATCTCAATAGATGCAGAAAAAGCCTTTGACAAAATTCAACAACCCTTCATGCTAAAAACTCTCAATAAATTAGGTATTGATGGGACGTATTTCAAAATAATAAGAGCTATCTATGACAAACCCACAGCCAATATCATACTGAATGGGCAAAAACTGGAAGCATTCCCTTTGAAAACTGGCACAAGACAGGGATGCACTCTCTCACCACTCCTATTCAACATAGTGTTGGAAGTTCTGGCCAGGGCAATTAGACAGGAGAAGGAAATAAAGGGTATTCAATTAGGAAAAGAGGAACTCAAATTGTCCCTGTTTGCAGACGACATGATTGTATATCTAGAAAACCCCATCGTCTCAGCCCAAAATCTCCTTAAGCTGATAAGCAACTTCAGCAAAGTCTCAGGATACAAAATCAATGTACAAAAATCACAAGCATTCTTATACACCAACAACAGACAAACAGAGAGCCAAATCATGAGTGAACTCCCATTCACAATTGCTTCAAAGAGAATAAAATACCTAGGAATCCAACTTACAAGGGATGTGAAGCACCTCTTCAAGGAGAACTACAAACCACTGCTCAAGGAAATAAAAGAGGATACAAACAAATGGAAGAACATTCCATGCTCATGGGTAGGAAGATTCAATATCGTGAAAATGGCCATACTGCCCAAGGTAATTTACAGATTCAATGCCATCCCCATCAAGCTACCAATGACTTTCTTCACAGAATTGGAAAAAACTACTTTAAAGTTCATATGGAACCAAAAAAGAGCCCGCATCACCAAGTCAATCCTAAGCCAAAAGAACAAAGCTGGAGGAATCACACTACCTGACTTCAAACTATACTACAAGACTACAGTAACCAAAACAGCATGGTACTGGTACCAAAACAGAGATATAGATCAATGGAACAGAACAGAGCCCTCAGAAATAACGCCGCATACCTACAACTATCTGATCTTTGACAAACCTGAGAAAAACAAGCAATGGGGAAAGGATTCCCTATTTAATAAATGGTGCTGGGAAAACTGGCTAGCCATATTGAGAAAGCTGAAACTGGATCCCTTCCTTACACCTTATACAAAAATCAATTCAAGATGGATTAAAGATTTAAACGTTAGACCTAAAACCATAAAAACCCTAGAAGAAAACCTAGGCATTATCATTCAGGACATAGGCATGGGCAAGGACTTCATGTCCAAAACACCAAAAGCAATGGCAACAAAAGACAAAATTGACAAATGGGATCTAATTAAACTAAAGAGCTTCTGCACAGCAAAAGAAACTACCATCAGAATGAACAGGCAACCTACAAAATGGGAGAACATTTTCGCAACATACTCATCTGACAAAGGGCTAATATCCAGAATCTACAGTGAACTCAAACAAATTTACAAGAAAAAAACAAACAACCCCATCAAAAAGTGGGCAAAGGACATGAACAGACACTTCTCAAAAGAAGACATTTATGCAGCCAAAAAACACATGAAAAAATGCTCATCATCACTGGCCATCAGAGAAATGCAAATCAAAACCACTATGAGATACCATCTCACACCAGTTAGAATGGCAATCATTAAAAAGTCAGGAAACAACAGGTGCTGGAGAGGATGTGGAGAAATAGGAACACTTTTACACTGTTGGTGGGACTGTAAACTAGTTCAACCATTGTGGAAGTCAGTGTGGCGATTCCTCAGGGATCTAGAACTAGAATTACCATTTGACCCAGCCACCCCATTACTGGGTATATACCCAAAGGACTATAAATCATGCTGCTATAAGGACACATGTACATGTATGTTCATTGCGGCATTATTCACAATAGCAAAGACTTGGAACCAACCCAAATGTCCAACAATGATAGACTGGATTAAGAAAATGTGGCACATATACACCATGGAATACTATGCAGCCATAAAAAATGATGAGTTCATGTCCTTTGTAGGGACATGGATGAAATTGGAAATCATCATTCTCAGTAAACTATCACAAGATCAAAAAACCAAACACTGCATATTCTCACTCATAGGTGGGAACTGAACAATGAGATCACATGGACACAGGAAGGGGAATATCACACTCTGGGGACTGTGGTGGGGTGGGGGGAGGGGGGAGGGATAGCATTGGGAGATATACCTAATGCTAGATGACGAGTTAGTGGGTGCAGCCCACCAGCATGGCACATGTATACATATGTAACTAACCTGCACAATGTGCACATGTACCCTAAAACTTAAAGTATAATAATAAAAAAAAAAAGAATGTTATCTAACAGCAACCCAAGGGTAAGAAGGAGTGGGCCTAGAATACAGAAACTTCTCTCTAGTACACCCATGTCCTGTGACAAAAGTTAATAGAAAACGAAAATAATCCAATATAGACAGAATAGCAAATAGTATAAGACCCTGAGGAATAAAGGTTTGAACATATAGACAAAAACCATGCTCACTTGAGGTACTTACTGAGGGCAAAAGTAATATAAAATAGGGTAGTGGAAGAAACTATAAATGCCAGCTGCAACCATTTGATCATTTGCAGGTCTGAGGACTGTGCAGTTTCATCTTTGCTTCCATATAAATATATTTATTTGCACATGTAGTAAGTATTTTCCCTACCCTACTACCCTATTTGATAGAAAATGTTTTGAGAGTTGCTAACTTTATTTCTCAATATTTAAGTTATCAGCTAGCAAAGGGAGACTGTGATTGAACTAGAAAGACGGGCACCAACAAAAGGATAAAATGAAGTATGAGATCTTGTGCATTCTATTGAAATAACTGCATTATGTAGAGTTGAAAGATGATTTTAGTATTACTTAATTTCCAAGTTAAATATTAAAAACATACAATAGAGTATGAATGCAAAGTTCACAAGGATAGACCGTGCTACATTTTGGTCCATCAACCAAGGTGGAAGCTATGTTTCTTTAAATCATCTTCCCTATGCGGTGCTAGACTAGAATTGGCCAAAAGAGGAACCTGTATGAGGTTTGGAATAACATTAAGTGAAACTCTTTGTGGTCAGATACGTGACAGATGCAGAGACAGTAGACAGTTTTATATCATGCTCACTCTCTTCTCCATATCTCACTCTTCCTGATTTCTGGCCCAACTGACAGTCAGCATCAATTGCCACATAGTTAAGGCCATCTTAAACCTTCCAGTGTTTGCTATTTCTCTCTCAGGTGAGACCAACAAAATAATTACCTGTAAGAGTGCAGACCCATGAGCTTGAGAGCAAATAAAAATAGTCTTTGTTTTAGTACACAAACCACTAAGTTTTGGAATGGCTTTTTATGAAGCAGTAGGTAAATAATATGCTTGGTATTAATAGTGGCAGATGCTAGTAAATAGATATTTCAAATAGATAAAATTAATATTTAAATACATTTGACCCTGGGAAACACAGGTTTGAACAATGTGAATTCATTTATACGCAGATTTTTTTCAATAAAAATTACATCAAGTATTTTGAAAGAAGTAGGGCTAACAATGCAGCCTTTCTAGATTGTTCAAGACTCTAGCAGAGAGGCCATAAGGAGTTTGTCCCCTGCCCTCTTCCAGTGTGGAGACTGAGGAGATTGGAGCAGAGAAATAATGTGACCAGAACTTGGCTTCTCCATTCCTCATTCCCCTTTTACATCTTTTTTTTTCTGATGTTTTTCCAATCAAATGTATCCAAAAGACCTATGTTATAGGTCTTATTAGAACTCTCACTTTGCAGATGAACAAACTGTGGCAGAGAGGGACAGGGTAGTGAAACTAAGGCTTTTCCCTAATAACAAATGCTTTGGAAAGAATATGTCACTATCTCTTCAGCACATGCATCTAACTCTCTGCTTTGGTTGTTTCAAACCTCTTGGGGCAGGGAAAAGAAAAGAAGAGAAATAAATTTTGGCAGGCCTTTTTCATGCAAAGAACACTTCACATGTGTATATATATTCTTATCTGATATTCATATAATATTAATATGAATGGACTTTCCTTGGTTGTAAGGCCTAGAGGCTCCCAGGTTTGGGTTGATGAGTGGAAGAAGTGTACTTGCACTTCAAGTGTACCTGTATTTCCTGCCTCCCCTTCCAACTCCTCTACTGAGATAAATTACTAGATATATTAATGGGCACTATAAACCTTAACAGACCTTTTTTCACCAGCTCAGTGATGGCTCACATTGAGCAGTGTATGTGAGTATGTGTGGGGGTGGGGTGGGGGGTGGAGGTGTGTCTGTTGGTGAATCTCCAACACCTATCAGAAAGTCCAGCATACACCAGGCAGTCAATACGTTTTTTGAATTGAATTGATTGCTTAAAAACATTTTGAACCTCATGGATTAGTGGAAAGTTCATGATCTTTGGATTTAGGATATTCTATGACGCATCAATTCTATGGCAACTGTTAAATCAATGCCAAATATAGTATAATGATTAAACAAGTGTACTGTAGAGTCCGATTTTTTATGTTTAGTTACCAACTCATACGTTTACCGCTTATTTCACATTGGGCAAGTTTCTTAGCCTTTTCTGTACCATTAATTTTCCTGTGAGAATTGAGTAGTTTAGACCCAAAAAATGCTTAGAATAATGCCTGACATTTGGTAAGTGTCCAATAATTGTGAATTCTGTGTATGTTAAGTTATGTAACAATCTTCAGCCTTGATTTATTCATCTATAAAACGGCAATCATTACATCAACATCCTAGGACTGTGAAAATTGCAAAGTTTTAAATATGTGCCAAAGGTCTTAGCACAAGGTTCATCTCAAACGAGACTTTAATTGTTTTTGCCTCCCTGTTTTCCCCTCTTCACTCCTTCCCCTCATCAATACAAGACTGGGAGCCTCTTGGCCCCACAACCAAGGAAAGTCCATTCATACTAATGTTACATGAGTATCAGATAAGAATATATATACACATGTGAAATGTTCTTTACATGAAAAAGATCTGCCAATATTTGTTTCTCTTCTTTTCTTTTCCCTGCCCTAACAGGTTTGAGACAACCAAAGCAGAGACTTAGATGCATGTGCTAAAGAGATAGTGGCATATTCTCTCCAAAGCATTTGTTATTAGGGAAAAGCCTTAGTTTCACTACCCTGTCCCTCTGTGCCACCGTTTGTTCATCTGCAAAGTAGGAGTTCTAATAAGACCTGTAACATAGGTCTTTTGGATGGATTTGATGGGAAAAACATCCCCCCAAAAAAGGGGAAGGGGGAAATGCAGAAGCCAAGTTCTGGTCATGTTATTCCTCTGCTCTAATCTCCTCAGTCTTCCCACTGGGTAAAGGCAAGGGACAAACTCCTTAAAGTCTGTCGGCTAGAGTTTTGCACAATCTAGAAAAGCTGCATTGTTAGCCCTAGTTCTTTCAAAAGACTACATTCATCATCAGCATCAAAATACCTGCTATTCTCTGAATATGTGCTGGATTTCCAGGCTCCCAGATCATGATTCAAACCTTGCTTTATTGAAAATGGGAGAAAATTTTTGCAAGCTACTCATCTGACAAAGGGCTAATATCCAGAATCTACAATGAACTCAAACAAATTTACAAGAAAAAAACAAACAACCCCATCAAAAAGTGGGCAAAGGATATGAGCAGACACTTCTCAAAAGAAGACATTTATGCAGCCAAAAAGCACATGAAAAAATGCTCATCATCACTGGCCATCAGAGAAATGCAAATCAAAACCACTATGAGATACCACCTCACACCAGTTAGAATGGCAATCATTAAAAAGTCAGGAAACAACAGGTGCTGGAGAGGATGTGGAGAAATAGGAACACTTTTACACTGTTGGTGGGACTGTAAACTAGTTCAACCATTGTGGAAGTCAGTGTGGCGATTCCTCAGGGATCTAGAACTAGAATTACCATTTGACCCAGCCATCCCATTACTGGGTATATACCCAAAGGACTATAAATCATGCTGCTATAAAGACACATGCACACGTATGTTTATTGCGGCACTATTCACAATAGCAAAGACTTGGAACCAACCCAAATGTCCAACAATCATAGACTGGATTAAGAAAATGTGGCACATATACACCATGGAATACTATGCAGCCATAAAAAATGATGAGTTCATGTCCTTTGTAGGGACATGGATGAAATTGGAAATCATCATTCTCAGTAAACTATCGCAAGGACAAAAAACCAAACACCACATGTTCTCACTCATAGATGGGAATTGAACAATGAGAACACATGGACACAGGAAGGGGAACATCACACTCTGGGGACTGTTGTGGGGTGGGGGGAGGAGGGAGGGATAGCATTAGGAGATATACCTAATGCTAAATAACGAGTTAATGGGTGCAGCACACCAGCATGGCACATGTATACATATGTAACTAACCTGCACAATGTGCACATGTACCCTAAAACTTAAAGTATAATTAAAAAAAAAAGAGATCAAGACCATCAGATAAAAAAAAAGAACCTAGCTTTGTTCCTTGAAGACTCTTACCTGAAATATTTTCCTGAGAAAATCTCCTATTTGAAGTCCTCCCAACACCACTGTTAAATTGTTGTAGCTCCCTCCTACTTAATCCCATTGCAGTTGACTTGTGCCACCATGAAAGCAGTAATTTTATTCTATCTAGAATTAAAAGGCAAGGGAAGTTTCTCCTAATCCTGTCCAAATGCAAAAGATACTTCTCTTCTAGTTGTCTATCAATTCTTTGAGAGCAAAGATAGTAACTTATTAATTTGTGAATTCCTCAGTTTAGTTAGCATATTGCCTTACACATTTTATAGGTTTAATAAATACTTCTTCCATAAATTAATAAATGAATAAGTGGATTTGAAGAAAGATTCCACATATTTCTTAATAGTTTTGTTTGGGGATGAAAACTTGAAGTCATAAATCAAGCAATTTCAAAGTTGTTTTAAAAAAGCTAAGGTCTAGAACCTGCACCTAATCTACCTAAAGAAAAGTGAATGTAATTGAAAAATAATAAATGATAAAACAAGGACTTTAATTTTCTTTTTAGATTGTCTTGTTGCAACTTGACCATTATAGACAAATAAACAATTACTGTCAGCCTTGGTAAGGTGTAAATGCTAACTAAATATAGCAATTTGAATGAGATTGCACTACATAAATAGTATTGATTTTTTTTGTTTGCATTAGAGTAAATCACCATTAGAAAATAGCCTTCCAAGTCAATGGTTCTAATTTAAAACCTAATTATTTTAATTATTGCTCAAAGCAATCACATTTCTTCTATTCATATATCCCAGGAAATTGTACCGAGCTTACATATACACACATTGCACTAGAATCCCAGTTAAAGTTTGCAGCTCATCACTCTTTATTTGTATGAACCCTACTCAGGTCAAAACCCATCTTTTTTTATCTTTCTTTTTTCTGAGATGGGCTCTCACTCTGTCACCCAGGCTGGAGTTCAGTGGTGTGATCACAGCTCTCTGCAATCTCCTCCTCCCAGGCTCAAGCAATCCTCCCACCTTAGGCTCCTGAGTAGCTGGGACCACAGGTGCTCGACACTACCCCCAGCTAATTTTTTGTATCTTTGGTACAGAAGGAGTTTTGCCACGTTGCTGAGGCTGATCTTGAACTACTGAGCTCAAAGGATCCACCTGCTTTGACCTCCCAAAGTGCTGGGATTACAGGCATGAGCCACTGTACCTGTCAGAAACCATCTTCTTATGGAAGCACCCCTTTTCACTCCTACTTATGTGTTCTTGTGGAGCACTTCCTGTCACTACTACAGATTGGACCCAACATCAACATTTGCATCATCCTTTATTTCATGGTAATTAATTCCTGGTTCAGAGTCAAGGTAAGGTAATGTGAAGGTGACAAGGCCTACAAAGCTTTTCATGTGTATTGGGGGTCCTACCTTGAGTTCAGACTGGGTCAGATATGTTTGAGCAGGTGGTTGAGTGTATTAGTCTGTTCTCATGCTGCTAATAAACACATACCCAAAACTGGGTAATTTATAAAGGAAAGAGGTTTAATTGACTCACAGTTCCATATAGTTGGGGAGGCCTTACAAACATGGTGGAAGATGAATGATGAGCAAAGTCACGTCTTACATGGTGACAGGAAAGAAAGTTTGTGCAGAGGAAATCCCATTTATAAAACCATCAGATCTCTTGAGATTTATTCACTACCATGAGAACAGTTTGGAGGAAATCACCCCCATGATTCAAGTATCTTCACCTGGCCCTGTTCTTGACATGTGTGGATTATTACAATTCAAGATGAAATTTGGGTCGGGAAACACCCAAACCACATCATTCTGCCCCCAGACCCTCCCAAATCTCATGTCACTTTCACATTTCAAAAAACAATCTTGCCTTCCCAACTGTCCCCCAAAGTCTTAACTCATTACAGCATTAACCCAAAAGTCCCAGTCCAAAGTCTCATCTGAAACCAGGAAACTCTCTTCCACCTATGAGCCTGTAAAATCAAAACCAAGTAAGTTGCTTCCTAGATATAATGAGGGTACTGTCATTGGTCAAATACAGCTGTTCCAAATGGAAGAAACTGGCCAAAACGAAGGAGCTACAGACCCCATCCAAGTTTGAAATCCAGGGGGGCAGTCAAATCTTAAAGCTCCAAAATGATCTTCTTTGACTCCATTTCTCACATCCAGGTCATACAGATGCAAGAGGTGTGTTCCCATGGTCTTGGGCAGCTCCATTCTGTGGCTTTGTAGGGTACAGCCTCCCTCCTGGTTGCTTTCATGGGCTGGCATTGAGTGTCTGCCACTTTTCCAGGTGCACGGTGCAAGCTATTGGTGGACCTACCACTCTGGAGTCTGCGGGATGGTGGGCTTCTTCTCACAGCTCCACTAGGCAGTGCCCAAGTAGGGACTCTGTCTGGGGGACCCCACCCCACATTGCTCTTTCACACAGCCCTAGCAGAGGTTCTCCATGAGGACCCTACCCCTACGGCAAACTTCTGCCTGGACATCCAGGTGCTTCCATACTTCTTCTGAAACTAGGCAGAGGTTTCCAAACCTCAATTCCTAACTTCTGTGCACCCACAAGCTCAACACCACATGGAAGCTGCCAAGGCTTGGGGCTTCCACCCTCTGAAGCCACAGCCTGAGCTGTACCTTGTCCTCTTTTAGCCACAGCTAGAGTGGCTGGGACACAGAGCACCAAGTCCCTAGGCTGCACAGAGCAGCGAGGCCATGGGCCCAGCCCACGAAACCATTTTTTCCTCCTAGGCCTCTAGGCCTGTGATGGGAGGGGCTGCTGCAAATCTCTCTGTGATACCCTGGAGACATTTTCTGCATTTTCTTGGTGATTAACATTTTTCTCCTCATTATTTACGCAAATTTCTGCAGCAGGCTTGAATTTCTCCTCAGAAAATGGGTTTTTCTTTTCTATTGCATCATCAGCCTGCAAATTTTCTAAATTTTTATGCTCTGCTTCCCTTTTAAGCATAAGTTCTGATTCCAAACCATATCTTTGTGAATACAGAAAACTGAATGCTTTTAACAGCACCCAAGTCACATCTTGAATGCCTTGCTATTTAAAAATTTCTTCCACCGGATGCCTAAATCATCTTTCTCAAGTTCCAAGTTCCACAGATCTCTATGGCAGAAGCAAAATGCTGCCAGTCTTTTTGCTAAAGCATGACAAGAGTTACCTTTGCTCTTCATCTCCATCTGAGACCTCCTCAACCTGGACTTTATTTTCCATATCACTATCAGCATTTTGGTCAAAACCATTCAACAAGTCTCTAGGAAATTCCAAACTTTCCCGTATTTTCCTGGCTTATGAGCCCTCCGAGTCTCTATAAAGCTCCAAACTTTTCCACATTTTCCTGTCTTCTGAGTCCTCCAAACTGTTCCAACTTCTGCCTGTTACCCAGTTCCATAGTCACCTCCACATTTTTGGGGTATCTTTACAGCAGAATCCCACTCTACTGGTACCAATTACTGTATTAGCCTGTTCCCACACTGCTAATAAAGATATACCCAACACTGGGTAATTTATAAAGGAAAGAGGTTTAATTGACTCACAGTTCCACATGGCTGGGGAGGTCTCACAATCATTATGGAAGGCAAATGAGGAGCAAAATCATGTCTTACATGGCAGCAGGCAAGAGAGCTTGTGCAGGGAAACTCCCATTTATAAAACTATCAGATTTCGTGAGACTTTTTCACTATCATGAGAATAGTATGGGGGAAGCCACCCCCTGTGATTCCATTACCTCCACCTGACCCCACCCTTGACATATGGGGATTATTACAATTCAAGATGAGATTTAGGTCAGTCCATAGCCAAACCATATCAATGGGACCATAGACAGTGACCTCATGCACAGAACAAGGAAAATAGTTTTGCATATACATTTGAGGGCAGGAGCAGGAGGGACTGACCTCATGCAAGAGGGCCTGTCCTTTGTTGTTATTCATCCCCAAGCCCCATTGACTTTTTGTGTCAGCCCTGAAAAGAAAAAGGCTGCCTCCATTTACCCCTGAGACACAGGGACACAACATCATCACTTCAGTGCTCAGTGGAGATAGTGTGGGAAAGTGAGGCCTTCATGTGGAGCTTAGCATGCTCTCACGCCCTGAGGTAGCAGCAAATGTGCCATACTGGCTGATCCCAATGCTCACAGCTCCCAAGAGGCAGCAACTTTTATGAAGACATCAGAGTTCTGTACCCAGCTGTAGCAGGATGAGGTGCTTTCCTTATAGTGAGTCTCAACAAGAATGAACCAAAGCAGATGAATGAGAAAGGAAGAGCTTGGGAGCTCATGTGACGCAAAACTCTGAGGCTCCAGGAACACAGGGGCAGGAGTGATCCAGGGAGTGGTCATGACCAGAACTTCAGCTTTATTTATACAGATCCAGATGGAATGATGAATCCTGGAGAAATTCTTCACATAAGGAGCAGTTGAAAGAACCACTGTCCTGGAAAAGACAAAAGGGGACTCTCTTTTATTATCTCAAAGCCCATTTGGATTAGGAGATTTGAAGTGTTAAGCAAATGTAGGGAAGACAGTGGGTGCAAGTTACAAGGAAAGTCTACTCAGCTAGGCTGAAGGAGGAATATCTAACTATAAGAGTTGATCAACAAATAGAGAAGCAGCCTCAGGCAGTAGTGAGCTCATATTCTTTGGAAGTATGTAAGCAAAGAGACTCACTCTTCAATGATGTTGAGCTAATGCTTTGGCCAGGTGGAAGACTGTTGTATGAAAGTAAAAGTGGCTAACATTATATGATTCCAGAGAGAATAAATAAGGTTAGATGGATGAAACCTACAAATAAATCGATTTTAGCTCATTAGAAAGAGCTTATTGTCAACAAAGCAGGCAGCCACATGAGTTGGCAAAATAGCCCTTTATCACCAGGCATGTTCAAGCAGAGCTTAACTGACTATGTAACAAAGTTGTTTTGTTCTGGATAAAATTATAAAAATACCAGTGTGTGAGAGAGAGATTGTTTAAGTAGGTTCTTAACAGCAAAACCTTCTCATCAAGTGAACTGATGTATAAAATTTCAGTGATGATGATATACATGCTATTAGTCATAGCAGAAAAAATGTACATAGCACTTGCTATATGCCATTCATCGTTCTAAGCACTTTAAATGTACTAACTCATTTAATTCTCACATCATTATTAGGTAAGTAGTGTGATTATTATTCCCATTTTATAAATGAGGACCTTGGAAACAGAGAGTTTAAGTAACATGCCCTGGCTTTGAGAGCTAATAACCAGGTCATAACAGTGAGCCTAACTCTACTCTCCATGCTCTGAACTGCCTGCAATATCACCTAAAGTAAGACTGGGGAACTCATAGACTCACTCATTTAACCTTGACAACCTTGAGGTATCCAAAAATCCAACTCACCTTGGAGCACACTGACCTAAAAGGACTGCAAGGTTCCTTCTGACTCTAATTTCCATATGAAAAAATTTACAAACGCAAAACTCAGATGACTTGGGCTCTGTTGAGGAAAACGAATTAGTTCTCCTCTTTACCTGGACGGCATGCCCCAGGAGGGGCCATCCCTTAGCCGAGAGTAGGCTCTGGCCTGGTTACAAAGAGAACTATGTTGCCTGTGGCCTCTCTGCTTTTCATGACTTTCCAATAAATAGAAACTTGTCTCACAGAAAATCTCTATTCATCTTCTGGGTCACAAATTAGCCCCCAAGGAACTCATTAGCAAAAAAGGAAAGGAGAAAGGGAAGAAGGGGGAGAGAGAGGAAGGGAAGGAGGGAGAGAGAGAAGGCGGGAGAACAGACTTAAACCAAGACAGGTAGACACAAAGACAAACACAAAGAAAGAAAAAAAATATGATTCAAGCTTCCAAATGCTAAATGTCAGCCCCCTCAGTGGAGAAAAGCAGCCTTCACTTATATAATACCCCTAACTAGACTAGTCCTCTCATTATACTCTCTTTTCTGTCATTTGCAAGAACTAGGAAGATGCACAAGCCAAGGATTTTAAAAAGAATCCAAAATTTATTCCAAAGCCACCATATGCTAGGCTTAAAACCAAACTCTCTAGCATATGTGCCCAACAGCAACTGATTTCGAACAATTACACTGAAACATCAAGTGCAGAAGGGCTTGGTGTATTTGTCTTTGGGAATTCCCAGAGCCCTTCAAAGCTTTGCAAATCCTGCCAGCTTGCATTGGTCCACTTTGGGGTACTTCTAGTTCAGAGACCTTGGGGCTAAAATGCTTTAAACTCTCCCGGCATTCCTTATAAGTAAATACAACACACCCACTAAACCAACATTAAACAAACATATTACAGAAAAAAGCACAAAACGTGAGTGCTGAAAGAGAGGGATTTCAGAGACCATCAAATACAACAGCCTCATTTTTCAGATGAGGATATTAAGCTCCCAGCATACTAACTCAAGACTAGAACTTGAATTTCTGGTCTCTAATTCAGGATTTGAGTAATTTGGAGAGTTATCCCCCCTCATTATTCCAGATAACATATACGTCTTTCCAGAACATTTCATGTCTCCTACTTCTTTCAATCCCTCTCTTGAAGTCTCACAAAAGATTCAGTCAATGTTGATGACTAGCCCTATGTTAAAACATAAAAAGATATTTTGAAATAAGACAAAATCTACAAGAGTTCTTTTTGGTCAGAGATAAATTTTATTACAGAAGAACTCTCAATTATTGCATTTTTTAAATGTAACCAAGTTTCCTAAAGGTGTACACACTCTTCCTCAAGATAAATAGGTAACTTCTTGTTCTACTTACTCAAGAATAGCATAATGGGTCGCTAGTGCCTGCCTCTATTCAGGAAGCGTTCTAGAAAGAGCTACTCTCTTTTCTCTCCTAACTGTTTTCATGTGGCTCTTTGGTTACTTTTTGTTGTTTTTCTCTCTCCCTCTCTTTCTCTGTCTCATATTTTTATGCTCCATATCCACATGCAGAACTCAACATGCTGATATAAATATATAATTATTTCAATTCATGATGGAGGGGTAGGCTGAGGCCTTGAGCTTAGTCTGCATCTCCACTCATCTTTCCCAATGCCATTTCAAACCTAGTCAAGGCCACTGTGAAGTGAATGCTACTTGTACATAACAAATAATGGTAGTGTGTTGGATTTTAACCCACAGAATTCCACAAATACACTCTACTGATATAATAAAATAAAATAAATATGAAAATCAGGAAGAAGAGGCAGTAGAATTCCAATTAATAAATATAGAAGGAAAGAAGGAATCTGGAATCGCCAATACGCAAATGCCACAGGAATAAATGATGTAGACACGATCCACAAATTAAAGTGTGAGAGTTAGAAAAGAAATGAGATTTGCATAGTCTCTAAGTATCTCACCTAAGATATTCATCGACATCAAAGGGAAAGATACTAACTTTACAATGGAGAAACTTGGCAGACACAAGCGTAATCAAGTGACTGAGGGAAGCATCATCAGTAATAAAAAATGTCAACACCATGAAGCCCTGGATATTTTATACTGAGAAGGATGCCACCATGTTATTTTTGTGGCATTCTTGGAAAAAAATACATAACCTCATTTCAAAAATAAGAATATATTGCACAAACCCAAACCTTGGGGCATTCTACAAAATAACTGATCATTACTCTTTAGAAGTGTGAAGGTCATGAAAGACAAGGAAATACTAAGGAATTATTATAGACTGAAAGCAACTAAGGAGAAATAACAACTAGATGCAACGTAGGAGCTTGAATTGGACTATTTAAAACAAAACAAAACAAAACAAATAAACAAAAAAATTACCAGGAGCAATGGCTCGCACCTGTAATCCCAGCTACTCCAGAGGCTGAAGCAAGAAGATTGATTGAGCCCAGGAGTTTGAGACTAACGTGAGCTATAACCATGCCACTACGCTCCAGCCTGTTCAACAGAACAAGACCTTGTCTTGAAGAGGAAGAAGAAGAAGATGAAGGAGGAGGAGGAGGAGGTGAAGGAGAAGAAGAATAATTGGTGAATTTTGAAAAAACTATAATTTAGTTAATAATATTGTACCAATGTAAATTTCCCAGTTTTGATCATTGCACTACAGTCTGTAAGATGTTAATATTGTTAACTTTAGGGCAAATGGGATAAGGGATATAAAATAACAGTTTGTACTCTTTTATAATTTTTCTCTAAGTCTAAAATTAGTTTAAAATAGAACATTTGTTGAAGAAGAAGAAGAAGAAGAAAGAAAGCATGCCACTATGACTTCCCTTCCACTCTTGTACCTTGCATGTGTTTTCTGGAAGTATGACATACCTGGTCATGGTACTAATAAAATAACAATCAAACTCAATGCTGGTTTTTTGGAGAATTCATAACAAAAATAAACAGTAAAGAATGTCAGAAGAGTCATTCAAATTGTTCACCCAAACTACAATTAATAAATGCCATGCAACATAGTGAAGCTCCATCTCTACAAAACTAAAAAATTAGCCAGTGATGGTGGCACATAAAAAATTAGCCAGGGATGGGCCTATAGTCCCAGCTACTCAGGAGGTTGAGGCAGGAGGGCAGCTTGAGCCCGTAAGTTCGAGGTTGCAGTGAGCTATGACCATGCTACTGCACTCCAGCCTGGACAACAGAGCAAGACCATGTCTCTCTGAAGATAATAAATAAATGAAATTAATTAATTAATTAAAATGTCATGAAGGGAAATGAAACAAGTACTGCACCTTTCACTTTACCTCTCTAAGCCTGTCCTCATCAATATAATTGTGATAACAGCACTGTCTGTAGTGAAAACAAGCAAGATTTTAATCTTAATGAATCACCTGTTTTGAAATTAAATGTCCTTTACAACATTCATTTGCTTTTTAAAAATACCTGTAATGCCATTTTAATTGTCTATCCCATAAACCCATATATTTTATTATATCTCAATTTCACTAGTAACAATTACCAACAATGATATTTTTCATGAATATGATCCTTGTGGTTGGCAAAGTTATCATTCCCAAAAAGATGGAGTAGCACATGCAGTTAGGCTGTTTCTATGATAAGATACATCAAGGACCATTTTGTACAAAAAGGTTTTCATGTGTGTTTAATGGGAAGTGAACTGCCATTTCTTGGAAAGGCACCCCAGAATGTCCTGTAAGGACAGAGAACTTTATGATAACTACTGTTTAGTCAGTGTCTACTGGCTCCCAGAGGCATGCTTGATACTTGAAATACATTATCATAGTTGATCTCATGTCACACCTTCAAATAGTTATCATTATATCCCTTTTAAAAAATGGGAAAGTTGGCTGGACATGCTGGCTCATGCCTGCAATCCCAGCACTTTGGGAAGCCGAGGCAGATGGATCACCTGAGGTCAGGTGTTTGAGACCAGCCTGGCCAACCTGGTGAAACCCTGTCTCTACTAAAAATATAAATATTAGCAGGGCATGGTGGCAGGCGCCTGTAATCCCAGCTACTTGGGAGCTTGAGGCAGGAGAATCACTTGAACTCAAGAGGCAGAGGTTGCAATGAGCCATGATCATGCCATTGTATTCCAGCCTGGGCGACAGAGCGAGACTCCATCTCAAAAGAAAAAAAAAGAGAAAGTTGAAATTTAGTTTTCCTTCAGCTGAGAGGTAGCGCGAACCAAGAGCCAAGCCCTGGCTCTTCTTTATCCAAACAACACACATCTGTTCCTTGTAATGGGAAGCTCAAGAAAACAACAGTTTAAAATCCTTATAGATAGGATTAAGACAATTTGGCCAAGTGAACACCTTTAAACTATCTAAAGACCTTTTTTCTGAGAGTACTGATGGTGTTGTTTGTCCTGGCTGTGTCAGATTATCTGAGCACTTGCTGTTCTCTAGTTGGTGTGCCAGTGGGTAGTCTTGCTTCTGGTCTGAGAAATCCCAAGGCATCAACCAGCCTTCCTTGGGTGGAAGCAGCCCCCCTTCCAGAGGATGTGGCATTTCAGCATAGTCTTGAGAGATGACTTAAACAGCCAGATACATGTTTTCCTGGCAGAGAAAACAATATGGACAAAAGCACAGAGGCATGAACTGGGAGAAACTGCAAATGAAACGGTATGAACTGGGTGTGGTGGCTCACACCTGTAATCTCAGCAATTTGGGAGGCCGAGGTGGGAGGGTCACTGGACCCCAAGAGTTCAAGACTAGTGTGGGCAAAATGGCAAGTCTCAAAAAAGAAAACAAAACAAAGACACACACAGTATAGATAGGTAAAAAGACATTTTAAATAGTACGTAGGAACAATATGTATGTGCAAAGCAAAGAAAATTCTAATCACAATTTGTACCTCTATACAATATGCAATCTAGCCAACGAGGCTTACACACACAAAGCTAGTGAGTTTTAAAATAAATAGCTGGCCGGGCGCGGTGGCTCATGCCTGTAATCCCAGCACTTTGAGAGGCCAAGGTGGGTGAATCACTTGAGGTCAGGAGTTCAAAACCAGACTGGTCAAAATGGTGAAACCCCGTCCCTAGGAAAAATAGAAAAATTAGCCAGGTGTGGTGGTGGGCGCCTGTAATCGCAGCTACTCGGGAGGCTGAGGCATGAGAATCACTTGAACCTGGGGGGCAGAGCTTGCAGTGAGCCAAAATCGCACCACTGCACTCCAGCCTGGGTGACAGAGTGAGACTCTGTTTAAAAAAAAAAAAAAAAATGAATAGCAGAACTCATCTCTTGATACACTATAAAATGCCTTTCAAACACGTCACCTCCTCCTGTACCTTTCTTTATCCATTCTCTTCCACTTCCCCAGCACTAGGCAAGTCATTTTGGAAAAGTCAAAAAAAAAAAAAAAAAAAAAAAGCTTTCCCTACTTCCCAATATTTTTTAGGTTGAAAACACAATGGTAGATTTTACATTTTTTAGTGAAGGTAGCACATGAAACTCTTATTTCTGCCAACTGAGTTTCTTAAGATAGAAGCCTGATTCTGATGAGCAGATTTCTCAATTTTACTCTGAAGAAAAAGTACTAGGGTACTGTACCCATGACTTATGCCACCTTACAACCAAACAGTGGGAAATATGATTGCTATTTATCATCAACTACTGTGTCTTAGGTACTGAACGTAATAATGGTGAACATTAACTGAAGGTTCTCTCTGAGTCAGACACAGAGCTAACTGCTTAACAGAGATCTTCTTGTTTAATCTTTACAACCATTCCATTTCCAAGAAGAAGTTTCTAGAATTATTATCCTCAAATTGGAAGAAGAAACTGAGGCATAGAATGGTTAAATAATCTTGCCGAGAACCCTGATGAGTAAGTAGCAGAACCAAGAATTTATCCCAACTGTGCCCAATGCCATAGAGCCTCATGCAATCTATTTGAAAGCCTAACAATATAGTCAGTGATTTTCCTGGGGCAGAAATGTGACCCTTGACTTCCCAGACCTCACCAATTATAGACAAAATTAAGAATTACTATTATAATTGTGCTCTACCCTAGTCCCCATCCGATTTTGTTCTAAGTAGTAAATGTGATCAGTTAGAAACAGCCATAGGTAACTTGAGCTTAAAAAAAAAGACAAAACTCTGTGTTCTGGTGGCACATCTTTCCTATGTGAAGAGACCACGAGAATATATCTGGTGGCATAAGCCCTCTGGGACTCAGACATCTCCGCTTGCTGGGAAAGAAAGCTAGATTGCATGCCTCCCAGGGATATCTCAGGAGGCAGGCTGTAGGGAGGCAAACTGAATGTAGGGCAAAGGAAACATTTCAGGCAAAATGCCTTAATTCTATTTATCTTTCACTGAGTGTCCAGCCTGCACACTCCTGCACTCCCATTCCTGCACTCCCATGGTGTTGTCTAGGATGTGAAGAGTTTGAGTAACTTGTTCAGGATACATGGTTGGGTAAGTAGCAGAGCAAGTACCCCAAAAGCTTTCTCTTTCCTGGTCTGTTGTTCTAATGCCTGTGTTGTGCTGTCCCTTAGCTGAGGCTGACAACCTTGTGGGAAAGAAGAATGTGTTGCTTAGGAGCCACCCTGCCATAAACAAGTCCCATTATGCCTCAAACTTTAGTTTATACTCCCTCTCCTTGCTCCATAACAAGAACATAATAATCTCTCCATCCAAAGGCTTGCAGAGATTAAATAAGTTTATTGTGCAATAGTGTGGTAAATAATGTGGAACACGTTCATAGCAAAAGAGGCTCAAGTTGATGCTCAGACTTCAGGAGATCTAAATATCTCTCATTTTTCTTCTACTTGGAGAAAGTTAAAAAGAATGGGCATAAAAAGATAAGGAGAAGAAAGAGATGGTGGGGAAAATAGCAAGAGAAAAGGAAGGAGAAAAATCAGCACACTGGCTAAGGAAATCCTGACCAGCTGAAGCTGTAACACCGTCATTCTCCTTCTCCATATTCATTAGGCTTTTCTCTCCTTCCTGGAGTGAACCTAAAACCAGCCCCTTAGGAGTTCTAAGAATCATGTTCAATAAAAAATGTTGGAGATGATGGGTTAGCAAAAGTATGAAACCTATGGTTCATACTTTGGCAATCTATGGTTTTAAGAAAGAGAAATGGGCAGGAACCAGGGTTACTTGAAGACAGACTACATAGCAGTGCTGTGGCTGCTTTGCACACAGTGTTGGTGAAACACTGTGTCAGTCAGAGTGCTCAGCTACGAAGAACAGAACCTGATTCTGGGGGATTTAAGTAGGAAACAAATTTATGAAAAGGTTTTTGAGATCGTAGTATCACCAGGAAGCTGGACAACCAGAGTTTGAAAACGGACAGGAACAAAAGATGGCAGACCTCATCATTGCCATGAGAAGTCTGGTAAGAGCCCTGCTGCCCAGGAATCCACAGGAGCTTAGCAAGGTAGATTTAGAGATCAGCGAAGGTAGAATATTGAGTTTAGACCTGTTTCCAGCTTCATCTCCTTTGGCTCAGGTTGGAACAAAAAAATGACAGCTACCACTGATATAAGCCCTTCTGTTCTCTAAAACACAGAGTACAATAGTCTAGTGGTGGAGTCAGAAGTTCTGAGTTCTAGGAATGTCTTGATCACTAATTAGTTGGCTTTGGAATCACTTAACCTCCTTCCAAGCTCTACGTTTGCCAGTGGGAGGTAGTCATCCCCAACCTGTTCCTGCCCAGGGCTGCTGTGAGAAGCAAGTAGAAAAGGATATAAGTGGTCTCAAAACTCTTATATCCCTGTGAAATGCTAAGAAGCCTTTTCATGACAATTAATTTTTAATTATTACTGGAAGGTGACATAGTACATGTAGAAAGCAGTGATATACGTCCAAAGATATATAACTCTAGAGTCAAACACTGGCTCCACCTCTTATCACCTTTGTGGCCTTTGAAAAGCCTTGTTGACTGTCTTGGCCACAGTTTTTGCATTTTTTAGATGGGAATAATGTTGTCTATCCCAAAAATTGGTGTAAAAATCAGAGGAGATATCATATGCAATGCAGAATTCCTGGAACTGAAAGAAATGGTAGCTAGGAATAATCACAATAAGCACTAGTAATAATAAGAGTCATGGATCACACCTCCTCTTCCCCCTACTAACCTTCTCATCATCTATAACAATTAATCATATATGATTTGATAATCCCTCTTAAATTATTATTTGGAAGTGATAATTAAAATTTTATTTACATTTTGTCACTGTTGTTGTTCGGCCATCTCTAGAGGTCTATTTAATTGAACTCGTTTTAACCCCAGCCAAGAAAGCAAAAAGTCCTTTAAAAATCCCTGCCTTTCTATGTGTCATTTTCAGCAAGGAAGGGGTTACTGAGGATTCTGAGCACTTGCTGAAGCACAAGGCATCTGACCTCGTCAGGAGCCCTCGGGTTTTGCCAGCACTCTGCTTTTTTTCTGCACGCAGCCTTCAGTGGAAAAATACTGCCCAGACTCTGTGAATTATTAATCTCATCATGACATCAAATACCTACTAGATAAAAAGAACAAGTGGCCCTACAATAAGGATCTTAGGGAAAACCAGAAGCTGAAGATAGTTGGCCACAATCAGAATTTTTCTGCTACCCTCTGGGGTGGGAGACAATCTCATTCATTCTCAGCACTCCATACACAGAACTCTCAAGAGGCATCAGTTTAAAATGCTTCTGTTTGGAGGGGCTCAGGGAGCTGATAGAGAAGAAAAGCCTTTAAATTACTCTCAGCTTTCAGCTGATGATGCCACACTAACTTTAAATGAGTTTGTGTTTTGAGTTCATGAGAACTGGAGTACAAGAAGGAGTTCAAGGTCTTTCAGTTTTCTGTTTTCCCTTCATGGACCAGGCAAGGAATCTGGCTAGATCAAAATCTACTGGAGGGTAGGAAATTATTGACACATGGAAAATTCCAGGAGTAAAAGATCCATAGGAAATACATCTGTCATATTTCACATTACTTGGCAAGGCTTTGAACCAAATTTTTAGTAAGGCTAACCTCTGAGAGAATAGATTTAAGTCAGAGAGAGAAAATGACAGATAGGAAGATCATTGCTCAAGAGATTCGAGCTCTGGAGCTTTGAGCTTTCATTCAGAAAGCACTTACTGAACACAGTTGTGCTGCAGTATACACACATACCAACCAGTGAAAAACCATCTACCATTTCTGCAATACCCAGTATCTGTCAGGCACTCTGCCAGGTGGTTTATTCATCATATCTAATTTACCCTCACTACAACCAAAGGATATATAGTTTTATGCCCCTTTTGCTTTTTTTTTTTTTTTTGATGTTGATGGACACTGATAAAGTATGCATTTATTAAGGCCACAAGAGTTGAAATTCAAACCCAGATTTGTCTGGATTTCAATCCCCTAAGAAACATGTAATTGGCAGCAGAGCACAATGAGCAAACAGCTAATGCCAATGCAACACACATGTGGAAAGACAAAATCTGTAATAGCCGGAGAGTATCTGTAGCCAAAACATGCAGAAAAGTAACAGGGTGAAAACTGGCTTGTCCAGGACAGAAGGGTTTCTCAGGGTGCAAAAATGTTAATGCTAATACCAGGGCATTCCAGGACAAACTGGGACAGTTAGTCACCCCACAGGTAAATGAGGGGCAGCTCCTGAAAGAGAATTTGTGTGAAGGTGAGAAATTTGACCTTCATCCTAGGAAAAAAAAGATGACTGATCTGGACAGATGATTGTTCTAGAAAGGAGAAGATATTAGGGAGAGAACACTGGATGCTGAGCGAATCATGGATTAGTGAGAAGAGTGGCTAGGAGGCTTGGAATAGAGGAGAAAGACGAAAAAGTAGACTAATGAAGCCAAATAAATTATACATTTCCCAAGTGAAATCTAATCAAGACAGAAGTTTGTATTTTACACTGACTAAATAGACTAAAATATTTTAGCATATAATGTAGTATTTACCTCGTATAAGCTGAATCGTGTCAACAATAAAAATATGTTGAGGTCCTAGTCCCCAGTACCTCAGATGCGACCATTTTTGGAAATTGGGCTGTTGCAGATGTAATTAGTTAAGATGAGCTCATGCCTAGTGCCCTTATAAGATGGCATGTGAAGACAGAGACACATGGGGAGATCTCCGTGTCACAACAAGAGCAGAGACTGGAGTTAAGCAGCTGCAAACCCAGGAATGCCAACGATTGCCAGCAAACCACCGGAAGCTAGAAAGAGGCAAGGAAAAACTCTCCTACAAGTTTCAGAGGGAGCGTGGCCCTGCCAATGCCTTGATTTAGGACCTCTGGCCTTGAGTACTGTGAGACATTTCATTTTTGTTGTCTTAAGATGCCCACTTTATGGTACTTTGTTACAGCTGCCCTAGGAAACTAACGCACTAGCCAAACTCTATCCAAACATGGTTTTATCACAAAAAGACAGGATGGAGCTAGCAATAATAGGAACACTGCTGAGAAACCTCTAGGAAGTAGGCATCAAGCCGAGTGCTTTCTTAGGAGTTTATGGGTGGGCTGTCTCAATGGTCCTCTAATAACCCAGGTCATCAGTAAGAAACAGAGACTCAGAAAGAGGCTGCAGCTCGCCCACTGCTACCCAGCTAGGAAGTGGCGACCCAGGGCTTAGACTCATGTCTCTCTGACTTCAGAAACAGATTATTCATTTCTCCACCCTTGGATTTCCTAAAAGGAGAGGCAAGGCAGCCAAGGCAGAAGGCCAGATAAAACTGAAAAGCCTGGCAGAGCTCTGAGCAATTCACAAACATGAGAAAACACAACCTTGAGGGCTCTGGGGTTGGGGTGGTGAGAGGACAGCTGGAAGAAAGGCTTCTTACCCCACAGCTCTGAGTCACGCAAATGTGATCCGCATCCATATCAGCAGGACTTGCTTCTCATCTTCCCTTTGGGCTCTACAGCTCAGGGGGAGGCAAATATCAAGCAATGCTCAGGGAGAATTGAGAGTAAGGAAATCTTTTCAGAAGCCTCTAGGGCCTTTACTTTCCTAAAGTTAATTACTTTCTGGATGAACATCTGATTAGAAATATCATTTGCAAGCCCCACCTGCCGCGGATGTCTCCTGTTTTCAAAGTGGATATTCAAAGAATGTTAAAATCCTAATATATATCTTCATCTCCCATGGAAAACAGAACAGTGATTATTTTGAGCCTCGGGAAGTTGGGATCCAGTCAAGGAATTCATCATTACCCTTATGCAATCTAGGAGATGGGGAACAGATCGGGTGAGAAATCTCAAAGGAAAACATGCCGCCTGCAAAATTAGCCTGAGTCATTGCTCCAAGTGAGAGGCTGTGTTGAAATCAGGAATAATTCTTTAAATTTCAACCCATGACCCTGACAATGAGATTGTTGTCTTTGGAAATGAACCAGTATGTCTTTGTCTGTGTGTGGCAGATGCACTTGCTGAAATATTCATATACAGTGGAAAGGCATAGGGTCGGCAGCCAGAAAACGAGGTTTTGGTCTCTCCTGTGTGACTTACGTAAGTCACATTCCTTTCTCAGTCTCAGTTTCCTCATCAATGAAATAAACTTTTTTATTCTGATGTGATTACCTCTTCCTGGCTACTCCTTCTCTGTTCCTCCCTCCCTCATCCCATTTCTCTTCCTTCTAAACTTCCCACTTCCTATTGCCATGATAATGAAAGAGTATAAGTCGAGTTGATGCATGGGCTTGGAAAAGACACTGGAAGGGGCTTTGCAATGCTACGCAGAGCTCTAGGTGAGTAAATGAAGGAAAAGACAAGGAGGTTAAAATTGTGTTATTGCAAAATGTATTCATTCATTTATCCAGTCATTCATTTCACTAGAAACCCATTATGTATCTCAGTCAAGCACTAGACCTTAAGGCTAAGAGAGTAAGAGTAAAATATCATTCCTGGCCACTAGGAACACACAGTCCTAGTAATAAGAGAGAGAAATGAGTCGCTAAAAATAATTGGATGTTATATACAAGAAAACACTCAAGGTACAATTGAAGCAGGTATTAGAGGAACTTATCCAGTCATTTTATGTGGTAGAAAGCTTCCCAGAGGAAGTAAATCTGGGGAAGAGAGTAGGACAGAGAATACTCTAGAAAGAAGGAACCCAGGACATAGGCAGAAGTTCAGGTAGTTAAGTACATCTGCAATTCAAAGCTCTAAGACATGTGGCAGAAGCAGCAAACAGCGTCAAATGACAGAGAGACTCATGCGGGTTGTTTTTGTGTGTGTGTGTTTGTTTTCAGTTTTTTGAGACAGGTCTCACTGTGTCACTCAGGCTGGAGTGCAGTGGCACAAACATCGCTCACTGCAGCCTCAACCTCCTGGGCTCAAGGGATTCCCCCAGCCTCAGCCTCCAAAGTAGCTGGGACCACAGGCACATGACACCACACCTGACTAAATTTTTTCTTTTTTTAAGAGATGGGGTCTCACTATGCTGCCCAGGATGCTCTAAAACTTCTGGGCTTAATGAATCCTCCCTTCTCAGCCTCCAAAAGAGCTAGGAGGCATAAGCCACTGCACATGGCTCATAGACCTTGTTAAGGAAAACAATTGACTTATCAGTCATGGTCTGCATGAAGATGGCCATAACCTCTTTCCTGGTGCTGGCATATCTAACAGTGAGCCCATCACTCTCATATCCCCATGGCTGAAAGGCATCACTTGTAATAGTAACAAGAGCCATTGTGTGACGCTCCAGAGAACTTGAACCAAAGGTTAAAAACTACAGAAAAGCAGAAACTTTTAATAGCCAGTGCTATTCAATTGGAAGTAACAATAAATTCTCCATGAATGATTGTTCTGCCACTCTCTGGAAAGATAGAATAGTTAGGCAACCTAAGCTTAATTTGTATTCACGGTAAACCTTAATCTACATTCACTTTTCCTCCCAGTGGACATCAGTTGAGTCATCTATAAAAGAGCAAACAAGACCAAATTGGTATTATTTCTGAGTTTTCACCAAAAAAATTTTTTTCTTCTCCACTTACCCCACCATGGGTCTCTCTACTAGACAAATTATACTCATCAAGTAATAATTGTTTAACTTTATATTTGAGTTGTACAAACCAAACAGTGCTGTGATTTAACTAGATATTTCTGAATATTGAAAACAGCTGGAAGTCGACTATTTGGAGACTCAAGATTGGCAACATCCAGAGAAAATAATCTCCAAGGCCTCCTGCAGCAATGACAGTCTGTGACGTCAGAGATTAGAGAGACAAAAAAAGAAAAAAAAGAGTAATTGTAACCTTGAAAGATTTTGAAGACAGGCTCTGAGTAGAGAAAGCAAAGGTGAATGGAAATCTCAGGGAGAAGAAAAAGCCTTTCGAAGGGAGGTAGTCGAGAACAGTCTGGAATTAAAGGGATGCACAGAATAAAGTGGGTGAAGCTTGGGATGCATGAATGTGCAGGTCTGCCTTAGAAATAGACTTTGATTACGGACATGTGCTTTAGCACTCTCGGACTCCTTTCGTTTTCTGTATATTCAACGAATGACCCTCAGCTTTAAAGCACTGTTGCAACAATTAAGTGAAATATTTTATGTAAAGCTATTAACTATGCCTTGTACACAGTAGGTTTCCAAAAAATAGTAGTAATCATAAGAATGACAATGATGCTTTAATCAAGATGTTCAGATACCAGGAGCACTTTAATTTGTTTACTGTGCAAAAAGATGCCAGCCTATATTGCTCTAGTGACAGTTAGATGACTTTAGAAGCAGCCTAGGGATAGTGTGTCATTGTCATTGTAGATAATAAAAGCAGAATTGAGAGGAGAATTAATAAGGAAAGCAGACAAATCCAAAATGCTAGGCCATCATCCGTCTGGACTGCATCAATGCAGGGAATAAACGGATGACGTAAGTGTCTATTTCTAACTCTCCCTCTCTCTCTCTCAGAATGCTGAGTGTTTTCAGTCTGGCTTTTGCTTTTAGAGCTCCCAACACACCTGGACTCCAAACAGCATTTTTTAAAAACCTGTTGTTGGCCTGAATTCCTAAAGCAACTGTGTGTATGATAATATTTTTGGTACATGGGTATCAAGGTAATAGTGATATTCACCCCAAGAACTAAGAAATTGTACCACAAAGAGTTAAACTAGAAAATTAATACAGTTAGAATGAGATATGCAAAGTCACCTCCCAGAAACAGAGTGGGCCCGAGGCCAGCAGGATGAAGGCTAACCTCAATGAAGACATTAACGTATCTAGAGAAAAAAATACTTTGGCCACAAGTAAGCTGACCAGCATGGAAACATAAAAAAGGGAACCACACAACCGCTGAGTACAGTGTGATCCAAGCCCTCTCCAAGGTCATGCTAATGATCAAATACTCTGGAATCTGTAGCAGCTGCCTATCACCTTGAGGACAAACCCCCACACTCCTCACATGACCCATGAAACCCCATGTGATTGAGCCCCAGTATATTTCATCCCCCACCTCTCTCCAACTCATGCAATTCCACTCTGGTCCTGGCCTTCTTTCTGTTTTTACAATGACTAGTCTCTTGGCCTGGGATTCTCTTTTCCCAAATTTTGAATGATTCCTTCCTTCATTTAATTGCTTAAATTTAATTCAGTCTTCCCTAGCCACCTTATCTAAAATCCATCCAAAAGACAGTCAGAGCCAGGCAATGTGTTTGTAACTTGTGAAACAGCTGGACATTTTTTTGAGATCTATGAAAAAGTTACACACACACACACACACACACACACACACACACATGCAAAAGCCAACAAATACCATGCCAGAAAAAGCTGGTTTAAAAAGCTGAAAGAGAGGTACACACTGCACAACATAAAGCTGGTGAAATATTTGGTCTCAGCAGATTGCAATGCTGCAGTAATATTTCCTGAACAAGGAAGAAAGCAATCCAGGAGAAGCTTATTTATTGGAGCAGGGTTTCATAGCCATGAATCTGGCTTACAAAGCAAGTGAATACTTTTACAATACCAATCCATTCTGTCTTTTAAGTGTATTTAGTAAAATATTTAAATTGTTTTTCCCCTAACCCCTTCTATTCTGAGAACTTGATCTTAGCAACTGAGGTTTATGAAATCATAGATCTTTAAGGAAGGAAAGAAATAACACTGTTTCATTCTCATTTGGCAAAAGCATCCCAAATGGAAGATGGAGATATCAGACTGTCCCATGATGTTACTATACTTCCAAATCCATTAAACAGCCTTTGCTCTGATTTTATTCCCACCAGGCAAAGTTCTGATTATAATTTGGCTTTTTATGTAGGTCTGCTAGGAAAAGAAAGAACTAGAAATGTGAACCTAAACTTTCCGTCTCCCTGTGTCAATTGTATGTCCTGCTGTTCATCAATATATAGCACAAATGACTTAACTAACTTGTGCTTTCATGTATGTGTGTGTCTTTAGACTGCAGCAAGAGGCTTCCTTGAGGGACCTGATGGGACTGGGAGGGAAGAGTCTCTAGGTCTTTTTTTAAACTTTTGCTTTACATTCAGGAGTACAAGTGCAGGTTTGTTACATAGGCAAACTTGTGTCATGGGGCTTTGTTGTACAGATTATTTCATCACCCAGATATTAAGCCTAGTACCCATTAGTTATTTTTCCTGATCCTCTGTTTCCTCCCACCCCGCATTGTTCAACAGACCCCAGTATCTGTTTTTCCCCTCTATGTGTCCACGTGTTCTCATCATTTAGCTCCCACTGGTAAGTGAGAACAGGCAGTATTTGATGTTCTGTTCCTGTGTTAGTTTGCTAAGGATCATGGCCTCTAGCACCATCCATGTCCCTGCAGAAGACATGTTCTCATTTTTTATGGCTGCATAGTATTCCATGGTGTCTATATACCACCTTTTCTTTATTCAGGCTATCATTGACAGGCATTTAGGTTGATTCCATCCATGTCTTTGTTATTGTGAACAGTGCTGCATCTGTAAAGAACTTAAACAAATTTACAAGAAACAAAAACAACCCCATAAAAAAATGGGCAAAACTCTCTAGGTCTTTACATCAGAGAAAAATGGAAGGAGAGAATAGGATAAGAGCTTTTTGGTGGAGAAACATGAAGCATGTAGTGTGCATGTGTGTGCATGCACACACGCACATGCGTGTTGCTGTTCCAGAATTTTCTTTGTTGAGCCAGAAGTGAGGGAATAAATGTGGCAGGGTTTCTAGATGATCTCTTGAGACCTGGTGAAAGAAAAAATCAGTCCATGTGCCAGCATGGTGTCTTTAAAGGAGTGAGGTTTTGGAGAAGAATGGCCCTCTGAGAGCCAGAGGCTTAGGAGCCAAAGTCCAGGACACATGTGGTCAAACTTGGCACAGGGGAACAAAGCTATCCTTCTTTAAAGGACCATGACAGTCTGAACAGGGAACTGGATAAGTAAAAGCATTCAGAGAGAGAAGCTTGAGTCAATTCTAACAATTTAAAGATCAAAAATGGGTGGTGACATAAGCCTCATGAGAACATAGAGACCTTTACACCTGCTACAAAAGAACTGAAATCTCATGTACCATTCTCTGACCTCAGTCAGCATGCAGACAAACCAGGATCTGATTCTACCTGGTGCAAGACCAACACCGAGAGGTCATTTTGCTAACTGCTGCCCAGCCTCTGGGAATAACACTCAACCACTCTGAAGTCTCTTCTTTGAAACTTCAAACGAACTGAAGACCAGAGCCAGTCTTAGAACTTACGCAAATAAATACAGTTTCTAGGAATATCTTCCAAAATGTGCTCCCTATTTCCTCTGAAAATGTTTTTGCTAAGGAAAAAAAATTCTAATGCAGAAAAGCACAAAACAAACAAAACAACTGTGAGGCAGGTGTTATTGATCTCACTTTATAAGTGAGCAAACTAAGGCTCAGAAAATTGGAGGAAAGCATCCACCACCACTCAGCCAGTGGATGACAGATCTGAAACACAAACCTGAGTCCCTAAGTCTAAAGCTGTTTCAACAAGACCCAGTCACTTTGCAGTCATAAAAGAACTTGACAATTATACAAAGGCATACTCCACTGACCACTTCACAAGTAGACACCTACTGTGTGCAAGAAATCATGTTAGGTCCTGGTGATTAAAGTTCCACTTCTGAAGAGTATAGTTGTTCCTAGGTGGGGGTGAGCACCTGCTCAGGACTTTTTCATGGAAGGTGCTTATAGGTTCTTCTAGGAGAATGGGAAAGCCAGGAGGTGGAGGAAGGCTTCATCAAGAGAAGAATGTTTCTGCATTTCAGGCATAGGCATTGAAAGCAGGGAGAGAGAGAAAAAAAAAAAAGGATGTAGAAGTTTGAACAGGCTGTGGGCAAGGTCAAAGAAAAGCAAACTGCTTATTCTACTTCAAGAATAAAGTACAAGTTATGGGAGGAACAGGTAAAAGAAAATTATGTACAATTTTAGAAATAAAAACAGAATATTGAGTTCTTGAGACTTCCAGAAACATCCAGAAAGAAGACAGAATCTAAAGACCAATAACTAAAGTCTAAGAACTCTAAAATTCTAGAACCCTGGTTGTTTCCTCACTGTTGCTACTTGCACTATTTTCATAGCTTTAAAATTCTTAAGTCAAAAAAGACTTTGCAGGCTCGTCCTTAGCAGCATAAACACAGGGATCTGAATAGATTTCTAACTCGTGTGCAAAGAAAGTAAACTGGTGTGTGGCAGCCATTTTGAGGATCAGGAAGAAACAGAATGTCTGTGGCTGGTGATAAGAAACCGCAATGAGCACAGGAGGCAGATTTGGCTTGAGAGGGAGCCCTGGGGAGGAACAGGTGATAGGCCCAGGGGCTCCTGGTTAATAAAAATGACTCCTGCCAAGTCCACCTCCTAGGGTTCAAAGGAGATGCACGAGTGGAATCACTACCTGGTAAGTTCTGATGATGATCTTTCCTAGGCTGTGGACGAGGGACTTGGGAATCCTGCCATTAAACTCTTACCTCTGAATGTTCCTGCTTTGTTTTTTAATCCAACATTCCTAAAGCCTTTCATCTGCATTTCTGGACTCAGCCTATTGCTGCAGCAGATTCTCGTTAGCTGTTTAATGATAGTCTAATGAGGTCTCAGAGTGTCCTGAAGGAACGCTTCTGGCCAGCAGCTTTCCCTTTAAGGAGGGGGCCTTTGAATCTAGGTCTGCATTAAGTATGAATCAAGCTTTCCGTCTGTGTCTGGTGCACACGAGTGAAATCCACCTCCGTATCACTCGTTCCTGGAGGGGATTTTCTCTCTGTATTACACCTGCAGAACGCCATCCTCTTTTCTCTGGCAAGCCTGGATACATGATTAATATTTTAAGCCTCCCAGGTTCCGCTTTCCCTAGTTTCAAAAGTGCCTGAATGTTGGACTTTTAAAAAATGTATTTATCTCCCCATCCAGGCTGCTGAGGAGAAATTGCAAGTAGAAGTCACAGCCAGGGGGGCCTAAACAAATCCGGGCAAATCTTTAAATTGCTTCTGCAGTCATTGGGGTTTTCTTTCATTAGCATCTCGAATGCTACTTCTCTCTTGCTGACCTTCATTTTGGAGCGGAAGGCAGATCAGTTTTAAGAGGGCATTATATCTTTTCCTTTGGAAACAGAGACTTGAACTGTATGGCCAGTGGTAGCTCAGTTCAGAGAGAAATGTGTCTGGCTTCCCTTCCTCTCCTGGGCACCACCATCTTCCCAGCTTCAGTCCAGGAAGACTCTTCTGATTTTTCTCTCCTGAGCTCCCTCCTTCTGTTCAGGAGGCACTGCAGAAACATCCCCCACAAGGCTTCTGGCATTCCCCTCACGAAGGGCTGCAGGCACCTTGTTATCTCCCCATCCGCAGTATCCTTACAGCAAGGCTCCTTCGCCCAAAAAGCAGAAAAAGCCTTAGATACGAGGGCAGGAAGGGCGGGCTACACACCCCTGAATCTACAATCGGACTGCTTATGTTCAAATTCAGTTCTGACACTAATTCTTAACTAATTCCAGTCCTAGGAGACTTGGGCAAGTCCCCTAATTACTTTAAGCTTCAATTTCTTTACCTGTAAAACCAGGGATGGTAATAATAGTTAATGAATAATAAAGAGTCAATAAATAATAAATGAGAGTAAAAATAGGACTCACATGTGCAAACATGTATAATATATTACAAAGATATGCTGTATGCATTTATTACACAGATGACTGGAGTTTAGGAACCCTTGCAAAGATACTAAGTTCCCATCTACTTCTAAATCCCTAAGCATCAATCCCTATAATAGATAAATATTGAACAATCATGTCTCTGTTAGGTAGTAAAGACACAAGAAAGAATGAGGAGCAGCATTTGCTTTTGTGGTATTCATGACTAGTGAGTCACACAGACCCACAACCACAAGAGAAGCCCTGATCACTGACTTTCACTTAGCCCAGTAGCCAGGACAATGAAAGGGCTTTCTTCATTGGGTAAAGCATACTGACTCCTCAGAAATGTTAAATGTTTGCAGCTGGTAGATTCCTCTCTATTATACCATGTGTTTCTGCCCCCAAAAGACTTTGGTTGAACACAGCTTGTCCTGATTGGATTGAATCAGAGATCTCTATGTACTGACAATGCATTATGACGTGTTGGAATGGTGAACGCAGGTGTAAAGTATGAGGGGTGCCTGCTTCAAAGAACAGTGCTGCAGAGCAGAACAATTACAGGGCTTAAGAGCGGAGGGCCCAGTGCAAGGGATGATCCTTCTTGGTTCTATGGATTTGGGCAATGCACTTGACTTATTTGAGTGCATGTCTCCACTTGTAAACATAGAGATAATTCTATCTGCCTGTTGACAGTAATGTGGGAAATAAATTAGAGGATGTACATGAAAATATTTTTTGGATTATAAATTTTTTTCTGGCTGTTTTGTTTTTTTAATCTTGAAATAAGAAGAGGAGATGATGCTAATGTCTTATTTTTTTAGGGGGGGGGGTGTTGGCTCATGCCTGTAATCCCAACGCTTTTTATTTATTATACTTTAAGTTCTAGGGTACAGGTGCACAACATGCAGGTTTGTTACATATGTATACATGTGCCATGTTGGTGTGCTGCACCCATTAACTCGTCATTTACATTAGATATATCTCCTAATGCTATCCCTCCCCCCTACCCCCACCCCACAACAGGCCCTGGTGTGTGATGTTCCCTACCCTGTGTCCAAGTGTTCTCATTGTTCAGTTCCCACCTATGAGTGAGAACATGTGGTGTTTGGTTTTCTGTCCTTGCAATAGTTTGCTCAGAATGACGGTTTCCAGCTTCATCCATGTCCCTACAAAGGACATGAACTCATCATTTTTTATGGCTGCATAGTATTCCATGGTGTATATGTGCCACATTTTCTTCATCCAGTCTATCATTGATGGACATTTGGGTTGGTTCCAAGTCTTTGCTATTGTGAATAGTGCTGCAATAAACATACGTGTGCATGTGTCTTTATAGCAGCATGATTTATATTCCTTTGGGCATATACCCAGTAATGGGATGGCTGGGTCAAATGGTATTTCTAGTTCTAGATCCTTGAGGAATCACCACACTGTCTTACACAATGGTTGAGCTAGTTTACAGTCCCACCAACAGTGTAAAAGTGTTCCTATTTCTCTACATCCTCTCTAGCACCTGTTGTTTCCTGACTTTTTAATGATCACCATTCTAACTGGTGTGATGGTATAAATCTTCCCATAATGTCAGTTTCACAGTCTAGCATAAAGAAGAGGCTACATACTATTCACAATAGGAAAGTCGTGGAATCATCCTAAATGCCCATCAATGGTAGACTAAATAAAGAAAATGTGGTATATATATACCATTGAATACTATGCAGCCATAAAAAAGAATGAGATCATGCTCTTTGCAGCAACATGTATGCAGCTAAAGACCATTATCCTTAGCAAACTAATGCAAGATCAGAAAACCAAATCCTGCATGTTCTGACTTAAAAGTGAGAGATAAACAATAAGAATATTTGGACACAAAAATGCGAACAATAGACTCTTGGGCCTGCTTGAGGGTGGACAGGGCAGGAGGGAGAGAATCAGAAAAAATACCTATAGGGCACTATGCTTAGCACCTGGATGATGAAATAATCTGCGCAACAAAATTCCATGACATGAGTTTACCCATATAACAAACACACATGTACCCCTAAAACTGAAATAAAAGTTAAAAGAAAAAAATAGAAGAGGCTACAGAAAATTCATGGAAGGCACAAGGAAAAGATATGAGAGAGGAAGAGAAGAAAGAAAGAGACAAGATACACAGGTGGCATTTTTTAAACTATAAAGTAGGAAAATATGTGTCAAGGGCTAAGAGGCTATGGGAATTCAGAGTAAGAAGAAATCATACAGAAGTAACACAACGAGGTTCGCATTTGATATGTTTCTTCTTTTTGCTTTGTTCTTTTTAACGAAAAGCAACAGGTGATTTTGTGAAAGTCAGAAAACACCAGTATCCTTGTGATCTCATCCTAGATTTTTCTGTCAACTGGATCCACTCTAATTAATAAAGAATGCATTTCTGACCCCATTCCAAATATGTGAAATTAGAAGACATGATTGCATATATAATAATAAAAGCATAATCTAAAGGATATTATCACACTAGGAATACAGAGTTGTTTCTTCTTGACCTGGAGAAAATATTAAGAGAAAGTCAATGTATTTACAAACAAGATTTAATAATGTTCACAAAAATAGAGTTTGCCCCCAAATGAGACATTATGCATTGCTTTTTTCAAAAAGTTACCAATTTAGTGCTTAAAAAATCCAACAGGTAAGCAGCAGGCCTAATAGAGTCTGTTTCTGGAACTCTCTGCTAGCAACTGAGCATTCTCAGTCCAGGAAGCCATTTTTCATGGGAGGAATGGAGAGAGGGAGAGGAAGGCAATATTTACATCCCATTCTGCACAGCTCAGTACTGCCTGTTCATCTTCTTGACCTTTTTATAACGATAGTCATCAGTGGCCTTCTGCTTATCAGGATGCTTGTGGTTAGGAGGGGACCTCTCAGCCTCTGCCTTCTCTGTGTCACCTAGCTTCTCCGTGTCGCCTACCCTCAAGAGTCTGGTTTTGGGTTCTTCTGTGTTTCTCTGTATGGGAACGTTGAGCTCCTCATGATAAAATCTGTTCTGCTGCACGTAATTCACAGACATGTTGGTAGGCATGAAGGATAGCTTACTGTCTTTTTTCTTATTCTGCTACTCTGCCAGCAGATGGACCTTGGCATCCTCTGAAGAAATGATATTTTTTATTCTAGCATTGATGCCAAGGTCCAACTCAGGAATGCCACTCAGCATCTGGTTGGAAAACATCTTCTTGGTCTTCTTTGCTGAGGAAATGTGGATGTTTTCTGGAAGTTCATAAAGACAATCCTCTGCATTCCTTGGCTTGACTTTCTGTTCCTCATGTTCCACAATCCCTTTCCTCTTCTTTAGCTCTGTCTCAGTGTACTTCATCATGTCTGCATCCTCATCCCTTCAGTTGGTTTCTGCAGAAAATGATGTCCCCAAGTGAAAGTCTTCCTCTTTACTGATTTTATCTTTGCTCTTTTCCTTCAGTTTCTTCATATCCACATCACCTATCTTCATCTGAAAGGGATCTGATTGGTCTCTTCTTTCCCAACAGCAGGGCCACAGCACCCGTTGAATCTCTTCCTTCTATTATGTACTTCTCTGGTCTATTCAAGTTTTAATTGAACCTCCTCTGCATCATCTTCATCTTCCTCTGACTCTGAGTTATCCCAGTGCCAACAGAAAGTCTTCCTGGTGACCAGCATGGTGGCACCAGCCCTATGGTCCAGCCACAGTGCCTCTGTGCCTTGAGATTTGCATTTAAGTATGAATTTTTAATAAAACAACTTCTAGTAGCTCTAAGTGAGGTAGACTTGTGAGACTGATAATAAAGATAAGAAAAACAGTTTAAAAACAGCTGCAATGATCAAAAATAATAAACAGGCAATGTCAACCAGAATGGACAAAATATAGTGGAGCAAGACTAAAGAAGAACACATTCCAAGATATGGGGAGGGAGGGAGGTGATACAGTCTGTATATTTATCCCCACCCAAATATCATGTTGAATTGTAATCCCCAATGCTGGAGGTGGGGCCTGGTGGGAGGTGTTTGGATCACGGGGGCAGATCTCTCATGGCTTGGTGCTATCTTTGTGATAGTGAGTTCTTTCAAGATCTAATCATTTAAAAGTGTGTGGCAACCCCTCCCACAACCTTTGCTAGCTTCTTAATTTTGCCATGAGACATGCCTGCTCCTCCTTTGCCTTCCACCATGATTGTAAGCCTCCTGAGGCCTCCCCAGAAGCCAATCAAATGCCAGCATCGTGCTTCCTGTACAGCCTACAGAATTGTGAGCCAATTAATTCTCTTTTCTTTATAAATTACCCAGTCTCAGATATTTCTTCATAGCAATGCAAGAACAGCCTAACACAGCAGGTTTTAGGAATAATTTTCAGGTTCCCCCTGGGGCAACTGGCTGGTTGAGGGCGTCATTCGACTATGGCAGGGAATATTTGAGGGAAAGAAGATTTACAAAAAAAGGAGTAAATTCAGTTGTGAATATGTTGAGTTGAAGTTTAAATAGGGAAGCAGATAAAGACAGCAGCAGGTAGCTGGATACAGAAATATGAAGCTGAAAAACATAAACATGGAATTTCATGCAGAGGAAATAACAGATCAACCCCCCTGTAAGTGTGTAAGGTAAGAATCATAAAAGTGGGCTCAAGATAGATCCATGAGGAGCACCAATATTTTTACATGTCTCTATGAAGCTGTCAGAAAAGGTAGACAATTCATGTGCAATTGCCAATGATAGTTTAAAGCACCAAATTCTGAGTCAGGCTCACTGGCCTCCCTTCGCAGATCCACCACTTAACAATCTGGGCAAGTCCATTCAATTCCCTGAGCCTCAGTTTTTCCGTGTGTAAAATGGGAATACAATAGGACACATTTGCTGTGAAAACTCAATGGAATAATGTGGGTAGAGTGTTGAGTCCAATGCCTGATACATGCACATATAATTATTTAATAAGTATTAGATACCTTAAGTGATTTGGGGGAAAAGGGCTTAATATGCTTGCATTTTAAGATTTCTTCAATTCTCCAAATGTGATTTGTTCCCCAGGCCACCAGTGTAGGGAAAGATCTTTAAGAGGTTCTTTTGCATTTTGTCTTAGATGGATTGCTGAGCAGCCTCCAGGAATCCTTCACCTTTTCCCCTCTCTTGACAGCTTCCTGCTCCACCTTAGGGATCATTCCATGTTGTCCTCACTAGGCAAAAATATAGTACTCAACCAAACAAATAAATAAAACTGTAAGATAATTTCAAATAGTTCTATAGACTGACTGTTTATGTGCCTCCAAACTTCATACGTTTAAACCTAATCCCAAATGTGGGGGGACATAATATAGATGTGATAGTATTTGGAGGTGGGTTTTAGAGGTAGATTAGCATCTATACTCAAGAATGGGATTAGTGCCATTATAAAATAAGCCCCAAAGAACTCCCTTCCCCTTTCGCCATGTGAGGTCACAGTGAGGAGATAGCTGTCTGTGAATCAGAAGGATGTCCTGATGGAAATGGACCATCCCAGGCACCGAATCTGCACTCACCTTGATCTTGGACTTCACAGCCTTCTAAACTGTAAGCAATAAATTACTGTTTTTTATAAGCCACCCATTCTATGGCAGTTTGTAATAGCAGCCCAAATGAAGTAAAACAAATAGTGATAAAATAATGAAAAATAAACAAAGAGCAGTCATAGAATAAGTCCAAGGTGGATCTTTCCATCAGTGACACTGAACAGAAACTTAGACCCTAAATATGTGAGTGAATGTGTGGAGAGGTATGGATGGATACTAGACTTTCTTATTTGAGCAATTATTAAAGCCAGGCATGAAGCTAGATGTCTTCCTAGATTTGCATTTCTCATTTGTGACTTTCTTTTTCCCTCTTGAATTAAGCAAACCCAACAAAAGAAGTGCTCTCCACTCCCTTTCCAGTGAGCTACAAAGAAAACGATGCTTTGAATTAGATGATAGATTTTTCTGTTTCTGCCACTCTAGGCACCTCCACAGTTTAAGGTGTTTGATGAGTGAGAATATAAGGTTCAAAGATTCTACCATGTAGAGCATGAACTAGTAGAATTTCTTTCCACTAAACTAAAATCCACAGTAGCACTGCCTACTTAGAAATAACATAACAACCTCTCAAATCTGCACAGGGATTGACAGTTTGAAAACTGCTTTTGGAAACTTGATTATATTTAGGACCCACAGCCACCATATGAAACAGTATTTTCTCCAATTTGTAGATGAGGAAACTGAGGCTCAGAGGTTACGTGACTTTCCAAATATGCTACTTAGTGTTGAAAGTAATATTTGAAGCCATTGCCCATCTGTCTCTGGGTTCACTTTCTACCACTGTTATCCCAGGGCCCCTGAAATAGTCTTGGGTAAATTTATAACATTGGGTCTGTCTGAAATTGCTAGCATTGACTCTCAGTCAGCCATAACATGATGCGTATGTTTACTGTGGTTTCCCTGGCCTAGGGGTAGAAAAAGACATCACTGTTTTTCTGGCTCACTCCATGCTGAAAGACAAGACTTGACTGAAAGTGTGTCCCCTACCCTCTGGACAGTCTCAAGAAGGTTTCTAATGTGGACTTGCTCAGGCTGCCCCTACGCAATGCCTCTGCTGTCCTTGAAGATCCCTTGGACATTTCACTCTCGCCTCTCATGCCCATGGCTGGTTCCATCCGCCCCTTCCCCTGTTGGCTCAGAGAAGGAAACTGCTGCTAAAGGCCCTGGTATTTGTTTTTGTACTATTTCTGTTAAGCATTTTATTCCATGCCCACCTCAGGCCCCATGGTGTCAATGCAAGTTACCCTGGAGTGGAATGCTTCTTACATCACTTCATTTAGGCCTCCCATAAGCACCCTGACATGGTCTTAACTCTGAACATCTCTGCATTACATATGAAGAAGCAGATGTAATCACCCAACAGGTTCTTCTTGACCACTGCACAGACCAAATCAATTCACTGTGACCATTGTATTGCAGTAAAGAGTTGAATTAATGTGAGTCCAGCCACATGAAACAACTAGAGTTGTAACTCAAATCAGTCTCCCTGAAGGCTCAGAGGTTAGGGTTTTTCAAGGATAGTTTGGTGGGCAGGGGTGTGGGGGATGGGTGCTGCTGATTTGTTGGGGGTGCAGTCATAGAGGTGTGGAAAACAGTCCTCCTGTACTGAGTCTGCTTCTGGGTTGAGGAGCCACAAGATAAGTTGAATCATGAGTCACAAATCTAGGTGGAATCAGCAGTTGATATGCAAAAGTCTGAAAAATAGCTCAAAGATCAATCTTAGGTTCCCCAATAGTGATGCTATTTATAGTAACGATTGGAGAAGTCACAAATCTTGTGACCTCTGGCCACATGACTCCTGGTCAGTAAGGGATTATGGAAACTATCACTACATTTTAGCAGGATTCAGGCTCCTCCCATAATCCCAATCTAGTAGCCTTTTATTAGTCTTACAGAGGTGGTTTTAGCACCCCAGAGAAAGAGGGGATCAGTTTTAGGGAGGGACTGCTATTATCCTTGCTTCAAAGTTAAATTGTAAACTAAATTTCTCCTGTAGTTAGCTTGGCCTATGTCCAGCAATGAGTGAAGACAGCCAGGCTGTGAGGCTAGAGGCAAAATGGAGTCAGCCATGCTAGGTTTCCCCCACTGTCATGATCTTTGCAAAGACAGTTTCACAGAGACTCAATGAAGTTAAGCCATTTGTTCAAATCCAAATAGGTAGTAAATGGGGGATTTAAACCCAGGCCTGTCTGATCAGCGAGTCCATGTGCTTAACCTCAGTACTCCATAGGATATTGTGATTTATAAAAAGGAGTATG
Organism: Homo sapiens; assembly: GCF_000001405.40. Classification (NCBI taxonomy): domain Eukaryota; kingdom Metazoa; phylum Chordata; class Mammalia; order Primates; family Hominidae; genus Homo; species Homo sapiens. The sequence goes on along the minus strand of NC_000004.12, from coordinate 13,973,030 downwards.
TATTTGGTCTTCATCCAGTTCCTGGTACAGAGCTCCAAAAACCTTTGGAATTTCCTAAGTGAGCTAAGCAGTAAAGGTGAGAGTAGAGTCTACTGTTATTCATTACAAACTCTTTTCACACACACCTGAGCTTACGTGAATGAGGTGATTATTGGAAAAACCAGAGACAACTACAGGATGGGGTCTGGGTGCCAGGGGAACCAACCACATAATTACAGGGTTGGAACTTCCAGCCCCACCCTCTGACCTCTGGAGAGGGAAGATGGGTTGAAGGTTGAATTGATCACTATTAGCCAATGATTTAATAAATCATGCCTGTGTAGTGCATCCTCCAAAAAACCCACAAGAAGGAGACAAAAGAAAGAGGTTCACAGAATTTCCTTTTAGTGACCACGTGGAGGTGCAGGAGGGTGGCCTTGCCCTGAGAGGGCACAGAAACTCCACACACCTTCCCTATCCCTTGCCCTACATGTCCCCTCATTTGGCTGTTCCTGAGTTGTATTTTTTGGTAATAAACTGGTAATCCAATATGTTGTGTTTTAATGAGTTCTGTGAGCTGTTCTAGCAAATGATTGAACACAAGGAGGGCATCATGGGAACCTCTGTTCGGGAGCTCTAGGGGTTAAGAGAAACCTTCCCCTTTGCTCTTTAAAGATTCACTAAAAGTCAACTGATTGTAAATTAAAAATAGAATCCTAAGCCCCCCACCAACTGAACAGACACGCTTTTGTCCAAGGGGACTCCAAAGAAACGTTAAAAAATTGAGCTCCTGGCCATAAATGGAAAGGAGGTTGGACATGTCTCATTGTACCTCTTCCTTTTTGGAGTTTAGACATAACAACTGACCAGCATTGATGTTAAAATAGAGATCATAAGGCTGACAAAAAGACTATTTGTGGCAATAAGATACCAAATTATAAACAAGACCTAAGGCCACACAAGGTAAGGGTTAAGTCACATCCACAGGCCATCACCCTTGCTACATAAATCCTTATCTTAAGAATTTCTTTCTGCTGACTCCAAGTTTTAGACAGAGCCTTACTCCTTTAACCAATTGCAAATCAAAGAATGTCTGAACCTATAAGGTATAAGCCCCTACTTCAAGACATCCCGTCTTCTTGGTTGAACCAATATATATCCTCCACGTATTGATTTATATATTTTCCTATAACTCTCACCTTCCTAAAAGGTATAAAACTAAACTGTAATCCAACAGCCTTGGACACACTTTCTCAGTATTCCCTGAGCCTGAGGACCCTGCTTCCCAGGCCTGTGGTCATTCTTATTGTCTCAGAAATAACTTTTAAAAAATATTTTTGCAGAGTTTGTGATTTCCATTAACATGACAAAGGCAGATTAATAGGAGAAATGGCATACACGTTTATTAACATGCAGCGGGAAGAATCATAGAATGATTACCCCAACCCCACAATTGGTTACGGAGGCTTATCTACTATCTTGAGGATACAGAAAGAATGGAGGCTTGGAGGCTTGTAGCATGGCCAAAAACAGGTTATGGTGGTAAATTGAGTAATAATAACAATATAGGTTATGGGAGGGAGAAAAGAGAGGCCTGGCTAGCAAAGGTGGTTTTGTTATGTAGGTGAAACCTCACAGGTAGCAGCCCTCAAAGAGAATAGTTGGTAAACATGTCTTTGAGACCTTTAAAGGTGTCAGGCTATTGGTTAATATTTTCTGGACCTGGAAAAGGGAGGACCTCAAAGAAAGCCTGGCAGCATCAATGCAGATATATTTTCCCAGGTGCTAATCTCCCCCGCGAAAGACAGCTTTTTCAGAGATCCTTCTGGTTGCATACTCTCTGAACAGCCATCTCAAAATATGTCAAAGCAGTATATTTTGGGGTGCAATATTTTAGTTTCATTCATAGCCAAGTTAAACAGGAGCTGTGGATAACCTGGGGCTCCACCACTTGAGATTGGCGTCTGAAATGGGGTGCAGTCTTGTGAAGCTTACCCCTTTTGGTGGAATCTGATGCTATCTAGAGACAGAATCAGAACTGAGTTAAATTAGGACACAGTCAGTGCCCATTGAGGAGAAGAGAATTCCTTAATGTGGGTGAGAAAAAACCTACACATTTTGGTGACCAGAAGTAAAGTGTAATGAGTAAAGAAAAGAAACAGTATTTGTTTTCTTTTTCACTCCCCTATTCCCCTAAGGGAAAGCACTTGGTTTCAGGGAAGGGACACAAGCACACAAGTTTTGTCGAGCCACAGCAACTCTGTTGCCTAATATGGTGCTGCACTCAGAATTGTCCCTTGATCATCCTCACAGACTCATGTCAAAATGCCTGAGATCAAGAGGTTGCAGGTAAACAGCTGAAGTAAAGAAGCAAACAGTGCTCAGTCATCAAAACATGAGGGAGCTCTCTTACACACACACACACACACAATCACACACACACACACACAATCACACACACACAGTGTCTATGGGATATTTGGAGTGTAAGACAATGGCATTTTAGTAACCTGACTCACCCTGCTCAACTGATCTGAGAGTGTGTCTAGAGGACCAGTGTACCTTCAGCCCGTAGCACAGCATGTGATACAGAGTAGGCGCTCAAAATACTACTTTCAGTGAATAAATAGAAGACTGGAGTGTCTAGATATTGCTGTCTTATTATTGAAGCTTTTGAATTAATTTTTAATCACTCATTTTCTAAAAAGGAGCAGTGAGTTTTAAAGATGAGAGCCAAGTTGAATATATGCCTGAGTTCAAACGGGATCTTTCACAGGCTATTTGGTTTTCTGAATTTCAATTTACCAAACTGCAGTAAAGAGCTGGTCCCAGAACAGTGCTCACCCAGAACAGCGAGCACAGAATACATACTCATTCTTTCTCCTTCTTTATTGGTAACTTTGATCCTCAGTGACCTCTTTTTATCTGAACAACAGGAAATAATCTTAGGAGTCAGGACACCTGATCTTAGCACTAAATCTCTGGGCAGTCAGTTAAATCATTCAGGACAGCCACCTCTCACATGCCTAATCAATAAAATAAGACAGGAATAGGCATCTTAGCAGGTCTTTGTAAAAAGGAAAATAGGTTTTACCTTCAGCAGAAAACATAACAAATCCCACTTTTTCAGTCTTGCTGTAGGGGTATCCTGTGCATTGTGGAATGTTTAGAACCATCCTGGGCCCCTCCTTTCTTTGTGTTAAACAAAAGATATTTTACATCCTATATCCCTACCCTTCACTTGCAAGCAAATGTATACCCTACTTTGAATAAGAATTAAAAACAAAACACACTCCTGGGTACAAATTTGAGTCCTCACCACATTCTCATCCCTTGCCATCTGAAGAGAGGCAGGAATCCTTCTCCCTCCTACTCTCATACCAGCCAAGGCCACAGGCTCTTTTCATAACCTCTGGAGGCTACTCCATAGTAAGGACCATACTGCCTCCCTAACCCTTCCTTACTGCTATTTAAAACCTTGTCACAGCCGGCATGGTGGTTCATGCCTGTAATTCCAGCACTTTGGGAGGCAGAGGTGGGTGGATCCTTTGAGCTCAGAGTTTGAGACCAGCCTGACCAAAATGGTGAAACCCCATCTCTACTAAAAACACAAAAATTAGCTGAGCATGGTGGTATGCGCCTGCATTCCCAGCTACTCGGGAGGCTGAGGCACAAGAATCACTTGAACCCAGGAGGCAGAGGTTGCAGTGAGCCGAGATCATGTCACTGCTCTCCAGCCTGGGCGACAGAGTGAGACCTTGTCTCAAAAATAAATAAATAAATAAATAAAACCTGGTCGCTCATCCCCTGGGAAAGCAGAGCACATCCATTCTTACTCTGCAAACCTGTAGATTTCTGGTCCCCAAATTCTACTTAATCTTTTGAGAACATCAAGCTTTTTTGTCAAAATTGCGGGGACTTGATCCAACAGTTCAATTTCTGGGTGTATATGCAAGATAATTGGAAGCAGGATCTGAAGAGATATTTGTATACCTATGTTCCCACATTTCTAACAGTGTTACTCACAATGGCCAAAAGGTGGAAGCAACCCACATGTCCACTGATGGATGAATGGATTAACCAAATGTGGCCTATTCATGCAATGTGGTTTTATTCCACCTCAAATAAGAAGAAAATTCTGACACGCGCTAAAAAATGTATGAAACTTGAGGACATTATGCTAAGTGAAATAAGCCAGTCACCAAAAAACAAATACTGTGTGATTACACTTATAAGAGGTACATAGAGTGGTCAAATTCATAGAGACCTGATAGTTACCAGGGCTAAGGAAAATGAGGAATGAGGAGTTAGTGTTTAATAAATACAGAGTTTCACTTTTGCACGATGAAAAAGTTCTGGAGATTGGTTGCACAACAACGGAAATATACTTTATCCTAGTCAACTGTACACTAAAAAAGCGTCAAGATGGTACATTTTCTATTATATGTATTTTACCACAGGCAAGAATAAAGTTAAAATAGAAAACAAAAATGGAGGATCCTATATCCTCTCTCCATCTCTGCAGCATAGATTCCACAACCTACTCAGTAGTTTTGTGTCTGCATTTTGCTTGCACTCACTCTTGTTTCTTAAAGTTATAGGAGAACATTTCTTCCTCTCTGCATGATCCTTCCTTGGCCATTGCAATAGGAATGTTCATCCTCTCCTTGTCCTTTCCACTTCTCACGAGGAGGTGAGGCTTGTCTTACTAGGACAGGACAACACATCTCTTCCTTTCTTCTTTCCCTCTCCCTTTCTGGAGCCCAAACTCTGTGTCTTCTCTAATTCCCACCTTTGTCTTCATCAGGGTCACATGTGAGCTGTCTTCTGCATCCTGCCCCCGTGGGATATGCTTTTTCCAGGTCCTGCATTGGGTAACGTGGTCCATTTCAGCCGTGGTGCCAAGTTCAACTGTCCAACTGCAGCTTTGCTGGCAATAAAACTGGCTTCCTTAGAATTATTATCTGGTTCCTGGGGCTATTTTTTACTTGGTTCAGAACCCACAGAGAATCAGTCATGATTAGTTATTGCCCTCTCTACCCAAAGGTCCAGAAACAAAGCACTCTTTTTGGTTTTGTATCAACCTTGAAAAACATGAGAAGCAATGGCCTAAATTAATACCCAAATAATATAGTGTGTTCCACCCATTATTCAACAATTATACTGGTAGTTGGTCACTCTCTTAATATGTTTTTCATTTTTTTATCATTTTTTTAAGACAGAATCTCACTCTGTCACTCAGGCTAGAATGCAGTGGTGTGATCTTGGCTCACTGCATCCTCCATCTCCCGGGTTCAAGCAATTCTCCTGCCTCAGCCTCCTGAACAGCTGTGATTACAGGCACCTGCCACCATGCCTGGCTAATTTTTGTATTTTTACTAGAGACAGAGTTTCACCTTGTTGGCCAGGCTGGTCTCGAACTCCTGGCCTCAAGTGATCCACCTGCCTTGGCCTCCCAAAGTGCTGGGATTACAGGCATGAGTCACCATGCCTAGTTTATCTTAGCATGACTTGAAGTTGTCACTTCACTGAGAAGATCTTAGGTTCCCCTTTACAGCTCCAAGCTCTGTGTCAGGTGCAGAGTAAAGCTCATGTCTGTTCATTGATTGATTGATGGTTATTAGAACACAAAAGAGAAAATAATTCTCCAAGGACTGCCCTTTTTGGTCACTTTTACATGGGCTTGGGCAGATGTCACCCTTAGTAGTTGGCAGCATGATAGAGCAAAAAGAATTGGAAACTGGGAATAAGAAATGTCTCATCTAACTGATTTAGATGAATCATTCATTTAAATTTGGTGAATTTAGGCATCAAGTTGTGTGGCAAATTGCTCACCCTTCTGAGTCTCCATTTCCTTGTCTATAAAATTAGGGTCTTTGCATTGATGTCTAAACTCCCTTCTATTTTAAACATACTCTTAATTGTATGACTCAATTGTACTTTCAGCTCTGTATTTAAGAGATTAAAGCAGAAAAAACTCTCCCTTCCCCTCCCACTGCCTCTGGCCTGCAGAAGTGTCCAGCAAGCATTTTCCTTTTTGCAGGCATATGGAGGATCCAGCAGGCTGTTGAACCATGATATCAAATGCCAGTCAGAGGATCCCCCACTGGGTTTTTAAATCAACATGGAATGGTTCTGACCCAGTGTGAGAGCAGCTGAAATTGACAATCCAAGGGTATCTGTGGGAGGTAGCCCAAGGAGCACTCTTGATAACCAAAAGGAACAAACATGTTCCTTTCATCAAACTATCAAAAACAAATCTAAGCCATGGGTTGTTTTTGGAGGAACACCATCCCTCTCTCCTTATTCATCCCCGCATTCCACAGTTCTTCCCTCCCTGGCTCAGCAGCTTGCCACAGGGGGAGTAAGCCGCCGTGGGTTATGAGCTGTCAGGCTCCGCATTTAAATATTACTCACCCAGCTCAGTTGAAGGTACAGGTCAGCCAATAGTATTAAGTTAACTACATTGGGAAATACATTATCTTTTGGGTCACAGGGGTACAATTCAATGAACAGCAACAGGATTTCCTGGTTGATAAATGGTTCCACAAGAGGTTATAGCTTGCCTGCCCTAGAAATAATAGCAATAATCCCCTACATTCATATTCCACTCTAGAGTCTATAGAGGATTTTCACATCCATTATCTCTTAGGACTTTCTCGAGGGAGTCAGCCCAGCTCAGGAGAGAGGGCAGAGCACAGACATCAGCTCTCATGCCTGCTTCCCGGTACACCATGCTATGACTGGGAAGTTCTGTTGCCTCTTGGCGCCTCAGTTCACGAACTATAATCAGGAAATACCAATAATATCTGCCTTGTAGAGGAACCAAGGAGATCAAATGAGGTGATGTTTGTGCATATTAAAAAAATGATGTCATGGAAAAGAATCTATTAGAAGTGCTCTATAGAAGCAAAATTAAAAATCATAAAAATAAGCTTTAATTTATCTGCTAAAACCTTATAAAACTACAAAACCAGTAGAGCTAAAAATCACTTAAAGATATTTCTCTTTTTTTTATTTTGTTTGGCATTCATTTATTGGGTACCTTTGCACAATACCTGTTAAAGCTAATCTCTGCCATCTAGGAACTTGGGACATTAAGATACATATAGATGTAACTACAGCTATGACTTAAGATAGAGACTAGAAATCAGGAAGCAAGGTCAGTCTAGTAAAAGTTACAATGACTGCAACTTATATGATGCCATTAAAGGAATCCTGAGGAATGAAATTATGCTGGACTGCGGCACTGATACAAAAGAGCTATCAATTATCAATGTCCCATAAATACCTATCAATTATCAATGTCCCATTATATGGCAGCTACTAGAAGTACCTCTCTAATCCTGGCCATCACCCTAAAAGATATTATTATCACCGTCATCCCCATATTACAGAAGAGATAATTGAGACTAAGGAAAGTTAACTATCATGTCAGCATATAAAACATCTGAGCCTGGGCTCACAACGTTATCTGTCTGAAGCCAGCGCCTTTGTCTCCTGCCCTGCACTATGCAATTTGCTTTCTTAGAAATCAGAGAAGATGAAACCCCTGATATAAGTTTTTTTAATTTTTTTGTTGGGCCCTGAAAGACTCAGAGAAACAGATTATGAAGTAAGCCATTTCAGGAGGAGGTCACAGCATGAATAAAATGAATAAATTATGAAAAAATATCTTTGGAGATATTGAGGTGTCCAGTGTGCCTAAAGAGGTGTTTGGCAATGGGCTATTCATTACTAGAAATTCTAACCACCTTTTGAGCTCAGATCTCCTAAAGACCAAGTGAACAGATGACTTCCAATGATTCCTTCCTCAAAAAATGCCCAGGCCCTTGCCTCTGTAACCCTCCCTGTAATCATTACAATCACTCTGTTGCTTCCGCTTGTCCCCATCTGCTCCAGACCAATCCCCAGTGCAAGTTCCATATTTACAATAAGTACTTGATTGTTTACTAAATGGTGAATGACACTGTCCTATGCTACACTAGCCTGCTGGTTTGGTTTGATTTCCATCTCCACTTCTAGGGTAGAAATAGGAAGCTCAAATGCCAATATTGGCAGACCGCCGCCACCATGACATCCCACTGAAAATATCAAATGGAGTTTTGTGCTTCCAAGCTAACATATACTGGGGACAAGCTGATTTTTCCTTTTTTTTTTTTTCTTGACATTGACATTTCTTTCTTTTTTTATGTTGACACTGATTCCCAAAAGATAACTTAGTATGTAACATCCATGCTTGATAGGGTGCAATTATGGAACATTCAACAGAGAAGGACAAATGAGGTAATGCATGACAAGGACAAGTGGGACAGGGGCTCCAACAAATAGTAGATATAGTTGGTCCTTGAACAACATGGAGGTTAGGGGCACTGACTCCAAAACCCTGCACAGTCCAGCATCCACATGCAAATTTTGTCTCCCCAAAGACTTAAATACTAATAGCCTTCTATTAACCAGAAGCCTTGTCAATAACATAAACAGTCCATTAACACATATTTTGTATGTTATATGTATTAATATACTGTATCCTTATAATAAAGTAAACTAGAGAAAAGAAAATATTATTAAGAAAATCATAAAGAAAAAATGTTTACTATTTACTAAGTGGAAGTGGATCATCATAAAGGTCTTCATCCTCATCGTCTCCATGTTGAGTAGGCTGAAAAGGAGGAAGAGGAGGGGTTGGTCTTTGCTGTCTCGGGGTGGCAGAGGCAGAAGAAAATCTGCCTATACCTGGACCCACACAGCTCAAATCTCTGTTGCTCAAGGGTCAATTGTATAGGCAATACCTATACCTCCTTTTCTACTCCAAAAAAAAAAAAAAAAAAAAAAAGCCCTATCAATAAGAGGAGTCAATGGCATCCATTTTTATCAGTTTAGAGTATCCTGGCTATAAAACAGGTGAAATAGACTCTGCCTAACTTAACGGAAACATTCCTGGAGTTCAGAAAATTAAAGAAAGATTTGGATAACCAGGCTTTGGACAATACATGAACCAGAGATACTCTGAGCATTGGTTCATTCATTTGCTTGTCCATTCCACAAGTATTTTTGAGTGCCTGCATTACCTGGAATTGCTCTAGGTACTAAAAATGTACCACATCCAGTGGTGATGGATGTGGTTGCAAAAACTAATGAGCACATTTTCAGGACATAACTGCTGTATGCTCAAATTCCAGTGCCTGCCATCACTGTAAGGCTCTGCTCAAGTTTCCGTTCTCATGAAAGAGTCTGAACAAACTAACCTGGATCAGTGCCTACTTCCTTGGCTAGTGTTGGAAGGGCCAGGCGGAGTTCTTGCAGAGAAACTGGATGAACACTCCCACCATGAACACATCCAGAAACAATGAGGAAAGGGTACTTAACCAGAGGAAAATTGTGATGCTTTTACCAAAAAAAAAAGGGGGGGAAAGGGATGCTGAGAAAATAAAAACAATTCTTGTCTACTCTTCTGAGAAGATAGCATAAGATCAGACATGTGAAGATGTTGGCATAGTCCCTAGCACAAAGTAAGCGCTTGATGAATAAACAACAAAAATGATTAAAAATTCATCTACTATGTGATGAGACATCAGAGCATGTGAAGTAATTAATTAGGCTATTGACTATGGCTTTACCTACAAATATATAGTCAACATGTCAGCACTAAGATGTCAGCTTTAAATTATTTATGAAATTTGGAAAAGCATTAATAAAAGTATCTGAAGTGAGGAAAGTGTTGGTCCTGCTTTCCTGGTGCTGGTCAGACTTCAATTTGATTGAACATATAATTAAGCACATATTATATATCAAATCCTTGGAGCAGTGTACACAGATTTTAAGAGGACTCAGCAAACAGGGAACTATGACCACAGCCTGGGTGACAGAGAGAGAGACTGTATCTCAGAAAAAAAAGAGAGAGAGAGAAAATGGATAGTGGTAATAGTTGTACAACATTGTGAATATCCTTAATGCTACTGAATTGTACATTTAAAAATGATTAAAATGGTAAATATTACATATATTTTACAATTAAAAAAATCAAAGAAAAAAAGTAAAAACAATCTGAAAACTATGACATATGTGAAATGGTTGAAAAGATGAGAGCATTTGGCCTGAGGTCATGGTACTTAATATGCATGTCTAATTATATGCAATTCTAGTTGAGGAAGAGCCTTCCTCCTGGAAAGGAGAGAAAGTTTCAGGCCAATATCTTGTGACTTGTGAAAGCAAAGATTTGAAGCAAGGGCAGGAAAGTAACTTAGGTATGGCAAGGACAAAGGTGTATGCATGCACACTCTGGTGCCTGGTGTACATGTGTGAGCAAAACAAAATCTCTAGAATGCTTGCCATTGCTGCTTGCAATATCCACCACACCTTTGATTTATCCCAAAAGTACTGTAAATGAAGCTCAAATGAGTTCTAGTTTTAAATGGCTATTCAAAGAAGGAAACTTTTGAGAAGTGGGAAAAAAAATCTGAAATAAATATCATAAAATGGAGGTTCAAACCCTCCTTCTGTCACTTGGCCAATTGTGTAACCTTGACAGCCAATGAATGTTATGCCTAGCATTCCACATCTTCCACTATTTCTGAGCTTCCAAATATGTTTCTATTTTTTATTGCTGTGAAACAAACCACCCCAATCTCCCAGGCATAGAATAATAATCATTTATTATCATCTCCTTGTTAGAGGGTTTACTGGGCTCAGCTATGTAGTTCTCACTCAGGGTGTCTCAGGCAGTTGAAGCCCAGCAGTGTCTGTGCCTGGATTCATTAAGAAGGCTGGTTCACATGTCTCTTGGTTCATGCAGGCTATTGGCTAAGACCACGCTAGCAACTGTAGCCAGAACACATACTGGATCCTTTCCACGCGTCTTGGGCTTCCTCACAGCATGGCAGTTGGTTTCTAAGAGTGAGCATTGCAAGAGAGTCAGGCAGAGACTACATAGCCTTTTACGACCTAATGTTGAAAATCTTGATGGGTCACTGCCACAACATTCTATGTATTATGGAGTCACTAAGGTCAGCCCATATTCAAGGGGAGGAGAATTGGACTCCATCACTTGATGAGAGAAATGCCAATGAATTTGCAGACCTGTTTTAAAACCACTACAGTCCATCCTCTAGCTGCACACATTTACATTCCTTCCACATAAAAATTACCTTCCTATGCTTCGAAGACATCTCCCACCACCAAGCAGTTTCATTTATTATTACTACAGTCTCAAGCTTTTTTTTTTTAGCTTTTACAACACATGAGGTATTTTAATAACCTACTTTTTATTTTTACTTTTACAAAAGCTTTGGGTTGGTGAAAAATTAAGCAATCTAGGCATGATTTATGGGATGCAGGAGGATGTGGATAGGTTACATGCAAATGTCATTTTATAAAAGGAACACAGCATCTGTGGATTTAGGTATGCTTAGGGGGTCTGGAACCAATCCCCTGCATATGGTTAGGGGATAACCATATTCAAAAGAAACATCAAGCTTTAAGTTCAAGGTCTAATCACCAAATTTTTATAAAATGGAAATGACGCTTTCCCCAACTACATCACATGACTACATCAAGGATCATGTTAAGTACAGGTGAGTATATATATATATATATATATATATATATATATATATATACACACATATATAGATATACACAAAATAATTTATACACAAACATAAAATCATGAAGGCTTTTTAAAAATAGGAACTGTTAATTATACATAAAGCATCTCCATTCGTGCAATTTTTATGTCTTCTTCCAGGTAATTAATTTTATGGAAATATACAATCCTCCTCCTGCCTGCACCTCTCCCACATACACACTACCTTCCTAGTACTCTGGGGAATATTGGGCAAACATTCTCACCACAAAATTATATTAAGAAGTTAAATAAACATTAAATATTGTATGATACATGCATCACACAGGGAACGTTGTTTATGGATGCTGAGATTTTCTAGGCAACCTCAGAATGCTAATATGTTTAACATCAACTATTGCCTCCTTGTTCTGAGATGGCATCTAAGATATGGAGATGTGTCTTTTTCTGTCTTTACTCTCAAGTACTTCTGGAATTTCACTATTTTTCTGAGTTTGGGCAGTAGCTAGGAAAACATCTATGAGACAAAGATAGCTGGTTACTTCCCCAATATCTCTTCTCCCAGATGATAAATATTTTTGCTAAGCATAGGGCCATTCAGCCAAAGGGTTGGTTTCCTAATTTCTCTTGAAGCTAGGTGTAGACACGTGTCTATATTCTGGTCAATCGTATGGAGTAGAAGTGCTGAGTTGTAACTTCTGAGTCAGGCCCTTGGCATACAATAAGCCTAGGTTCCCTTTCTCTTCTTGACTTCCTATTGGCTGGGATGTGGACTCGATAGTGGGAGCTCCCATTATCTATGTTAGACCACTATCTATATTAAACCACTGTATTAGACCACAAGGTGAAAAATGCATGTTGACATTGGCAGAGCAATAAGAACTTCCATATCAGCCTGACATGGTATACTTGGCTACCTACATACTCAGTTACCTAAGAGAGAAAAAGCTTTTATCTGGCGTGACTGTGTTGTAGTAGGCAAAGGGAATGTTAACTGGTGAACCCTTTCCGATTCTGGTCCACAGTCATCTCTCAGAGATGCCCAGCATTGGCCCAACCTCCATTCCTTCTGTCCTCCAGGAAGTCATGGGCTACCCAGGGACTGTTTCCTGTGTGCCTTGCATTCCACCTGACCCACATCTGTCACCAAACTGCTCAGATTGATCAGAGGGAAGGAGACTAAAAACTAGCTTGGTTGATTAACATGTTGCTTCTAGTTTTCTCATGTCTCAAACAGTTCTTCCAAGAACCTATTGACAGGAACAACACTGAAAATATTTACAATTGAAAATTTCCAGGCAATGAGCAATCGGAATGGGCCCCACCAAAAGCAACCACCTCTTCCACTGCCCTCAGTAGGAGCCCAGCCATCAGTGTACACCTGCTGATTGCTGCAGACAGTCCCTCCTGCCTCCTGCTTCCTGCTTAGCTCTCCAGCACCCATTCCCCTTCACAGAACAGCACTGTAGTTGAAACTTTCTATCAACAGGAACAAAAAAGAGACATTACAATTAGATAATGGATTTTGTCCTTAATTTAAAATCATAGCACCTTAGGGAAGACTGCAAGACAGAATCTCTCTTCTGGGTTTTTGTATACACCTATGGAGTTCCTGGACTCATTTTAGCATTTGTGTATACTCAGACTTGTTGCAGACCAATGACGATAGGCCTTGCAGTCCTGGTTTTAAATTCTGGCTTAGTATACCACAAAACAACACACTGTGGCCACAGGCAATCATGCAATTAACAAAATACTTCAACACTCAAGTGGGGATACGGCATTTGCACAAATGAGGTACACTGATTTGCCAAGCAGTAACTGTAACAGCAAAGCAGAGAGACCAGCCTTGTAAGAAATAGCTATTTCAGCCTCAATGACATGATAGCTATTCTGAGCACCTCTATTTAATCAAACTAAAAATTCACTGAGTGCTTATCCCACACCAGACACAGACTCTACAGGTGAAAGGGAGACAAAGATTACTATGATAAAGTCCCAACTCTCAAGTGAACAGATTGATAAACAAAAGACTGTAATTCTGTAGAATTTTCAAATGTCTGGAAAGTGTTACAGGAACACGGATGAGGCAGCAACCACCTCTGCCTGGCATCAGACAGCCTAGAAAGATTTAAAAAGGCAACACTTGAGTCAGGTCATAAAAAGTGAACCAGTACTCACCAGGTAGACAAAGAAGGAAGAGTGCACCAGGTAGTCAGGGATGAAGGCTATGTAGACAGGAAAAGGCACGGTGTCTGCAGGAGGGCAGCAACCAGGGATGAAGCTGCAAGGTGTGGTTGTCAAACACCAGCGCATAAAGAACCCCTGAGGGGCTTACAGGAACTACTGTGCCAGCACCCACCAATATTAAATCAAAATTTCTGGAGATGGAGATGAGCTTCAGGACTTTGTAAAAACTCCTCCAGGAACACTAATATGCAGCCAAGGTTAAAACCAAGATAAGTCTGTGTGTGTGTGTGTGTGTGTGTGTGTGTGTGTGTGTGTGTAGTGAACACCTAGGTCTGCTCTCTTAACAAATGTCAGCTACATGATACAGTATTATTAACTGTAACCACCATGCTATCCATTAGATCTCCAGAACTTTCTCATCTGATAACTGAAACTTTGTACCCTTTGATCATCTCTCTGTTCCCCCTTCTCACACACCCTGGCAAATACCATTCTACTCTTTGCTTTTAGGAGTTCAATGTTTTTAGATTCCCCATAGAAGAGAGTTTACATTTGTCTTTCTGTTTCTGGTTTATTTCACTTAGCATAATGTCATGTGGCTTCGTGCATGTTGTCCCAGGAGGAAACGATGTGAGGCAATAGATATGTTAATTAGCTTGACTGTGGTATACATTTCACAATGTATACATATATCTTTGTACATTACACTGTACGTCTTAAATATCTATACTTTTATTTGTCAATTATATCTTCATAGAGCTGAGGAAATAATAAAAAATAAAAACCAAGATCAAGAAGGGCTCCAAATGTTGCCCTGAATAATGATGTGGTCTTCTGGGACACAGGAATCCTAGGCAGTCCTGGCCCCCTCATCTGCAGGTTTTAGGTGATAAATATCTATGTAAGGTTATGTAATGTCATGCTGTCTGGGGGCAGCAGATGGGTGACGAAGAAATTCATTTCTTGGAGAAAATCCAGGTATCAGAGTTATCGACAGAGCCAAGTTCCCCTCATCCCAGTCCCGTGAAACTGTCCTAATTCTAAAACAGTAAAGTTCATACACTTTAGACTGGCCTCAAATATAAAAGAAAGAAAAAGGAGGAGCGGGGAGGGAGCAGAAGAGAGGGACACCCTGTGATGACAGGTAACTTGACAGGAAACCCACTTCACTTTTTTTTTTTTTTTACAGCATATGACACAGCAGAAAGTATCTCAGTATTTATGTGCTGGGACTGATTCTCAGGCAACGATGGTGGGCAGGTCTCTTGGGCTATACCCTGCTACTGATAGAGCAAAGAAAGGAAGCTAGATATGCTGTCCACTGGGCTCAAACTTCTTTTTATTTGGAAAGTCATTTTCACCCCACACCCACGCCCTGGTCACAACCTGCAGCCACTCGGTCTGGCCTCATCTCAGGTCATTTGTGCTGTTATTCACATAAGGGAATACCTGAGGCTGGATAATTTATAAGGAAAGGAGGTTTATTTGGCTCACTGTTTTGCAAGATATACAAAAAGTATGGTGCCAGCATCCGCTTCCAGCTAGGGCCTCAGGCTGCTTCCACTCGTGGTGGCAGGTGAAGGGGAGCTGGTGTGTGCAGAGAGCACATGGCCAGAGAGGAAGACAGAGACAGAGAAAGGGGAGGGAGGTGCCAGGCTCTTCTAAGCAACCAGTTCTCACAGGAACTAATAGAATAAGAACTCACTCATTATCATTAAGATGGCACCAAGATGTTCATGAGGAATCTGTCCCTCGTGACCCAAACACTTCCTGTTAATCTCCACCTTTAGCTCTGGGGATTCAATTTCAACCTGAGATTTGGAGCGGTCAGATATCCAAACCACACCCTTTGGTCTTTGAACAGTAAGCTGTTCCCCATCAGTCCTTCTTGTTGTCCCTCACATCAGGGTTGCAGAGAAAAACTATGGAAAGTTGGGAGTGCAGGAGGTCATCACTGTAATTTACTGGAAGGACTCACAGAACTCAGCAAAGCTGTGAGACTCAGTTATGGCTTATTATAGAGAAAAGATTACAGATTAAATTTAGCAACAGGAAAAGGTACATACAGGAAGGTCTGGGAGAGTTCCAGGTGCAAGAATCTGGTTGTTGTCTCCCAGGAAAGTCACATGGACAACAATGATACATGTTGTCCAGCAATGATACATGGCAACATGCACAGAGGATTGAAAACAAAGGGAGCTTGCTTGAACATTGGTGTCTAGGTCGATTCCATAGACCTGACTGCTTGCCCACATGGCTGACCTTAGCCTTCAGTCCCTCCAGAGGTCCAGCCGATACAGTGTGGCCCAAGGTCTCCATGATAAATCACATTATTGGCATAGAAATGGGCCAGGCATGGTGGCTCACGCCTGTAATCTCAGCACTTGGGAGGCCGAGGCGGATGGATCACCTGAGGTCAGGAGTTCAAGACCAGCCTGACCAACAGGGTGAAACCCCCTCTGTACTAAAAGTACAAAAATTAGCTGGGCACAGTGGCTCATGCCTGTAGTCCCAGCTACTTGGGAGGCTGAGGCAGGAGAATCACTTGAACCGAGGAGGTGAAAGTTGCAGTGAGCCGAGATCACACCACTGCACTCCAGCCTAAGCGACAGAGCGAGACTCCATCTCAAAACAAACAAACAAACAAAAAATGATATTTGATATTCCAGGTGCTTAGAGGTGATCTCCCAAGAGACAGTCAAGGCCCAAACCTTTCATTGCTCAAGGTTAGTCCTTTACTGTTCAGAACTGGTCGCATCTTGAAGTTCAGTAGAGCAGGGCTAACATCCTTCTGCTCCCACTTCCTGGCTGAGTGGCCTTGGGAAGATTCTTCAGGCTCTCTGAGCCTACTTTGCTTTACTTGCAACATGGAGATAATATCTTAGCTGACTGTTCGGAGCAAGGATGAAGCAAGGATGTGATAAACTGCAAAAGTAGTGAAAATTAGTTACATCCTGACTCAACCCAAAATGAACCAGAGGTTATTCTTGGGGGAAGATCATAGATTTGCAATACCTGGGGCATGTGCACTTGCAGAGAAAAATATCATTTCTATAGGGACACATCATCATTTCACTCAGCAGGCATTTCTGGGGTGCCTACGTGAGCCATATCCTGAAGAGGCAGGAATGAGAAAGGTACGTTTCTGGGCAAGTTGCTGTGATTTGGAAAGTGGTGGATGTAAGGATATTAGTTAGCCTGCAGATTAGCTCTGTCCCAGTGAGATGAGAAGCAATCTGCCTGTCCCAACTTTCCAAATGCCCAGTCAGCTTCTCTCACTAGGCACATCTCGTGGTTGCGCTCCGTGTGCTGGAATACACTATAACTGTGGCCCCCAAGCTTTTTGGCACCAGGAACCAGTTTCGTGGAAGATGATTTTTCCGTGGACTGTGGAGGGGGGCAGTTCAGGATGAAACTGTTCCACTCAGAACATTAGGCATTAGATTCTCATAAGGAACTCACAACCAAGATCCCTCACATGCTCAGTTCACAGTAGTATTCATGCTCCTATGAGAATCTAATGCCACCACTGATCTGACGGGTGGCAGAGCACAGGCAGTAATGCTCACTCACCCCCACCCCGCTCACCTTCTGGTGTGTGGCCCTGGTTCCTAACAGGCCATTGACCAGTACTAGTCTGTGGACTGGGGGTTGGGGACAACTGCTCTATAAGATACAATTGCTGGCCGGGCACGGTGGCTCGCACCTGTAATCCCAGCACTTTGGGAGACCGAGGAGGGCAGATCGCAAGGTCAGGAGATTGAGACCATCCTGGCTAACACAGTGATAACCCATCTCTACTAAAAAAAAATACAAAAAAATTAGCTGGGCATGGTGGCACATGCCTGTAGTCCCAGCTACTCGGGAGGCTGAGGCAGGAGAATCGCTTGAACCTGGAAGGTTGCAGAGAGCTGAGATCACGCCACTGCACTCCAGCCTGGGTGACAGAGAGAGACTCAGTCTCAAAACAAACAAACAAAAATACAATTGCTAGATATAATTGCTTTTTCTCCCCTTAACTACAACTTTAAAAAAATACCCTTAACAATGTAACAGCACACACACACACGTACACACACTTCTCATATTCTTAGAATATTGCTTTCACTTTATATACAACACCTGGCATCGGACAGCTTGGAGGAGGCGTTTTAAATATACTGTGCTCCCTTGCAGATGTTTTGAAAGCTAGTGGATTACAAAATATTAAATTGGAAAATTTTCCTTCTATGTTGTATTTTTGGGGGACTCAAAAATCTCTAGTCTCCAGGTCTTAAGACCTGTGATATAGTTTGGATGTGTGTCCCTGCCCAAATCACATATTGAAATGGAATCCCAAATGTTGGAAGTGGGGCCCATTGGGAAGTGTTTGGGTCATGAGGGGAGGCGGTTTCTCATGAATGCTTTAGCGCCATCTCCCTTGGTACTGTCCTCATGATAGTGAGTTCTCATGAGATCTAATCATTTAAAAGTGTTTAGCATCTCCCCACTCTCTCTCTTGCTCCTGCTTTCAGTCACGTGCCTGCTCCCTCCTTGCCTTCCTTTATGACTGGAAACTTCCTGAGGCCTCCCAGACGCAGAAGCCGCTATACCTTCTGTACAGCCTGCAGAACCATGAGCCAACTCAACTTCCTTTCTTATAAATTACCTAGTCTCAGGTATTTCTTTACAGCAATGCAAGAACAGACTAGTACAGCCAGTATAGTTTTGTGTCAGTCACTCATCAATTCAACAAAATTTTATTGAGTGCCTACTATGTGCTATCAGTATTATAAGCAATAGCAGGGAAAAAAACAAAAACAAAAAACAAACAGATGTTTAAAATCCCTGCCTTTGTGGCACTTACATTCTGGTGGACTCTGACAGAATATTGGCTTTGGAAAGTTATGCACTAAGCACAAGTCACTTATCAACTGTGAGACCCTGAGCACCTGACCAAATCCATCTGAGCCCCTTTCATCATTTTGAAACAGACCTAAAAATACCAGCTTCCTAGGGTTATTGTGAAAATAAACTAAGCAAACATAATAAAGCACCTAGAACAATTTTGGCTTATAGAAGCTGCTGGATGTCTATTAGGTTTTCTTTCCCTTCTACCATTTATTTCCAGGACCCCATGCTATACTGGTTATAAAGCCAAGGGAAGAGAAGGCATTATTAGGTGCAGATTAATTAGAAGGAAGACATGCTTGCCACTGGACAAACTCAGGTAAAACTTAGGTCTGGTGTCTTGACCTGCTTACCTACTATTTCATCTTTACTCACTCAAACAAAGAAGATACTGACAGATAGAAGGAAAGACTCCAGGGCATGGTGAGGAGACCTGATTTTAATTCTAGCTCCTCAAACAATAGCTATATATCTTTGTGGAATTTACTTTTCAGTCTCAATTCCCTGACCTGCAAGATGAGGGGCAGTACTAGATCCATGTTCTCAAGCAAGGCTACCCACTAGAATCCTCTGGGGAGTTCTCACAACCTACAGAGTCCTAGAAAATTACACCAGAATCCTTGGAGGAATTCTGTAAAAGCTGCCCTGCTATGAAGCCAGGACTGAGAACTTCTGGGCTGCCCTTCAGCTCTAATACCCAGGACTACTGGGCTGGCAAACTCATATTACTTTTAAGACAATTACCAGGTTTCTAGATTCTACTCATGTATTATCTTATTGAATCCTCAAAACAACCTCAAAATATAGGTATCATGATCCTCAGGATACAGGTTAGAAAAAGAGAGATTCTTTAACTTGCTGCAAGTCACACCCAGTAAGTTCTAGAGCTGAGATCTAAACACGAGTCTCTAGGATAGATGCTCAGACTAAGGAAGTGTTACCCCTCCACATGTCTCCATTCTGTGTTGCTCTCAGGTCAGCTTCTGTAACATCAAAGTCTGTTAGACACACAAATAAGCAGGCACAGTATGCAGCCAGGAGCCTAGAAGTGGGAGGGAGCCCAGTACAGCCAGCCAGCAGCAGCAATCCCAGCCCGGAGGGCACGGTGTCGCTGTGCTTCAGGATGCGCTGTCCTCTGTGCATTCCATCTGTGGAGGACACTTACCGCCTCTCCTGCACCTCTCCTTAGTGACTCCAAACTCATCTGGCTTTTTGGTCTTAATGCAGGATTTCTTAACATCAGCACCACTGACATTTGGGACTGGGTTATTCTTTGATGTGGCGTTGTCCTGTGCACTGTGAAGGGTGAGCAGCATTCCTAGCTTTTATCTACTGGAGAGATGCAAGTTGCACACCCATCCTCCTCCCTGTGTCTTAACCATCAACAGTGTCTCCAATAGTTTCCAAAAGTCGCTTAGGAGGCGTAAAATCACCCAGGGTAAGAACAACTGCCCAGGGTTCCCACATCCCTGATGGGTGCTTCCCCTACTTCCTGACCAAGTTTGATTTTACTCTGATGGTTCAGCTCTCCCTTCTTAGCATCTGCTGCCTCATATGATTTTCCGTCTCAGCATTGTCCTCAGGAGGCTGGCCTCTTGACCTCCCAGAAATAAGCTGTGCTCAGTCAAGGGAATAGTCACTCGGGGAGGAGTGTGTTCCTCTGCCTGGGGCCAGCCCTACATTTTAACTGGTGCCCTCTGTCTATTGCTGGTGGGTAGGAACTCCAGCCAGCCCCACTCTCAGAGAAACTCAGACATACCATGGGCCACTTTCCTTTAATACTTGGCATTCCTCAGCCAAACTCCCTACATTTTGACTGCGAAATTTCTCAGACTTTAACTTCTCATTTTTAAGAAGGCACCCAGCAGGTGGACACTTTATGTATTCCTATTGCATCTGCCAGGGCTTTTTTAAAACCAGCATGAAGGGCCAAATAATGGGTTTAACTCTGTAAAGCATCATGCAAATGGCTCATTGACACATCCCCCAGACAAGTAGAGCTGGTAGCCAAACTCCAGCAGAGCCTGAAAAGGAAAGTCCCAGGACTCAGTTTCCAGGACTGCAGGCCACCTTTACCCTCGGCAATCAAGCTGCTCCCTAAGCCCACCCCCCTCCTTTCTACCCCACTTCCTTCATCTAGAGGATAAAGAAGGAAAAGTAACATTTCAGCCCTGACTCTCTCAGGATGTGACTGTTGGTAAGACCCTACCCTGGATGTAATGACGCGGGCCGTCCATTTTTCGATCGTTGGCACTCATGCATCTATGTTGGCCTTGTGGCGTCTGGTGATAGGAAGACTGCACTTTGCAATCACACAGAACTTGATTTCACTTTTGCTGTGTGTCCCCAGCAAATGTCTTAACTTCTGAAGACTTTCATTTCTCCTCTATATACTGAAATATTATTACATCTGAGGTTTTCTTGAGTGCCACTGAAAAGATGAAATAAGTTAACACATGCAAGGTGTCTAGAAGTTTCTCATTGATTGATAGTTGCTGCGAGTGGAAGTGATGGTGCTGGGGTTAGAACAACATAGAAATAATGTGTGTGAGTTTCTTTACCCCTTGGACAGACTCTACCCTAGATAACTGAATCTTTTTTGACCCTGGAGAAATAGGCCAGCCTAGAAGGAGATTTACCTATTAGGTCTCCTTGTTGCAATTAGAGTTTTCCTTTTGAGTCAGCCTTAAGCCTTGGGTTTCTTGTTTCTTCTTGCCTGAGAAGACCTTACTAAATTACAGGAATTTCCCAAGAAGAAAGTACTTCAGACAGCACCCAGAGAGTCCATCCAAAAGGCCCCCACAATGATCCTAAAACTGTCTTCCAAAATGTATCTCTCTCTCTCACATACACACATACATATATATGTGAGAATATATGTGAATATATGTGTGTGTCTATATGTATATATGTGAATATATGTATATATGTGTGTGTGTACATGTGTATATATACACATGTACATATGTATATGTGTATATGTGTATGCATATATGCATATATACACACATATATGTATATATGTTTATGTGTATGTGTTTATATGTGTATACATATATATGTATACGTATATGTTTATGTGTATACATATATGTATACACACATGTATATGTATGTATGTATGCATACATATATGTATATGTATACACACATATATGTATATGTATACACACACACACACATACAGAGTCAAGTCAATCAATAAATATCTCTACTCCTTTCCGGCTCCTAGAAAGGATTTCTGCCTCTGCTTTGGGGTGGGGGTGGAGGTAGTTGTTCTATTCTCTTTGAATACCATCAACAAATACCATCAACATTGTTTTATCTAAAAGCAAGACATAAATAATTAATTGACAACCTACTGCTGTCAGTGCTTTAACTGGCCAGTGGGTTCACCTTGCCCGCTGCTTAGACAGAGTTGATTTATCAAGACAGGGGAATTGCAAAGGTGAAAGAGTAATTCACGCAGAGCTGGCTGTGCGGGAGATCAGAGTTTTATTATTACTCAAATCAGTCTCCCCGAGCATTCGAGAATCATAGTTTTTAATGATAACTTGGCAAGTAGGGGCTCAGGAAGTGGGGAGTGCTGATTGGTTAGGTTGGAGATGGAATCACAGGGGGTCGAAGTTAGGTTTTCTTGCTGTCTTTTGTTCTTGGGTGGGATGGCAGAACTGGTTGAGCTGGATTACTAGTCTGGTGGTGTCAGCTGATCCATCAAGTGCAGGGTCGGCAAAATATCTCAAGAACTGATCTTAGGTTTTACAACAGTGATGTTATACCTGAGAGCAATTTAGGGAGGTTCAGACTCTTGGAGCCAGAGGCTGCATGACCTTTAAATTGTAATTTCTAATCTTGTAGCTAATTTGTTAGTCCTGCAAAGGCAGATTGGACCCCAGGCAAGAAGGGGCTTCTTTTTGGGAAAGGGCTGTTATCAATTTTGTTTCAGAGTCAAACCATGAACTGAATTCCTTCCCAAAGTTAGTTCGGCCTACAGGTAGGAATAAATAAGGACAACTTAAGGGTGAGAGGCAAGATAGAGTCAGTTAGGTCTGACTTCTTTCGCTGTCATAATTTCCTCAGTTATAATTTTGCAAAGCTGGTTTCAGTGCTGGCCAGTCTACATTATTTACAGTATATTGCATAATTCACATGAAAACTATGTGCAGTAAGGATTATCATTATTCTCATCCCTTTTCCATATTAAAGCAACTAAAGCTCAGGGCAACAAAGCAAATACTCCCAAGGGGGGGCGGGGGGTGTCAAAATGTTTATTCCAATCTCAGGCCCTAATTTAAAGTCCACTATTTTTTACATGGCATCGCATTGCTTCTCAGTCTTCTTTCTCTCAAATCTCTTTCACATTGTATTAACAGGGTTTGAAAGTGGAGAGCCTTGCATGGTACCACAGGATGGACTTTGTTACATGATAGAGAGTTTGATGCTAAGAATTATGACACTTGCCCCAGAATAATTAGGGCTTTTATAAGACATTGCAGGCACAAAGTTCACAAAAGAAAAACTAGAATAGGTTAATTCGTAAGCAGATGATTTCTATTTTCTTGCCAAAATATTTCATTCCTTTGGTTGTACATCTCTCTTTTCCTCCCTTTTTAAGACTTGATTGGCATTAAGTTGCAAGTGGTATCAGATACCTGACTCAGACTGGTTGAAGTGAAAAGAGAATTTTTTGGCTCATATGACTAGGAAGCTCAGAAATGGATAGATCCTAGAATATGTCTTTCTCTTCATGTTTCAACCCTGCTTGGTTTCATCTACTAAAAGATTTCCCTCAGAAGCCTGCCTGCATATCTAAACCCACATCTTCCTAGTTCTTCCATGCCAATGGAAAAAGAATCCTACTGACAAAGTTCATGTGTTAATTCCAAGAAAGACACTGGCTAGGCCTGCATGGGTAGTATATGAACACCTGTAAGCCAATCACTCTACCTAGATGGATGGGATGCTCTGCCCAGTTAAGGTCATATGCCCTCTGTTGAGCTAGGGGTAAGGACAGGAAATTAATGTCTATACTCTATCAAGACTGCATGGATGGAGGGAGGGATTCCCCAAAGGAATCAGATGAAAAAGTGTTAGAAAGCATGCTGGATACACACACACACACACACACACACACACACAAATGTGACTAACACTGTCTTCTATCATAATAAAATGGGACAATTTCAAGATCTTTACATCTTACGTAAGCCTCCCAAAACTCTCAAAGGTATTGCCACTGATGAGACATAGAAATGCTTTCTACACAGTTCAGAGTTGTCCTGAAGGCTTTCTGAAGCCACTCTGCCCCTTTGCTACTTTTCCTGCCTCTACCAATCCTCCCAGCATTTGAAAACCTGGGAACACACAGTCTCATCCCTAATTCCCACAGTCCATAAGCAAGATGCCCCCAGGTATTTAATCCCTTACTGTGTCTGCCCCATCCTGTGGCCCAGTGTCGTCTATAGGATATGGATTTTATGAGATTCTGTTGCTTACTCATGAAGATCCTATGGAAGGCTTTCTTGACAGTGAGACATAATAAAGCCTCAATCCTTCGCTCAAAATAAGTTGAGATGATTCTGAATGATAAACTGCAAAAATTGGAAAAACATTGCTGTATAAACCTCATTCCTTTAGAATTGGTTCTGGTGGAGATATACTAGGGAGAGTCAGTTTAATATGCATCCTGAGGAGCAGGACATGGGAATTGAAGTGAGGTGATGAAGAAGAAAGTCCAATGATTACGGAGACCACTAAGGAGAGTTGGTCACCCTGCTTCAAGAAAGAAATGATGACTGTTAAAATTGTACAAAAGAACCATACAGCTCATTTCTATGAACCCAGAAAGAGCAGTATTTAAACTCAAGCTTTCCAGGTACTTTAAATCTGCCATTATGGAATATGATACCCAAGTAACATGAAAGGTGACGTGAAGGAGAGGTTTCATTACATAGTTACACTTGATTTGCTCAATTTTTTTTTTCAAAACACATATTGGAAGTGTCACTGCCAGTGCCACTGCTCCATATACAGTCCCAGCAACTGAAGAGAGTCTCAGAACCAGTTACAGAACATTGAATCGTACAATGTCCCCTTTTTTGCTTTGGCTACCAGGAGACCAAATTTTGTCCTCAATTCTTAAACTTTACATACAATTGTTTTTACATTTATTATCCCAATCTTCACCACAAACATAAGGTAAGTGCTATTACACAGAATTTACAGATGCAGAACTGAGACTCAGAGGGATAAAGGTCAGATGGGGGCAGACCCACAGCTGGAATCTGGTCTGGTAGGCTCCAATTTCACTTCTATGTCAGTGCCCCTCTTCTGAAATTTCCATTCTGAACCCCATTTGAATGTGATCTCTTCCCTAAACTCCCCAGATCACATGCTTGTTGTATTAGGCTACCACAGTGATGAATATCAATGGGCTACCACATTGTGCCAAGGCTTTTAAGAGTTTTTGAACATCACTAATGTATGACCTTTTCAAGAACTAAGCAACTGTTCAAATGTTGTGAGATCTCCATGCTTCAAGAGAATTCTGTTTCCCACACATTTATTGCACCTGGATAAATAAGCTGAACATGGGTTTTCTGGAACAAGGGTTTTATGTTATTAATGTTGCAGATGCAAAAATATCTCCAAAATTAATGCTAGGGAGAGGTCAAATAAATGACTCTGGACACTGTGCCAGTCGGATGCTCATTATTATATGAATGTTGCCCATTCAAAGCCTTCAGTGACATCCTCCAATATATGCAAATATGCATTGGAAAAAATGGAAATGTATGTAAATGATGCAGAGGTTACACTGGCCTATTAACATCACAAATCCCCATTTACAGTCTACTTTTAATTTAAGTGATCTTTCTATTAGGAGAACCATTTATGAAGTTAATCTGGAATGAAATCACAGCGTGTCAATTAAAAGGGTGGGACAGTGAGACCACCATCAATTGGTACCTTTTAGCAGATGTCTTAATTAGGCTTCTCGGTGGCAGATTGACCAACCACACTCTGTGAAAGTCATTTTCAAGTTTGCCTCTGAGGGCTCTCTTTTTCAAACTTTCTCTTTTTCTTCTTTATGTTTAAATTCTGCCTATTACAAGGTTTCCCTTTGTGCATTTTTTCCCCCAAGATTTTATTCTTTTTCTCTTTTCTTCTTACTATAAGAGTATGCCAGAGAGAATATTTCACCCCTAGGGGCTGGGGCACTGAAAGCTTTCATTTATTTGAAGTATTTGTGTTATCTTAAACATTTATTTGAAATTTGCATTCTCCCTCTTAAAACAGCCAGGCTTATTTTAACATAAAATTTTGTTTAAAGTCATATAGCATCTAGTAAAATTGAAGCCATGTTATTCTGTATTTTTGTCTATCTGTGGCTCATGATCTAAGTGGTAGGGGTAGGCCTTACATACCTAAGTTTGAAAAGCATGAATTGAATGAGAAGAGCTTCAGGACCATTCAAACTGAGCTCAAAACTTGATGCTGCTATTTATTAAGGGCGTGACTTGGGGCAAGTTATGCAGTCCAGACTGAATTCTTCAATGCTAGCAATCCTACTTTCCTACTTTCTTTTCACTCCATCACCTAGCTCAGGACCTGACACACAATTAATGCCCAGACTTTTTTTTTTTTTCAATAAATGCTGTCTCTATGGCTAAATAGTTTTTTCTTTCTAAATGGTGATAACATCTTAGCATCTACATCACAGTGTTTTGGTGAGTATTTTAAAGAAATATTTCCCCTTCTTTTAGAAAGAATAATTTCCCTGTAGAAGTAAATAACTATTTTGTGACAAAAAAAATGCCTTAGCAAATTTAGATGCTACTAATTAAGACAAGCGCTTTATTGCTTTTCTTGGGAGAGAAAAAATAAAATGCCATATATAGAACATAATTAGAAATTAAGAGTGAAGTATCTCCTGTTGTTATCGACCAGAGGCTAACATACATTTACTGAGGAGTGAGATAGTAAATATTTTCAGCTTTGTAGGTCATACTGTCTTTGTTGCAACTACTCATCCCTGGCATGTACTGCAAAAACAGTCATAGACAATGCTAACCAAATGGGTTAGGTAGCTGTGTTCCAATAAAATTGTATTTACAAAAATATGTCGCAGGTTGGGTTTGGAAAGCCACACAGACTGTATAGCCCCCTCTACAGACTATTCAAATGTTACATCCTGGAAATTGCATTAGACATATTTAAATAGTTGGTTTTAGTTTTTAAAATAAAGATATCAGATGAAATTAATTTAAGCTTAAGAGGATAAATGTAAACCATAAAGCACAATCTGAAACACAAGTAGGTCATCTCTGAATGTTGAAGACAAGTAAGACAACAACATTGTTCAGACATAAGACATGATATTTAGCCATGTAAGATGCAATATGTAGCCTGGCCTTCCTTTTTGAGATGGAGTTTTACTCTTATTGCCCAGGCTGGAGTATAATGGCCCAGTATCACTGCAACCTCCACCTCCTGGGTTCAAGCAATTCTCCTGCCTCAGCCTCCTGAGTAGCTGGGATTACAGGCACCTGCCACCACTCCTGGCTAATTTTTGCATTTTTAGTAGAGTTGGGGTTTCACCATGTTTTCCAGGCTGGTCTTGAACTCCTGACCTCTAGTGATCCACCCACCTCGGCCTCTCAAAGTGCTGTGATTACAGGCATGAGCCACCACGCCCACTCCCCTCTTTTTTATTTATTTATTTTTTGAGACAGGGTCTCACTGTCACTCAGGCTGGAGTGCAGTGGTGAAATCAAAACTCACCTCCCAGGTTCAAGTGATCCTCCCACCTCAGCCTCCCAAGTAGCTGGGAACACAGGTGTGTGCCACTATGCCTAGATGGTTTTTGTTTTTGCTTTTTGTAAAGACAGAGTTTTGCTATGGAAGTGCTGGGAAGGGAAGGGCATGGTCCCTTTAAATGTTATGGAAAGAGGTAGCAAAGTGCTGGGAAGAGGAGGGCATGGTCCTGGCTAGGGCTCCACCTCCAGGCCTGTGCCCACAGACCTAGGTGCGGACAGATATTTTTGTTTTCCTGCTTAAATGTTGCATTTCCACCCTGGCCTGCCACACCCCCATCCTGTGCTATAAAATCTCCAACACCTGGCAGGGCATGGTAGCTCATGCCTGTCATCCCAACATTTTGGCAGGCTTAGGCGGGCAGAACATGAGGTCAGGAGTTCTAGACCAGCCTGACCAACATGGTGAAACCCCGTCTCTACTAAAAATACAAAAATTAGCCAGACGTGGTGGTGTGTGCCTATAATCTCAGCTACTCAGGAGACTGAGGCAGGAGAATCGCTTGAACCCAGGAGGTGGAGGTTGCAGTGAGCCGAGATTGCACCACTGCACTCCAGCCTAGGCGACAGAATGAGACTCCATCTCAAAAAAAAAAAAAAAAAAAAAGCAAGCTCCAGGAGCACATCAGCGGAAAAACACACGAGTGGCTGGACGTCGAGAGGGATGCACCAACAGGCACTGGCATGTCGACAGGCCACTGACCATCAGAACAATGGGAAGTTTGGCTGGGGCAGTCAGAAGAGAGCCTGGGCTACTGGGCGGCCTGACTCCAGGGGAAAACCATCTTCCTTCTGACTCCCCCATCTGCTGAGAACTACTTCCACTCAATAAAACCTTGCACTCATTCTCCAAGACCACGTGTGATCCAATTCTTTCGGTACACCAAGACAAGAACCCCAGGATTTTGGGAAAGCCCTCTGTCCTTGCAATAAGGCAGGGGTCAATAAGCCCTGCAATAAGAGGGCTTTCTGTATCCTGGGGTTCTGGTCTTGGTGTACGGAAAGTATTGGATCACACGTGGTCTTGGAGAATGAGTGTGAGGTTTTATTGGGTGGAAGTAACTCTCAGCAGATGGGGAGCCAGAAGGGAGATGGTTTTCCCCTAGAGTCAGTTCACTCAGTGGCCCGGGCTCTCCTCCAACTGCCCCAGCCAAACTCTGTGTCGTTCTGCCAGTCAGTGACCTGCCGGCATGCCAGTGCCTGTTGGTGCATTCCTTTCGACATCCAGCCATCTGTGTGTTCCTCCGCTGATATGCTCCTCTCGACATCCAGCACTTCTGTGTCTGCCTGCTAGGGTCTTGTGGTTTTTATAGGCACCGGATAGGGGCGTGGCAGGCCAGGGTGGAAATGCAACATATGGGCAGGAAAACAAAAATACCTGTCCTCACCTAGGTTCGTGAGCACAGGCCCAAGGGTGGAGCCCTAGCCAGAACCATGCCCTCCTCTACCCAGCACTTCCCTGCCCGCTTCTGTATTATTTAAAGGGACCACACCATTCCCTTCCCAGCACTTCTGAATCAGTTTCCCCATGTTGCACAGGCTGCTCGAACTACTGGGCTCAAATGATCCCTCCACCTCGGCCTCCCAAAGTGCTGGGGTTACAGGCATGAGCCACAACACACAGCCTAGCCTTCCCTATTTAAATAAACTTTATCTCAAAACATTTTGCACTGACTTCAGTGAAGACTAATGTGATGTTGCAGGGCTGTTTCTGCAGAGATTTGAAGCCTAATATATCATAGGCTTCAGGGCGTAGGACTGTTGTCTAATGGCAAAGAGAAACAGATCAGGCAAATGCTTGGCTCTCAGATGACCTTAGTTAAGTCACCAACCCATTGTCCAAAACAGAAGAATATAGGAATAATAAAATTTAAAATGTTTATCTTGGGCCCTCACAGAGCAACGGTTGAAATGCCATGTCAGGAGAAAACACAATAATCTTAATTATATACCCCAGGGGACAGTTTGGTGGAATAGAAAAAGCATAGACATTTGGAGACAGAAATCGAAATTCAAATCTCAGTTTTGTCACTTATTTTATGATGAAGAGCGAAGTTCTTTAATCCTTCGAACCCTGTTTCTTCATTCATCTGTAAAGTAAAGATGACAAAATCTGTCCTTGAAGTACGTGGTTGGTTGAGAGGTTTCAGTGAGCTGGACGCATGAGCTAATATATGTTCATAGCACAGTCGATAATGCACAGTATGAGCTCCGTAAATGTTCATTTCTTTACTTTCCCATCTCCTTTCCCCAACTACACATAAAATAAGACCTTTCGGCTGCTCTCAGCCAGACCATCCATTTCCCCTGCTAATAAATGAGAGTTTTATTGTTCCTTCTCAGATGTTGAATTATACTGTTGGTATCACTGCTACTGTATCTTAATCCTTTTGCTAATGTACCATTTTACCTTGAATTGTTACACAGTGTCCTGCCCCTCCTACTCCTCTCCTGCCTTGCTGCAAAGTCATGAGTCAATTCTTTTCAAATATTATCGTCCTAATAATAGCAGTCTCTTATAAGAACATCTAATTGCCCTCACTCATTATATTTCACTTTTTTAAGTCATTTAGCTGTTTACAGTTGTTCCTTTCTTTTATCCAGTTGTATTTATCCATTTAAAAGCCTAGTGTTATATGTATTTGTGCATAAGTATACTTTATACTTACACACACACATTCACACACACACATATCCTTTTTCCTAATTTCCTGAGACTCTTTTTTTAGTAAATAAGTTATTATTTGGTAAATAAATAAATTATTAGCAAACAAGATTTGAGATAAATGCATTAATGTAGTTAGAATATTTAAGAAAATGCAAACTTTTCAGGCCTGGTGAAAAGCACGCTTTAGTAGCATCCATCTGCATTCTTTAGACATTTAAAATTTCAATTGCTGCTTATCTATTCATTAGAGAAGATCAAATACGACTTGTTTTAGCAAGTTTTGACTTTTCTATTTCATTTTCAGCAAACCATAAAATCTCAATGTCTAAGGATTTCACCTTCAAGGTTGATATCATATACAAGCATAAATTTGAGCTCACTGGGCTGAAGGTCTGATGTGCAAAAGAGAATCTCTCAGATGGAATACAAGATTAGTTGACTGAACACTGAATATTTGGAGACTAACACAGGTGCTCAGAAATATGGGGGTGGGGTGTCAGGAGTCTACTGAATTCTTAGAAATAATTATTATTCCAAGCAGCACTAAGAGACTGGAGATGAGCTGACCTTAACAAAACAGCACTCTCTGGTCCTGCTGCCCCTAATCCCATTCTTCTCCCATGCATTCTTCTCACTGTGGCAAGAATTATCTTTATAAACTGCAATCTTGCACAACATACTTCAATGGTTCTCTATTATAGACAGCAAGACATTCAAACTCTTTGGGATGATTTTTAAAATTTCCTTATCACTGTCTAATGAGGATATATCTCTATCCCCATTTCCTAATTTTCCCTTACATATAGGGTTACTAGACTTAGTAAAGAAGAAAGAAAGAAAACCAGTTAATAACATTTCGTATGTCCCAAGCAATATTTGGATGTACTTATACTAAAAAATTATATCTTGTTTATCTGAAATTTAAATTTAACTACATGTTCTGTATTTTATCTGGCAAGCCTACTTACATGGATATCATTATCCATCCAAACTGAACTGTTCTTGTAGTTTCTTAAACGTACTTTTCTACTTTTCTACCTTGCTTAATTATTTTTGCAAGAGCAGGACCATGTAATCAATCCCAAATATTTTGCACATTGTTGATACAGGCAAGAAGTAGTTGTTGAAGGAAGAAAGGGAGGGAAGAAAGGGAGGCAGAAAGAATGGGGTAAGGGAAAAGAAAAATACTTTTAAATATCACAGAGGCTTATATTCTCCCTAAAGTAAAAACCTTCTACTTCTAAATTTCTCTGGAAATCCTTTCCTTGCCCCTGTTGATGGAGTTAAATGTTTCTTCATCTGAGCTTCCATAGCCTCATAATATATACCCCTAAAAGAATGTGTTACAATTCTGCTATTATTATTTAGTCACCTTAATCTCCTACTAGACCAAATTTATCAATAGCAGGGAGTAATCTTTCTTTTTATTGTTTACTTTTTCCCATGGTGCCTGGGACATCAGAGGCATTCAATAAATGTTTGGATAAATGCTTGGTTAAATGAAAATTGTACTAAATTAATAAGATCAGTTAATTTTTAAAATAGATCCAGAAACATCTCAGGCTATTTTTTAAAAAAACCAAGGATAATTGAGATACTTTGCCTAAAAAGATCCTTCAAAGTCAAAATGAAGCATTGCTACAGCCTTCTTGGTCCTATCCCATGAGGAAGCACTTGATTTTAGAGATTCATGCCAAGCAGCCTGGCAAAGCTACCACTACGTTGAGGGATCCTTTGTAAGAGAATCCATTTAAGGCCACCAGACACAGCTTTTAGTGGTTATAGTCGTGTCAACAACATCCAGGTGTGCTTCATGGTATGCAGCCAAGATGGCATGGAAGCTACCATCTGGAAACACAGCTCGATTTTCCCAAGACAGGCTTCCTCTACAGACAAATACTTCTTCTTGAGTTCCTGAGGCCTTTTCTTTCCTGGACACTTCTGGCATGTGAAGTCTGGAACCCATCTGGAGTCCCAAGTCCAGTGTCCTCTGACTCGACCAGCCTGAAGCTGAGGGATGAGTGAACTTCTTATATCCACATGTCTGTGAGATATATACATATATCATACATATATATATGATATGTATGATATATATATCATATATATATGATATGTATGATATATATATCATATATATAGGTTTTTGTCCACAGTTCCTGACTCATAACCTCCATAGCCCTTGTTATAGACTTTTGTTACAATGTTGGGTGTGTTAGAACTCAGGGGCAGGCCTCAGGAAACACAATCTCTCTGACCTTCCTTTGCCTTTCTTTCACCTGCTCCAAATCTCTCCTACCTTTCTGATTGTGGGTCTTAAGGCCCTCCCCAGAAAGGTTCCTGCCCTTTAGCATTGAAGAAAGAGTGTGGATGTCATGGAGTTTCAGTAAAAATCCAACAGGACTTGGTTTGGGGAGCTGCCAGATAGCTGACCATACGGAGGTTCCTAGAGGGTGGTGCACCCAGGGAGGGTATGGAAACTCCACATCCCTTCCCCCATACCTCGCCCTATTTATCTCTTCATCTGCATCCTTTGCAATATCCTTTATAATAAACCAGTAAAGCAGGCATGTGTTTTCCCTGAGTTCTGTGAGCTACTCCAGCAAATTAATTGAACTCGAAGATGGGGTCCTGGGAACCCCACCTTGAGGCCAATCATTCAGGAGTTCCATAGGCCTGGACTTGTTACTGGTATCTGGGGACATCGGAGGTCAGTCTTGGAGACTGAAGCCTCAACCTGTGGAATCTGACACTATCTCCAGGTAGAATGCCTCCAGGGAGAATGCCACCCAGCTGGTGTCTGCTGCTTAGTTTGTGGGGAGAAATCCCCACACATTTGGTCACAAAAGTCTTCTTTTGTGTCGTTTATTGTGGTGGTGGTGGTGGTGGTGTGAGAGCAGAGGAAAAATTTGGTCTGAGAGTTTTCCCAAAGCAATGTCTAATAAAGATAGCCCCACACAAGCCTACATGAGCACCTGCTAGAGTGACCCTGTTAACATGTGAGTCCGATCTTATCAATGTCTTTCTCAAGAGCCTCCTGTGGTCTCCATCTCACCCAGAATAAAAACCAAAGTCCTCACAATGAACCATAAAGACATACAGGACCTGTCACCCTGCTACCTCTGCAACATCCTCTTCTCGCATTCTTCCTGCCACAATGGCCTCTTGCTATTGCAGAAACTCTCCTGCATGCTTCCATCTCAGGTCTCTTAAAGTGGCTGTTCCTGTGCCTGGAGCATTTCTCCCCATGAAATCCACATGGCTGGCTCCCTTACCTCTATAGGGTCTTTCTTCAAATGCCATCTTGTCATTGAGGCCATCCCCTCATCCCTCCCTTTTTATTTTTCCTTATAGCAATTATTACCTTCTATCATACACATTCCATTATATATTTTATTTTATTTTGTCTTCCTCCTTTAGAATGTAAGCTCCATGAGGGTGCAACTTTTGTCAGCTATATTTACTGCTGAATCCCAAGAGTATAAGAGAATACCTGGCAATAAGTTCACATAACTTTTGTTGAGCAAGTAAGCATCTGCACTCATTGGTCAAATAATCATCAACAGCAAAAGCAGGGAGAAGTAAAAAATAATAGCAGATATCAAAGTCCAAAGAAAAATCAGGACTGCTTGACTTTACTGTTCTTGAGTTGCCTCTCCAGAGCATCTGTGAGTTGCAATTTTCCTCCTCAATGGAATTGGAACACTTCCTTTTCTAGTTACTTTAATTATAGCTCTGCTTGTCCCAGCCCTTCAGAGCGGTAGGTATTAGCAATTCTGCAATCAAGATTCTGCAGTGCCTCTGAATTTTAAAGTGGGGTCTTCTCATCAGGTAGAGTCTACATTTGGTCTGGCAGTCACTAGCAGAGTGACTAAGTGGCTGATCTGAGTTGCTGGGAGCTATTAAGCCGAAGTCTTTCTCAGTGGCCCCTTTGCACATACTCAGTTGTAGGATTCGGCATCTGTCACAATGAATAGACCTGAGGTCCACTGGAACTCAAGTCCTGAAAACCCACTTAACTGTGTCAAGTTCCTCTCTATAGAGACTAAACCCTGCCTCTACAAATCCAGTTACTTGATGACTGCCATTCCAAAAGGGACCAAGATGCCACTCTGTACCTGGAAAAGGATGGTATAGAGTCAAATGCGCTTCAGTTCAAATTTCAGCCCCTTCATTTCCCATCAGAGTTGTCCTGAACAAGTTCACTCCCTCTGGGTCTCTGCTTTCTCAGTTGTGAATGGAAGTATTGTTCAGATCGCGGGACAATTATGAGAATTACAGAGACAATACAGGAAAATCTCTCAATATGACAGCAGCATAGATAAGTCGTTCAGCAAATCTGAGGTCCCTTCTAACTTTTGGAAAATTCAAACTACTCTACTCTGCCCCCTGGCTGACCCTTGGCCATCAAGCCCAACCTGGCTCTGTCCAAAGTTCAACATGCCACTGTGAACCCTGAGAATGAGCCTGCTGGTCACCCCACTTGGGAGCACAACCTGCAGCCTGCTGGGCTGCTATTTGATCCCATCAGAGCCCTGGACATGGTTCTTGATACCTGTAGGCTTTAGTGAGAAATAAGGATAGGCTGTGTGAAATTGGGTTACAACCTTTAAAGTACTGCTTCAAATATGAGGCACTAGCTTTTTAATGTAAATTTTAAATCCTGCAGAAAAAGGCAAAGAGAGAATTTCCCATACATCAGGGACCCCTACATAATCACTGTGATATGCAGTTTTCCATACTTCGTTCCCAATGACTTAGCCAGTTCAATATAAGCGTTCACGTTTTTAAAACAGAAACTGCGGCCCAGATATTTTAACACCTGGGTTCATGAAGCAAACTTGCAATGAAGGAGAGTTTAAATCCAAATGGCTCTGATTCAATAGATCATGCTTTTTGAACTTCATCATGCTTCTCACAAAGATATGTTTAACAAACCAAAAATTATTCTAAGCCAATTCACCAAGTTGACCAAAATTAACCAAGAAGCCCATCATATGAACTTTCTCTGTGAATAAAAAGTGACTTCTCTTTTACTTTATTTTTATATGGACAATTAAGGAAGCAGTACCTCAGGAGAATGGAAACTCCTGGCATAAGGTGGCATGTCTCATTTATTTGTCTAACCACAGAGTTCCTTTCACACAATAGGTTATGAGAATTTTTGTTAAATGCACTCTTTATACCTAGAATTTTAAATTGATTTCCATAATTGAAAATAATAAGGCTGGCTGGGCATGGTAGCTCATGCCTATAATCCCACCAATTTGGAAGACCTAGGTAGGAAGATTGCTTGAGCCCAGGAGTTCGAGACTAACCTGGGTCCGAACATTATGAGACCCTGTCTCCACAAAAAAAAAAAAAAAAAAAAAAAAAAAAAAAAAAAAAAAAAAAATTAGCTGAATGAGTGGCACATGCCTATAGTCCCAGCTACTCTAAAGGCTAAAGTGGGAGGATTGCTTTGGTCTGGGAAGTTGAGGGCTGCAGTGAGCCATGATCACACCACTGCACTGTAGCCTGGGTGACAGAATAAGACCCTGTCTCAAAAGGAAAAGAAAAAAAAAAGAAAGCTCTTTATAATATATGAAAAAAAGACCAAAAAATCCAACTTTTACTATCCAGACAACTACTGTGAATATTTTGGAATACTTTCTTCTATCTGAATAATGTGTATATTTTTCATTGCAATATTATGGTATGTTAAAATTAAATATAGCTATTTTTAATACTGTCCACTTACTTTTCATTAAGCAGAGCAAACTTCTTTCCGTAGAAAATTTTAAAAATAAAAAAACACAAAGAATATATAAGACACAATTTAACTTTATGAAAACAGTGATCAGTATAATCAATCATATATAATTATAATCTATCATATATAATGAAGTATATAACTAATGATAACCAGAAATAACTACTTTTGTTTATGTCCTCCACTTTTTCTATGCATTTTAATGTGCTTGAAATAATGACCTCCATACTGCTTTTAAGTGTAAAGAACTGAGACATGTTCATAATTCCTAGATGAAAGATAAAATGGAGTGGCTTAATGACAGATAATATCTGCCAGTGGGTGGTTTATTTCTTTCCAAAAACTTGGGCTTTTTCTGATTTTACTATAAATTTTAAAGATGCAGAAAATTATTATTCAAGTTCTGTGGCATTGAAAATGGTCATATGTCACTCTCTGCAGCTCCACTTTATAGAGAAGAAATGGATTGTTTTGCTATTAATTTTCTCAGTGGTGTTTTAAACATTTCAGTATTTTAGCAATCTTTATCAAGTACTTGAAGAGAATAGTAGGAATTATTGTTTAAAATGGGCATCGATCATGGACACAAATTCTTTCTTTTTTTTTTTTAATTTCACTTTAAGTTCCAGGATACATGTGCAGAGCCTGCAGGTTTGTCACACAGGTAAACGTGTGCCATGGTGGTTTGCTGCACCTATCAACACATCACCTAGGCATTAAGCCCCACATGCATCAGCCATTTGTAATCATGGACCCAATTTTCACATCAAAGGTGGAATAAAGGATTCTGGAAACACATTCCCCTGAAAGTTGGAGGAAGAGCAAAACCAATGAGGGTATCACATCAAGGCCAAGCTTTGCCCTTGGATACACAACTGCACTATGACTGAAATCCTGAGAGTGGAGTCCAATTTGAGTGAAGGCAGATCCACCAGGCTCTTCAGGCCCTGCCTTTCCCATTCTTGGCCTCTTCATTTGTAATCAATTTTGGTAATGTAGAATATGTCCTTAGATACTTTCCCTTCTCCCACTTACCCCCAATCAGTAATCAGGAAATAAATTGTCTGAGTCTCAGTTTATCAGGGAATGACTTTTTCATACAAAACATTACTTGGAGGAGAACAAAATTCTTGGTGCACAATATTGCTTTTCCACTTAAAAATTCTGCAGATGCAATTCTATTCAAAGACACTTTGGCATTCAGTGCTGCAGAAGGAAATCCCAAAGCCTTCCTGATTTCTGTTTCTTTGTAAACAACCAGTCTGAGGGTTTAGTTTTGTTTGTTTCATTTCGTGCCTGCATGTATCCTTGTAGGATTCCTTTGTCTTTATACTTTGGTCAAACTTTTCACCAGAGTAATTTTACAACAAAAAACGTATTCTGTAAACAGCCTAGCAAAAACTATTTACAAATAGTGTGCAAAGATAAGAGTATTCACAGTACCAGTTTTATAGTTGAGAAATAAAAAGGAAACATTTACTGAGTTGGATAAATTACAGTGCATCTATACAAAAAATCCCTTCAACAATTTCAAATATTAACTAGAGCCTCATGTTCTAATAAGAAGAAACATCTACAATATATTGCTAAATGAAAAAAAAAGCTAGGTGCAGAAAGTTTACTGTGATAATCTTGTTGTTCAAAAAACTAATGAATATTTGTAGGAGCTGGTATATGCAGAGTGAAGATCTGAAAGGCTTTTCAGCAAAATACTAACACTCTTACCTCTGGAGAACAGAAAAGGAGAAGCAAAGAGAAGCTTTTGTTATTTACATTATATCCATTTGAGGTGTTTGAATATTTTATAATTTTTATAATTAAAAATAAAGAAAAATTACATGCAATTGCATATTGCAGTAATCTTTTTGGGGTTTTTTTGCTGCTTGTTTTACTAACATTACTTGTAACTTAAAGAACCAATTTTAACATTTATACATTGGTTTTTATAAGTAGGAATTTTTTTGGAAGTATTTTTTATTTGTCTTTTCTCTCTCAAGTAGAAAGACTTATAATTCTTAAGTTAAAGCTACTATCTCAGACTTTTTAAACAAACACATGCTCTCTCATCATTTTCATCTCTGTCCCATACTTTCTAGGAGAGTTCTAAAATTTGTCCCTTATAATACAATATGATTTTCCATAATCTCAATTAAGTTTTCCACTGCTTGTTAATGCTAATGTAATTCTGCTGTTGCACTTTTGGCTGCCTATAAATTCTTCCTTATCTTATCCAGTTCTTTTTACATGACATTTTGTTCTTTCTTTGAAACATTTGTCCTATTTCCAACAGAAATCCAAAAGAGATGAGATGCAAGGTTTGTCCTTGAATCTCAGGACTCCAAATAATTTCCTTAAAACAAAAATCTATTTCCTTCAGCAGATGGGTGTCAAGGATTTGATCTTGCTGGGAGCTTTCACAATAATTTTGGATGACCAGTGCTCAATATTTCTCCACTGTGATTGCTGTCCTTGTTGAGGCTCATATTCTTCATGTTTTGTAGTTTTCTCATCCCCAAATAAAATAAAATGTATCAAAGTCTAGTGTTTACCAGAAGACCTCAAGGATGAATGTTCCTTGACCCTACTTCCTTCTGGTCAAATCTTCTGTTTCAAGGTGTAACAGATATGGGAGGGGGGCAGAAAATGCTGGGTAGAGAAGGGTGGGGTCCCCAGTGAGGGCTCCACACAGGTAAACGTGTGCCATGGTGGTTTGCTGCACCTATCAACCCGTCACCTAGGCATTAAGCCCCACATGGATCAGCCATTTGTAATCATGGACCCAATTTTCACATCAAAGGTGGAATAAAGGATTCTGGAAACACATTCCCCTGAAAGTTGGAGGAAGAGCAAAACCAATGAGGGTATCACATCGAGGCCAAGCTTTGCCCTTGGATACACAACTGCACCATGACTGAAATCCTGAGAGTGGAGTCCAATTTGAGTGAAGGCAGATCCATCAGGCTCTTCAGGCCCTGCCTTTCTCATTCTTGGCCTCTTCATTTGTAATCAATTTTGGTAATGTAGAATATGTCCTCAGATACTTTCCCTTCTCCCACTCACCCCCAATCAATAATCAGGAAATAAATTGTCTGAGTCTCACGAACCCAGGGGAGGACAGGCACTCCTGTTTTCAGATCCAAATGTTGCATTTTCCAAGATCTCTCTGGCCTGCCATGCCCCCTATTCTGTGCCTATATAGCCCCCGAGACCCTAGCAGGCATACACACAAGTGTGTGGATGTCAAGAGAAACACACAGGCAGAAGAACACACCAACAGACACTGGCAGGCCATTGATGGTGGGATGACGTGGAATTTGGCTGAGGACAGTTGGAGGATAGCCCAGCCACAGAGCAGCCTGACCCAAGGGAAGACCACTTTCCCACTCCATCCCTCTCATGCTCCCCATCCATCTGCTGAGAGCTACTTCTACCACTCAATAAAACCTTGCACTCATTCTCCATGCCAACACGTGATCTGATTTTTCCAGTACACTACTGCAAGAACCCCGGGATACAGAAAGCCCTATGTCCTTGTGATAAGGCAGAGGGTCTGATTGAGCTGATTAACACAAGCCGCCTGCAGATATCTAAGCTGAAAGAGCACACTGTAACACACTGGGGCTTCCAGAGCTGTAAACACCCAACCCTAGACACTGCTGTGGGGTTGGAGTCCATGATCCCCACGATCTGCCCATCTGCATACTCCCCCTAGAGGTTTGAGCTGCAGGCACCAAAGAAACGAGTCACTCCCCCCATCACACACCCTGCTAGTGGGATAAGGGAACTTTTCCCATTTCATAACTCACCAGCTGAATGCCCACAGCTCCTAGATCAGCTCCACATTCCAGCAGGCTTTACTAACCGTGGTTCTGGTAGACTAAAATAGTATTCTGTGCAACTTCTTCCTGGACTTCTGATAAGACAGACAGTTAATGAGTGGAAATAACCATCAGGCAATTATGCTATGCATCACTGCCACAAAAACCCTCCTGCTTCTGCCTTCCAACCCCTGCCCTGTGGTCTTTGGAGCAGGATCTTCTCTGAGGCTGGAAAATAAATAATGGAAGAGGAGAGGAACACAATTCTCCCTCTTATAAAATGGGGAAAATGCACAGGACAAGGATGGCTAAAAGGGACCCTGATATGGTTTGATTGTGTCCCCACCCAAATCTCATCTTGAATTGTAGCTCCATAGTTCCACATGTCATGGGAGGGACCCGGTGGGAGGTAATTGAATCATGGGATCAGGTTTTTCCTATGCTGTTCATGTGACAGTGAATAAGTGTCACGAGATCTGATGGTTTTATAAAGGGAGTTCCCCTGTACACACGCTTTTGCCTGGTGCCATGTAAGATGTCCCTTTGCTCTTCCTTCATCTTCCACCATGATTGTGAGGCTTCCCCAGCCATGTGAAACTGTGAGTCCATTAAACCCCTTTTCCTTTATAAATTACCCAGCTGCGGGTATGTCATTATCAACAGCATGAGAACAAACTAATACAGACCCAGACAGGAGGCACCATACTGGCTACCCATGACTTTCTCAAACATGTTTGACACGGTTAGTACCACATTTGAAATAAAATTAGGGCAATGTTAAAAAAAAAAAAAAGAGCACACAAATGAAATCCAAATTTCTAGCTTCTTCTGAACTGTAAAAATATTTGGCAAGTCCATGTCTGCATTCTTAGAAGACAACAATTGGATGTGTCTTCATAGACCATGTGGCCTCTCAACTTCACCTCTGTGCCTCCCTGGTCAACCCACTCATTTTCATTATCTTAGGCATTTCCATTTTCAACACTTGGCATAAACTTGAGTTTTCCATTGTATTAGTTTCCTAGGGTTGCCCATAATACAACAAAAATATATCCTCTCACGATTCTGGAGGTCAGTCCAAAATAAAGTGCCAGCAGGGGCATGCTCTCTCTGAAGTCTCTACGACAGAGTCCTTCC
Source organism: Homo sapiens (assembly GCF_000001405.40). Classification (NCBI taxonomy): domain Eukaryota; kingdom Metazoa; phylum Chordata; class Mammalia; order Primates; family Hominidae; genus Homo; species Homo sapiens. The sequence goes on along the minus strand of NC_000004.12, from coordinate 13,932,196 downwards.
TTGCCTCTTTGAGCTTTTGTTGGCTCCTGGCATTCTTTGGCTTGTGACCCCACCATTCCAGTTTCTGTGTCTGTCTTCATGTGGCCTGAAACATATTCTGTCTGTGAGTCACTGTATGTGTCTTTCCGTCCCTTATAAAGATGCTTTCATTAGATTCAGGATCCAGCCTACCCAGTATGGTCTCATTTTAAATCTTAATCCATTGTATCTGCAGATAAGGTATTTACAAAAAAAAAAAAAAAAAAAAAAGGCACATACTAAAGTTCTGGGTGGTCATCAATTTTCACCAGAGAATCCATTCAAGTATACACAATTGAGGGGACCCATCATCCAGGGGATCCCCATCCAGGAGATGCACAATGAAAATAATAGTCCTTCTTACCTCTTGCCTACAGAGCATTTCCTCAGTAACACACCCACACCCATAGAATGTTCTTTTCTTTTCAGTTTCATTGGCAGTACTATTGGCAAAAAGTCCTCCCAGATCCAGTCTTCAGGGGATTGTCAGTCCAAGTTTATGGCTGTGTTCTGAGTTTACATCTTCTTCTAAGCTTTTATAGGTATTTTACCTCACATTACAGAGAAGCTGTACCAGCAACTGTTTGTTAGCAGACACCATTTCAAACCAGCAGTCAGTGAATCAACTTTATAAGCTGCAATTAGAAAACAAGGATAGAGCTTTTATTCCCTCCAAGTAAAGTCCTCATTTCCTCCACATTCTCCCCACTCTAAACTCCTCTACCCAAAACTATCAATCACATTGGCGACTTTAGAGTGATATGGGAAGAAGATGAGGTTGCCATGTGAGTTTAGAGCAAGAGACTAGATAAGATTGAGTGAAGCATTGTAATATAGCTGCTAAGATCTTTTAATTCTGAGCTCTGAAGCCTTCATTTGTTAATGTTGATTAAATAATGAAAATAACTCCAGGTTAAGAAAATGTTAGTAATCAGCACCACACAATAGCTATTCTCAATGATTTGCATATTTAATGAAAAAACGAATGGCTGCATATTCATTATTGTATTACGGTTAATATACCATACCAAATGTGGAAGAATGAAAGTCTTTGAAAACAAGAAAAATGTTTTACTTCTAGGAAGACTGGAGAAAAACATGAAAGACATAACAAATACCTTAAAATTTCCAGAGCTCAGCTGTGGAAACTGAGGTCTAGATAGGCAAAATTACTTTCCCTAAGTCATCCAACTAATTGGCAATAAAATTGGAACTATAAACAAGAACTATAGCCCTGCCTTCAAGATCACTGTTCTTGCTAGAAATAACACAGTTAAATTATTTTAAGCAAGTTGAGAACATAACATTTTCTATATTAATTCCATCTACTCATATATTACTTTGCAGTTTCCAAGTGCTTTGTTAACATTTTTACAAAAGACATTGTGTCATTTGATCCCCACAATGATTCTCCTGTATGTGAACAGAAGGTATTACGGTTCCATCCTATAGGTAAGGAAATGAAAGATCAAATTTTCCAATCTGAAACATTTATTCAGTGAACACCATTCACCTACTCTGCAATAAATTCCCAAAGGCAAAGATGGCTCAGAGCCCTAAGGGTTGTACAGTCTGAAGAAGGAGAAAGAATTGGCTTGGCAATACCATTGCAATAGAGGAGGGTCCAAGGTCCTCAGAAAGTGAAGAAGAAGCAGGTAATGAAAGCACAAAAGTTCGAGAAGGACTTTTTTAAAGTATGAGCTGATACTAAGGAGAAGACATTTACCAGATGAAAAATTGAAGAAAAGATATTCAGCTAAAAATAGGACATTAGAGCAGGCAGAGGACAGAGGGGTACAACAGAGCACCGCCTTTCAGCATGGCTTCTGGGCAGAGTGTGAGCTAGGAAGAGCCACAGAGATAAAAGATTAGGTTATGGAGGCCCTTCTATGCTAGGGTCAAGTGTTTGAACTTTATCCACCAGGCAAGCAGGCTGGCGAAGGTTTTTAAACATGAGAGTGACATGATCAAATTCGTGTTTCAGAGAAATGAGTCTGTATAAAGCATTGAAGTAATGTCTTTAAGTTCAAATACCTCCCAGGCTCAGGCAGGTAACAAAAAAGAAGGGTTTAAAACAATAGTAAAGAGGAGAGATTGTGATGAACTGGACAAAAATCCGATGCCTGAGCTAAAAAAAAAAAAAAAAAAAAAAAACCAAAATGGCAAGATTTACCCAGTTGTTGCTCGGTGTGGACCAGTGAGGTCAGATCATTCAATTTTTTAGCATAAACAGGAAATATGGATTTTTACATAAAATCATCTGATTTTTCAATTTTTAAATCTTATTCCAAAGAGTGTTATGGACATTAAAAAAATAAGTAAAATGTATCTGTGGACTGTAAAACAAACCATCGTTTTGTCACTGGACCTGTATACAGTATAAGAGTCTGGAGGCAGAGCAACCAGTTAGGAACCTATTTCAAAACTATAAACCTAGAATAGTGCCAGTGAAGACAGAGAAGAAGGGAGATGACTGGCAGTCAGAACACAGAGCTGAGAGGAGACCCACCAGATGGTAGATGAGCAACGTGACCAGATGTTTGGACTCTGGTCTGTGATTTATTCCTGGTGTCATTGTTGTTGTGACTATGAATTAGGCTTTACATTTTTATTTTCAACATAGAAAGGGGTAGCAAAGAGTAGGCTCTGAAAAACCAGCTTCCAATGCCTTCCAAAAGTGGCTTCCTCTGAGCCCTCCAAGCCCAAACTGGTTCACAGCGTTGCCAGTTGGCATCCAGAGCCAGGTTGAGAAGGAAGATGAGTGTTCTCTGTTTCTCTGCTTCGGTCTCTGACATGATCAGAGTCTCTGACGTATTCAGTTAATGTTCTCTGCCATAAAAAAAAGAAATGGTTGGTCTCCTTTCCCTAACTATGCTGTCGCTTTGATTTAAGTACTTTTCACCTGTAAATGTCCTTGGTTACTCCTGAACCATATTCTCTCCTATAAAAGGCACTAAATTAAAGACTGCTTTGGCTCTGCGTTTTAGTGATTTTGAGAAGTGCTACAAGATTGCTCCTTCCTTCACAGAGCCAGTGAAGTTCACCTCAAATGTCACCTCCTTTCTGCAATTTGCTCTAAGACTTTATCCATTTCAGACCCAGCTCACGTGCCCTCTCTTTCATGAAGCCTTTTCTCACCACACCAGCAACCCCCTGTAACCCCAGACTGGGCCAGGGTGCCTTGACCGTGTACATCATCATCGTCTGTTACCATTTAACTCCTCTCCACTCCTGAAAACCTTATAGGCACACAGTAGTCACAGTGGTCTTCTTAAATAGAAGTCAGATCTATCACTGCCCACTTAAATTCCCCACTCTGTGGAGTCAGAATAAAATCTAAACTCCTCTAAATGATTTACAAAACCCTGGACTGTCTGGTCCTGCCTACATCTTCTGCAATTCTTTTCCTTTTTTGATTACATTCAAATTATGCTGGACTTCTGAGGGACCCTCAGATACCACCACAGGGTCTTTGCATTTGTTGTTCCCTCCACTTACGAAGCTTCTGCAAGGTTTTTCACATAGCTGGATCTTTCTCATCCTCTGGTCTTAGGTTAAACATCATCTCCTCAGAGAGATCATCCATCCCTGATCATGTAAATCTCACTCTCCCAGGTTATCCTCTCTTGGCAACTGGATTACTTATTCCATATTTATGGCGGCTACAGGAAATGCTTTGCAGCCTTCCAAATGCCAAAGCGTAATTGTCCAAAGGCTTTTGCTGTTGTGCTTTGTAATCCACCCATTCACATGCTCCAAAGCCATACTTCCCATGAGATGCTACCACCCAATGGCTAAGTAGGGCACGACAAAAAGGCAGCCTGTTCCTGGAAGATATGGGACTCCTCTGACGGGCAACTTTGGCTTGGGGACCCACAATCGTCTTCACTGAAACTTCCATTGACTGCACAGCTGTCGGAGACTTCTCCCACGCAACCTTCCTACTTTCCCTCCCTGCACCATGGAGTCAGACCAGCATTGAAGTCTGGTGGCTCCTCCAGGCTCCTTCAGCATCTTCCACATGTTCCCTCACCAACCTGTATCTTACTTCCGATCTCCCAGAACCCAAACTAGCACATTGGAACTTATCCAAATCTCTGTCTATTTTAATTCGTTTATTAGGTCCCCCAGTAAAATGCTACCTATTTGAAAGAAAGGCTCTTATTAGACTCGCTTGCTGCCAAGTCCACTGCACCTAGCACCATCCTGGCATAGAGTAGGTGCTCACCAATATTTGTCCAATTAAGTAATCTTCTTCTAGAACCTTGCGCATAGGTCTATTGCCACATGGACACATCATCCTGAAATTATCTATTCACCCTCTTCCATCTCTCACTAGACTTCGGAATTCCTTGAAAATATTCTACACATGGGGTTTGGTCCCAGCATATAGCCCAGAGCCTGAGGCACAGTAATAGCTCAATTAATGTTTGCTAAATTGACATTCCAATTGCTCGTTCTTCACTCACTTCCTCACACCTTAAACTCCCTACACACCCAGGCAACATAAGCTGTGTCCTTACCTGTCTTCCATAATGTAGTCTGCTTTACTCCAGGCAGTTCCTCCTCCTGTGTCCTATATCTCTATAACTGTCTTCACTATTCTCCCAGTTTTCCATTTTTATTCTCCATCACTAGCCTTCTATCTCCCCACAGAATTCCAGGCCATTCACTCACCAAGTCCTCTCTTCTCACCTCCTAAATAAGTGCTCATTTAATGCACTTTTAATTTTCTCCAATTCTACTGTCTCTACTCTGGTCTAAGCTCCCCTTGATTAATACAAAACATCCTCCTGATAGGTTCCTCTTTCTCTTTGTTTGCATCCTTCCTATATATTCCCCACCCAGCAGCCAGATGCCCTTTCTAAAAGGCAAATCTGATCAGGTCTCACAGTGCTGAAAGCCCTTCAAGTCTCAATGGTCTATTGAGGAGGCCTTTCAGGGCTTGAACAAATCCACCCACTCCTGCTTCGTGCCCATCCTCACTGCACACACAGTTGCCTTATCTTCCAGTCAAACAGAGCAGTCTGCAATGCACCAAATCTACTCTGTCTTTCTTGAAGAATTGTCTTCCCCTCGCTCACCCCCACCTTCATCATGCTAATTCCTGTTGATGTCATTTCTTCCAAGAAGTCTTCTGCAGACAGGCCCAGTCTGGATAAAGTGGTTTTTCTTTGAATTCCTATGGGAATCCAAACTACTTCCCTTATGGTACTTATTACACTGGTTTGTTTAGTGGTCTGGCCCCTAATGTGTGACCTTGATTTCTGAAACAAAGATTTGATAAGTCGCCACATTACATCCAATGCTTTAAAAGTTTCCCTTTTTCAGACGTGAAGGACCTCTTCAAGGAGAACTATAAACCACTGCTCAATGAAATAAAAGAAGATACAAACAAATGGAAGAACATTCCATGCTCATGGGTAGGAAGAATCAATATCGTGAAAATGGCCATACTGCCCAAGGTAATTTATAGATTCAATGCCATCCCCATAAAGCTACCAATCACTTTCTTCACAGAATTGGAAAAAACTACTTTAAAGTTCATATGGAACCAAAAAAGAGCCCGCATCGCCAAGTCAATCCTAAGCCAAAAGAACAAAGCTGGAGGCATCACACTACCTGACTTCAAACTATACTACAAGGCTACAGTAACCAAAACAGCATGGTACTGGTACCAAAACAGAGATATAGATCAATGGAACAGAATAGAGCCCTCAGAAATAATGCCACATATCTACAACTAACTGATCTTTGACAAACCTGAGAAAAACAAGCACTGGGGAAAGGATTCCCTATTTAATAAATGGTGCTGGGAAAACTGGCTAGCCATATGGAGAAAGCTGAAACTGGATCCCTTCCTTACACCTTACACAAAAATCAATTCAAGATGGATTAAAGACTTAAACGTTAGACCTAAAACCATAAAAACCCTAGAAGAAAACCTAGGCATTACCATTCAGGACATAGGCATGGGCAAGGACTTCATGGCTAAAACACCAAAAGTAATGGCAACAAAAGACAAAATTGACAAATGGAATCTAATTTAACTAAAGAGTTTCTGCACAGCAAAAGAAACTACCATCAGAGTGAACAGGCAACCTACAAAATGGGAGAAAATGTTCGCAACCTACTCATCTGACAAAGGGATAATATCCAGAATCTACAATGAACTCAAACAAATTTGCAAGAAAAAAACAAACAACCCCATCAAAAAGTGGGCAAAGGACATGAACAGACACTTCTTAAAAGAAGACATTTATGCAGCCAAAAAACACATGAATAAATGCTCACCATTACTGGCCATCAGAGAAATGCAAATCAAAACCACAATGAGATACCATCTCACACCAGTTAGAATGGCAATCATTAAAAAGTCAGGAAACAACAGGTGCTGGAGAGGATGTGGAGAAATAGGAACGCTTTTACACTGTTGGTGGAACTGTAAACTAGTTCAACCCTTGTGGAAGTCAGTGTGGCGATTCCTCAGGGATCTAGAATTAGAAATACCATTTGACCCAGCCATCCCATTACTGGGTATATACCCAAAGGACTATAAATCATGCTGCTATAAAGACACATGCACAAGTATGTTTATTGCGGCACTATTCACAATAGCAAAGACTTGGAACCAACCCAAATGTCCAACAATCATAGACTGGATTAAGAAAATGTGGCACATATACACCATGGAATACTATGCAGCCATAAAAAATGATGAGTTCATGTCCTTTGTAGGGACATGGATGAAATTGGAAATCATCATTCTCAGTAAACTATCGCGAGGACAAAAAACCAAACACCACATGTTCTCACTCATAGGTGGGAATTGAACAATGAGAACACATGGACACAGGAAGGGGAACATCACACTCTGGGGACTGTTGTGGGGTGGGGGGAGTGGGGAGGGATAGCATTAGGAGATATACCTAATGCTAAATGACGAGTTAATGGGTGCAGCACACCAGCATGGCACATGTATACATATGTAACTAACCTGCACATTGTGCACATGTACCCTAAAACTAAAGTATAATAATAATAATAATAATAATAATAATAATAATAATAATAATAAAATAAAATAAATAAAATTCACCAATGAAAAAAATAAATAAATAAAAAATAAAAATTTCCCTTTTTCCTGCAAATATGGGTGCTCCCAGCCACCTTGCAAGCTTAATCCTTCCACACCTGCAAGATCTTACCACTCCCAGCTGTAAGCAGAGCCTCACCCATGTGCTGCCTCAACTACCTCTCCTGCTCTTCCTTCTGGTCAACTCATCTCCATCCTTAGCTACCCATCTCTCTTCCATGAAGTCTTCAGCTCTCTTTCTCTCTTCTATTTAGAATTGATTACCTCTTCTTCCCCTATGGCCCCATGTTATCTGTTCACATTTCCATCATTTACTTCATCATGTTTTTTGGTGTATAATTCTCTGTCTGCCACTGGTCTATAAACTTTTCAAGGTTAGAGACAAGGTCTCATTCAGCTTTTTTTTTTTTATCAGTGCCTGCTATACACAGGGAAGGTGCTCAGTACATATTCATTGAATCAACAAATGAGTAAACAACTCCATCCATTCTTCAGGGCTCCTCAATTTTTACCTCTCCAATTATTCTCCCTTTTGTGAACTACAATAGATCAGATTGCCTTATTTTCCGAGCTCTATACAGACAGCACTATAAAATCTTGCTTATTAGGTTCTAAACATCTAAAGAGCAGGAATAAAACCTCACAGCCTCTCTGTCTGTACCGCCATGCCTTGCACAATATTCTTTTGCTGATTGATTGTTACTGCTCAATCTACTATTCACTTTTGATTTCTTTAAAAAAGAAAACCTTCTCAGAAATCAAACAACTAAAATCACAAAATGTCCTTTTCTAAAAATAACACATTCCCAAAACACTTGAGGCAGAGCTGTGCTTTTTCTCCTCTCCCATTAATGAGAGAAAGATGCTGCTTCCTCTGTTTTCATTTTGTCTGCATCATGTCTGTGTTGCCTGGAGATTTGTAGCTGTTGTTTCAAGAAAGATCAAGTGACAATGGGAGATAGACGGTCTTCTTGATTAAAAAGTGGCACTCAGATACATCAGCTTCCTCCAAATTCAAGAAGGAGAAGCTTGTTTCACAGCTAGTGCCTGCTTCAGGGGCACGCCTCCCTGGGGTCAGCTGAAGCTTGCTGTCCGCTTTCCAGGTCTGTCCAAGCAAGACCTGTACTGTAATAACATGTAAAATAAAATTTAAGCCTCAAGGGAGGGGTTAGAAATTGCCACTGATTGACTCAGGACCATCCTTTGAGAGACAATGAAAAAACTGGCATAGCATGGTTAGACTAATCTGCATTCTGAAAAGTCCTAGTCCTGAAAGTGACTAACTGTGTGACCTGGGAAAGTTCCTTAGCCTCTCTAAGCTTCAATGTCATCACTTGGAGAACAGAGCTGATGAAAACACACCTGATGGAGTTGCTGATGCCATGGGATGAGATGATACAAAGTGTTTGGCATCACCTCTCACTTAGCGTTTATTAATGGTCATCATTATCATGAAGTAGCCAGAACCCTGCCTATTGTAACAGCTATCAGTTGTTGAATACTTACTCTGTGCTGTGTACCAGGCTCACTTTTTCTATGTCAGTTTTCTTACTTATACATCTTATAACAGCTGTTCAAGCAGATAGTGTCCTAGCTGGTGACTCTGAGAATAACTGGCTGCATTCCCTATCCCTGTGCTCAGCCTATGCATGGGAAATATTTGGGACTTGGTAAATACATTTTGGAATGATGTTGAATGAGTTCACAATTGACATAGTTGTCTAGGGACTGCCAAACCATGGACCGCTTCCCCTATCTAGCATAGAGTGTACTTGTTATGCTTAGAATTATGTCCCCTAAAGAGTTATGTTTGACCATTAACTCCCAGTACCTGTGAATGTGACCTTATTTGGAAATAGGGTTTTTGTAGATGTAATAAGGTAAGAGGAGATCATACTGGATTAGGGGCTACCCCTAATCTTATAAGAACCATAGCAGGTGTTCTCATAAGAAGGTGAACATTTAGACACAAATGAACAGAGGCACACGGAGAGAACTCCACATGGTGATGGAGGCAGAGACTGAAGTAGCACGTGCAGGAGCCAGGAGATGCCAAGGATAGGTGGCAACCACCAGAAGCCAGAAGGGAGGCACGGAGGGACCCTTCTTTAGAGTTTCTGGAGGAGCATGATCCTGCTGATCCTTTGATTTGGGGCTTCTGGCCTTCATAACTGTAACAGAGTACATTTCTGTTTTTTTAATCACTCAGTTTATGACAATTCGTTAAGGAATCTCTCAAAAATGAATACAGCACTTTATTCCTTTCTCGGCACAGCAAAATGAAATTTCAGGGCACCGACAGAGAGGGTTTAACACCCCTTATTCTCTTTCAAAAGAGCTGAAAAAGCACCCAGTTACTATTTATACTACTCCCAGTTCTCTGTCTGAAGATGAGACTTTTCAGTCATGCCAACAGTTCTGGGTTTCAGAACTTAAGGGCACACCATGGAGGGATTGCTGGTGAGTTTAGCTAAAGCTCTGCAGCCCCACAGGGTTTCTGTTCCAAGTAATAGAAGAGAGAAAAGAGAGGCAGAAATTATGAGTACACCTCAATTCCCTCATGTAGAACACTAAGCAGCAGCTTTCTCCCTAAATGTTTCTGTAAAAATATATATTTTAAAACATCATCAGTTGATCTCACGTGCTACCCAGGAGAAGGGAAAATCATGACGTGTAAGTGTTAGAGAGTTTCAACACCTCTCCTTCCCACCAAAAAGGGGACTGTTCTCAGGGGCTTGCCTTCTGAGGGCCCTGTCCCCCTAGACTAGGAGCCTCATGATAGAGGAACAGCCCCTTTTTGTCCTTAAAAAGATCTGGGGATGGGAAGGTTGGAGACAGAAAGGGTCCTCCCAGGATCTGAAAACCTAAAGATTGTCTGCTCCTTTCTCTTTCTACCAAAGTCTTTGAAGACACAGAGAGAAGCTTTCCCTGACTTTCCCATCAGATAATATTCATTGAGGGTTAAATCCTCCAAAAAAGCCCATTCATACACTGACCAGGTTTTAATCATGCCAGATGTGCTGCTCAAAACCACAAGCTTAAAAATGCTTTCAGTTTAACGGGACAGAATAAAATGAACAGAGTATTTTTCAAACCTGCCTAGTTCCAGGACAATTGCTGCCAATCAGCCTCACTCCTTGCAATCTCTTTGGATCCAGCATTGACCTTGGGTCTCTGAGTAACTATTTGCTGACTCTCTACACAGCCTGGTATGTATGTTTTCTTCCCAACAGGGCTACTTGAAAGCCCCCATTTGGCCCAAGTCCAAGTCCCCAAATTCCCTCTGATTAGCTCTTGGCCTTCACCCTACTAAGCATGAGATCTGCTGAGTAGAATGGCTGCTGTACCCATCCTGACTCTGGCAATGGGAGCTTCTGATTTTGCTGAAGAGAGGGAGAGGGTCTCAGGAGAGCAGTTTGGTTCTCCAAAGCTTCAACTTGGATGAAGTCTTCAAGCAATAGTCTTCAAGGAACTGCTCAGAAACAAAGTTCTCTTTCATTGCATCATTTAGATTTTAAGGACAATATGAGCCTCTAAGAGAATTGACTGGGCCAGACTCTAGAGAAATGTTTACATTATCTTGGCTAAACTGTTGGTGGTGGTTAGAAGAAGAAGGAATCAATAAATGAAAAGAGAGAAAAAAGGGGAAAATGACTGGATCTATAGGAGCAGCAGCTATTGCAAATCAGATTTGGAAAAGAGCAAGGAACTACATTTCTATCTTGGAAAAGGGACACTCAGATATCAGTAAGCAATCAGGTCGTGGCCAGTTCAAATATTCTGAAGTGTTCTGATAAGAATTTAATAAGGACCACCTCACACATGCACATGCATGCACACACACACACACACACACACAAACATACCTTTCCCTAACTGAAGCATGCAGTTAGGGAATCTCTGGAGTCCAGAAGATGAGTCAGCCTAAATGACTCAGCAAGGAGGAACCAGCACTGAGGTTGTTGGTGGAAACACAGCTGGAGCAAATGCAGATGGGACTGTGAAGACATTGTGTGAGGGCGAGTGAGGATGTGGCTGGAGTTCCTTAGTAGTGACCATCATCCTGTTACCATAACAATAACATAAACTTCCCAGGAGGAGCCTGAGGCAGGTCGTTTCTGAGCCCAAGTTAAGTTCATCTCCCAAATGGGTTGATAATGGCAACTTTCCTGCCTATTGACGGGACTCTTGGAAAGATTGTATGAGACAATGGTTGCTAAGGAACTTAGAAAAGTACCAATTTCAAACATGTGGAAAGGATTATAGCATTCTCATGACAAGTTCTCCACCACCTACTGAAGGCACAATGCCTGCTTATGGGAAGAAATGGGGCATCAAAAATTTGAGGTGTGGGCTGGGTGAATCAAGGTACTTGCAGAGTGAATCACTGCAAGCTCAGGTGACTTCGTTATGCAACGTCAGGTGAAAATGTATTTGGTGAAATCGGGTGGAATTTCCCTCGAACCTTGGGATTGTAAGCCAGAAGAGCACCCTGTGAAAGCTGAGTCACAGCGGGGTGAGTTAAAGAGCCCTCAAAGAAGAAATCAGAAGAATTGGATCTCATCCCCAGCATGGCAAAGCCTGTGCCTGTGCCATCAGCTCTCTCTGCTTCTGTTTTCTCACTTGTAAAATAAAAGTGTTGTCTCATAATCTTTTCTGCCGGTAATACTTTTTGAGTGTGTGTGTGCACACATGTATGCGTGCAAGGCCCTGCTTTATGCTGATGCAATGCTTTGAAAAACATCAGCTTCTCTTCTACAACATACACTCTGACATCCACTCAGCTCCCCAATCTCTGCAGCTCCAAAGTGTACTCAAAGAGTCAAGAAGTACAGAGACATCATCCTGATTTGCTAAGTCGGGGCAGGGCACCCCTTCCCCCAGACTCCACCTTTATGGGCTATATAAACTTGGGCAAGTTACTCTCTCTGGGCCTCATGTACTTTATTTGTAAAACAAAGATAGTAACTGTACCTAACTACAGACTTGGAATGAGAGTCCAATAAGATACTTCACACAAATCATTCAGCACAATGCGTGAGTCTTTAAAAAGACTAAAACAACATTCTCCCAGCAATAAATATTATCACAATGCTTATTATCAATCCTGCTATTACTGTCATAGTATTGTATATTCCTGTATCAAGATATATCCCTCCAAATTTCAGCTGTGTGTTTACTTAAATGGAGAAATCCATGAAGGCAAGGATTGGGCCTGTCCCATTCTTCACTTTATCCTCCATCCTCTGCTGAATACGTGGCTGGTGGCAGGTGCTCAATATTTGTCCTGTTAGATGAATGAAGGGTGTGAAGTAGAGGTTCTCAACCCTGGCTGCACATCAGAGTCGCCTGGATACATTTAAAATCCTGATGTCCACCCCCATCTCCAGAAATTCTAATTTAATTGATAAAGATTAGAACCCTGGCATTAACAGTTTTTAAAGGGTCCCCAGAGTCTCTAGTTGGCAGGAGGAGGTGAAGCTCACTTGTATAGAGTCTCAAAGATTAGTAACGCCATTGATTTCCAAACTTTTCCTTTTATAATAAAACCATTTTTTTTCCACAACAAAGTCTTAGATTGAAATCTACCTCATAAAAGAGAATGACGCAGCATCCTCTGGTAGAAGTGCTGGAGGTGGGCCCTGGGGCCCTCCATCCAATTGTGTGGGTCCAAGGTGGTCCACAAAGCCCACAAGCCCCTGGAGACACAACTTCCTAGGATTCGAACTGTCCTCTTCTGAGCTCTCAGCGGTATCTTCTCACTGCACTGCACTGCCAGCCTTGCTGACTCCTCACGTAACATGATGCTATCCTCACCCTGAAACTTGGACTAAGACATACCGCAACTGTTTTCCTTTTACAGCCAAATTCAGACACTCAGCTCCCAGTGAAAATCATTCCCAGGCCTTGTGGATTGAGGAGAGAAAAAAACCGCCTAAAATATATAAATAATTCAAGGCTGAGTTTATTCATGATGCTATGTTTTCTCCAGGCAGCAGTTTGTATAATCTCTCTTACACTGCCAGTTGGGCAGCCTCCGTAGCATTTATTACTGCAGACAACCCGTTAGAAGCTGTTTTGATTTACACATCTACATTCTATTACAGAGATAAGTTTAACAGCACACTGCAGTTTCTGCTGCTGACAATGTAGGAGGGGAAAGAAAAAGAAAAAAAAAGACAGTGGAGAAAAGAATAGGAAATTATTTCTGCCATTCCAGAGGACAGCAAGGAAAATGGGCCTGATATTTTAATGACACATTTAATTAGTTATCTGGAACACAGACACACACATACTACACTCACATACAACAACATATGTTTATTGCATCATTATGTCTTCATAAGAGAGCAAATGTTTATTGAACATCTACTAAGTGCCAACTTACTCTATTAGGTCAGAAGGATATATTGGTGAATAAACGAGACAGTTGTTTGTCTGCTTTGTTATTATTGTTTGCTACCACCAAACAATGTTTCCCCAACAACGCTTAGCCCAGCGTTGATACATGATAGATACTCGATGCCTGTTGAGTGAATGAGTGAATTCAAAATGATAAATAAAATGAAGCAATATTGCAACTGTTCAGTTATCTGTCTTCATGGCAATGCTATATAAGATGAACCACACAAAACCTCATGCAACAATAAGCCTTTATTGTTCATGCATCGAGGATGTTAAAGCCGGTTGGCTCTGCTCATCTGTGCTCATCAGCCAAATAGCTCAGAAATGGCTCACAGTCCACTGATCAGTTCAGGCTTCTGCTGGGTCCAGTGGGATGACTCAGCTCTGCTCCATGTGTTTCTCATCCTTCAGCAAGCTACAGCCAGCATGTTCTTATGGCCAGGATGGAGAGACAGAGAGTAAGTGTAATAGAAACACATGGGCCTCTTGAAGTCTAGACTTGGAACTAGGAAACCATGACTTCTTGAAGTGACTTGATAAAACAAATCACAGAGCCAGCCCAGATTCAAGACATGGGTAAAAGAGTCCATCTTTAGCATGAAGATCTGCAAAGTCACATAGCAGAGACAAGGCTAAAGAAATTAAGAATTGAAACCACCTTTGCAATCTGCCACAGGAGCCCAGCAAATTAGACAAAAGGCAGTAATGAAAACCCATTTCTCAAATGAAATCTATTGCCTTTTCCAGTATCCAAGTGTATCCCCACCCAGCCCCTGAACAAGGCTCTTTGGTGAGTTTAGGGAAGATGCAGATATCTCTCTGAGAATAGTTCATTGTGTCCTGAACGTCCTCCCCTCTTTGACCCTAGGTCTTCACCCAGGCCCTACCTGGGGTTGACACCTGACTGTGATCCATTGTCCTTGCTTGCCCTAGTTCTTCCTGCTCCATTTTAACCCATCACGTTAGGAGACAGAATGTGTTTATAGTACAATGATGAGACAGTATTGTAGCTACCATATATTGGGAGCTTACCACGTGTCAGGGCCTGTGCTGAAGAACTTTGCTTACATTATCTCATTTAATTCTTATAATGACTCTATGAGTTAGTTATAATTATCCCTCCTTTACCGCTAAAAAAGAATATTCACAATACTGAAAGAGATTAAATAACTTGTCCAAGGTTTCACAGCTAGTTATTAATCAAGCCAGGTTTCAGCCCTAATTTATCTGAATGCAAAGTCCATGTCCTTAATCACTATGCTATGCTCCCCCTTCCTTAAACCAGTAGTTCTACTTCACTAAACCATTATGCTCACATTGGTAAAGAATTACTTCCTTAAAGCAAAGAGATCATGATATTCTGCCCAGTCCCCTCCTATGAGACACTGGAAAAAAAGGGTTGAAGTTCCCACAACAATTTGAATTATTTTCCCCTAGAGAGAAGAGGTTGGAGGGTGGGAAGGGCAGGTCATTAAGTTTTCAGTCTTGTGTAACTTCTACCGGTTTCCACCAGAATATCCTAGGCTTGTTAGAGTTAGTACCAATGAGATCATAGATCATAGATTCCATCAGGAGGAAGAGGGATTATACAAAGACTTAGTGGTGCTTATTGGTATAACATGCACTAGGTTAAATCCAACTGGCCCAAAAAGAAATGGAATATATGATCTCATTTGCATATTATCTGTCTTTGCATAATCCCAGGTCCAGAAGGAGGCTGGTTCTGGATGAAAGAGAAGCATAAGAATTCCATCCACACTATTGCAAAAGCTTCAAGTTCCTACAGCAGCACCTTAATGTGGACCAATGGGAGAATGTAACGCAGTGGAATAAATGGAAGCTTATTCCAAAGCCAAGCCATAGAAGAGCACCAAATTTCCCACAGATTGTCTGTTCAATCCCCAGCATCGACAGAGTAATGTCCAGCCTCCCTCCTCACCTCCGCTTGATATTTACACCCAACGAACAATGGTCAAATGGAAATCTACTGCTTAGTTTATAGGTTTTCGGGCTTGTGACAGTTCCACTGTAGATCCCTAATCAAAGTTGGATTCAAGAGCATGGCTTAGGTTTAAAGCCCTGCGAGGAGCAAGCTTAGGCATGCTGGAGAAGAAAGATATATAACCAGTCAACAGCACAACTTGGTTCACTGAGCCAGAAGACTGTACAGGTGAGAATGAAAAACCTGCTTCACCCCACTCAAGAGGGAGTTCAGTGGGCACTGACTTACACTGAGGTTGGATGGAATCCTCAGTATGAAATGTTTACTAAGTCGGCAAAAAAGATGAAAGAGAGCCGATTATGTTCAAGCACAAGAAGAAGTGGAGATTAGAATCCTGCTTTTAAAGTACAGTGAAGGCTGGGCACAGTGGCTCATGCCTGTAATCCCAGCACTTTGGGGGGCCGAGGTGGATGGATCACCAGAGGTCGGGAGTTCGAGACCAGCCTGACCAACATGGAGAAACCCCATCTCTACTAAAATTACAAAAATTAGCCAGGCTTGATGGCACATGCCTGTAATCACAGCCGCTTGGGAGGCTGAAGCAGGAGAATTGCTTGAACCCGAGGAGGCAGAGGTTGTGGTAAGCCAAGATCATGCCATTGCACTCCAGCCTGGGCAACAAGAGTGAAACTCTGTCTCAAAAAAAAAAAATTAAAATTAAAAAATAAAGTGCAGCGAACTCACTCACTAATAAACATGTCCCAGAAAGTGCTAAGTCTGGATCAATCTGACTGGCAATCCCTCCCTCCTTGAGACAGAGTGAACGAGGGTGTAGGAAGAGGAACATACTCTTCGTCCTCAGCATCCCTCCCATGAAGAGGATGGGCAGAAGTCACCTAAACCTTGAAAAGATGCTATACTATGAAGAAATGGACATCAGCATGGCATCTCTCAGCAAAGCCAAGGGAAGTGTTGCTAATCCTGAAGACTACAAAAAAACCCGCCAGATGTATGAGAAAGCAGAGAGGAACAAGCTAATAGGATTGAGGGGCAGCCTATTCATTGTAGCTTTTGCCTCCTGGGAAGCCAACCTGTCTTTCAGGCACAGCTGTAAAGTGTGGGGGCAAAGTTGGGTCCATGAGAGAATTCAGAGGCATAGCTAGAGGAGCAGATGCCAGAGGGGTCTGCAGATGAGGCAGTAGCTGAGGTGTGAGCCAAATGGGAGGCAAAGGACCAGAAAGAGGAGGGAGGAGATCACCAGAGAGGACAAAAGGGAGGTGGTGGGGACTCACTCGACATAGGACATCTTCCCTTGCAGGTGGATTTCTACCTCCCCTGGAGGGCTCAGGCCAGGGTAGAATGGACAGTGTCCAAAGGATGCTTAATGAACTCCTCATTTTGATTTCTTTGTTCTATGAAGGCATGTGCAACTGCATTAGTATGCTCAGCAAAAGGCCTCCTTTTGTTGTGGCAGGTGCTGCAGGAATTCAGAAAGCTGATGTTTCGTAAAATCATGAGCCTGCAGAGAGCCCTGGGAGGTCAGAAAACCCAAGCCCCTGCCTCTCACATCTGTTCTATCAGTGGAATGGTGCTGCAGTTTTAAAATCATGTTTATTGTACTTCATCTTCTTATTTTAAGAGAGACACACTGGGTGTACTTTTGTTGGAGAAAAGGTGAAGCAAGCAGTAAAGCACAGAGAAGATGGGAAAAACAGTTTCTAATCTTACAGCCCAATGGCAGCCACTGTTAATATTTCAGCAAAGCCCCTGCTACACTTTCTCTCTCACACCCATGGGGTATGGGTGTGGTATGTGTGTGTGTGTGTGTGTGTGTTGTAAGTATGTAAAAAGAAAGTGGGAATTTTTCTGTTATTCCAGAATTAACAAATGAAACTGTGAACAAAGAGGCATTAAGTGCTACACATTCTAAATAAAGCCAAACACCTTCCTTGAGTCTTTCCATGAGGTATATAATCCAGCAATCCTACTTCTGCATATGTATCCAAAGCAATCGAAAAAGTATCTTGAAAAGATACCTGTACTCCCGTGTTCACTGCAGCATTATTCATAATAGCTGAGATATGGAAACTCTATGTCCACTGAGGGATGAATGGATAAAGAAATTGTGGTATATACATGCAATGGAATATTTCTCAGTCTTAACAAAGAAGGAAATCCTGCCATCTGTGACAACAGGTATGGAACTGTAGGAGATTATGCTAAGTGATATAAGTCAGGCATAGGAAGACAAATAATGCATTACCTCACTTAAACATGAAATTTAAAATAGCCAAACTCATAGAAGAAGAGAGTATGATGATGTTGCCAGGGGCTGGTGCAGGGGCAGGCAGGAATGGGGAGACATCTGTCAAAGGGACAAAGTTTTGTTATTTAGGATAAATAAGTTCTGGATATCTAATGTAAAGCATAGTACCTATAGCTAAAAATACAATATTATATTTTTTAATTTGCTAAGAGTGTAGGCTTACTTTAAGTGTTCTACCACCAAAAAAAAAAATTATTATTATAGTAAAAATAACTAAAAGAAACTTTGAGAGGTGATGGATATGTCAGTCTTTTACCTTGGTGGTGGTGATGGTTTCACAGCTGTATATGTATCCTCAAACTCATCAAGTTATGAACATTAAATATGTACAGCCTTTTACATGTCAATCATACCTCAATAAAGTGGTTTTTAAAAAGAGGTGGCTGAACCTCACTGCTACCTGCAGCCATAATTCAGCAACACCACCAACCACCACCTTACATTCTGTAAAAGTAGACTGGAGAAAGGGGCCATCTATGATTGCAGGGTGGAAATGATGGTCTAGAGCACATCTGAGAGCTAAACAGATGGTCTTCCTAAATAATAATTCATAAAGATTGGGAAGACTTTCAAGAAGGGAATGCTGATTTCTCATTACCATTGAGCACCTGATTAGAATGTAGCCTCGTTGATTTGCTCTGTTCCTACTTAAGTAGGAAAATAGAGCCTCACTGAGAGAGCGGGGCAGAGGGAGACTGTCCATGGAGCAGCCTGTTCCTTCATTGTCATGGTAGAGAGGAGCCCACCTTCTGGAGGTCAAGTGGACACTGAAGAAAAGACTCACACAAGCATGTGGGCTGCCAAGGAGGAGAACCCAAGCAGCAGGAGGCTGAGAATGAACCACAAGGAGGCATCTGAGAGAGGGCTGGGATCTGGAGTTACATCTTCTTTCTGCAGTTGGGAGGGGGCTCAGAAAAGTGACCAAGCACTGACCACGAGGGAGCCACAGAGATGGAAACCTACCAGAGAGGGCTATAAGGACCTTCAGTGTGAGCCAGAAAAAGAAAACCACTAATAGAGTGCACTGTGCCTGCCATGAGTTAAATAAGCAATGCCTGTCCTTGGCCTCTTTCTCCTCCACTCACCCACACACTGCAGCACCTATCTCTATACAAGGGGTTGAGGAGGACTGTTCCCAGAGAAAGGATACAGGAGGAAGGGTAAAGAGCAGATGAGGTCCCTCCCAACCACCTCCCCCAAGCCTCAAGCCCAGATAGCACTGGAGTGACAGGAAAAGATGAGACTGGTCTCTTAAGCCAGAAGAACTTGTGCAACCAAGGGGAATGGGAAATTATGAAATCTGCTACACTATGAGTGAGAGATTTAATACAGCATTATTGGGAACAGGGACTAGGGAAAAAATCCTTTGATGTTTGTAACTCAGCAAGTTTATATACTTCAATAAACCCAAAATACACACACATACACACACACACACACACACACACACACACACACCTGCATATACATATACAATTTTTAAAATCCAGTCAAAGTAAAATATAGCCAAAAGCCACTTTATTTTTTCACACCCTGCCTTTCTTCCTTGACCTTGTGATCCTCCCTTCAGTGAAGTTAAAGAATTTAAACTTAAACCTGGTGGAACTTTATATTATTTTGAGCCTTGAGAGGAATGTGGCTATGTGGCCTGGGTCATGTGGAGCATACAGCTGCAACTTCTGCTTCTCCAATCATAGATTAACTCCCTTACTTATTCTTGTACTATAGAAGATTAGGAAAGACCAAAAGGCATGAGAGATAGGACGATTAGGAAAGACCAAAAGGCATGAGAGATAGGACCCCAGGAATCTATTACCCCTCCTTATGGAATGTTAAAGCAATCTACCTTGGAATGTAGGAACCTGTAACCAATGAAATCACTGTAACATATGTATTGGTCTTATAAGAAAAATATTGCGACTGTTAAATTTCTCCATCTCTGCCTATGTAAGTGAAAGCCTTAATTTCCCTACTTTGGAACACTGACCCATTCTTTTGGAATCCGTGTTTCCTCCTGGGTTGCTACCCTGAAGTTTTGCACTTGAATAAACTCTGTACTTAATCATATTTTCTGAATCTCATTATTTAAGATTGATGCTTCTCAGCACTTGCATGAAATCTCATGCAATTTCCATCATTTCTCTATTCACTTTCACATATAAAAAAGTTCATAGTCTCTCTCTCAACCAACTTAAAGCTCTTCTCCACTCCACAGTGCATACATGCCTTAGGCTGGGAACCTGAGCGAGGAAGGACATTGTGGTTTCAAGGCAGGTTTCTTCACTCTCACTTGCTTCTTCAATCCACATTGTCCCTCACTTTCTAACTGTTGTTTGTAACTCTCTAAAGAGATTAAAGGGCACGGTGGCTTTGTAACATGTCAGCTTAGCTAAGCGGGAACTCAATTCCCAGAGTTTCATCTCCATGAGGTTCCAGGTTGAAGAGGCTATTAGAAAAATGTACACGAGATATAAAAGACCATAGTGAAGAAACAGCCATGCTTAGCACCTTCAGGTTTGGTGTAGGGTGCTAGACACTGGCAGTGCATGCATGTGGCAGCTCACTGATCTACCAGCTTGTGTTGCTGGTATGGGGCAGCACCTAGGCTTACAGCTCCTACATTGCATTGCTGTGTGGGGCAGGACCTGGGCTTACAGCTCTTAGAGTGTGTTGCTACTTTGGGGCAGCTCCCGAGCTTGTAGCTCCTCTAGCTCTCCCTGGATCTCTTCCTTCAGCTTCTTCAAGCCCTGGGTCAGGTATATGTGCAACTCCATGTGAAGAGTACCTGTTTCCCCATTAAGTTTGGAGGCAGTGGGAGACAGACAAATGCTTCAGCTTGTTATGGTGGAATCCAGTACCTCTCATGGGTTTCCCTTGTTCTCCCAAATACCTGTCCATCTCCCCTCTCAGCTGCTGGCTTGGGTGACCTATAGTGACTTCAGGCTCAACATCAGACACAGACCACTAGTCTTGCATGACATTCCCACCAGCTCCCATAACAGTGTAAGATCTAATTCCTACTCATAGTGGTTCTGCTTCTCTGATTGAGCCCTAATGGATACTCAATTATAAAGAGCATCCAATAAAGATACTCTTTAAATTTATAAATATTTCTTGATAAAGAAGAACCAATTCCTGCTGCTTCAGTGCTTGCAGTAGCTGGTCATGCACAACAGTCTTTCAGGCCCTGCCTTCCTTTCTACTTACACATTATCTCATTTGGTCACTTCATCTCTCCAGGTAGCATCCTCTTAGAAAACTTTTACAGTGCAGCCTATAACTAGCTCCCTTCCATAAAGTTCACTCCTGGCATACCAGGAACACACATAAATCTTAGGCTAACTAAATTCTGCAACTATCATAACTTCTCAACATAGTCCTCTATAAACATTTTCAATCCAAGATCAGCTACTGGTGCTTATGTTCCCCAAATACCAACAGAAACATATTAAGTTCTACAGTTAGTTTTCTTTGGCAAATTGTTGTTTAGTAAATACATCTTCCCCACATGGTAGAGTTTATTTTTCCAGTCTCATTGATGTAGAGCAAGCCATCTGACTTGTTTTGGCTAATCAATTACAGAAAGAAGCAACACTGTGCCAATTCTGAGCCAAGATCTTAAGAGACACTACATCTTTCAGCTAATTCTTGTATTTATCCCACCATGTCCTGGGCAACCACTGGTTGCAGAAAAACAAGACACAGGGAACAGACTGAAACCCAATCTGCATCTAGGAACAAGACTGACAAAACCACAGTCTGAAATAGAGCTGCCAAGAGGAGCTCAGCTTAGATCTTCCAAACTGCAGCCTGCCTGCAACTTCATGAAAATAAATGTTTATTTTAATAACAATAAGATTATGAGATTGTTACACAGCATTATTATGGTGATAGCTGACTGGGACACTTTGCTTATACTGAAGTGAGAAGGAAGTATTTGCCTCCAGTAATTCTCCCCAGGTCATTTTCCCAGATATCCAATCTCCTATCAATTCTCAGCATCCTTTATATTGAGGTGGGTGATGAGCTGATGCTGAGACAACCAGCTCTGTGATGTCTTCCTTGCAAATGCTTAATTGATGGCTTAGCACATCATTTTAGAAAATGAGAAGATTTGGGCACTTATTGTTTAGTTTGGGCACTGGAGTCAAATCTGAGAAGATAGAATAAGTTATGTTTACTATTCTCCTTCACACATACAAAATTTGGATCATACTATATATATAGATCTACAACCTGACTGCTTTCACTTAAAAATAGATTGCAACATTTTTCCATGACACTCAATTTTCTTCTAGGCCTTCAATTTTCTCTTTCTTTGAAAACCTATTAGAGAATAAATGAGAATATCAAGTGGAGTAAGAATGGCAGAATTATGCACTTGGGCCCTTCCCACCTGCATTTGTAGGGTTTTCCCTGGGCATTCTGAGTGTTTATGTAAACTGAGAGAACCTCAGTGTTACCCACTTGTAACTGAGGTTCTCTTGGTTTACATAAGCACTCAGAATTCCCAGGGAAATATGAGGTTCTGCCACTTGTTTCTTTTCTTTCCCCATTTGGTTAAGACTAGGTACAAACACATAGTCAATGATAATAAATTAATTAAGCTACACTGAATTAAATGGAAATAAAATATACTGAATTGAATTGAACTGTAAAGAAAACAAAAAAAGAGGTGTAATATTAGTCTGCACTAAATCCAGGACGAAGAGTCTCCCAAAACAAAATGTGGCAGGTGATTTTAAAGAAGATTTGTTTTTACTCTCAATAACTTCCGAAAAGCAGTAAAGAAAAACATCCTCCAAATGTTTAGAGGTTTCTCTCTTCATCCCACACCAGGTCTTTAGATCTTTAAAGGGAAAAAAAAAAGTTTATGACAAATGATTTATTTTGCTAAAAGAATAAAGTTAATTTATATCTCCAAAGGGCATTATAGATGAAATTGCAATATTTCCATGTTCCCAAAATTTTTACTCTTTTTTTTCCACTCTAACACTACTCCCAAAGAAAAAACTATTGCCTTGAAAGTTTTTCAAAATATCCTATCACCCTACCTTTGTCCTTGGTCATTTCCAACCATGCAGAGCTTTTAATGTCAGGACCATCAACATGAAAATGCATGGCTATTATCAAAAGATGTTTTTCTAAGCCTACATATTCACTGTAAAGCATCCCAGAATCCTCTAGAGTGAATGTTAATAAGCACAATAGAGTTGGAATTGATGGTCTTGAACTCTTACCTTTCTACACTGATCTTCAGGAACTGTAATGTGAAAAGCACAAAGCTTCCCTCAACAGCTACTATACAATCATGGTAGTGTTAATAATAACAACTATCAATCAATTATACAAGCTAGACTTGATTCCATCATTTAACTCTTATGACCAACCACACTCTGTGAAAGAGACTCTTAACATCTGAACCATATAGATGAGCAAAGGGAGGGTTTAACGACTTGCCTAAGAGAACAAAGACAGTAACTGATGGAGCCAACAATGATATTCTTGCTTCTGACTCCAAAATCCACACTCAAGTTTTGTGCCTGAAACCCTATCTCTCTTTGAGAGAGAATAAGAATAATATTAGCTATCATTTATTAAGCCTTTCTGAGTAGGCCCTACCTTACTTGTTGCTTATAGATATACTCAATTTGAACTTATTCCACATTAGCATCCAAAAAATGCCACATCATTTATTAGTCGAAATCGAGTAAAGTTCATCTGTGAGCCCACAGTGGGAAGAATGGCAGGAAGCCCAGTGGATGTCATTAGTGAGGGGCTCCTCCTCCTCTCTACACTTAAATAAGCACACCATCATAGTTCCTGGCCCAGAACATTTGGGAATGAGCCCTGTAGACATCACCTTGTCTATGTTACTTCTAAATTGTACTGCCCAGGGTCTGGCCTCTGTGGGTTTGCACCTGGCCACACCCTATCCAGGGTAATACATGTCAACAGTGCCCAGGCCTCTGCCATTTTCAGAAACCCCAAACCCCTTTTATCTTCCAAGGCAGATAAATACCCAGCATCAGTGTATATGCCAGTGTTAGGAAACCAGTCTTCTGGGGTTAGTGCTGAAGAACTAACACCTTCTACCATAAAGGCCTGAAAGAGCTACTTTAGGAATTTGAACACACCAAAGGAATCTTCCATCCACCATGAAAAGAAAAAAGAAAAAATATGTATGTGTAAAGGAACTACATTATGCCATACACTTTGCCATGTCCTGCTGTACTTCGCCTACAAAACTGCAAGGTAAAGATTATTATAATTGGTTTTTAAGATGAGTAAACAAAAGATTAGAGAAGTTTTTTTTTTTAAAAAAGTCCCTAAATTGTACAGCTATTTCACTCTTTGCAGACAGCCTGAGGAAAACTTTTAGCTAATCTTAATAATAATTACCATTTCTTGGGCTCTTAGTCTGCACCAAGGCAGTATACTAAGCACTTTATATCCATTAGTTTCCATAACAATTCTATAACTTACTTCATTATCTCCACCTAAGAATGAGAACCACTGGAGCTCAGAGAAGCTAAGTCTTTTGCCCAAGCCACACATCTGGGAATGAGGGAGTCCAGATGTGAGCCTCTATGTTAGAAGTCAAAGTCGGATTCTTAACCCCAGCACAGCACAGCCTCCCCTCAAGGCTTTCAAGGGGAAGTGTGGCCCCAAAAGGACTGCGACTGTAGGGGAGATAGGTGGATAGAGCAGGCAGGGAGAAAAGTGGAAAATACCAGCTAGTATTCCTGGTACTCTCTGCACCTTACCACTGGAGCCCAGGGTACTCATTTTACAGGAATGACTCACAGGACAAAAGAGCAGAGGCCTTGCTTACTTTGTTTTGCAAACCATACCCTGTAGAATGAGAATAATTATTAGTCATCTGCAGGCCTTGTGATGCTTGTAGCTTAGTCATTGAGTAACTATTATAGATCACACATTCCTATTCCTTTGGATAGAGTCTCAAGCCACCTACACAATCCTTAAACAACTTCTCAAAGTCCCTTGAGCTGGGGGTGGTGGAAGACACACTCTCCAGAAGCTATGCATTCTTCCTACTGAGAGATGGACACCTTGTGGCCAGTAGCATAATGAGAAGTCTTTCAGCAGAATGAACAGGCATCCCTCTCCTGCTTTCAATGACCCACACACTCTTCAAATTGTCCTTCCAGCAAGAAAAGATACTCCAAGCAGTTTTAAGTCTTCCTTGGGGGCATAGGAGTTTCATGTCAACTAGGTTTGGTTTACATTTATGAGAGATGCTGCCTTATGTGAATGAGATAGGAAAAGAAAATACAGCAGGCATATGAGTGAGTAAAGGTACCAAATTCTAATAAAAATGATATGAACACATATGTGGATGTCCATACGCGCACACACACACACACACACACATACACACCACTTAATACCTTAATGAAAAGAGTCACAGCAATCTGGTGAATAACTTACTTATTTTGTTTTCCATTTTGAATTCTAAGAGTGGAGCTACTGAGATGACTAAAACAGTTGCTGTCCTTAAAGAACTCAAAGCTTAGTGGGAAGACAGAAACAACATTAATACAATAAAACCAAAGAGGTTATTATGAAAGCTCAGAGGAGAAACATCCAAACCAAATGGAGTTGAAGGTTAGGCAGAGGATGAGAAAGATTTCCTTGAGGCGATGAGAGCAAAGCTGAGCATTTTTTAACACACACCTGTCCAAAGTAGAAGCTGTTAATGCAGTACCCTGGCAATCTAGATGAGCTGGCCCCATGATTGAGGATATCATTCACATATACTATAGCAGTAAAGATGCTTTGAGATTTAAATAATTGAAAGCTTAATATCAACTCATTTAAACAATGAGGAATAATTCTGCCACATAACAAGAGGTGTAGGGAGGCTTCAGATATAATTTATCAACTCAAAGACATCATTTGAAACTCAGTTTTTTCCCCCATTATTCTACTACGAAATCCCAACAGATTTTCCTAACTGTCTTCTGGATCACAAGGTTGCTGCTGCAGTTCTGGACACCACGTGCAGACACAAAAATATTCAGCAAAAGAAGATATCTTTTCCATGTAACAATTTTTTATGAACAAAAGTATTCCCAACAGCTTCCCAGCAGGTTTCCCCCTCATATCTTATTGGTCATAATTGGGATACTATGATTGGATTACTAAGAAGTGAATAGAGGGAGGCTGTGATCTCCCCAAGAAAGGCTTGGAAAGCATGAAGAGGGAGAAGTATTTGTTGACTAGGTAGATACATTTTTTGGTACATTGGGAGTGGGATATGTGGGAAAACAAACCTATCAAACATGGTGCAAACCAAACTCTTCCCATTGGAAATTCTGACGGAACACTGTCTCTGAATTGATTGACTTATTTGAGGGAGTGTGCCATACTCCTGTAAATGGGGCTGTATCAAATGCTAAGAATTCCAGGTCTAAGCAGATAGAGCCAGAGGACTAGTCTTGGTACCATAGAACTTTTATGCTAGAAATGACCAAGAGGTGATGATTTTAGAGATCTGAAAACTGCTCTGCCATTTACTCAATACATGCTTTGTCCTGGCCTTTGCTGCCTGCTGTAAAATGCTTTGCCCATCTGCAGCTTTGGGCCAAGACTGGATGCTTTTCTGAGGGTCCTTCCAGCTCTGAAAGTCATGAATCATCACGATACGTGATGCAGAAAGTCTGATTCATCATGATACGTGACGCAGGTTCCTAATATTCCTCATCACCAGCACTTTATGATATTTCATATTGTTTTTAGCGATCTCACTAGAATGAAGATTCTTGAGTCAGCCTAGCAGATAACCAGACAAATTGTTGGTACTCTAAAACAAAAACAAAACAAAACAAAACACTTAAATTGGTTTTATGACAGAAGAGCTGAAAAGTACATGTGATCTTTCATTTAGTAGCAGCACTCCTGGAAAATCATCTTATATAAATTATTTGAATTTTTAGAAAAACTTGAAGCACATTTTCATCAAAATGTTATTGATCAGGTGTGAAAAGTACAAAACAACTAAATATCCAACTCTAAAGCCTTGTTTATATTAAGTGTGGTATATTCAATGAGTGGATTATAATCATGAAATGTAAATTTTAGAGACCTTATAGCATGTAAAAAAAAAAAGTTACATGTTACAAAGTAAGTGAAAAGTGGTACTAAGTTTTATTTACACTATACTGATAATTATGTAAACCAAACAACCCAAGCATTTAGAAGGGAAGAAAAAAAAACTTAAAGGAAAAAGACAAAATGGTGCATAGTAGCTGCACTGAGAAATAACTCAAAGGTCAATTTTTTTCTTTCTATTTTTTTTGACACTCCCAAAATGTTTATAATGAGTACGCACTGGTTTTATCATGGAGAAACACAATAAAAATCACTGATGGATTATTTGATTATCTTTATTAACTCAGTCTTACCTATTACTGTTGTTGACAGGAATAAATCCAGGTGTTTAAGAATGAATTTCATTGGCAGAGCTTGATATTCCAAACCTTGCTTCATGTTATCAAGCTTTCCTCCCAATCCAAACTTCTCTCTTATTACGGTTCAAACGACAATGCACAAAACTCTTTGCAGAACCTGATCTGGCCCTCCCATCTCCCCATCACCACCCCCTGCTTTTGTTATACCAATAATTCTTCCCAAGGTGCCCTTTCTTCTTTATTCCACTTCTCTCTACTGGCCAATATCAGAAAGCTCAGCTCAAACACTCAATACCTTCCTGAATGATCTTAGGCAAATTATTTCACTTCTCAGAGTTTCCACTTCTAAATTTCTATAAAATGGAAATGATTTTTAAATTGCTTTTTCTCACTACTATTACACAAAAGTTACTGTACCTGGCACATAGTAGGAAAACACACACAAAAATAGAAAGGGCAGCTTTTCCTCTGAATCCCTCTATCCCCAATTTATAGCTGTCTCAGTGCCTGGCACTATAGAAATAACTTAATTCATGTTTATTGGATGAAAAAAATGCCACTAGTGCTGCTACCAGGCCCTGACAGATAAGGACCTGTGGCTGTGTGATTTTTAGATGACTTATCTACATAAGAAAGCACAAAGTAAGAAAGTAGTCTAAAAGAGAGCTTCCTTCCCACATAGAGAAAGAGCTTTATTGACTTTGGTCAGAAACGGACTCTGGAAAACCGCCTGCAGGCATCTCTGTAAGTATTCGCCTACAAAGCAAAGAATATCAGAAAATAAGACGGAAAAATTTCTCATCCTTTTCCTCCCCACCCCCACACAAGGCGCCTCTCTCAAAAGGAGGATTTGGTTGTGTTTTTAAATGGACTTTTGCACTTTTTCAAAAATCAGCTAGATACCAATGCATCCCCACAGCTGAATAAGCACCATTAGGATGAAAGATGCATCCTGGGGGCAGCATAAACTGTGATCCAGCTGCCCCTCCAGCTTGTGCAACTTCTCTTGTTTGATGAGAACAGGGAGGGAGTGGAGTGGCCTGTAGGCTATGTCATGCAGGGTTGGCAGCCTCGAAGTTCATTTTGAAAGGAGAGCCACAGTGCTTGGAGACATTACTGAATTTCAGCTTGTCCACTCAGAAATTCCATTGGTATAGAATGGTGAAGGTGCTTCCATTCTGCTCTTCTAGAGAAACCAACCCTATTCACAGGCAAGGAAAGTAATCCTCTTTCTTCAATCTGCAAAAGTTTGAAGCAGCCCTTTAGCATAATCACTCTTAAAACAAATAAAAATAGAATACTGTACAAGCCATATCATCTTGTTGGTAGATGGTTCTAAGGGAGGAATATTTAATGGGACAGTGAGTTTAGGAAAGAGCAGTTTCTTTTGGTTCTGTGAAAGAAGTGTGCTTGAGAAATGTTATTCCAAATCCATTAAATTATTCATTCATCCATTCATTCAACAAACATTCAAGGATGAACTACTTTTCATTTGCCTTTTTATGTATTCATTCAATAAACATTTACTGAGCACAGAATGGATATACCATGCACTTTCCTGTGTGTTATGAAGAATATAAACAGTTAATGCTTACATTGTTGAGTGATTATGCTATGCCAGTAATTGTCTAAGATCACACAGCTGGTTAGTAGTACAGCCCAGAGTGTATCCCGGAGCCTGACCCCAGGCTCCATGTCTTTGACCTCCTGCTATATTGCCTCGCAAAGATGCAAAACACCCAGATGTTAAGATGCAAGTCCAGGCCTGAAGGAGCTTACACTTTAGGAGTGCTGAGGCATGTAAGTGCCTTAACAGAGGTTCAGGAAAAAGTATCAGGGACGTTCAGGGAAAGAAGAAATGATTTCTTCTTTGCTGAGAAAGAAACTCCTTGGAAATGGTAGGATTTGAGATGATTCATGCTAGACAAATAGAATTGAACAAGCATCAATGGGCAAAAAGGCATTCTAAGCTAAGAAAACTGTATCAGTAACCCACAAATGAAAGAAAGCAAAAGTTGTCAAAGAGAGCAACTAGTTTAGTTTGATTGGAGCATTAACGTATATAAAGAGTGATAGTGGGGAAAATGCCGGACCAGGAAGTTGAGACAAGTGTGTATGTGATACTAATTTTCTCTGAGTACCTTCACAGGTAACATTTACTCTGCTAAAATACATTCTCCAAGCAGGTGCTGACACTTGATGAGGGTATTTGCTTCACTATAATGAGTGACAAAGCATTACTCTAAAAAGCCCATTTAAAAATCACCATCTTAAATATGGGCTAATAGACTCAAGCAACACAGTCGTTCTGGAGTCTAAGTCCTTCTATTTATCTTGAGAAACTGTTGGGATAATAACAGCTCTGTAAGTCTGGACAAGAAATTTGAGGAAAGGCTCTTCTTTCAGGGAAGGTTTGCCTATAGGGTCTGACAAAGAAGCGCCTACTGGGTTCATTTCCAGAGCAGAGAATAATAATAGTGCTGTATTCACAATGTGTCTCCAGTCCACTGTATTCTTCCTTTGTGCCCATGGGACAACACTCTGAGACCTATTTGACCCTCCTAGAGCCTCTGTGTTGGGGGGGGAAGACACTGCTCAGCAGATTCTTGTTTTATGTATCACCATACATGAGAGAACTAGCCTTTGAGTTAACTCAGCATGGATTAGTCCCCAATAGGCACTATGTTACTCAATCTGTGCTCCTACTTTAAGGGAGAGAAGGGACTTTTCAATGGGAAGAGGGTGCACACTCAGTTATATGGTCCATAATTGATGCTCAGACTGTGTAAGAGAAGAGTAAGAAGTGGGAATGGAGAGGGCAAATGTTGTGTTCCGGTGTTTCAGATATGTTCATATGCAAAGAAAGACACTGTGACTCCAAAGAAAAGAATTCAAACAAATAGGTAGACTGAAATCCATATGAATTATGTACTAGGCATTGTGATAAATAATTACATGTGTGATGCTCTCTAATTCTCACAAAATCTCCACAGTATTATGTGCATTACCATTCTCATTTTTCAGCTAAAAATCTCTATTATTCAGGGTTCTCAGAAAGACTGAGAAACTCACTTGAGGTTTCACAGCTAACAACAAGTGATGGGTTGGAACTCAAACCCATATCAGCCTAACTATCTTTTAGCTCCCCAGGCCACACCTTCACTATGGTAGGCCTTACACTCTTTTCTGTTATTTACCTTAGAGAAGAGATAGGGAGGAACTACGGCATAACAAATATAGCTCAATATAAGTTAACTCTGTCACACTTCACTGAATGACCTTGGGCAGAAATATGTCCACTCTCAGACCTCAAAATCCCCTCTGAAAAAATTGAGTAGTACAAATGATCCCATTATACTGCTTCTGATATAGTTTCCCATGATCTCTAAGACTCTATTGGATAAATAGAGACTCCTCAGTAGCTCTTTACAATCTATGAGAGTCCACTGGAAGAAACAGAAACCTTTCTACAAGGCATTCATGCACCTTCATGATCCAGCTCCTGCCCATCTCTCCTCCATCACCTTCCACCCACTCAAACTCACATTCACTGTTCCAGCTCCACCAAACCACGGGCTAGTCTCCAAAGGGAGGGCCACACCTCTGGGCCTTCATGCATCTTATTCCCTGCACTTGGAAAAAAGAAATAGGTGGCTGGCCTTACTGTAAGCTGCTATTCTTAAACATATTTCAATATCTATTTGGCATCAGTGAAGAGAAAATACTTTTCTATTCACTTAAATGTTAAGTACATACATTCTTTCTTAGGTCAGTAAATAACATATCAATTACTATGTCACTTTCTTATTTAAGCTCCTTTGAAACACACCACTCCTATAAGTGTATCGGTGACCAAGGAGAATCTACTCAACATCACAGAGATGATGGAGGAGGGCATTCATGTCACATGGAACATCGCATGTCATAGAAAATAGCTCCATTCCACAAGTCTCTCCTTGAAGGCATATTTTCTGAGCCAGAGCAATGCTGGGCCTTCTCCCAACTCTTCCCCAGCTCCCGTTCCCACTACGGCAGCCCTCTTGGATCTGTCTCTGCCTCTTCAATGCAGATTAATGAGCTCTGTCTGTTCTTCTACCCTAAATGTGCTTACCTCCCACTTCTTAATACTGTTTCAAGGGTCAAAAGCCACACAGCATATTAAGGATGAAGACTGTGTTTTGACTAGAAAACAGAACTTCTAATTGTTTATAATATAGTAAATGCAAAATAAGGCTTTCATTATATTCATCAAATAAGAGGAAAAGCAAGGTGCGTTCCTCCAAGCACAACAGGAACCACAGGTAGAAGCCTAGGCCAACTGGAACCTCATTCCCGTTTGCTTTAGAGATATTTTGTGCCCCTCACAGTGTAGAATCTCAGTTAACTCCCAGCTGACACGTATTTTTATCCAGACTTGCACCTGACAAACTCCTGCTCTCACTGCAAAATTTAGCAGAATGAGGCACCACCTCTCTGTGAAACCTGTCCTGACACCATCCAGTTCCTAATTAAGCCTCTCTTCAGTGTTCTCCAATTTTCATGTGGACTTCAGTATGTCAAAAGAAAAATGTCAGCTGAATTAAATGTAAAGGATTTTAATTGAGCAATGAATGATTCAGGAATCAGGCAGCCTTCCGAGCAGGAGTAGGCTCAGAGACTCCAATGCAGCCACGTGGTGGAAGATTTATGGACAGAAAAAGGAAAGTGACTGCAGAAAATGGAAGTAAGGTACAGAAACAGCTGGATTGGTTGCAGCTCACCATTTGCCTTATTTGAACACAGTTGCAACCGTTGGCTACATTTGATTAGCCAAAACTTGGTGATTGGCACAAGCGTAGGCTACCATCTGTTGCTATAGTTCACGATGTACAGAGAAAACCTTGGGCTGAACTTAAAATATGTAAGAAGGCAGCTTCAGGCTAAACTTGATTTAACAAGTACTATGATTATTTTATGGCATCTACCAATAATGAGGCATTTATCAATTTATCTTTCTTTCTCCTCCCACTAGACTGTGAGTTCCTTAGGACAAAGATTTTGTCTAATCCATCTCTGACTCTGCATAGTCCCAGATTGGATTTGTGTGTGTGTGTGTGTGTGTGTGTGTGTGTGTGTGTGTGTGTGTGTGTGTATGTGTGTTTCCTCAAGAACTTGATTATAGGCCAAGCTGACAGTAAAATTGACACTGAAGGCAAAGCCTGCCCAGTATTCCTCACTTTTAACTCAGGAAAAGGAAGCTGGTCTTGACCTAGTCCTGAGTACAGAATTCTCTGCAGGTGGGAGAAATATGAAGGCAAGGAAACAGGAGGTGATTTGTAAGGGAAAATGAAGCACATGGCAAGTTAGATTCCCCAAGGTTCTTAAACTGGTAGTTAATTGAATCCAGTGTTCCAAGACCTTAATTTCAAACAAGGTCTTTGGGAGAAACAGTCAGTTGCTCTCCCTCAGGCAAAATGAAAGCCCTTTTCCTTAACTCGGAGATGTAACAAAGCTCCTGACTTCTTTCTCCTTAATCCTTGTGCAGTCGGGCTGAGGCCTCAACCTGGGGGGCTTTGGAAGGCAGTTTCTGAGCCTCACTTCTTCCTGCCTATCCCACAACCTAGATTATCTGCAAACCCCAATAGGTATTTTTAAATTCAAAGCTCCCTGCATAAAAATGCCAGACTTGCCAGGAGTGAGTCCTCACCAACCTGACCCAGGCCATATGTAGCCCCCAGGTCTTGATTTGGAGCCAGGGTCCAGGATAAATCTTTCCATCTCTCATATTGCAATTTGCTTTGTCCTTATTAGCATCTCTATATTCCCTTTTGCATTACAGTGACCTCATTCATTCATTCATTCAAAAACAAATATTTACTGAATGTTCACTACAAGTTAAATCTGAAGAAACAGAATAATAGTAGTAGCTGGCAGGTATTGAATTTATCATGCACTGTGGCAAAAATTAGATAAAGAGAAAAATACCTGGATGATTCTCTATTTTATTTATTTGTCACAAAAAATCCTATGGACTAGGTACTATAGCATTGTTATGTTACAGATGAGGAAATGAGGGACAGAGAGAGAATAACTTTCTGAATCAGAATTATTTTGTCTGAAAGTAACAGAAAAATCAACTCAGCATGGCTCGAACAATGAGTGAGATGCATTATCGGACACAACAGGAAGAACAGAGGGAGACAGCTTTAGGATTTGTGAATTCAGTGACTTCACACCTGGGTTATTTTCAACCTTTCATCCTGCCAGCCCCAGAGAGTCACCATAATCTTCAAGTTTGGTCCACAGAGCTACAACCGGGCTATGGAAGTTTCAAGAGCTTCATCCAGACATAAAAAATCCAAAGGGAGAGACCAAGGGCACATATTTTCTTTGTGCCTGTATTAGTTTCCTAGGGCTGCCATAACAAAGTGCCATAAACTGGACAAACTGGATGGCCTAAAACAACAGAAATTTATTTTCTCATGATTCTGGAAGCTGGGAGTCTGAAATCAAGGTGTCAGCGGGGCCAGACTCCCTCTGATACCTCTAGAGAAGGAGATTCCTTGCCTCTTCTTAGGCTCTAGAGATGACTAGCAATCCTTGACGTTTTTTGCATTGTAAATGCATCACTCCAATCTCTTTCCAATTGCTTTTTCTCTGCGTGTATGTCCTTCTGTCTCTTCTCTCATTATAAGGATACCAATCATAATGGATTTAGGCCACACCTTACTCTGGAATAAACTTACCTTAACTCAACTACATCTGTAAAGGCCCTATTTTCAAATAGGGTCATATTCACAGGTACCAGGGGTTAGGATTGAACACATTTTTGGGAAAGACAAAATTCCACCCACAGCAATGTCTTATTTTAAGAGCTAGAAACCCTTTCCTGAAAGTCCCCTAGCCAACTTCTTAGATCTTACTGGCCAAAATTGCATCACATGCCCAGACCTAAGCTAATCACTGCCCAGGGGAATGGGAACCACCAAGATCAGTTTAGACCAATTCGGACCCACCCTAGGGCCTGGAAAAGGTGTGCAATCCCTCCTAAAACAGCACATGATGAGGAGAGAGCAGGTACCAGAACACGGTTGAGGAAGAAGGAAGTGGAGAGAACTGATATCTCTAGGAAGGCAACCAACAGTGTCTGCTACACTTGCCCATAATTCCATATGTATCTGACTCCAGAGCTTGAGGCCTATGAGCTCACAAATCCCCATTTCAGGATTCACTATGGCACCATGCCTCATGTTCTACAAGGCCCTGTGCTGTGGGCTTTGTAGGTGTCTTCTCATTTAATCTACAGGTACACATCATTATCACCACTATCATAGATATGGTAAAATCACAGGCATCAAGCCCGGGGTTGCACAGCTCTTGGAGGTAGATGCTTATGAAATGCAGAAGTCTACAACACCAGGCTGTGAGAAATATAAAGTAAATGTTTACTACATGTGGAACCTGGCCCCTTCCATTTCAGAAAATTCTTTTATTTATTTTCAGAATATTTGAATTTTAATTTACATAAAGCATTTGTATCTCTTATCCCACAATCATAACTAAGAAATCCTGCTTTGTCCACCTAAGTAAATTTTTTTTCTTTTGATCAGTAGAAATTAAAGTACAATGTGAGGGCCTTTGCTCCTCTTGGCTTGCTTGAGCCTAAAAGAATGCCTCTCTCTCAAAGATGAGCAGCTGGTTGGTTTTTGTGGGGAAGGCATACTTATCATGTAATCCATTTCCCAATTTCTTACAATGAGAGCTTTGGTGAGAAAGCCATATGTTCCATGATCAAGGAAGAGAGAGGAGGGTATGGTAAGAGGCGCAGTCTGAAATGGAACATTCAGGCATTTCTTTTGTCACGTGAACAAGGAGAAAAAGCACTGGTCTTAGAGTCAGAATAGATCCTTTCTTAGTTCAGCAATTAAATAGCCTGGCTCTTGAATTTGGGCAATTTGTTTCCCTCGTCAGGGCTCAGTTTTCTCATCTATGAAACAAAGTGGTTAAATTACATAATGTTTAAGTTTTCTTCAGCTATGACACTCAAAGTTGGGGAATATTGTTTTCTGGGTTCACTATGAGCATGTCAACTCTACTTCATTCTCTGCCCTTCCCTCTCTACCCTTCTTACTCTGTACATCTGATAATTTATGATTCTGAGTGGTGACTGTGAAGTAGAGGATAATGAGTTAAAATTATGCTTCCACTGAACAGTTTGGTTTAAAAACTGCTTTCATGGTCACTATGTTGCTTCTTTCTTACAACAGCCCTGTGAGGGTATTAATTTTCTCATTTCTAAAAATCAAGAAACTGGAAAATGTTGGAGCTTGCCCAAAGTTACTCAGCTAATGAGTGACAAATTCAGACCTAAAGTCAGGCATTTGGCTTGCAGTTAGTAGCCAACATATGATAACTCAGCTCATGGGACCCCACAGCACAGCAGCCTCCCCTGCTTCACCAATGCTAAGAGAGCCTTGACTTGATGTTATCTGAAGGAGATATAAGGATGAAGATTAAGTGGTTTACATGGAACACATCTATC
Source organism: Homo sapiens (assembly GCF_000001405.40). NCBI lineage: Eukaryota > Metazoa > Chordata > Mammalia > Primates > Hominidae > Homo > Homo sapiens. The sequence continues at coordinate 13,896,454 of NC_000004.12, read as the reverse complement.
TTTGTTGTTTTATAATTAAGCTATCACTTATCCTCAAGAAATCAGGTATAAGAAAAAAACCATCTAACAACAACGTTGTCCTAGAGACAATGCATTACCTTGAGAAAGAGTGAAGGGTTCATCATAGACAATATTTAAGCATAGGATAAATAAACTCCTGATGGGACTGAAGGAATCAGACTTTGGATGAGAATTAACCTTCAGTCTCTGGTGAGGTGTTATTTGCACTAGGGCAATTTAAGCTTGTGTGGAGGGTTATTTTTTTCTGACAGGAATAAATAAATCTGTATACCAGCAATGATCAATTGGAATTTGAAATTATAGATAGAACACCGTTTACAATAGCACCCAAAAAACTAAAATTCTTAGATATAAATCTAACAAAATATGCACAAGATATATATGAAGAAAACTATAAAATTCTGACAGAAGAAATCAAACATCTAAGTAATTAGAGAGATAAACCATGTTCATGGATAGGAGATGATAAGATGTCAATTCTTCCCAATGATGACATGGATAAGATGTCAATCTTCTTAACAAATTCAAAACAGTCCTAATCAAAATTCTAGCAAGTTATTTTGTGGATATTGAGAAAATGATTCTAAACTATATGGAAAGGCTAAAGACTCAAAGTAGCCTATAAAATACTGAAGAAGAACAAAGTCAAGGACTGGCACTACCCAACTCCAACACTTACGGTAAAGCTTGTACAGCCATCAGGACATTATTGTTTTGGTAAAAGAATTGACAAACAGGTGAATGAAACAGAATATATAGCCCAGAAACAGGCCCAAACAAATATAGTCAACTGATCTTTGACAAAAGAGCAAAGGCAATTCAATGAAAAAAGGTAGTCTTTTCAACAAATGGTGCTAAAACAACTGGACATCTACATGCAAAAATAAATACATAAATCACAGATCTTATACTTTTTACATAAATTAACTCTAAATGAAGCATAGATCTAAAGAAAGTGCAAAACTAAGAAGATAACAAAGAAAAGTACTGAGGTGACCTTGAGTTTGGTGATGAATTTTTAGATACAACATGAGCAGCACAATCTGTGAAAGAGAAAAATGAACAAATTTGACTTAATTAAAATTTAAAACTTCTGCTTTGCAAAATATATTGTTAAGAGAATGGAAATAAGAGCCACAGACTTAGAGAAAATATTTACAAAACACATATCTGATAAACACCTTGTAGCCAAAAATATACAAAGAACTCTTAAATCTTAAGAATGAGAAAACAAACTACCCAATTTAAAAAAAAAGGGGGTAAAAGATCTGAACAGACACCTTACCAAAGAAAATGTACAAATGACAAATAAGCATAGGTTTAGTAATCATATTAGGGAATTACAAATTAAAACACTAGGAGCAAACACATAAGATCCTATTATACATTTATAAGAATAGCTAAAATTTAAAATACCAAATGCAAATAAGGTGCAATATGAACTCTCATTTATTGCTATTTATTGCTGGTGGAAATGCAAAATGGTATAGCCACTTTTGAAGACAATTTGGCAGTTTCTTGCAAAACATGAGATACTCTTACCATATAATCCAGGACTCATGTTTCCTGGGTATTTACCCAAATGAGCTGAAAGCTTATGTCCACACAAAAACTTGTACATGAATGTTTACAGCAGTTTTATTTGTAATTACCAAAAACTAGAAGCTTGCAAGTTGTCTCCAACAGGCAAATGAATAAATAAACCATGGTACATCCATATAATGGAACATTATTCAGTGATAAAAGGAAATGAGCTATCAAGCCATGAAAAGACATGGAGGAACCTCAAAAGTATTTGTTAGGTAAAAGAAGCGAGTCAGAAAAGACTGTATGATTGCAACTCTATTACATGCTGGAAAAGACAAAACTATATAGATAGCAAATAAATCAAAGGTTGCTAGGGGTTTCAGAATTTAAGAGCAAGGAAGAGGTGGAGCACAGGGGATTTTTAGGGCAATGAAATTGTTCTATATACTGTAATGGTGGATAGTTGAAAATATGCATTGGTCAAAGCCCATAGGACTGTACAACACAAAAACTGAACCTTTATGAAAACTACAGATTTCAGTTAATAATCATACCAATACTGGCTCATCAGTTTTAAGAATAATGTACTACACTAACGCAAAATGTTAATAGCTACATAAGGATGAGGGAAGGAGAAGATAGTTAATGTGCTCTGGGGTGATCTAGCTGCAACTACTTGTACACATGTTTTGAAATCTTGACAGTTAGAAGCGTGCCCCTGACATTTGAAAGCTGCCAACAATTCTTCTCTTTCTTCCAAGGAGGTGGCTTAGATTCCTCTATGAGGGAAGAGAGAGGCCTTGTTTAGGAAAACACACTTACAGGGCATTTTAATTAGACAAATGTAAAGTAAGAGCCCCTTTTGAAACAGAGAGATCTAAAACAATAAAAATTCAGTTGTGTCTGTAAGATCTGTGACTGGGTGGCCAGACCAGGCCCAGGGTTTAGAGGGAACCTTGGTTATTCTCCCTTAAGGTATCTAGAAAGCCAAGGGCCTGAATCTAGGGTAGGAGAAATGCACTAATTTTGCCTACTCCCTCTACAGGTGCTGTATTAGTCTGTTCTCACACTGCTATGAAGAAATACCTGAGACTGCGTAATTTATAAAGGAAAGAGGTTTAATTGACCCACAGTTCCACATAGCTGGGGAGGCCTCAGGAAACTTACAATCATGGCAGAAGGCAAAGAAGAAGCAGGCACCTTCTTCGCAGGGTGACAGGATGAAGTGAGTGCAAGCAGGAGAAAATGCCAGATGCTTATAAAACCATCAGATCTCATGAGACTCTATCATAAGAACAGCATAGGAGAAACTGCCCCCAGGATCCCATTACCTCCACCTGGTCTTGCCCTTTACACGTGGGAATTATGGGGATTATAATTCAAGATGAGATTTTGCGTGGGGACACAGCCAAACCATACGGGTGCTACTCTGGGCATCACAACTGGAAGACAGGCAAGAGCTGAGGATGCTAGGAGCAACTGTATCTGGTAATACTCATCTGCATTGTCATTCCTTTCTCATTCCACAAGTCTTCAATAGTGTTTTATAAACCACATTATAGAACATTAAAGGACAGACCTGACTTGTGTTTAAGGGAAAGCAATATGAAGAAAATCACAGCTATGAGGAAAGTCAGGCTTGAGGAAGCCAGAAGCAACCTGAAAATAGACTGTTTATTATAATTTATATGTTGAAATCTTTACCCTCCAGGTGATGATAGAATCCTCTCACCCTCTTTCTGCCATGCGAAGACACAGAGAGAAGCAAGCCATCTACAACCTGGAAGAAGACCCTCACCATAACCTGATGATGCTGTCACCCTGATTTGAGACTTCCAGTCCCCAGAATTGTGAGAAATAAGTTTCTGTTGTTTATAAGCCACCCAATTTACAGTACTTTGCTATAGCAACCTGTGTTTGACTAAGTGACAGAGACGATAAGGGCTGTGGGGTTTCTGAAGAGAGAGGGAATGCTCTGTGAGCTGGAGGAAACAGGGCAGATCCTGGCCACACACTGAGAACAAGTAGGATTCAGTTGCTAGTGGGAGAAAGCACTTTCCTGGTAGGAATCAGGGGTGAGCAAATGTGTCAATTTCATAACAAGTAAGTTCCATCTTTAAAGGCTATGTGATATGTTTTTACCAGTCAGTTTGGTAGCAAAGAAATTGTCTCCTTGTACAAATTTTGGAACCAATTTGCCAGCCAGAAGATGACCACATACTCTCTCTCTCTCTCTTTCTCTCTCTCTCTCTCTCTCTCTCTCACACACACACACACACACACACACACACAAACTTTCACAATCTTATGCTGTGTAGGTCTTGCTGTGTAGATGCTGAAAGAATTCCAAAATATGTCTGGCTCACTCTGAAGTTATTTTTCCTTCCCAGGCTTGAACACAAAATTGTGTTTTCATATTTCTTTCAATCCAAGTCCTGCGGATCTGCTTAATAAGATTCAGACTCATTCTTTCTGTCTCAGGAACTGAAGAAAGAGAAGTATCTGGGGTTGGCCCTGCTTGAATTCTCAGCAGACTTCACAATAAAAAAGTTCAAACATTATGGCCTCCAGTCATTTTCTAAAACAAACAAAACCAAAGCAAGCCTGGTAGGCTCTTTGATGACTTATATGACTAAAATCCTCTCTCTCTCATTTTTTCCCTCCCTCCTCCACATACTCTTCAAATGCATGTGAGTCATGCATATGCTTGGAACTCAATTGATGAGTCCCCGCACATCAGTGTGAAATGTCAGTAAGCAAATTAAGCAAAAGTTCTGGCTGGGGAGATAAGTCGAGGTGAAAAGCTGCAGGAGCTGCCTGCTCAGGTCTGGTTTCCTCAGAGGAGGGAGGGCTGGTAGGAGTCCAGGACCAGAGACAAGGCAGTTGTCAAGAACAAGGCTCATGGTCAAAATCAGGACACAGTCAGAGAAGATGCAGGAAGTTGGAGTAAAGCCAAAGCCATCAACCCTCACATGAGGCAAGCGGAGACTCAGTGGAGGAGGAGAATGCATGAGACCCATCCTGGGGTCTCATCTAGCTAAGGCGCCCATCCATACAACCTTCGCCATGTGATTCACTGATACCATATACCCCCAACCTCCTCCTGAGACTCCCCACCATGTCCTGGCCCTAACTAAGAATCAGCTCTTCCCTGGTAACCTGATTCCTTTGCAGTCCTCTCATGTGGAGTCAGCCTGTTCTCAATCTGTCCTTCCATGTTCCTCAGAGTTGCTCTCAGCATGCTGGCCCCCAGCACCAGTCCCAGCTGCCTATGTCAAAGCTTCTCTCCCTCTTGAGTCTCAGGTCCTCCAACTACACGGACCTCCACCCCGCCGCTGCTTTCCCTAACCACCACCTGATTAGTACTCACTCTCATGATAGTCTGATGATGACAGTGGTATCTGGTCCACAGTCTTCCCTTCATCCCATATCACCACCCCAGGTGACATCACGGTCATCTACAGTGGCCAACCTACACCATTTCCAGACTTCTCAGGGTCCTAGCTTCTCATCTCCCCTCTGCATGCAGCACTCACCATTCATCATTCAACAAATAGTTACCAGTACCTACTACTCACTGTGCTCTGAGCATGGTGCTGGGATACCCCTGCCCTCTAGAAGTGCATAGTTTAATGGGAGAGACAGTCACATAGGAGAGGGAAACATAGGAACTCGATCTGGTGGGAAGGATGTGGCAACAGGGCCCCATCCTGCAGAAAGGCAGGATCTACAATGTTGAGATGGTAGATAATCTACCTGGGCTGTATCAGGATCCCATCAGCAGTGGGGGGTAGAACAAGAGGGGTCTAACTCAAGTGGAAGGTAGGGGGAGGCTGGCATGAACTATGTCATGTCTCATAAATCCTTCTACATTAAGTTTTAAATGAGGAAAACCTGATTACCAACCAGAAATCAAGGCAGAAGTTCGATGATAAACATGGGAACTTACTCATCTTTATAGACTGGCATCTAGTGCTATGCTGGATCATGGCAGGAGCTCAGTGAGTGTTTTTCCAACAGAACTCAACCATCATGAACATGATAAGCATAAGAAGGGCAGGAGGGGAAAGCTACAGAGCAATCCACAGGGCACAAAGTGGGCAGGTTGGATACCTAAGCACGACCAATTCTAGATCCCACTTACCTTTGCAGATGGGGCTCATAAAATGCTCCATGATTGGGTTTTCAGGGTCCAGGCCTGGCTTGAGTCCAAGTGGGAGGTGTGAGCATGAGGAGCCAAATAGGCCTGGCACAACAAAGATCAGCCTATCATGGGGTCAGCCTCGCTAAAAAGTAACATGGGGCACTAAGAGGAATCCACAGCAGAATCAACCCTGTCTTCTGCCTAGAAGCCTCTTCTATAACCTTTTCTTGTGGGACAACCACCCAGCTTCCTGGAATATGGACCATCAAACTCTAGAGCAGGTATGCCCAGCCTGGGTCCCCAGCAGAGTCCCCAGACTCACAGGAGGCTTCAAAGACAACCCAGGAATCTATGGGACATTACTATTATCCTTAAAATACTAACAGACATTGAGGATACACATGTGAACCAAAGTATTCTTATTTTTTACTGAAATTAGAACCAACTCAGGGAGCTAACCCTGGACACGGAGATCGGAAACTATGATTAGAGGCTATATGTGCATTTGATTAAATGTAGAGGGGAAAGTGATTCAATATTTATGTTAAGTGTAGTTTTTTAGACAAAAATCTTTCAAAACATGTTGTACTTTGCAAAGTTAATAAAAAACAAAAGGACACCTTGCTATAGAAAGGTTGGAAATCATTTGACAAGAAGCAGGAGACAGTTTGTATATTTCATCAGCTCATTACACCAGGCCAGAAGCATCTCATTCCCTGCCTGAGGAGATGCTGATAATGTAGGGTAATCCTGGGCTCTTAGTCAAGGAACCATGCAGCCTTGGACATGGGGAAGCTGGCTTACCAATCAGCCATTTATGCCGCCTTCTCTGTACAAAGCATATCTGAGGGTCATTAAAGACTTAATGAGTGGGTTCTCTATACAGAAGTATCCAGTTGTATTCCTTGCCCATGGTTCTTTACATTATTTAGTAAAATCACAAGTTTTAGATATTAAGAAGCCTAAATTTAAAACCAACCTCTCTCACTTATTGTGAACATGACTTTGGACAAATATATTAGTGAAGACATGTGGCTGCAAGTATCAAAAATGCTAATAAATAGTGTCTTTAAAAAACTAGGGGGTTTTCTTAAATAAGTAGAATTTGGGTAATCTTGAGATGGAACAATTCTTGAAGGGAATCATCAAGGAACTGGGTTCCTTTCAATTTCTATTCCACCATCTGAGGGAGTATCTAAGTGTTCATCCTCTTTGCGGTATCATCTCTGTTACCCCTCTAGCCATTGCATTCACATGCCAAGTAGGAAGAAGAAAGATAAAGGGCAGAAAGCATGAAATCAACTGAATCTGTCTTTCTTTTTGTCAGAAAAGCTTTTGCTTAATTGGAAGCCTCATTCAGATTTGTGCCTGTGTATCTTCATTAGCATATTGCAGGGACAGTCTGGATAAAAACCAGTTGACAAAGAATTGACATTTAAAGAAAGTGTTACTCAAGGAGTGGTATATAAGGATTTTCTTCAAATAGAAACAAGTGTTCTAAAATTTAAAAGTTACAAATCCTACTGAAGCCCATCAAATACATTTAAATTATTAGTTAAATGTAGTTAAATGCATTAAGATGTTTTTGTTATAAATATAGTTAATAATAGTTTGAATGAGCTAATAATGAGAAAGAAAGAGAGGAGAGAGAAGGTCAAAGATGGAAGGAAAGAAAGAAGAAAAAAGAAGAAAGAAAAAATGAAAGAATAAAGGGAAAAGGGTAGGGAAAAAATCTCATTGTAACTTTTAAAGGTTTAAAAATTGGTAAATAAAAGTAAAACATAAGCATTAATTCTGTCTTTTCTATACCAAGTATACCTGAGGGTAGTCAATGGACTATTGAGGGGGGTTGTCTTCACAGAAGCATTCCAGCTTTAAGAAAAATCAGCGGGCACCATGGCTCAGGCTGTAATCCCAGCATTTTGGGAGGCCGAGGTGACCTCCGATCACCTGAGGTCAGGAGTTCGAGACCAGCCTGACCAACATGGAGAAACCCTGTCTCTACTAAAAACACAAAATTAGCCAGGTGTGATGGTGCATGCCCGTAGTTCCAGCTACTCGGAAGACTGAGGCAGGAGAATCACGAACCCAGGAGTCGGAAGTTGCGGTGAGCCAAGATTGTGCTGTTGCACTCCAGCCTGGGCAACAAGAGAGAAACTCCTTCAAAAAAAAAAAAATGATAAAATTAGAAACTCACATTTTGTGAACTTTAGTAAAATAATGGATCAAGGAATGTCCATGAATGGCTACTATCATCACAAAAAGGAGTCCATTAGACACAATGGAAAAATAAACCATCATCTAAAGATTGAGATATTCTTGCTAAGATCTTCAATCTGAATCTATCAAGCTTCAAGACTGAACTACCAACTTGCAGGAAATAGAGTTGCAGAGGAACATGTTAAACAATGCCACAAGCATGCAATCAGCAAAATCCAGAGTGTGGGAAAGAATGCAGGCCAAATGAGTCATTTTTTGTTTTTTTGGTTTTTTTTTTTTCAACGAATAAGTTGCAAGGGGAAATATAAAAAAAAATAGAGGGAAAAGGAGAAGAGATTTTAAAAGACTGGAGGTACATCCAACAATTGCAATATATAAAACTTATTTGGCTACTGATAAAAACTACTAAAAATATAAAATAATTAGGAAAATTTGAACATTGACTCAATATTTCATTATTATAAGTAATTATTTTTAATTATTTAGATATGAAAATAGTATTGTTATTATATTTCCATAAATAGTACTTACCTATAAAATACATGGTGAAATTCATATAGATTAAATGATATAATGTCTAGAAGTTGCTCCTAAATAATCCAGGGAGAAGGAGGAAATGGATGGAGATGCAGATAATATAATATTGGCCCTGAATTGGTAATTGTTGGAATTGGATTATGGATATATGGGAATTTACTATACTATTATCTCTACTTTTTTATATGTTTGAAATTTTCCATAATAATTTTTCAAACATTAACCAACCTCAGAATGAATCGCATTAGACAAAAGTACTACTGAACTTGGCTCAAAGTGAAGAAGAAACCACTCCGAGTCAATGGTTTTCTTCATGGAACTGGCTACAGTTTCTTCCCAGTGTCCTAATGAAGAGGGCTCAGAGTTGACATCAGAACTAGAGGGCCCTTGTGCTGAAAGTTAAAGTAAAACAAAATGTAGAATTTCCATTCCAGTCCCTGTATCATCTTCACAAAATTCTGAGTTTAAATTCATTATAAACTCCTAAACTATATGATCCTACTCAACCGTAAAAATCAAAGTATGATTGCTGCAAATGATCAAAAACAGGTAAATAGCATCTGGTTAGAGTATTGTGGTTTAGCAAAACTTCTTTTTTTTCTGAGTATGCTCCCAGTTATACATTCATATATATTTCCACATAATTATGAGGTTTTTTAAGGAAAGAAAATATGATCATAGAGAAGTAAGGTTATTTGAAATTCATCCCAAATTAAATGTTTGTTCACTCCATCAACAAATATTTGAGTGTCTACACTCTGCTGGACATTGTCTTGGGTTTACAGAGGCACTGCTGAGGACAAACAAAAGGTACAGCTACTGCCTGGTGGAGCTCACAGCATGGGGAGACCTAGGAAAACAGAACATATATTGTAAACACCCAGGAATACCTATAAATTACAACCTAGGTCCATAGCAGCATTATTCCCAATAGCCAAAAGCAGAAGGAACCCGAGTGTTCATCCACAGATGAAAGGATAAACAAAACGTGGTATAACATACATGGAATGTGTATAACATACAATGGAATATTATTTTGCCTTAAAAGAGAAGTACACTCTGACATATGCTACAATATGGATGAACTTTGGGTACATTATGCCAAGTGAAATAAGTCAGTCACAAAAGGACAAACACTGTATGATTCCACTTATACCAAGTGTTTAGAGTAGTCAAGCTCATCAAGACAGAAAGTAGAATGGTCGTGACCAGGGGCTGGGGAGGAGTAGGAACATTGTTTAGTAAATACAGAGTTTCGGTTTTACAAGATGCCCTGCCTTCCATAGGTATGAATGGTGGGGGTGATGGTGGCACAATCATGTGAATGTACTTAATGTCACTGCATTGTACACTTAAAAATAGCTAAGATGGTAAATTTTATGCTATATGTGTTTTACCATGTAACATTTAATTGTACCACAATTAAAATGTTTTAAAAATCACAACTTAAGGCAACTGCTACCAAGAAGCAGATAGCTATTTTAGTAGGCACTATTTCTTCCTTCTAAGCATCCATTTCCCACTCTCTCCTTCCTAATATTACCTAGATTTTATTTAGAAGTCCATTTCCTCTCCACATTATCATATGACTCAGGAGACACTAATACCTTTACACCTCTACTGGTGAATTCTGATTAGTCTAAGCCAATCACACCATGACACTTCCCTGTCAATTTATGCATCTGAGGATAGGTTGGGCACATGAACCATGTTGGTCCAATTATACTGAAGTAACACATTTATATTTATATTCCATGGTAGAAGGAGATGGAAACACGGGTGCATATTGGCTCCATTGCTGCTGGCAGCCATATTGTGAGCAGGAGGATTACCTGCTTTAGGCTGAAGGTAATGTAGGGAACAAATCATGGAAAAACCCAAAGAATTTGGTTACAGAAACAATTCAGTGAGTGACATTGCTGAGCCACTGAAACAACCAACTCGGTGGTCCTTCTACCCCTGGGCTTACTGTTATGTCAGATAGTGCATATTCTTATATAAGCCGGTTTAAGTCTGGTTTCTGATAGTTCAGCCCACACCATCCTATGTTAAGTATTAAAGCCAAAAAAGCAATGAATAGGAGTAACTGGTCTAGCTGTAGAGCTCAGGATAAACAGCATCTGGGCTGAGGCAATAGAATGTGGAAGGGTTCTGTGGCAAAAGGAAATGGAGTTCTGTCCAGGAGTTCCAGGAAGTGAAAGAGTTCCAGCCTGGCAGAAGCCTAGAGGGAGGGGCTGCAGGTGAACTATCATACAAGATGAGGTTGAGAGACAGAGGGGAGCCAGACCCCTCCATGTAGGTCCTCTTAAGATTTTAGTCTTAATCCTAACGAGAGTCAGAAGCGATCGGTGTGTTTTATGATGTCGTGATTAAAGGACCAGATTTGCTTTTAAGTAGATGCTATAATGTGGAGAAGTGATGGGAGAAAGGACAAGGTGGGGGCAAAGAAACAAATATTGCAGTTCAAAGATGGCAGTGTCTTAGGCTAGGGTCGAGGCTGTGAAGCTGGAGGAAAGAGACAGGTTTGGGAGCTTTCTGAAAGGCAGGTTCAATGACTCTTGGTGCTGAATCAAATATATGTTGTGGAACAAAGGGGTGTGAGGCAGAGGGAGGTATCAGGGATGACTTCTAAGTATCTGGGTATAACAGGATGAATGAGGAGCCTTTTAGTACAAAAGAAAGAGTTTGAACTTCAAAGACAGAAGTAATCCTAACTTAAAATTGATTTAAGTAGCACTCTTAATTATAATTAATAGATATAGTAACCATTTGCTAAGCATTTAATATAGGACAGAATCTATATAATGCACTGTACTTTATCATAATCCTCATAGCCGACTTTGTTTTCTCAGGAAGGCCCAACAACATCTCTCATCTCACATGCTCTCCTGCAATGTGACCATGCCCTAGTCACATCAAGAAGTAGTGTCTACATCCCAGCTCTTAAATCTGGGAAGGCTGGTGACTGTTTCTATCAATAGAATATGCCAGTTTCATCTATAAAATGGAGATTACAAATAAGAAAGAAAAATAAAATTAAAATGGAAAAATAGAATATGGCTGGGAACAGCAGCTCACACCTATAATCCCAGCATTTTGGGAGGCCAAGGTGGGAGGATCACTTGAGGCCAGAAGTTCAAGACCAGCCTAGGAAACATAATGAGACCTTCATCTCTACTTTTGAATGGTATATTTTGCTTTTCTATCTTCCCTCTATCTCTTGGACTCCTTTCTATCTCTTGGACTCCTTTCCATATAAGTTTATCTCTTACATTTTTTGTCTTTATTATGAATGTAATATGTAGTCATGGTTAAAAATTAAAACTAAAGTCCTAAGGTGATTTCTCAGCTGTACTCCCCAGAAGTAATCCCTGTTAAAAGCTTGTGTGTCTTTTTATTATGTATGTGTGTTTCTTTTAGTATAGATATGTACTATGGTTTATTTAGTCACTTTTCTATTGATGTCACTAGTATCTGCCTTCTAAAAAAAAAATTAGCCAGGTGTGGTGGTGCATGTCTGTGTTCCCAGCTACTCAGGAGGCTGAGAAGGGAGGATCATGCAGCCCAGTTTGAGACTGCAGTGAGCTAGGATCACTTCACTGCACTCTAGCATGGACCAGAGTGTGACCCCACCTCCAAAAAAAAATTGAAACTGGCTGTTTTTGACTTTTTTTAAGTTTTTGTTTTGTTTTGTCTTTTAAAGAATATGTTAGAACTGTTGCTATTTGATTTCTGAGGTTAAGTCATAAAAAGCCATATAGCTTCTGATAAGTTTTTATGGAACTCTTATTCTGGGAAAAGCTAGACCATGTAAGTGGTCCAACTAAGGCAGGACAGTAAGGTCTGGAGGCAGGAAACCTAAGGCCAATTCATGCTGACTTCCTAGAACTAAATCAAAAGGAAAATCCCAACTTTTCATGCACAAGTAACTAAACCACCAGAGGCTACTCCCTTTGCAACTCACTGCCACCGCACTTTTTCTGCCTGGCTGATGAAAAATTGAAAGTACCTCTGATCGGTCCCCTCCTGCAACGAATCAGACTGATTGCAGGCCAAGTCTTCATTCGCAGAGGAGTATAACTTTGTAACTTTACTTCAGCCTCTGATTGGTCACTTTCAGCAGCCAATCAGACGTTTGCATAGGGAATAACTTTGTAACTTCACTTCAGCCTCTGATGGATGGCTTTCCATAACCAATCAGACTGATCACAGGCCACTACTTCGTTTACATAGGGTGTAGACCAAGTAACCAATGGGAAACTTCTAGAGGGTATTTAAATACCAAAAAAGTCTGTAACCAGGGCTCTTGAGCCACTTGCTCAAGCCTGCTCCCACTCTCTGTAGTGTTCTTTCATTTCAGTAAATCTACGCTTTTTTTCATTGCTTTGTTTGTGCATTTTGTCCAATTCTTTGTTCAAAATGCCAAGAACCTGGACACCCTCCACCGGTAACACAACTACTCTGAGACCACCAAGCTGGGGTGGCCACACGGAGGCATTCTGGTTGTCAGACTCCACTGAACTCCCTGCCAACAGTCAGCATCAACTCACCAGCTAGGTTGATCAAGTCACCTTGGAAATGCATCCTCCAGCTCCAATCTCATGACTATTTCTGTTGCCATGAGAAGCAGAAACAAGCCATGTCCATTGAGCCCTGCCCAAAAGAAAATAATTGTGTACAAAATAACTGATCGTTGTTGATCTTTTATGGCACTAAGTTTGAGGGGTGGCCAGTTACACTCCCCTGCCATTGTATAGGTAAAACAAAATAAATAAATAAGACTTGCTCAGGATCACAGAACCAGTAAGCACAGGAGCCAGAATTCTAGCTAATCTGTTTGATCCAGAGTCTGTGCTATTTCTTCAATCTCATTGCTGCCATCTTTTTGGTCACATCTCAAAATTAAATTGCTATTTCTATTCAAAACATCTTCAAACCCTAATCTCAAGCACATGCATTTTGAAAGTAATCTATTCAGCTTAAAAACAGCAACCCACTAGTAGAAATAAGACATGGACAATTGCAAGTGCTTAAAAAAGGGTTTTGGTGGGTTTTTTTTTTTTTTTCTGTCCCCTATTATTTTTTCCCAAGCAGTAAGGAATTGATAGAAAATTAAAACAGACAACTTCCATTTTCTTTCAAGGGAGATTTATGACCACTGTCTACAGAATTTCTAACCGTAAAGTGAATTGCAAAACAAAATGTTTTAAAATAATATATTTAAAGCAACACAGTGTTATGTACAATTAATGTAAGAATAATCAGAAGTGATAGTTGCTGAGTAAAAGTAAATCCAGAGAAATATGAGCTATAGGGGTAATAGCATTTCATGAAACACTAATCTGTCAGTGAAGAGAACAAATCAAGGGAATAATCAGGCATATTAATGACTCCAGAGTAACTTTCTCTTACTCATCAGACGTCTCCAAGTGGAACTCTATCTCTTTGCCACTGCCTTCTTCCAGGCCCTTAGGACTCCGTCCAATGTCCCTGCAGCCTCTCTGAGCTGGTCCTCGTACCCCCAGCCTCACCACCACAACATTACACCAACATCCCATAGCCCATCTTACCTTCTCCCCTTTTCCAGGGCCACTCCCTCTGCCTAGAATGCCCACTGACTGCCCCTGACCAGGATAAAGCTTGCTCTTGCTAAACATTTCCATCCACATGCCATCTCCTTGAAGCTGCCTCTCCTGGAGTGTTTTCCAACCAGAGATGGGGTACTTCTCTTCTGAGTTCCTACAAAACAGCAAACTTAGCTCTGCAGTAGCTCTTCAGTCTACTTGCCAACGTACATTTACTTAGTGACACTGTGTAAGCACACTATTCCAGGCGCGGGGGAGACAAAAGAGAACAAGATAGACAACCCCTGCTTCAAGACTCAGGCCTAAAATCAGTGCCTCTCAAACAGTGTAATTCTTCCCCCCAGGGAACATTTGTCGAAGTCTGGAAACATATTTTATTGTTATGCCTGGGAGGAGTGCTGCTGGCATCTAGTGGGTAGAGCCCAAAGATGCTGTGAAACTTTCTACAACTCACAGGACAGCCCCAACCACAAAGAATTGTCTGGTCCAAAATGTCAACAGTGCCAAGGTGGAGAAGGCCTACTGTAAATAAGCAAATAAATACATAGGATCATTTCAGGGAGTGTTACAAGCCATGAAGAAAATAAATAGGAGAATGTGTTAGAACACTGGAGTGAGAGAGGAGGGAGACTCTCTAAGAGAGGCAGTGAGTAGAGGTTGGAGAGGATGACACCCTCACACAACCAGTATGATTCTACTGTCTGTAATAGGTCCACCACTTCACCTGTTGTTACTCACAATAACACCTTGTGATACCGAACACCCACCAAGTGCTAAGGACTGGCCCAGAGACTCATTCTGTTTGCCACAGTATTTAATCTACCTCTTGCTGCAAATTTCTTGTTTCCCCAGATTGAAGTTAACTTGATAACATGAATTCGTTTGTATTTCTTATAAAATGCCCAGAACAGCCATGCACATGAATGAATGAATGAATGAATGAATAAGAATGATTTTTCCAGAGCATGCATGAGAGATCCAAGAGCTGAGCACTTCATCCTATGGTGATTTCGTAGAGTATATTAGTTTCCTGGGGCTACTGTGACAAAATACACAAACTGAATGGCTTAAAACAACAGAAGTTATTCTCTCCCAGTTCTGGAGAGTAAAAGTCCAAAATCAAGATGTCAGCAAGGTCATGCTCCTTTGTAAACTCGGATAGAATCCTGCCTTGCCTCTTCCAGCTTCTGACTGGGGCCAGCAAGCCTTGGTGCTCCCTGGCTTGCAGCTGCATCACCCCAATCTCTGCCTCTGTTATCACCCAGAATCCTCCCTGTGTGTCTCTGTCTCTTCTTTTTAAAAGGACACCAGCCATATTAGATTGGGGCCCACCCTAATGATCTTTCTTAACCCAATTATGTCTGCAAAGACCCTATTTCCAAGTAAGGTCACATTCACAGATAACAAGGGTTAGGACTTCAGTGTATCTTTTTTGAGGATGCAATTCAGCCTATACAAAGCAGAAGGGTCTGGATGGACCACCTCTAAGCCTCAAGCATTTCAGCTGCAAATGAAAACCACACTAGCCAAGGCCCACCCAATAAAAGTGCCTGTAAAGCACTTAATACAATTGGAGCCAGCTGCAGTGAAGAAGCAGTAGGATGAGCTTTGGAGTCCTGTGGTACTAACACTCCAACTGACTGGGCCAAGTAGAGGCCACAATTCCCTTGCCATTCTTCTCTCTGCTCTGGTTCCTTATTTGGAAAATCTAAAAATGGCAATAAATCCTTGCATTTTCCCAGGGCCTAGCAGCAACCAAGCAACTTTTCACATATTATCAAAAATGATCCATCCATTCACCAGTGAGGAGGCAAGACCAGGATTAATGCCCCATCTCACAAAGGCTCAGCTTCCTCATCTGTCAGGTGTTCATCATAACACTCAACCTTACCTGCTAGGCTAGGATCCCATGAAGTAATATATGAAAAGTATCTGACACATAGTGGGAACTCAATACACCTTTTGTAAATAGATCAGTAAACTGCCTGGCATGAATGTAACTTAAATTTCCTCCTTGTAAACTCACAGTTTCCTCTAATTTTTAGATTACTCAAGTCCCCATCCTGCATTCTGCAGGGAAGAAAGACCCCTCCTGAATATGTCTGGACTGTATTGGGTGATATGGAATTTCTCGTGTGTGTAGACTCCTGATGGTAGCCTCTCACCTCGTATTCCAAACGCCTCCTCTCTGGTTCCTATCTGGGAATCTCATTTATGCCCCTTCTGCCTAATTCCTGTCCTGTCGCTGTATGTCTTTACCCCAAGCATGGACAGAGCCCTCTCCCCTTCATTCCTCAAAGCACTCAAACACAACGCTTTTATGTGAGACAGATTTTCCTGAAAGCTTAGGAACCAGAAAAAAAAAATTACAGCATAAGATAGAAAAGAAACTCAGTCTCAGACATTGCTGCTTCTGTGGTTCATCAGTCAAGCCCTCCCAAGCCATCTCTCTCCTGGACACGCACCTGCTGTTATGTTGCTGGGATCTGCATTCTGTCAACAGATTCTCACACCACTGGCCCCAAACCCCAATAATCAGGTTCCAACCATTATCCTCACCCAGCTCACTGGCACCTATTCTCCAAGTTTCTAAGATCCCCAGGAAGAACCTAAAAGATTGTATTATTTATTACAAAGGACAATTTTAGATCCCCTAAAATTAATTAATCTCTTCATTCATTCCGAAGTAGGCCCAGAGGCCTTACCTTTTATGATCAAAGGCCCATTGAATAATAAAAAGCATGATTTCTGTCACTGCCCTCTTTGACCCTCAGGATGCAGAAATTACTGCAGCCTGATTCTACATAGGAATTCTCACTTCACACCACAAAGGGTAGGTCCTTCATACCTATCAGTTTCTCAGTGCCATTTGGGAAGTGAAGGCTAGGGAAGTTAGTTGACTAGCCAAAGAGCTGTTTAATTGAATAAACATAAAGCATCAACCTACCAGGAGCAAAGCTCAGGTCAGTAGCTTACCTGACTCAAAACTCCTGTGTGAATACTCGCCACCACTCCAGCTGTGTATATGTGGAAATGCCTAAAGGACACTTTCCTCCTCAAGTCAACTAAGTACTCTCAGCTCTGCTGTGCCAAGCACGTGTCTCTTCCTGGTCTTCAGATGTCCGTTCAGAAGACAAATTCTCACTTTAGTCTCCCACCTTGAGCCTTATTCTGCTTTGGGTCTTCTTTGAACAAACCTCACCACTCATCACTGCATACTATATTCACTAGAGTTCTCGGATGCCAGCAACCAAAACAGACACTGGCCACTTTACACAGAAAAGGAATGTACTGATGGATATTAACAGTGAATCGAATTTTAGAGAGGACTGGAGAGCCAGGGTTGGAGTGGCACGGCCAAGAGCTGTGCCCCCAATCAAAAAAGTAGACTCTTGAAAAAGTCGGAGGTTACTTGATCAAATAAAATGATGGGTGGAACCAATGGGGAAGGGAACAATACTGAAAGCCTGAGGACAGGTGTGATGGTCCAAGCAAGAGATGATGAGGGTCTGAACTCATGGCAATATCTGCAGACTAATAAGATGTTGGTGAGAGAGCAGAGACATTCTAAGACCACTTCTAATGGCTAGTTGGGTAATGGGATGCACAATAGTGCCACTGACTCCAATAGGGAACGCAGGTGGAGAAGCAGGGATGGGAATGAATGGCAAGGGGAGAGGATGAGAGCTGCCTGGGACATGCAGAGGCGTAAATAACTCTGTGTGTCCATCAGCAAGTGGACCTCGGTAAAGGGGAGATGCTGGGAAGAAAACACAGGAGTTTAAGAACTTGACTGTAGAGAATGAAAATTGTTCAAGACCAAAACTGGGATGACCAACTCTTTCCAGTTTGCTTGGGATTTTCCTGGTTTTAGAGCTAAAAGTCCCACATCACAGAAAACCTGTCAGTCTGAGGCAAGTCAGAACCCACTGTGTAGGGAATAAGAAATAACGTGAAAGGAAGAAGATTTGCCCAGGGTGATTGAGCTTGTTGGTTTCAAAACCATAGCTGAAACTCAGGCTTTCTACCTCCTAGGCCATTGCACTTTCTTCACACTCTCTCTGCCAGTCAAGAGCTAAATTGAATGAATAGACTAGAAAGGTAAAGTATTAGGATTCAAATCCCAGATTCCTGACCCACCAGGTATATGACCTCAAGCAAACTAGTTACTACCTCTGAGCCTTACTTTTCTTATCTAAAAACCCAGAAGTAATATAGGTACACTCCCTAATCCCAGGATGAAATGTAGGATCAAATAAAAACATAGAGGCAGTGAAAGATGGAGATTCTGCCAGCATGCTGACGAGAGGGAAAGAGCTGCAAAAAAATGAGCCTCTCCGCTGATTTTGAAATAAACCCCAAGAGTGCTGGGTCTCCCACAGCCCAGCCCTCACACTGGTTTAAAAAGTTTAACCCTCACTGAAGTGTCCTCACAACTCCTTTGAAAAATATAGTTTCGCTACTAAAACTGTCTGGAGTAAAATATATTTCCTCCAGAAAATGCTGGTGAATTTATCACAACTGGGCTGTTCATCTGCTCAAAAGCAGAATGGCATTTATTGCCAATTGCTCGCTTTATGGATGAAAAGAAACAGGGAGCCTAATAAGTTTGGTTAATTTTTTTCTTTTATGGCTCCAGCAACTGCACTAAATATTCCGTCTGCTTTTCTTATGTAGTTTGGAGACTGCTCGAAGCTTCAGAACTGTTGCTAGGAAGGTTCCAGCAGAATCATGTGCTACTGCTTCAGAGGAGACCCTGGTAGAGAGGGGTTCTGAGAACTGCCCCCAAGAGTCATCCCTGCTGGGGGTCTGCATAATCTCTGATCAGTTCTACAAAATTGAGAAAATAACTTTTAAAAAATCACTAGGCTGGAATGTAGTTATCTAAATTTACATTTATTACAATTGTATAAGATTAAAAATTCGGTTTTTCAGTCTTACCCCAGTCACCCTTCAAATGCTCATTAGCCACACATGGCTAGTGACTACTACATTGGACAGTGTAGATCAGAATATTCACATTGTCTCAGGAAGTTCTTTTGGACAGCATTGACCTGGAAGGTCGCTTAAATGTTAGAGCTGGGATTAAATGTTAGGCCTTCAATGTTCTTTGTACATTATCGTGCTCCAGAGATGCTCCATGATCAGTAGATGTGCGCATTATCTGTAATGATTTGGCTGAAATGATTTTGACTTCTGTTGGGATTTCACTGTGCTTTAAAGACACAGAAAGAAGCAGAATGGCGTTCTAAAGGGAAGAGTTGTGGACTTTTACCCAGGTCTGAGCCCTGACACTCATTAACCATGTGAATTTGGTTAACATCTGGGGCCAGCCAGAAGGCCTATTTCAAGTGCTCACCCCCGACTATCCCGCAACACTCACACATCCACCCTGATGTTCCCGCTCGTTTCATTCATCAACTATTTAAGGAGTTCAAGAGCATCTGCTATAGATCACACACTGCTTTCTCTGGAGCATGATAATGTACAAAGAACATTGAAGGCCTAACATTTAATCCCAGTTCTAAAATTTAAGTGACCTTCCAGGTCAATGCTGTCCAAAAGAACTTCCTGAGACAATGTGAGTATTCTGATCTGCACTGTCCAATGTAATAGTCACTAGCCATGTGTGGCTAATGAGTATTAACCATGTGTGGCTAATGAGTATTTGAAGTGTGACTGGGGTAAGACTGAAGAACTGAATTTTTAATTTTATATAGTTGTAATAAATGTAAATTTAGATAACTACATTCAAGCCTGGGCAACATAGCAAGACCCCATCTCTGCAAAAAAAAAAAAAAAATTAATAGCTGGGTGTGATGTCACACATCTGTAGTCCCAGCTACCCGGGAGGCTGAGGCAGAAGGATTGCAAGAATTCTGCTCATGGATCCATCTTCATTTGGCCCTAGAACCAGTGCTTCAAGTTCTGATATTAACTGGGGGTGTCAGGCAGCATAAGGATTCTGATCAGCATTTGTCCTGAGGCCACAGGAAAGCAATCCATCTTTTAGAGAACTTTTCCATTGGTGACCAAGAATGTTCTGCATGAGGAAACCTATTAACCGCTTCATGTGAGAGAATATTTACAGGAAGTTAGAAAATGCTGACTTTAGCTAAGGAAAATGCCTCTCTGTGGAGCTTTATGGCCGATTAATGCCCTGGAATTTCATTGAGGGGATTTATAGATAGAGGTTACTAACTAGCTACACAGTGTATTTTTAAGTATGTTCTTACAAACCAGAGGTGCTGTTTAAGGTGAGGCATGGGGTCTCTAAGGGACGAAAGAGAGCTCTTTAAATAGAATTTCATAGAAAAACAAAACTATAATGCTCCAAGGTTGTCAGCCACAGGCAGTATTTCACAAAGTCTAAGACTCTCAACTTCAGAAGCACCTTAAAGGTCATAGCATCCCAGCTCCTTCTAATGCCTGAATTCTCCTGACACATTGATTTCAGCTTGAACAACTCCTATGGGGGATCTCCCGGCATCCTGAGGCAGCTCATTCATTTCACATTGGATGTGTGATATTGTTAGAAAGAGTTTTCAATGGTGAGCAAAAATCTAGGGAAAGAATATGGTATCTTAGAAGTATTTTGGGCTCTGCCTTTTTCAGCTCTGTGAGACATAAAATAGAGAGATAATAAAACAGTAGTGTAGGGTTGTTGGGAAGACTAAGCCAGATAGAGAGGCAATGTGGTCTGTTCCATACCATTTCCTTCCACTGGCTCTCCATCTTCAGCTCTGGGAGTGAACTCATGATTAACTTTTCATAATGTCTCCCTATCGTGGTAATAGCAGTAGTTGTAGTGGTGGAAATAGTCATACAACTACTGTTATAACATTATTTTTATTAATATTATTATTCCTAACACCTCTTCCACAGACTTGTAAATATGTGACCATGGGCCACATTGCTTCACCAGGCTCAGTAACCTTAGTTCTTTTCACAACTCTCATCTGTTAGATTTCAGGTGTCTTATGGTCTTAATGATTCAACAGGAATCTCTCAATGTGCCAGTGAGTGGCTGGCCCTGATAACAGCAATGTGAATGACACCTAGAACTTGCCCATTATTCCAGCCTTACTTCCCTGATGGTATAATGATGTTGATGGTGGTGGTGGTGACTGCAATGATAATGATGTTGATGGTGGTGGTGGTGACTGCAAATTATTGATTTTCGAGGGTGACCATGAGTCAGTCACTGTGTTAACTGCTTAGCATAGATAATTGCTTTTAATATTCATAACAATATTGTGAGGTGCGTATTGTTATTATAATCTACATTTGACAGATAAGAAAACTGAGCCAGACAAATTAAGTAACTTATCTCAAAAACATATGCGGAAGCTGAAAACAATCTGGGCAAACCCATCCCAGACTGTGCTCTTTCCCACTGCATAGTAAAGGTATTAAGAGTGCAAGTTCTGAAGCCAGCCAGGAGTTGCTCCCATCCCAAAGGCAGAGAGAAAGGCAAGAGATTATCACATAGTAACAGCACCAGGGACAGCAAAGGGACCTTGACCTGAAAGTGAAGAAAGAGAGGAGCAGATGGATGGATAATTTTGGAAGATAAGATTTATAAGATTTGGTGTTTGATTGGATGTGAGATGACGGAACCTTTTCCTAAGGGAGAGAATGGGGGAAGGATAGCAAGGCCAGTGTCCATCAGGGATGACAATAAGGTCCCTGCAAATTTGTAAAATGCTGGAAAATCAAGCCATTGGACAAGAAAACGCAAATGCTTTTAAAAAGAAAAAAGTCAGTTTAAAAAAAAATAAATTTGACCATTGGGATTATCAGAATGAATAAAATTCTTCCCAGAGACCTGGTTCTTGGGCTCCAACATGTTTAGCCAGTTTTCACCCGACCCCTCTCCCTCTGCCCTTTAAACATGCCTATCTCCCAGATAAAGCTGAAACCTCTTCTAGTGGTCCAGAGGATTCTTTTTCCAACTCTTAAGTCTGGTCCAGTTTCCCGCTAAGTTCTACTTCGGGTCCTACATTCAATTTTGGTTTACTGAAACCATGGGTAAACATCAGTGTCTGCATTTCATGTGCAAGTATGTTTCAAATTTCTTTTTTTTTTTTTTTGAATCGGAGCTTCACTCTGTCGCCCAGGCTGGAGTGCAGTGGTGGCGCCATCTTGGCTCACTGCAAGCTCCGCCTCCCAGGTTCACACCATTCTCCTGCCTCAGCCTCCCGAGTAGCTGGGACTACAGGTGCCCACGACCACGCCTGGCTAATTTTTTGTACTTTTAGTAGAGGCAGGGTTTCACCGTGTTAGCCAGGATGGTCTCGATCTCCTGACCTCGTGATCCTCCCGCCTTGGCCTCCCAAAGTGCTAGGATTACAGGCATGAGCCACCTCACCCAGCCTCAAATTTCTTAACCAACAATTTACTGACCAGCTGCTAGGAACCAGGCACTGCTCTAGCACCTTACATTTATTACCTAATTTACTATTTGCCTTTACTCTTTGCCTGTGAAATGAGTGCTGTGATCATTCCCATTTTACATATGGTGAAACAAAGATCAAGGAATTTGCCAAGACACAAATAGTTAAGCCAAGATTTGAATGCTCACAACTTGATTATGCCAGAGCCTGTA
Source organism: Homo sapiens (assembly GCF_000001405.40). Taxonomy (NCBI): domain Eukaryota; kingdom Metazoa; phylum Chordata; class Mammalia; order Primates; family Hominidae; genus Homo; species Homo sapiens. Next base: position 13,873,812 of record NC_000004.12, on the reverse strand, counting down.
ATTCAAAGCAATTAGTGTATTTCTAGTTCATTCAATAATTATTTATTGAGTCCCTAGAGTGTACCTTTTAACCTGTGAGGTACTATTTCTTCTAGTTTAAGGCAAAGTATCAAAGCATCATAGAAAATCAAAATTTGGGTCAACTAATCAAGCTCCCAAATTATATAAAAAATTTAATGCAGAAAGAAGGACAGAAACTTATCTAAAGTCAGTCAGTCATGATAAAGCCTGAATTCAACCTTGATCTCTCATTTCACCACTCTTTCAATATGATGCAGTACATTAAAAATACTTTGACAAAGATCTGCTCTACAAATTTATAATACGGTTATTATTGTTACTGCCATTCCTATCCCACGAGGCAACATGTTTTTCACACAGTAGATAGCTAACAGATATGTTTAGGCTATAAAAAGTCGACCTAGGAATGTTATTTAAAACTTGAGGTCTTAGATAAGAAAGGCCTTTTTGGAAATATATACGAAAGGTGTTTTTTTCAGGGCCAACATTCCACTAGTACTTCAACTCATTAATTGTATTTTGTGGTTAAGGTCAACCCAATACCTTTGCCTGTAAAGTTATAACAGATTGAAAACAGGTGACCTGCTTTCCGGACTCTCTTTCAGTAGTGAAGCACTTGGAGAAAATTGCAGTGGATTAGCTCCTCAGGTCCAGGCTAATGAGGGCCTGAACTGCCTAGGAAGCTGCACCATGGTATTGGGCAGATGTGTTATGGGAGTTCACGGCTCAGACTAAAGAAGTCAGACAAGGAAATAAAACTACCACTTTATCAAGCAGGAAACTAAGGCTCCCCAGGACTTATGAGCATAGTGACTGAACTAAGAATTGAAGGAAGTACAAGCCAAACTCACATCTTTCAACTGTAAAATTCTAGAGTATTAATCCAATAACTTCATCCTAAAAATATCCTTTCTCCATATTCCATTATGGAGAGATAATAATCAATAGTGATTTCAAAGTTATATCTATGGAGCAACTGCCTTTTGTCCAGAATTGAACTGGATGTCTTGAGATTTCCTAGGAAGTGCTTGATATGTAAAGAATGTCTAGACCACCAATTAGCATAAGAAATGTGATGAGCAAAAATCCAAAGATCCTTTTAATTCTTGCATAGTTCTGATAGATCCTAAAGTTATACAGCAGAGTAGTTAAGAGCATGGACTCAGATGCTAGATTTTTGGGGGTTCAAATCCTGTCTCTGACACTTATTAGGTTGACCTTGGCAAGTTACTTAATCTCTCTGATGCTCAGTTCCCTCCATCCCTGAAAAATGGCATAATATCAGTACCTGTCTCCAAGGGGTGCTGCAAAGATTAAATCAGCATATGTAAAGTCCTAAGTCCAACTCAGGATCAGGCATGTAGTAATAATTTTATGAGTGAGTGCTCATTGTGTCTCCAGAGATTGGAAAACTAAAGCTGACAAAGTGTCAGTGAGCCTAGAGGCAGTGCAGACAGCAATGATAGTGTGAGTCAGAAACTGAAGACCTGCTGCTGTAATGATACACCAGATGTGATACTCTTTTCCTTGACTCTTTCAGGATTGCAAAAACAATTCTCAAGCTATCCTTCTTGTACTGGAAATGGGCAATTCTACTTAAGCTGCCTGCTGTAGGTAGTTGTTTGGAAGTAATAATCTGTTTTTAATCTTGTGTATAAATGAATACCGAGGTTAGTCAGTGGATGCATATTAATCCAAAATAAATGAATACATTTGAATTAATCAGATCTTGAGTTTTATAATGATATTAGCACAAATTGCAACAATAAATCTTTTAAAAATTAGATCCAATGCTGCTTAAGGCTATAATAGAAAGTATATTCAAATATTTGAATAGAAAGTATATTCAAATCTGGAGATTTGAATATACTTTGAGACAACTTTAAAATGTAGATTGGTCTGGCTGTAGCTTGGGGGCAGAAGCAGGGGACAGGGCTGCAAGAGGACACTGTTGAACCACATTCTATGAAAGGGTGATAGCAACAGGGCCCGCAAAGTCATAAAAACAAGAAAGAGCAAGAGAAAATCAATGAAACAGGTGCATTCCACAATTCATAGTTCATTTTCTGGCTTGAGACAGAGGACCTTGGGACTTCAATTCAGTGCAATGCAACAAGCAAGAATTAAATTAAGGCAGCATGATGAAGAGGAGGGATTTCGGCTGGTTCTTCTACTTACTTATTGTTGATCTTTGGACAAAATAACTTTGCTAAAGCTATTGATCTCATCTGAAAAATAGGCTTTATCATCCCAACTTGGAAATAGTGGTATGAGAACCCAATAACGTTCATTGTAAAGTGAACGTCTTGTTTCATAAAGATCAGGGTAGTAATTAAAAGAATAGAGTCAGACTGCCTGGATTCAAATCCTAGCATTGCCATCTGCTAGCTATGAGACTTTGGGCAAATTTCTTAGCCTCTCTTGAGCCTTAGTTTTCTCACTTATAAAAAGGGGAGATAAATTGAGGATTGGTGTGAGAATTAATTGCAAACATGCAGTTCTAGTAACAGGGAAATACTTAACAAATGTTAGCTATTAGTCTAAACGATGGTTATTGATGTTATCTTGTTTCATGTGTGGTGATTCTTGCTTAAGAAGGAAGACAGGAAAGATGGAAGAACTATGGAGAATATACCAATGCAGAAGAGAATATGTCACCAGAGTATCAAGAAGAGGAGGAAGAGAATATCTCTGCAGGGAGGCAAATATACGACACCCAGAGCCCCAACCTCTCCTTCCCCCATGCAAGGAAGACACTGCTAACTACACAAGCCTCTCCCCTACTAACCCAAGACTTAACCTTGAATATTTTTTTCTTATGTGGAAGGTTAGAAAACTGTACTGAGGATTACCTGAAGGCAAGAAACTGAGCATTACTTGTCAAAGAGAAGAATGAAGGGCCAGGAGAACTCTAAGCTCCCTCTCATGAGAATGGGTCCTGTGTAAAAAAAAAAAAAAAATTATGTTCTGTGATAAGCCTAAAGATGGAGAAAACTTGCCCTGATGTCCAAAGCTGTGATTCCTACCTGTAATTGTTTAGAAATTAAAGTATCAATGCCCTGAGATCCAATCAGAATATTTGAACCATCTGGCAGATGACATAGTTTTGGAGCCTTAAGAAGAAAATCCCAAGATGGTTGTAGAACACTGTTTTTTAACTATAATGGATGGAAAAGGAGACTGGACAAAATATGAACTCTGTCAGTAAATCATTAACTACAAGTTTGCGACCCAGAAGTAAATATATGGGTAGATGTTATAGAAGGAGGTGCTGAGGCCATTCTCTTAAGGATTTGGGATGAAGATGGGGTAACCCCACTTTGTTATGGACTTAATGTCTGTATCCCACCCCCACCCCAAATTGATATGTTGAAGTCCTAACCCCAAATATGATGGTATTTGGAGATGGGGCCTTTGGCAGGTAATCAGGTTTAGATGAGGTCATGAGGGCGAGGCCCCCATGATGGGGTTAATACCCTTAAAAGAAGAAAGAGCTGTAAGTGCCCCTCAAAGAAGTATCTACCAGAGTTCTCTCTCTACCATGTGAGGACAAAATAAGAAGGAATTCTTCTGCAAGCCAGAAAGAGGGCCCTCACCAGGAATCAAATCACATACCTTGATCTTGGACTTCCCAGCCTCCATACTGTAAGAACTAAATATCTGTCGTGTAAGCCACCCAGTCTACATTATCTTGTTATAGCAGCCTGAGCTGACCAATACACACTTATTCTATGACTAGCACTTGCCAGGATTGGGGAAGAAATTCAGGAACATGGAACTTCATCTTTAAGTTAAAATCATTTTCTTATATATGCAAGTGCACCTGCAGGTAAACACACACACACACACACATACACAGATCCCACACACACACTCATAGATAAAACATGCAAATGTGACTGTCACTTGCAAAATTACCAACATTCACTAAATGTTTATTCATTCTTCCTGAAGGAATTATGCTTTCTGAATGCTTACAACTTATGATAAGCAAAAATAGACTGTTTTCCTTCAGCCAAAATAAAATCTCTGTGACCTTGGTGGTCAATTGACAGATAATCCACCTACCACCAAATAGTTCCTCATCATCACCTAATGCACAAATGCAAGAACTTTTAGGCATTGATTCTAAATCAGCAAAGTGTCAATAGATTTTCAATAGGGTCAAAAATAATTGAATCAACACTAAAATTTCCAAAGGCATGTGGCAGGTACTTTCAAGGATACTCTCCCTAGAGAAGTACTCCTACATGGGTCTGAAAAAGCATCTTCAAGGACATTTATTGCAACCTTAGTTGAAAAGATAGCTAATTAGAAAGAAACCTACATGGGTTACTTCAATAGGGAAATTGAAAAACAGGAGTATTTTGCTTGATTTTGTGTTTAATGAGGTAGCTCTATAAGTATTAGATCTACAAAAAAGCATTCACTGAAGAAAAATAAGTTTCAGATAAATACGCAAATATAATGTTTTTCATGTCAAATAAAACCAAAACACAAAATAACACTTTATATTGTCTCTGGAGATGTATATATATGTAAATGCACTTACTACAGACGGAAAATTACATAATAAAGAAGCACAGTGGTTTATTCTGAGAGGAAGGGAAGATAAATTAGATTGGGGAGGAAATGGACAAAGAAGATTTTGACATCTATAAAATTTCACTTTTAGTAAGAATATGCAAACATTATTATCATGTAATGGAATATTATTTTTTTAAAGAAAAAGCATGTAAGGTCATCTAGTCAATTGCAATACTGCAATGCAATCTGACACTACCTGAAGGTAGTGTCAGACCTCACAAATTAAAGATACAGTCCCCAACATGACTACCCTCACATCAGACAGCGGCCACAAATTCGGAGATCTCAGATTACCCGCCCTTCTGATCAACTGACTCCAAATCTGGGGTCTTCTCAAAACACCCCTCAGGTTAGATAGTTTATTAGAACTCACAGAACTCAGAAAAGTGCTATCTTTATCATTACAGTTTTACTGTAACAGACACAAATCAGTACCTGCCAAATGAAGACACACAGGGCAAAGTCTGGGAAAGTCCTAAAGGCAAAGCTTCTTGCCTTCTCCCTGTGGAATCAGGACATGTTGTTCTTCTGGTACATCAATGTGTTCAACAACCAGGAGGCTCCACAAAGCTTCAATGTCTAGGGCTCTCATTGGGGATTTATTATACAGTCATGATTGATTAAATAACTGGCTACATAATTAAACTCAATCTTAGGAAATTCCAAAGATTTAGAGTCCCCTTCCCAGAAACTAGAGACAAAGGCCAAATTCTTTGTTATGAAATACCAATTCTCTAGAGGCCAGCAGAACTCCACCTAGCTCATTTCAGCCTAGGGATCTCAAAGGCATCAGTCATAGCAAGAAGTCACACTCTACCAAATTTGGGCTCATGTATGACAAAGGAAGTTATACATTAGACACCACTATGGAGGTGCTGTCCTGTATTACTTGCGTACATTTTAGAAAACCTATTTTGTTCTTATAATGAAAATTTTTTCCCCTCTCTCTCACTGTTACTATTCTTTGTTGTAATTACATCTTGGTTAAATAGCAGCTGATTTTGCAATCTTTCTAGGTAACCCAATCTAATGCCAAAGAAAAGTGCTGTCTTATATCTGCCTCCAGCTTACCTACAGCAATAATAATACTGTGAAGACTAGCAGAGTGGACAAGACCTCTGGTTTTCAAGTCAGATAGAACTGGGCTCAAACCCCAGATCTGCATCAGACTCTATGACTCGACTCAGCTCCACACATCTCTTATCTCCCCAGCAGGCGAGGATGTGCAAATTTCTCACAGAGATGACCAAGATGAAAGAGACCTGCAACTGGCATACTGCTATGTCCACCTCATAGTATTGGCTAAAGCAACTCATGTGGCTGAGTCTAAAGGTAGAGCAAAAGGCACTTCAAAGTTACATGGTAAACAGTGTCAATATAGAGCCTGGTGAGGTGGCTCACACCGGTAATCCCATCACTTTGGGAGGCCAAGGTGGGAGGATGGTTTTATCCCAGGATTGCTAGACCAGCCTGGATAACATGGCAAGAGCCTGCCTCTACAAAAACACTTTTAAAAACATAGCCAGGCATGGTGGTACACACCGGTGGTCCCAGCTACTCAGGAGGCTCAGGCAGGAGGATTGATTGAGCCCAGGAGTTCAAGGCTGCAGTGAGCCATGATCGCACCACTGCATTCCAGGCTGGGCAAAAGAGTGAGAACTTGTCTCAAACAAACAAAAAAACAACAACAAAAAGCCTCAATACAGAGAAAGAGAAGAACTAAGGCCATTTTGGAATCCACCACAATAGCCAACACTTTTTGAGGACTTATGATGCACTGGGATATTTGCTAAGTAGTTTATATTCATTAATATACAACAGCATTATTACAATTTTGCAGATCAAGAAACTTGGGCTTAGACAGCTTAAGTAACTCACTGAAAGTGACACAACTAATAAGAGGGAGAATTTGAGTTTGAACCAAAAATTGTCTGACCCCAGGCCTTGAACCCTTAACCCAAAGTTATGTAGCTTTTATCAATCCCACATACTTTTATAAAGCTGAAAACTTAGGCAGAAACCACAATCATGTGGCATGAGCCATCATAATCTACCTCTCAATTACTGTGTAATATAACTCTCCTTGAGGCCATGTAACATTTCTCTCATTATTTGATCATATTTATCCAAACTGCCGGTTCTGAATTCCAATTCAACCACTTACTAAATGTGGTTAGCTTGGGTGAGTCACTTGACCATTGTCTTAGTATTCTCATCTGTAAAAGGGAAATAAAATGAATATCTACCTTACATAAATAAATAAATAATAAAACATCTACTTTAGAGAGGTATTGTATAAATTAAATGAAGGAAAACAATAATGATTTATAACAAAGCTATCTAATATTTATAGGACTTACTATGTCCTAGGCACTATTCAGACTACTTTTCATAAATTATCTTACTTAATCCTAACAAGGACCTGTAGGGATAGTACTATTATTCTTTACATACAAGGAAACTGAGACATTAATAGTTTAGGCAACTTTCCTCAGCTCACAGAGCTAATAAATCTCAAAGATCAAATCCTAACTGGGCTATTTGCTTCTTGGTATGTACTTTCAAACCAAGGGTAGTCGGATTACCAACAGCAATGACTTTTATTCTGGTTGATGTTGTGTTATTTCAGAGAAGGTACTCAGGGGTTATGCCCACAAGAGGGTTCTACCCCTGAGCTCATTAACCCCGTTTGTAAACAGGCAACCGAGTGACTCAAACAAAACCAGATTATGGACTTTGAGGACTCTCATTTCCTAAGGAGGAGAGCTCAAATGCCAGGCAGGCACGGCTCCCTCTGAGTCGTTCCTCTCCTGCAGATTAAAAACAGATGACTCTCAAGAGACCCACTTCTAGCAGGAAGCAGAGGAGGCACTTAACACCTAAAGTTGTGTACCTGAAGTGTTTGCTGATTCTACAAAGATTGATCTGAATGGTTCCAAATAAATAAAAATTAGCTGGAGATGAATGTGTGCCCTGCTTCCTAGCCTGAGATATTGAGTGTGGATTACACACACACACAAACCTAGTGCTCCCTTATGGCTCAGACTCCTGTCTTGTCTCAAAATCAAACCCTATGTTTTCTGGTGATTTTTTAAAATGGAGACTGATGAGGCACAATAGGACGGAATCCATTTTATCCAATCATCAAAGCTGTTATACCACTGAAACCACAGAGGTACAGAAAGGTTCCATAGTTCACCCAAAGTCATATTACTAAGATGTAGTAAAACCAATGTCCATCCCTATTTTTGTCTCTCTCCTGCCGCTACTATGTGAGCTGCAATAGTGTTTAGAGAGAACTTGCCTCAGTAAGTATGACCATCTCTAGCCAATTGTGAACTAGAGCCCTTCTGAACCCCTCCTATTATCTCCTTCAATCAAAAGGAATAAGTAACTATCAGGATAAGAAAATAAGAAAACTAGATTCAGAAATGCAAAACAAAACTGTCTTCCTTTGAGGTTCTATCCCTTAATACATTTTTAAGAAGTCAAAAATTCATTCAAAGGGAAAAATCCTAAAAGATTTTCATCTGTTGGTGACTTATGTGGTATTTTTGGATAAGTGATAAAGCAATATAGAAGAACTAGTTAGAAAGTAATTAGTAGCAAAAACAATGCTGCATTTACATCATTTCCTCATTCTATGCTTAGAAAAGTTCTACATTTCCAAGTCTATCCTGAAATGAGGTGAGTTCTGGCTAATAGACAATGGGCAAATTGATGCAGGCCATCTCCAGAAATTCCAGTCTCAGCAATTGATTCTAAAGAAATAATTGTACAGTTGCACAAAGCCGTATCACAAGAATGTTCATGTAACATTGTTCATAATAGAGAAAAGACCAGAAGTCAAAAAGGGGACTAAACAATTAATTGATAGTACATATACATGTACATATACATATACAAATAGATTTGAAGTTCTATGTACTCTTCAAAATGAATAAAGCAGTCACCGTTGTTGAATAGCTTGTGCCATACTAAACCTCCTATTGAGAACAACCTAAAAGTTGGATAATATATTTATTTAAAAGACATTTATTTATGATCCTTAGTATTTACTTAAAGAAACTGAAAACTTATCTCCACACAAAAGCCTGCACATAGGTATTTACAGCAGCTTTATTCATAGTTGCCAAAACTTGGAAGAAACCAGGATATCCTTCAGTATGTAAATGAATCCATAAATTATTCCATAAAATAGAATATTATTCAGTGCTAAAAAGAAATGAGCTCTCAAGCTATGAAAAGACATGGAGGAAACTTAAATGCTTGCTTAATAATGTGAAAGCAGCCAATTTTAAAAGGCTATATACTATAGAATTCCAACTATATGACATTCTGAAAAAGGCAAAGCTATGGAGATAATAAAAAGACCAATGGTTTACAGGGATTAGTGGAGAGGGAGGGATGAGTAGGCAGAGCACAGAGAATTTTTAGGGCAGTGAAACTACACTGTATGACATTATAATGCTGAATACACATCATTATACATGTCAAAACCCACAAGATGTACAGTATCAAGAGTAAACCTTTATGTAAACTATGGACTCTGGGTGATAATGTGTCAATGTAGGCTCATCAGTTGTAATAAATGTACCACCCTGGTGTAGGATATTGATAATGAGGGAGGCTGTGCATGTGTGGGGGTGGGGGATACATGGAAAATCTCTACATCTTGCTCAGTTTTGCTGTGAACCTAAAACTGTGCTCAACTTTGCTGCTCTGTACCTCCTTTTCAATTTTGCTGTGAACCTAAAAGTGCTCTTAAAAAACTAAAGTCTATTTTAAGCAAGGAAAGAGAAAAAAGCAATACTTTTTGGAGGTATCAGAGAACAACCAAGGCATATAAAAATTGAGGGGTCATACTCCCCAGAAAAAGGAAAAGTACTAAAATAAGCCCTCCTTCCAAAGTTGCTTTTTCCTTGGGGTTTTGCTAATCTGCAGCAAGGAGCACAGAAGGCAAACAGAAAGCAATGGCATAGAGTCTGCAGCAGTCTCACTGAAATAGAAAGGTAAGAATTGGAAGTAAGGGTAACTAAAGCAGCCAGGGATAGAGGAGCCCAGATCACAGAGAAAAGAGCTCTGAAGAAAAGTGAGCCCAAAAGAACACATGTTATTTGTCATTAAATTACTTCCTGATTCCTAAACTGTACAGTCGTAGAGCTACTTAATGAAAAGTAAGGCAGAAATCAGCTGCTAAGAAGCTAAAAAGCTATGGAGAGATTTAGGCAGTCTCATGGTGATGGGGAGAGGAAAACTGGAGTCCAGAGTCCATCATGGAAGAAAGGTCCTGATAGAAAACCCAGACCTTCCACTGAGAATACTTCAGGGGTGTCCAATTTCTGGCTTCCCTGGGCCACATTGGAAGAAGAATAAGAATCTCATAAGGTTTTAAGAAAGTTTATGAATTTGTGTTGGGCCACATTCAAAGCTGTCCTGGGCCGCATGCAGCCCACAAGCCACAGATTAGACAAGCTTGCTTAAAGGGTATTCCCAAGAGGAAGGGAACTCATAAACAGATAAGTCCTAATAAAACCAGAAACTCAGGTTTAATTGGATCAAGGAGTTCTCATATTTTATATAACTGCCAGAAGAAAAGTAAATGCTCCTTCAGGAAAGTAATGATATCCAGAGCTTCTAATGCCGACATAATGTAAGGCATTTAATCAAAAAATGCATGTCATACCAATAGAAAAGGACAAATGATCAAAAATCAATGAATAAATAAACCATAGAAACTTACCCAAAGATGATCACACAATTGAGTTCTCACATAGGGACTTTAAAGAAACTAGGATTAATGAATTCAATAAAATGTGAAAGGGTGAAAAGTATTACCATCTAAACATAATATTGAAAAAAAAGGAAAATTCTAAAATGGAAAAATATAATAACTAAATTAAAAGTCAAAGGCAGATTAAAGAAAGCAAAAAAAGAGAATTAGTGAACTGGAACACAGATCAGTTAAAAAAAGTTTATATTTATTGTTTTTGTTAAAATATTTGAGTTCTTTGTAGATTCTGGATATTAGTTATTTGTCAGATGCATAGTTAGAAAATATTTTCTCCCATTCTACAGGTTGTCTTTTCACTCTGTTGATTATTTCTTTTGCTGTGCAGAAGCTTTCTTTACCACTATGCAATATATCCATGTAACAAAACTGCACTTATACTCCCTAAATCTATAATTTTTAAAAAACAAAAAGAGTTTACATTGATGCATCAAGTAGAGAAATGAATATAGAGAGGAAAAGTAAAAGATACTTGGAACATAAATGGAAATGTCTAACATATGTCTCATTAGAGTCCCAGAAAAAAAGAGAGAGAGAATTGATCAGATGAGTATTTAAAGACAGACTGGCTCAGAATTTTTCTAAACTGGTGAAAAGACACAGATCCAAGAGTATCTCAGAACTTGAGCAACATGAAAAAAGAAACATGAAAGAAAGAAAAAAACACAAAAGAAACATCATAGACAAACTGTTAAAAAACATAGAGTGAAACTCTTAAAAGCAGAGAGAAAAAAATATATCCTCTGATTTTTTAGCAGAAATTACGGAAGCCAAAGACAATATAATGAATGTTTAAATACTGGACAAAAATAACTTATCAGTCTAAAATGCTTTTGCTAGTAACTAAAAAAATATCTTTCAAAATGAAGATCCAAACCAAAAACCAAAAACCACCTTGATATGGTTTGGTTGTGTCCCCACCCAAATCTCATCTTGACTTGTAGCTCCTATAATTCCCATGTGTCGTGGGAGAAACCCAGTGCAAGGTGATTGAATCATGGGGGCGAGTCTTTCCTGCACTGTTCTCATCATAGTGAAGGACTCTCAAGAGATCTGATGGTTCTATGAGGGGGAGTTTCCCTGCACAAGCTCTCTCTTTTTGCCTGCTGCCATCCATGTAAGATGTGACTTGCTCCTCCTTACCTTCTGCCATGATTGTGAGGCCTCCTCAGCCACATAAAACTGTAAATCCATTAAACCCTTTTTCCTGTATAAATTACCCAGTCTCAGGCATGTCTTTATCAACAGCATGAAAACAGACTAATACACAACTCTTCCACAAAAACTGTTGAAATAAATAAATAAATAACAAAAATAAAACCTACTATACCAAGTATTGGCAAAGATATAGAGCAACTGGAATCCTCACACATAGCCTGTGAACACCCGAATTATTTATAGTTGCTTTGGCAAAGCTCTTGGTGGCAGCAGCTAATGCTGAATATGCACATTATTTACATCAGAGCAATTCCACTCCTAGGTATGTATTCAAGAAAAATTTGTGTGTGTGTGTGTGTGTGTGTGTGTGTGTGTATTTATCAAAAGACACATAAGTAAACAGTCATTATTCAGAGCAACTCAAAACTACAATCTAAAAGTCAACTAAAGGAAAATGAATAGATTATGGTACATTCACACAATAGAATACTATATAGCAATAAAAATGAACCACTATACCACTATTCCATGCTATAATGTGGAAAAATTTCATAGCTATAACAAGCAAAGGAATCCAGACACAAAAGAGTTGATATTGAATGATTTCACTTATATTAATCTCAAGAAACGGCAGAACTACTCTGTGGCGAGATAATTTAGAATAGTGGTTACATTCAGGAAGGATGGGTTAATGACTGGGAGGGATGTGAGGGAGAATTCAAGGACAGTGGTAAGTAGAGGTTACACAGGTATATTCACTTGTGATTAAAAATAGAAATCACAAAAATTATGTATGCTTTGCAGTATGCTTATAATTTTAAAAATATTTTAAAGTTTAGATCTAAATGTGTAGACATAAAACGATGTCTAAGCTATAATATTGAATAAAAAGAGCAAGTTGTAGAACAGTCCATATAGTATGAGTGTTTGTTAGAAAACTAAGCTTTTAAAGTGCTATATGTGTGGATCTGGAGGAATATATTGCCTCTAGTAAAGGCTGTGTGTGACAATAAGAGACTTTCCCTGCTGTAATTCTATATTCTTTATTATTTTAGTTTTTCACAACAAGCATTAACTGCTTCACTGTTGGGGATTTTTGTTAGAATAAAGCTTCTGAAAAGCTTTTGGGAGGTGAGGACTTGAAGTGAATCGTAACTGAAATAAAGACATGGCATGGAGAAACAATTGGTATAAAAAAATAATTTGAGTTTGATCCTTTTGCTCTGATGACTGCCTGGGCACAGGAAGTCAGAGAGGAGTTGAAGTGTCTGCAACGTCTCAAGCAGGGGCCTTAACCACTTAAGCAGTCAGTGAAACCCCAGTATCCAAAATACATATTTTCACCCAAAGCCAAAAATTAAATGATATGTCCGGGACTTCTGTTACCCTTCCTCTCCACCCAGCTTCCAACTCTTTCCTATATGCTATATTTTAACCAACTTTATTTCCTTCCAAAGTCTTCTGTATTATCCCCCTCAGGAGTAAAATGTATTCTGCCATATTACTTTCAATTACCACTTAATAATTTATGAAATTACTCAGCATCATACCTGCAGTATTTCAGTCAGGCCCCATGGCATTGTAATGAGGCTTGATTTAACATGGTCATTATAAATGCTGCTAAAGGTTAATAGGGAAAAAAGTTTCATTCCAATGCGTTTGATTTCAATCACTTAGAAATAAAATAAGCATCTGTCACTAAGCATAGGACTTCCTTTTCCTGTAAGCAGCAGGGTGTGATTATTTCCCTCACAAAAGTTTAGCAGAATATAAAGGACTATGATCCGGCAGAAAGCCAACCTGTGGGAAGCATGGTGCAGAGCAGAATTTTCCAAGGATTTCACCATAGACTTTTTGGTCAGTACAATTCTTTGTTGTGCAGGACTGTCTTTCATGTGGAAGAATACCCAACATTCCTGACCTTTGCCCACTAAATGTCTGTAGTATCCCAGTTACTGCTACAGCCCCAGATAGCCCTGAGAATTTTCAAATCCCCTCTTGGGGGCAGCACTCCTCCCAGTTTATTACCATTAGTTTACAAGTTTAGAAAGTCTAGTTTATGCTGAATAGCTTTTTTTTTTTTTAATGTAACAACAGAAAAAAGAGTAGCTGTATGTGATCTCAACCATCCTCTGAGGAGGACAGATCCTTTGGTTTTTGAGCCCTTCAGTGGAGGACTGGAACCAGCTCATCATAGCTCTCAAGAGCTCAATCTCTTCCTGATGCAATATTCATTGACTTTGCATTAGTAGTTTGAAATCATCCACGGTGATAATTTTTGGAAAGCAAGTTGTTAGGCGTTCATCAGTGCACCCTTTTTAACAGATGTATAGTTACAACCATAGGAGCTAGGGAGACCTGAATTATTACCCATTATGGAGAAAAAAGAATTTGCAGCTTTCAGGGAACAATGGAGAAAGAATTTGAGAACAGGGATAGAGAAAAGGAACAAAGTAGAAAATTGCAGCCTTACTCTGTTGAGACCATCAATCTTCAATAAATTCCTCTTAAATTAAAAAACGCTTAAAGCTAGAAAGAAGCCAATGAAAATGCTGAATTGTACCTGAATCTATTCATTTCAATGAATAAATTTGAGTCTATTTATTCATTCAAAAAATATTTATTGGGCACCTACCACATCCTGTTCTACGCACTAAGTTGACATAGCCATTAAAAGACAAGACATATAACTGCAGAAATATGAGACAGAGGAGCTTCATAAGAAGTAAATTCCAGAAAATATATAGAAACTTTATGGAGAATTTTGAACATTTCTTTGGAATCAGTGAAGCCTTAAGAAAATCATACCTGGATACGAAAGGAACAAAAAACTGAATTTCAAATGGAAAATGGGAATTTCCACAGAGATGAGCGAAACATCCAATTTCTTGGCATCTGAGGCTGAATTGCTTCCCCACACTCAATCCTAAAAACAGCATACCTCTGCCAATCCCTTAACCCTGGCACTTGGGAGGTGCTCATATCAAGGGAAGAACAGGATGATAAGATGTCTGGAGGCCACATAACCAGGAAGATACTACCCTTGGAGAAGCTCAGGGAACATAGGCTCTATCTTCAAATATCTGAGGACTGTCAGGAGAAATTAGATGTTTCCTCACTAGTTTTAAAACCAGGGCTAAAAACAACAGACAGAAATAATAACAGGGTTGTGGATTTAATCTTAATAGGAGGAAAAGAAAAATGCATTTCCAACAGTCACAGCTGTCATTTGAACCACTATATTGCATTCCTACTTCACCATGTCAACAAGAGAAAATCTGAGCTCTTTAATGGCTCCTAGAGATTTCTGATGACCCATCTGGTTCCTGCTTGCTGCACCAGCTCCGATATCTTCCGCTTCTGCATGGCATTTAATGTTCAACAAAGATCAAACTTCTTGTACTTTAGTACATACCAAGCTGTTTGTTCTCTCAGTGCCTTGCTTCTGCTTGAAATGTCCTGTCCCTTCTTGATTTGTTTATATTCCTCTTATGCCTTAAGACTCTGCCCATGTAACTGAGAGAACTTGCCCCTCTTATCTGTTCCCATAACATGCTATATAGATCTCCATCATTGGTCTTCTGTATGCATATAACTAAAATAAATTTCTGAGAGTGTATCTATTACTGTGATGGTTGAAAAGAGCTAAATGGATTTTCATCTAAGTTGCTTCCTTATGGAATAGTCTATATTCAAAAATGGACTATGCTGTAAACATAACATTTACTTAGGTGTGCATGTTGACACTTACAAACAAACAGTCATTGTCCAGAGCATCTGAAGCTGAGGTGCAAGGAAAAGCACATAAAACTATAAATTGTGACAGGTGTGTCATATAGATTTAAATATTATGACTAGAGAAAAACAATGACAGCTTCAAATATGAATCCCAAATCAAAACTCACAAGGATGGACACTCCAAATCAAAATTGTTGGTTTAAAATTGAGTTGTTTTTCACAAGTGTAACTTTCCACCATAGATGAGAAGTGTTCTTGATCAGTACTCAGTAGACTAGCTGGTTCTATTAAACCCATCTGATTGCTTCTTCTCTCCCAATCAGTGAATTAGTCAAAGGCAGAGACCTGGTATGTTGTGTTCACCATTGTATTTCCCCTACTTAGCCAGGGAGGAAGAAATTCAAATAACTGGCCAGTAATCCATTTCTCTCCCAGTTATCAGGAGAATAGTCTAGGGAAAGAAAAAAGGAAGCTAACCCAATCTAACCTCCTGTAAACATGCTGATAACTGGAACTCCTGGCAAATGAAATCATGATGTTTCCTAGAAGTGGGTAATTATTTATGCAATCTTTTTAGCAGGATGTTCCTGGTTTAGAATCACTTGTGGTAGATAGACCTAGAATCTAAAGATTTATGTGGTATAGTTTCCCAGAGCATGTCACATTGATTATACCACACTCTGGGGTATAAAATGGAGATGTTTCTTAATCTAGACAATCCACTGTGGGCAGGAACTCACAGACCTCACTTAGAGACCTTCTCCATTACGTTGGGCCAGAGATTCTATATCTGATTCTGGAAGGAAAGACCTGTGGAGTCCCACCAAATGCTCTGGACTGCTGTCAGCTTTACCTGTGCCACTTGGTGGTATGTGTCCATGAAACTATTAGTAAACATTGACACCAGGTAAGATCTCCGAGTTGTGTAAGTCTGATTTGACAATCCAGTCTTCTGTGTTAGCTCACTAGCATCATGCCTGCCTCAGTAAATACAGTTAAAACAAGTATTCAGATCAAATGTGCCTTTTTGTCAGTTAGTTCTCATTGCTGGAATTATTACAATTAAAGCTAGAAGACAATCTTTCAAAGATACCATCTAGTGGAGTTCTAGGTTTGATGGCAGCTTGTACTACTTTAAACATTAAAAGCCTCCAACATTAATAGTCCACAGCAGAATACTATGCAGCCAGAAAAAGAAATGCAATTATGTCCTTTGCAGGGACATGGATGAAGCTGGAAGCCTTCATCCTCAGCAAACTAACACAGGAAGAGAAAACCGAACACCGCATGTTGTCACTCATAAGTGGGAGGTGAACAATGAGAGCACATGGACACAGGAAGGGGAACATCACACACCACAGCCTGTTGGGGGTTGGAGGATGAGAGGAGGGAACTTAAAGGATGGGTAAATAGGTGCAGCAAACCACATGGCACATGTATAACTATGTAACAAACCTGCACATTCTGCACATGTATCCCAGAACTTAAAGTAAAATTTAAAAAAAGAGAGAGAGGGAAAATAGTCCATAGCATAATAATCCATTTTTAAAAGCTTGAATCTTAGGCACCCCAGCCTCACCTGAGACCTCAATTAAATGTTAAGCAAACTGTAACATAAAGCTCCATTGGCATGGCTCTTGCAGCTTTAGAGGGACAGAACCAAGAGTGATTGACTCATCAAACCCATAAAAAAAAAAAAAACTCTGAGATATTTTTGATATATAGATGTTATGATCCTATAATAACCCGGTGAGATTATAAGGGAGAGAAGCTATTATTCTATCTCCCAGGAAATAGAGGGTAAAAGTCATTTTTCCTATCTCAAATAGTTAATATTTATCCGAAGTAGGCCTCAAATCCAAGTATTTGGCCTCCTGAGTCAATGTTCTTTCCTCAGTATTCTGTGTGTTGCCTGTGTTGCACTAGAGCCTGCCAAAGAGTGGCAGGGGTGGCCCTGCCTGGGGTGGCAAAGAAGCACAGCACCAGAGGAAGCAGCGGTCCTTTTTTCAAAACCATCCTACTCCTAGGGCTCTTCCACTCTGTGGCTGCGATGGTAGTGGCAGCCCTGATGATTTCTAAATTGCCTTCACGGTCATTCTCCCATTGTCTTGGAGAATAGCCCTGAACTTCTGTTCAGATGGCAGATCTAAACTAATCTCCTTATCAAGTTGATTGGGCACACCCTTTATGTTCCTTCCCTGAACAGGTTTTATCATTCTTTTCAATAAGAATAGGCTGAGAATGTTCCAAATCTTTACATTCTGCTTTCCTTTTGATTAGCAATTTCATCTTTAAATTATTTCTCTCTTCTCACATTTTACTATAAGCAGTCAAGAGGAGTCAGGTCGCTCCTCCCAAACTTTGCCTAGATAATTCCTGGGCTAAATATCCCATTTCACAAGTTCTAACTTCTACAAAACACCAGGGCATAAACACAATTCAGCCAAGTTTTTTTGCCCCTTTATAGCAAGAATGGTCTTTGTTTCACTATCCAATAGCATATTCCTCATTTCCATCTGTGATCTCAATAGAATGACCTTTACAGTCCATATTCCCACCAACATTCTGTTCATTACCACTTAGATACTCTACATTTAAGAATATTGAGGCCTTCTCTACAGCTCTCCTCCTCTCCTTCTTGGCCCTTCCCAGAATTACCCTTAACAGTCTGTTCACAGCAATGTAGGCTTTGTTTCACATGCACTTCAAAACTCCAAAATGGCTTCCACATTTCTAGGTCCTTGTTATAGCAACACCCTACTCCCCATATCAATTTCTGTGTTAGTTAGTTTGGCCTGCTATAACAAACTAATATAGACTGGGCAGAAATTTGGCCAGGTGCGGTGGCTTACGCCTGTAATCCCAGCACTTTGGGAGGCCTAGGCGGGCAGATCACAAGGTCAGGAGATTGAGACCCTTCTGGCTAACACGGTGAAACCCCGTCTCTACTAAAAATACAAAAAATTAGCCGGTCGTGGTGGCGGGTGCCTGTAGTCCCAGCTACCCGGGAGGCTGAGGCAGGAGAATGGCGTGAACTTGGGAGGCGGAGCTTGCAGTGAGCCGAGGTCGCACCACTGCACTCCAGCCTGGGTGACAAAGCGAGACTCCATCTCAAAAAAAATAAAATAAAATAAAATAAAATAAACAAAAACAAAAAACAGGAATTCATTTCTCCCCACTTTGGAAGGTGGAACAGGCAAGATCAAGGCACTGGCAGATTTGGTGTTGGGTGAAGGCTCATACTTCCTGATTGGTAGATGGTCATCTTTTTGATTCGTAGATGGTCATCTTTTTGCTGTATCCTCACATGGCTGAGGGTATGGGGGAGCTCTCTTTATATAAACGCTAATTCCATTCAGGGGGGCTCTGTCTTTATCAACTAATCTCCTCTAAATGCCACCATTTAGGGATTAGGATTTCAAAGGGACACATTCAGTCTATAGCACCTACCTCACATACAACATTGTAAATGTTCCATGACAGTGAATGTGTATTCAGTACTCTGGTAAAATTCAGAGTACTGATGGATTATCGTAATAATGATTCTATGTCTCTGCATCAAATTTCGTAATTTCTTATCCCTTTTACATTTATTATCTCATATTACTTACCCCAACTGTCTTCTAAGACAGACAGAATTGATAGATAGATAGATAGATAGATAGATAGATAGATAGATAGATAGATAGTAGGTAGATAGATAGATAGATAGATAGATAGATAGATAGATAGATAGATAGGAGATACAGCATATAGAATTTTTTTAAAAAGAAGGAAACAATATGACTTCTTTTAACATTGTTAAATGAACTGGCTAAAGATGAGTAACTGAGAGTAAAACTCCTCATGGTCTGATTTTAAAACTCCATGCTAGATGTTACATAAATTCTATAAAACAGCAAGAAATTTCACTCCATCCCTTCTTGAGAAATTTATAGCCTTATGAACATGTAGGGCTTTTTAATACATGATGTGTATTATCTAAAAAATTTAATCCACCCTGGAAATAGGGTATATGATTAAGGGTTTCAAAGAGTGCTTAAAGATCAAAGGTAAAAGAATCCTTCAACATATGCAGAAATTACTCTTTGATCACAAAGCCAGTAGAACTATGACCACCACGGAATTCCAAACATGTAACACAGACACAGACAGACCTAGGCATGTTGTAGATATTCTCTAAATCCTTGGTTTTATACGTAATTTCATTTTGGCTGAAATATAGGGAGGTAATGAAATGACCTTGATTTTTTCCCAGGTCCATGCATTGGTCGCCAATGTTTTCAAAAAGAATTCACCAAACCAGAGTTTCATTATCTTCATCAGTAAAATAGAGGCTTTCTGGAAATAATTTCAATTGTCCACTAAAATCTATTCTTCCTTTCTTCCTGGGTACAGAGATAATCTGAATGTTCCAGCTTCCTCTACAATTTGGTGTGGCCAAATTTTGGTGTGTCTGAGCTGATGGATCATGAGTGGAAGTGTTGAGTGTCACATGAAGACCTAACCTAAAAAATGCCCAGACTCTTGCATAGTCGTCTCCTTTCCATGACCGGAAGCCAATAATAATAAGTGAGCAAGCTTTGGAAGCCATACACTAATGATAATAGAGCCACTGTCAACCTCAGTCCCTGAAAGACGGTGTGGAACAGAAATTTGCTCCTCACTGCCAACCTCCAACCCTTTGCTGACCTGCAACATCCCTGCTAGATTCTTAGGTGAGAAGGAAACAAGCCTCCATTGTTTTGAACTACCACACTTTTAGCTTCTTTCTTGTAGGAGTTAAGCCCACATAAACTAATACAAATGATAAGGTACTCCGTAACAGTAAAGAATTGTTTTTCTTAAGCATCTTTCAGCAGTTTAATTTTTAAAACATATGTCAACTTTAACATCAACCTGTTTATTTTAATAATATGTTGTTCACAGTAATGAAAATATCTCTCTGCCACCACTCTACAATTTCTCTTAAACTATCGCTTTCATCATGTCAACTCTAAATCAAGAAAATTCAGTGATTCCGAACACCAACTATACACCAAGTTTGGCATGGTTTGATCCAAAAAAAAGAAAAACTAGTCACACCCTGTAAAAAGGGGCAATTTATGGAATAGGCTAATTCCCATTTAGAGCCAAGTAAACTGACATCCAGAGAGGTAAGTAACATGGTGTGATTTAGGAGCACAAGGAAGGCCCATCTCTGTTAGCCTGTCTGCATTTACAGATCATTGCTGGAGTAAAATGCACTACTGAAATTTTAAAAGCATGGTAATTTGGACTGCCAACAGATATAACAGGGCTTCTAGCTTCTCCTACTCTAATCTGTCCCAAACATCACTTTCAAATTATTTTCTGTAAAGCACCACTTTGTTCTGCTGTTTGCAAACTCAAGAACTTATCATGGTTCTCTATTGTTTTTTACTCTGTCTGTCAAGAATTCCATCTATGATCTGGCCCTACTTTGCCCTCAACCTTATTTTTCACCACTCCTTATCAATCTCCTACTGAGCAAGTCATGTAACCTCTATGATTTTTACCTTCTCATTTGTAAAATGGGCATAACCCCAACCAGCTTTGCCTTCTCCTGCTAGTTTTCCAAAATCATGGTGAGAATTCAGTGAGATGCTACATATGATAGAATTATGAAAAAAACAAAACATCCAAACCAAAATACAGTGTCTTGGGCCAGCGGTCCCCCACATAATGAGCATCAGAATCACCCAGAGGGCCTGTGAAAACCCAGATTGCTGGAGCCCACCCTCAGATTCTCTGATTGTCTAGTTTGGGGCCTGAGAATTTAGTTTCTAACAAGTTCTCAGGTGATGCCGATGCTGCTGATTCCAGGACCACATTCTAAGAACTCCCACCTTATCCTAACCCTGCTGTGAACACCATGCCCCAGGCATCTTTCAAAGTCACCTCCCTTCATGTCAGGGAATGTGTCACTCCAGGCTGGGTCTCAGTCCTCATTAGTCCTCCCAGGAACATCACACAAAATGGAAGGGAAGAGTCAGGAAACTGTACTTTCTTCTCAAAGAAGTTATTTATACCTGGCCAGCCTCTTGACAAGGTCCTGTGAGGGTGGAGGTCCAGAGCTGAAGCACCTGGGGAGGGCTGAACACAAAGGTGGGTGAGAGGGATGGGTGATATTGAGGCAGCCACCAAACAGAGAGGCTGCGTGAGTCACAGCAGCGATATCCAGGAAACAATATTATGATGGGACAGATCACAAGGCCATGGAGAGCTAGCTCCCTGACAGACCCTTTCATCCGCAGGAACAAAAGCACATGGTGTGCTCAGAGGAAACCTCCAGGGAAGGCTTCAGCCCAGATGTCCTGACAGGCTCATAGGAATATTTCCTTTTCATGGCAAGGGAGCCATTCTCTCTCAATGCCTTTCTGAGTGTGGCTGTGGCTGATAACAACATAATTTCCCTTGAAAAATGTCCTTTCCTTCTCTCCCTCTCATTCACCATCATATGCCCCCTAAAGGACAGAGAGACACAGAAAGAATGAATAACAATCTTCTACAAGGTTCCTTTAGCCATCTCATCATGCTGATGCACCCAGAATATTAAGCCAAGGCCAAGGTACACTCTCCCACCTGCCCCAGTCACCTGTCCACAGGTAGGATGCTGTGGCCCCTGGTGATGAGGACACCTGGGGTAGCCTTGCACACCCCGCTATGGGCACCAAGCTGCCGTCATCCCCTGAATTAAGCCCTCTCTCCTCTCAGCCTTGGGGAGCTGATGCAGCTGCTGCTGGATGCCCCTGGACCACCTGATGGCAGTGGAATCTCCATGGGAAAGGGGAACAGGTGAAGCCACCCACCGGTGTGGCTTCTCCTTGATATTCTGCCATCATAGTTCTCCTGGGTATTCCACCACCGCCTTGCCTGGTCACAGAACAGCCTGGGCTTCTCAGATATGCAAGTGACTCATTTTCCATCCATCAGAGATGAGACTTAAATAAATTAAAAGGTACTTCGTGGGGCGGCTGGGCCTAATGATAAGCAATTATAGGAAGCCAAATGAAGGCAGTGCTTTGTGCGGGGCCTGTGAAATTGGTTAAGCAAAAAGAATAATGGCCTGTTTCAGTGATTCATCCCTTTGCTCATTTCAGAGGGAGCATTATCTCAGTTAAGTGATGCAATTAATATGAAAATGAGGGAATCATTGTTTAAGGAGATGAGGAGAAAGTGAGGAGGGGGCTGGAAGCCACAGTGGGGAAAACTAAGGGCCACCGAGATGGAAATTTGCATAGGTCAGTAGCAATGTGATGCCTTTAGCACGCACTCAAAGCTTAGCTAGCATTGTAATACGTCGCCATTAAATTCTCATTACGGTGACCTGTGTCCAACACAATTCAATTTTTCAGAATCTTAATGATAAAAAGTTAATTATGCTAAGGTGAAAACCTTTTGTACTGGGCCCTAAAATGAAACAGAAAGGGCACTGTGACTACCTTCAGGATACTGCAGGTAGAGCCAGGAAGGCTTAATTTACTGCTTTATTAACCATAACATGATTTGCAGGTTGATTTTTTTTGTGTGAGCTTTGCAGATCTTTTGTAATGAAGTCAAGAGGGATAAATAGGGTATTTGTCTCTCCTCTTCACTTTTTTTTTCCTTCCTAGGTTCTCATGGTATTTTTCCACTCGTAGCTTCCAGACCATATTTCAAGGACTGGTTGATATCCTTGGACATTGAATAGGAAGAGAGCAGGGCATGAGGGTCGAACAGGTGGCAAAGACAGCAGAGGATCCAGAGCCACCAGGCTGGGCTTGGTGGCAGGGTTGTCACCGGCTCACTCTATGCCTTGAGTGCAGCATTTCATACCCAGAGGACTCCCAAGCAGAGCAGGAGAAAGGACAACAGTCTGATTGTTGCAGCAGAAGATTGCAGCTAGTTTCTGCCACTTCTCTGCTCTGTGTCCTTGAACCAGTTACCTAACCTCTCAGACCTTCAGCATTCCCATGGGCAAGAAAACAATAATGTTACCTCCCTTGCAGGAATTGTAGTGAGGATTTGGCATGGAGTGAATACAGTGTTTTATATCTGGTGGGGGAGGAGGAGGCATTGTTGTCATCATCATTGTCATTATTATGGTGCTTAAACCTCCTCCTCCACAATAAGAGGTCTGCAATAAACATCAGTTCCCCTCCCATGTGGTTTTCATTTATAAAACCATGGGGGGAATCCTGGCATTTAGATCCTGACAAGATAGAAAGGTAGCAAAGATTGCTGGCTCCCTCCCTTCACAAACTTAGCCCTGAAAATCCCCAAAATAAGGAAAAGAAAGTTGAAGTATCTCTCAAACTAGCATAAGAACTATGAGAATCCAAGGAGCAGGAGACGGTTGTAACCAAACCGAACTGGGTTCTGCTCACCCAGAACAGTGAGGACAAACATCTGCACCAAGGTTTGCAGCAGGAGAAAGGGCTCCAAGAAGAATCAGACAGCTCCTGCTTAAGAACAAAACTCCCACATGGCTAACAGGCAAGAGTTTGTAAAGGCAGAGAGGCAGAGGTTACAGGCAAAGTCATAAATCAAGACATGGAGGAAATACATTGGTTTTGTAAGAAGACAAAACATCTTGAGAGGGGAAGTCAGGGGGTCCTTAGGTCATAGGTGGGTTTGAAGGTTTTCTAATTTGCAATTGGTTCAGGAGGCAAACCTTTGTCTAAAAATTTGGGATAGGAAGAAAAGAATGTTAGCTCTGGCCTAGGAACTTCCTCCAGGCCCCTCAAGAAGAAATTTAAAACAAAGAAATGTGATCAGAGTTCAGTCTTCATTTCCTTCTGATCTGAGGTCTACGTGCAGCAGACCCGGTTGGTAGCAGTTCAGGTTTTTAAAAAACAACTCAGGGACATATGTTAAGATGTGAACTTTGGTTTCTATAGGGAACCATACATCCCATGACTCCAACTTCCTTGGCTATTGTTTTAAGCTACTATTACCTTCTTGCTTATTAAGTTGCATTTACTTCTCAGGGGTAACTAGGTACTTGAAATTTCCCTTGAAAAAAACTCAGATTTTCCTTCATTTCCATGCTTGGTGGGAGGTGGGTGTCTGGCAGATACCCAAGAGGGGTTCCTGCTCCATCTTGGGGTGATTGAGTCCTCTGGAGATAAAGTGGAGGGGTAGGAGATGCAGCAACCCAGAGGAGAAGATGTCCAAGGCAAACCATTGCAAGGCAACAGGCAGTGGGGTAACATCAGAATGGCACATGGGCCAGCTGAAGCAGAAATATTTATAGTAGTAGATTATAAATAATGTATGGTAATAGTAGTACCAGTAATAACACTGATAGAAATGCTAATAATAAAAGGAGTTACAGTTCTTGATGCTATTTTTGTACTTTTTATAGTGCCGATGATCCTTCATGGTCAATCTTATTAAGTATATAAAAGGAAATGTATTATTTCCTCCTTACATTGCTACAAAGAATTACCTGAGACTGGGTAATTTATGAAGAGAAGAGGTTTAATTGACTCATGGTTCTGCAGGCTGCACAGGAAGCATGGTTGGGGAGGCCTCAGGAAACTTACAGTCATGGCAGAAGGCGAAGGGGAAGCAGACATATCCTACATGGCTGGAGCAGGAGAAAGAGAGGCAGGGAGGGTCCAACACACTTTTAAACAAGCAGATCCTGGGAGAACTCTCTCACTGGACAGCACTTGAGGGACAGTGCTAAACCATTAGAAACTGGCCCCATGATCCAATCATCTCCCACCAGGCCTCTCCTCCAACACTGGGGATTACCATTCGGCATGATATTTGGGCAGGGACACAAATCCAAATCATATCAGCAAGGGATACATATTTTTTTTAGTAGCAGGAAAACACAATTTATAACACTAGTATCGTGAGTAGGCAAAACACCCATAGATATCTACCCTGACAGATTGCTCTATCTACCTCTGAGGTAAAGTATTTAATATTATGAAGCAATGGTCTCAGCAGAACTTACTCTGAATATATTCAGATGAGGGTTCATACAGTTGGCTCTACAATGTTTGGATGCCAAGAAAAATACCAAGACCTGGATAACAACGGATCAAACAGAAAAGGCAAGAATATGAAACCAGAGTGAAAAAATAAAGATTCTTTATACAGTAGGAAGAAGATGTGTTCATCAAATAAGAAGTTTAGGGGTATTTTGAGGATTAAAAAAAGGGATGTGCAAACATGATAAGCAGTGAAAAACCAACAAGTCACAAGAAATCGAAAGGATTAGATGAGTATCAGAAAACAAAAAAAAATGTCAAAACAGGAAGAAGACCGAAATCAAAGCACCCTCCTGCCCCAGTCAGGAAGCTACTGATATGCTTCCTGCAGTGACACAAAACACTCCTGAAATTCACTTGTAAGCCTGAGAAATTTGTGACAAAGGGAAGTATTTAAAAATAGGAGTCCCCTGTGTCATGAGTGAATTTAGCCCAACTTCAGCCAACTTGACTGATTTTATAGATCAAAACATCCATAAGTCAGGTGCAAAAAAAAAAAAAAAAAACACTACTATATGATCTCATTTATGTGGAACCTAAAAATGTTGACCTCATAGAAGTAGGGAGTAGGAGAGTGGTTATGAGAGTCTGAGGTGGTTAGGGCAGAAGGGAGATGAGATGTTGGCCAAAGGATATGTAATTATAGATAAAAGGAATAAGTTCAAAAGATACATTGTACGGCATGTGACTATATTGAATGACAATATATTGTATTCTTTTAAATGCAAAGATAGTGGATGTTAAATGTTCTCACCACACAAAAAAAAACTATGTGAGATCATGTATTTGTGAATTAGCTAGATTTAACTGTTTCCACAATGTACATATATTTCAAAACATCATGTTGTTCCATATATACAGGTTTCCCTGTAAATTTAAACAAATTTTTAAATTAATATATATACAGGTATCTCTGTAAATTTAAACAAATTTTTTTGAAGTTCACAGTATTTTACACCAGTGGTTCCTAAGCATGGGTTAGCATACAATTCACCTGGGAAATGTGCTAAGTTTCATATTCCCAGACAAAAAGTTCTGGAGTTAGAGCCCAGGACTCAGTATTTTCAACAAGTGGTCCGGATAATTTTTATGTAGCTAGCCAGAAAGATGCCTGAAGGACACAAGTAATTTGGAGAATCACTGTTCTGTAGAGCCCAAATGGTCTGCTTTTCTAGAAACACTAAATATGTTTCCTTTTAACAAGTTTATTCATTAAATAAATGTTTGCTCAGTATGTACCATGAGTGAAAATGAAGAATAAGGCAAAACTCCTGACATCCTTCAAAGACCTGAAAGTGTAGGATGGGTGGTTCAGGCCTGGGCACTTGAACTGTAACACAAAATATAGTAAAACAAGTTCTATAAGGATGTACAGCAATAAAGAAAAGGGCTGTTGATTTTGGCTGCAGCCATCTGGGACGATTCTGTGAAACAAAGGGCATTTGAAGTGAGCCTTGAAGGATGAGCAGGGTTTAAATAATGGATGAACAAAGGAAAAGTGCTTCATGAAGAAAAGCATAAGCAAATGCATGGAGATGTGAGAAGGTAGAGGGTAGATCTGGCTAATGACGGGTAGAACAGTGCTAAAATATTCAGGGTGCACTGTCTGAGACAGAGTATCACAGGCCCTGAGCATACTGGAAGGATGTTGGGCTTTTGTGGATAGGCTATGGAGAGAGACATTAAAGATTTTTAAAGACGAAAGTAGACATGATTTAAGCCTTGTTATGGGAGGACGATTCTACTACAGTGTAAATCAAAAATTAAACAGGAAAAAGACTAGAAATGGGGACACATTTAGCTAGCTATTATAATGATCCAAATAAGAAAGAATGTGGCCCAAATTTGGAAAACAGCCCTGGGGTACAGAGGAGGGGGTGTCACAATACTGATATCAGTTTTGCCACTTACTAAATGCCTGTCCTTGGGCAACACTGAATCTCTCTGGGCCTCAATTTCTCCCTCTGTAAAATGAGATTAATAATGACCTGCCAGGTCTTCTTACCATGACTGTTATGGAATATGTAATCATGGAAATCACAGGAAGTGCTTTGTAAGTGTAAGGCATTACTGGCATTAATGATCATGATGAAGTCTTTACCAAAGGTGGGGAAGTCAGTAGGAGACAGCTGTGAGACCAGCATTGCTGGGGGAGGCAAGGCAGCCCTCGCCCTTTTCTAAAGCCCTTTCACCTTTAAGCTGTTTGACGTTCTTATTAAGTCTCTTAACACACAATTCAGACAAATCGTAAATCAATTGCCCGACTTTGTCTTAAGTCATTTTGGACTTTACGCTTGTCTTCTATAATATGTGCTTCTTAACCCACATGTTTTCCCCATAGGCACACATTTCAATAGCTGGGTATATTTAGAAGTAACAGAAACATCAGAGAGATAGCAACATCTTACCTGAAGCTTAGTGTCTATAGGCAAATGAGCGAATGGTACAGATTTCCTGATTAAGCAAACAGGCCATCTTCCCTGACAGGAGAAAAGCGGGTAGTACAACATGTAGATCCTTGGGGACAAGACTTGGGCTATTGTGCTGAATGTGTATTTTAGTCTTTTCTGGAAGGCAAAGGTGACTGCAGAAGGTGACACTATTCAGCCTTTTAAGTGATGTATCCAGCTTCAGCATGAGACCGTAAGAGGCCTTAAGCAGGAACTTCTATCAAGATCACCTTTTCTTCCTCATCTGTCTCCAAGAGCCCTGCTAAACACGTCTCCCAAGATCCAGTGCTGATTATCCATTTGCACATGAAAATTGCAGAAACTTCAGGTTCTGAAACCCAAAATTGTGATTTTTTTTGGCCCCAAATCTGCTGCTCCTCCTTTGTCAGCTCTTTAAAAAGCCCACCTACAGCCTATTTTCCCAGGTCAAAGTCAAGCTCTACTCCTCCTCATTCTTATTCCCAAAGCCCCCTGGCCATCAGACCCTGTCAGTTCCCAAGACTGATCCCAAAGGCCACATGGATGTCTGCAGCAGGGGCTCAGCCAGGACAAAGGGTCTGACTTTGTCCCATTACTCTTTTTCTGCCACACCACAGAATCCCTTGACTAATGTCAATGTGAAGACAAAGGTCAAGAAAGAACAAAGGGGACTCCAACTAGCCCTGAATCAAGTCATGATATTAAAAACTGCAAATGCAAAGTAGCTAGCTAGGCAATGGCCTACTGATTTATGGAGAGACCAGAAAACTGGGATATTAATTAGGATCATTTTGTTCCTTAATAATGAGTTTCAATTGACTTATAACCAGTTATAAGCTTACTGTCTTTCGCTCTGCATTGTTAATTGTACTTATTCATTTTTACAGTTGCTAAATTATAAGATATGCCATAGTTGTGAAAGAAAAGAAAGGATTTATGTGTGTTGTATGCTAGGCTGTGCAGGAGAAAGTGAAATTTAAAGTGTTAAAAATGTTCATGAGAAAGTCAATGTGATTCTCTCCAACTCACAGTTCCCAGAGCAGGGAGAAAGCCAGGGCAGCCTCTCCACTCTGCAGCTATTACCACTGAGATTCAATTTGCTGCACAGGTCTCCTGAAGTAGTTTATTATTCTGGGATTGGGCCAAAATTTGTTTCACAACAACCTTCCAAGAGTCCCAAGCCTTCTTAGCTACCCAAACTATATTATGAGAGAACTGTCTTCAAAGACCAAAATGATCACTGTCATCATCATCATAATTATTTCTCTCCACATGAGAAAAGTTACTTAACGACCTTGAGCCTCCATTTTCTGGTTTGTGACATATAAATTTGCTTCTACCTGCATAACACAAAGCCTCCCACACAGAAAGTACTTAATTCATGTTAGCTGCTAGTGGCATTTATCAAGTAGGATGTCAAGCCAAAAATTGCCCAAATTCAAATCTTCTACCGGACTTAAGGACCTCCCATTATAGTCCAGTTTCTGTCTTCCAGGCAAGCATCTTCTATTTGGCTTAGAAAAGGAGTTTAAAACAACCAAGGATCTTACTCCTCAGACACAATTCTCCTCACTACATACAGGAAAGCCTTGCCTTTTCAGCCCCAGGAGAGCATAGATGACCTCTCTGATAATTGTAGTGTTATACGCATATATACACAGCATTCATACACATAGACAGTAACATCAGGGAAAAGTTGTCTTAGCAGCTCAGCTAAATCTCCTTTGTGAAAGGCTCTGAATTTTTGCTTTAGAAGAAATTGCAGATCAGATATTTCAGCTAAAGCATGAGGCCCCAAGGATCATGCACAATTAAAAATAGATGCTTGCTGTGCTGCCTTCAAAAGAAAATAGGCTTTTTAAAAATAGAAAAACAGAAAAAGAGAGAGAAGAAAGGAAGAAAGGAGGGAGGGAGGGAAGGAGGGAGGGAGAGAGATGGGAATGGAGGAAGGGAGGGAGAAAGGGAAGGAAGGAAGGAAGCAAGGAAGGAAGGAAGGAAGGAAGGAAATGAGGAAGAGAGGAAGGAAGGAAGGGAAATTTTTCTAGATGGGGGAATTTTGTTTTGTTGAACTGCTCGTTCTTGGCTCTGGAAATCTGGAAACACAATATGAGAAGGCTCTGCTTAATAAAGAATTGAAGAATTTGCAGTTCTCCCAAAGAAAACCCAGGAAGCAGAGGGATTGAGGCTTTGCTCTAGTTGGAGAAGAGAGAGAAGGGAATCCCACAGGCAATGGGCATTCAGTGAATGACACCTCTTCTAACATTTAGATTCAAACTAGTAGAGTCACTGCTTCCATCTGCCTGCAACTTGCTACAGAGTGGGTAAAAACGTAGACCTAAGGAACTAAATGGAATCTACAAAATTTTAACAGAGAGGTTACATTCAAGTAAGTTTTTAGTGAGATCTTTTCATAGCTTAAGTGGCAATGTATAAGCTAACACTACAGTCATTCATCCAGTCCAAGATGCATGTTTTTCACATTTTGATGTCTCTACAGTTCAGATTCACCTTGCAACTGATAATGAGTTAATATTAATTGGCAATGCCTTATTTTTATTTTCTTTCTTGGAGGCCAGGAGAAGAATGTTATGTCTTATATATGGCCTCTCAGAATCTATGAATATGGCAGCTCTGTATTAGTCCATTTTCACACTACTGTAAAGAAATACCCAAGGCTCAGTAATTTATAAAGGAAAGACTCACAGGCTGCAAACTTTCTAAAATTTTATGTTCTGCTTCCCTTTTAAACATAAGTTCCAATTTCAGATCATCATTTTCAAGTTCAAAGTTCCACAGATCTCTAGGGTGGGGGCAAAATGGCGCCAGTATCTGCTAGAGCATAGCAACAGCGACTTATGCTCCAGTTCCCAAGAAGTTTTTCATCTCCATCTGAGACCCCCTCAGCTTGGACTTCATTGTCCACATCACTATCAGCATTTTGATCAAAACCATTCAACAAGTCTCCAGGAAGTTCCAAACTTTCCCACATCTTCTGCCTTCCTCTGAGACCTGCAAACTGTTCTAACCTCTGCTCATTAACCAGTTCCAAAGTTGCTTCCACATTTTCAGGTTATCTTTATAGAAGTGCCCCTCTCCCGGTATAAATTCACTGTATTAGTCCATTTTCACACTGCAATTATGAAATGCCTGAGACTAGGTAATTCATAAAGGAAAGAGGTTTAACTAACTCACAATTCCACATGGCTGGAGAAGCCTTGGGAAACTTACAATCATGGCGGAAGGAGAAACAGTCACCTTCTTCACAAGGTGGCAGGAGAGAGAAGAGAGAGAAGGAGGAACTTCCAAACACAAAAAACCATCAGCTCTTATGAGAACTCACACCATCATGAGAACAGCATGGGGGAAACCGCCCCTATAATCCAGTCGCCTCCCTCCTTCAACAGGCGGGGATTACAATTTGAGATAAGATTTGGGTGGAGTCACAGAGCCAAAGCATAACATACTCCAACAGATGTGCCAATGACTTTAACGCTTCAGACTATGTTTCACAAATACTGGAACTATCACAGTCCTCAGGTTGAAATGTCAGACTACAAGCCAGCAAAAACAGACCCAGGTTTATTTTTTTAATTGGTATCTCTGAGAGTTCAGAAAGTCCTTATCTAACCTCCGACATGCGGTAGAGCACAGAGAAGAGTCCAATTTAATTTTCCTGATACCTTTTTCATAAGCTGATGACCCAGCTAACCATGTGCTTTGATTAACTCACTGGGTCATAAATATCTTGAATCCTTCCACCCTCATCACCACAGAGAAGGCAATTCAGAGCACTCCACCTCTGTAAACAAATTTTTTTAAAGAAAATATATTTATTTGGAAATAAAGCAATTCAATGGGAATACATATGCCATGCTAAAGCATGTGTGTTTTAGGGAGATAAAGGAAGACAAAGGTTTTAAAAGAAAAAAAAATGCAGCATAATCATTTTGAAATAATTATCCATGGCTACAGAGAGAAATAACAAGGTTGATGCCAGTCCAGGGTTGAACAGGCAGTTATTGGGCAGATGTCCTTGTAGAAGTAGTTTTAGTGTAAGGCTGTGATGCCCTGTGTTTAAGGTTGTGATTTTTGCATTCTTTTTTAAATTCTAACTTTTACTTTAGATTCAGAGGGTACATGTACAGGTTTGTTACATGGATAAATTACATGTCACTGGGGTTTGTTATACAGATTATTTCATTATCCAGATAATAAGCATAGAAACTAATAGGTAGTTTTCTGATCCTCACCTTCCTCCCATTTTCCACCTTCAAGTAAGCCACAGTATCTACCGTTCCCCTCTTTGTGTCTATGTGTACTCAGTGTTTAGCTCCCACTTACAAGCAAGGACATGTGATATTTGGTTTTCTGTTTCTGCATTAATTTTCTTAGGATAATGGCCTCCAGCTTCATCCATATTGCTGCAAAAAAATGTGATTTTAATGTTTTTTATGGCTGAGTATACTTTCAGTCCAATTAGATTATTTCCTTTCTGCAAGAATCATTGTCCATTTTTAACATTCAGTTGAGTCTAGGAAACTTGCATAATTTTTATTCCACATTTTTCTTCTTGAAAAAAAGACTTGGACTTTCTAATTCCATCTTAGCCTAGTGGATAGAGTAAATACTCCGGAAATAAAAAGTGCCAGACAAGGGTCTTTAGTAGAATGAGGAGCATGGCACAGAGAGAACCTTCTTCAATGATGCTACAAATCTTCAGTAAAAACTCCCATGTGCGCTCCCGCACACACAAACACACAAACACACACACTCTTACTTATTTGGATTTCTTGTTAAAGATTATTATTTTGTAGCTAGATAATAATGGAACAAAACAGTCAGTGTGTGTGGTGGAGAGAACTGATTGTATCTGTAATGCATGAGCGTTAACTAGAGTCATTCATGTACAAAGGTTAAAAACGATGTGGTATACAGGCAAAGGAGGATATGTGCATTTTCACTGGATCTTGTTGTTTGGGCACCTGAGACAAGCTGGCAGTCACTAAATCTCAGCGATCACTCAATGTGTGCCAGGCATTCGCACACAATATCACTAACACCCATGACAGTCCTTCAAGAGAGGTTCTGCTGTCTGAGAGATTATGTGACACGCCTAAGGTCACAGGATCAGCAAATACTAGGGCTGAGATTTAAACCCAGAACTGTCTACTGCCAAAGCTTTTGCGCTCTCCCTCGTGCCACGTTGCTTCTCATTTTGGGCTTGGTCTCCACTTCCCAGTCCTTGAAGGAGTTCTCCAGGTCTGCCCCATTAGCACTGCATCTCAGAAGGAAGCTGCAGCTGCGCCGCCAATCTCCCGGTGGTGAGTAACCTTCCTGCTTTGCATCTAACCTTGTGTTCTCCATTGAGTGCTGACAGGTAGCAGTAGTCCTTCCTTTCTGAAAATGTCACTGAGCCATCTTCACAGAGAAAAGGCAGCGCTGACATTCTACTTTTCCTGTGACTGCCTGGAGAATGTTTAATCCCCATGACCTTGTGGCTATTTAACAAGAGCCAATCCTCAGACCTTGTCAGTCAGTGACAGCCAGCATTTTGTTTAATGGGCCCGAGGGTGGGCTTGGTTTGCAGTGGGGAAGGGTAACATCTGGTTGGAGTTTAAAAGGCAAATGGGGTTTCTCAGTGATTATTATTCATCAACAGTACTCAGATGCATGTTTTCCCTGTGTTTCTGTTTATAATCAAAAACAAATCCCAAACACAGATATTTAAAATCTACATTGTTTTTATGACAACCTAGCATGATGCCTCCTTCTGACTGACTTGGAGGATACCCCCCACCCTTGTTTGAATTTTCTGACACCAACAATTGAGTATTAAAGTATTATTTAGAATTATTGAAGCATAACATCTATGGACATTAATAGTTACCAGTTACTAAGCCAATGCTGACTTTGGTGATTTATTTATATTACCCAATTGTATCCTTCTAATAACTCTCCATATATAAAATTATGTCCATTTCACAGATGAAAAAATTAAAACTAAGTCAGAGACTCAGGACTTGAGCTGTTCTGAGAACTGTCTGTCATCCATCTATCATGAGATTAGCGTAGAAATTGAGAGTGTTTAAGAACTTTTATAGGTGTTTAACCCTGCCATGATAACCAAGCAATATTAGATTTCTCTAGTAATTTGTTTTTACTGTATTTTACAAAAGTTTCAATCCACAATGGTTTGGAATTAGAAAACAATTTTCCCTTTATCAAAGATGGTTTTAGAAGCTCTGTTCCAATAAAACCCTCCCTCTGGAATAATAGTCCAAGGTGTGGGGAAAAATAATTCAAATGATTCTAACTTGCCATTTAATGATTAGCTGTTCTTCACCCAAGTGGCTTGGCTTCTGGAGCGGCTGGTGGAGCCCAGACATCTATATTATTTAAAGCTCTACCAAAGATGTAAGCTCCATGAGGGTAGTGTTTGGGGTCTGTCTTGTTCACTGACGCATCCTGAGTCGAACTGTGTCTGGTTCTAGGTAGGTGCTTAATAAACATTATGAAGTGCATGAACAAATGAATAGCCCCTGATGGACAGACATGCTTGAGAAACACTATTTTTCACATTCCTATCTACACTCAAGATTTTACCTATGATAGCAGGCTGAAGATTCCCAGGATCTTACATCCTAGCAGGTAAGACAAACAATTAACCAACAGAATGATTAAGGTCACAGACATGCTAAGGAAGAATTGAAGCCAGATGTGATAAGCAAAATAACACCTCCATCCCTAAAGATGTCCATGTCTTCATACCTAGAACCTCTGAATATGTCAGGTTATGCAGCAAAGGAGAAATAAGGTTGAAGCTGGAATTAAGGTTGCTAATCAGCTGACCCTAAGATAGAGAGATTATTCTGGGTTGGCTGGGTGGGCCCATGATAGTCACAAGTGTGCTTAAAAGTGAAGGAAGGAGGCAGAAGAGGAGAGTCCAAGGACAAAGTGACTACAGAGGAATGGTCGGAGATACAATTTTGCTGGCTTAGAAGGCGGAGGAAGGGGCCATGAGCCAAGGATACAGGCAACCTCTAGAAGCTGGGAAGGGCAAGGAAATGAAATGTCCTTTATGAAAAGTAATGCAGCCCTGTAACACCTTGATTTTAGCCCACTGAGACATATGTTGGATTTCTAACATACAGAACTGAAGACAGTAAATGTATGTGTGTGTGTGTGCGTGCATGCGTGTGTTTCCTGAGTCAGGGTCTTGCTCTGTCACCCAGGCTGGAATGCATTGGCACGATCTGGCTCATTGAAGCCTCAAACTTCTGGGCTCCAGAGATCCTCCTGCCTCAGCTACTCTGGCTATTTTTTTTTTTTAATTTGTGTTTTTTAGAAATGGAGTCTCTCTATGTTGCCCAGGTTGATGTTGAACTCCTGGCCTTAAACGAAGCTCCCACCTCAGCCTCCCATGTTGCTGGGATTACAGGCATGAGCCATCACATCCAGCTAAGTCTGCATTGTTTTCAGCCACCATGTGAGTATCACTTTGTTACAGGAGTAATAGAAAACCAATGCACTGAGTGATGATATTGATTGTAAGCAGGGAAGGTCCCTTTAGAGGTCTCACAAAATGTAACAGTGTAATGAAATGCGAAAAAGCAAGAACTAACCTTAAAAGAGCTGAGAGAAGATTCCAGAAGAAGAAAGAGCTGGTATTGAGTTCCAGAGGGAGGACACTCCTTGGCAAAGGAGACCCAAGTGGCTGAGCTGGTGGAGCAAGAAACAGAGAGAGAAAAGATGAGATGGAGCTGGAGAGGTTGGCAGAGGTCCTCTGCAGGACTGGGAGGTCATGGCAGGAGGACTGGAGTTTATTTTAAGAGCAATAGATGGCTATAGAATAGAGCAGAAGGGTGATAGGTTGTTTTTCACTTTCTTAATGATATCCTTAGAGGCACACAATTTTTAATTTTGATAAAGTAAAACTTAAAAATCTTATCCTTCATCACTTGCAGTTTTAGTGTCATATCTAAGAAATCATTGCCAAACCCTAGACCACACCGTTTTACTCTGGCATTTCCTTCTATGAGTTCAACAGTTTTAGCCCTTACATTTAGGTCTATGATCTACCTTGAGTTAATGTTTGTGTATGGCATGAGGCAGGGATCCAATTTCATTCTTTTGCATGTGGATATGCAGTCGTCCCAGCACCATTTGTTGAAGGGATAAGTAACATTTTATTGCAATAAAGACAGACTCAGTAATAATGCTATGCTGAGCCATGTTGATGCCCAAGGCAAAAGAAAAAAATCAGTAACATAGTGTTTTGTAAATATTAAAGATACAAATTCTTTCTAATTTGGTCTTGAAGTCTCTCCCTGGAGAGTGGCTATAAACTCTAGCCCTGCCCTGACGACAGGGCTCCAGGGAAGGCAGTTTCTGGATGTTTACAGCATGCCTTTCAAGGGATACATCTTTATCCTGGTAGACTGCCTAATGCCTAAGTGTCCGGCCATGGCCAGGTGTTCCCCATACAGAAAACTTGCTTTTATTCACAGATGTCCCTGTGGCTCTTGTCTAAGCTGTGTTTAGTTTATTCCTACCAAGATAGCCACTCCATAGGAGAGCCCTGACCAGGAAAGAAGTTAGGCTCATGTTTGTCTGTCAGGGGAGACACAGGAGGAGGCAGCACAACACCGAGCATGAAATAACAGACATATTTATTACTTACAGATTCCACAGTGCAGGGGGCAGTATGCCTCCCAGGGTCACTGGAAAGGGGGAAGCCACTGAGGACACGTGCATTCAGCCAGCAGGTGGGGAGCAAGAGAGAGAGAAGGGGACCTGTAAGCCAAATTCTTTATTGGGTCCTGGGAGTTACTCAAGCAGGTTTCCTGTGGGGAGGTCTAACTGGTGGTACAAGCAGGCATTAGTTTCATGGGGGTCACGCTGTGACTAAGAGGTGGCCACTGTGGCACACCTGCACAGTCCATGTGGGGTGTGGAGGTCAGTGGGGCTAATTAGGTCAGTTGTATCTGGCTGTCTCATGGAGAGGTAACTATCACGAGTTATATAAGCCAGAGAGCTGAACTGACCACCTTAAGGAACTAGGAGGAGTTGTAAAACTGGATACTGCACCAAGGGTGACTAAGCCTGCTTCTGGTATGAGAAAGTTAAAGTTATATTCAAAATGGATACTGAAGCAACATGAAATTATAAGAATTCACTCAATACTATTTATCTTAAAATTTTATTTTTTTTTCACTGTGGGTTTTTGCATTAATTTTGTTTAAAATATTGCATTTAATATTACTTATCCTAGTTACTGAGACCTTGAAGCCCTTTTACATTTTGTGCCTAAAATAGGCCTTATTCACCTCACTCTAGTTAATGTCCTACAAAGTCCCTAGCTCAGCTTACCATGCCTTCCACACCCTAAACCCTGCCTGCCCCTCCATCTGCCTCTCACCCCCCATTCCTCAACTGTTATCACTAATAATACAGATTAGTTCATGTTTCCTTGCACACATCATGCTATGTCAAGTGTCTGTCATTTTGATCTTGCTCACCACTTGACTTGGAATCACTTATCTTTAATATCTTGCTCTTTCCCATCCTACAAGATCAGGTGTTAACTCCTCCAGAAAGCTTTCCTTGCGCCTCCGGGTGGGTTGGCGCTCCTCACCCAGGCTCCCACAGTGCCCTCCTCACCCATTGTGCTCCCATAATTATTATAGAATAATAACATAATAACATAGCATGTATTACCCTGTAAAATAATTATTTATTATTTGTCTTCTCTCCTTCTGGACTGCAGCACTTTGTCCCTTATGTCAAACTGTATCTTACCCACTTGAACATTCTCATGTCCTAGCACAGTGCCTAGAATATGACAGATAAGTAATAGATATTTGTTTAACAGTTAATCTAGCTAGAAGTACAGCAAGGAGAAGCCAATCCAATCTGCCTAAAGTGAACAGAGAAGGTTCCTCATGGAATCTCCCTGGTAGGAGGACACAAGTTAAGCATCTGGCACAGAACGCTTCCCTGCTAAAAAGGTGAGACATCCCAGAGAACAGAGGCTGTGCCTGAGGCAAGAGCTCCTTGTCTGGACTCCGAGGATGGAAGCAAAGACTTACAAGACCTCATTAGAGAGTCAGCCCCATAGACAGAAGGATAATTTAGAAATTTAATAACTGGATCTGGCCTACAAGTGAAGCAGAGAAGTGGCTACTTCCAAGGAGTGAAACAGTGAGCAAAATTAAGGGAAAATTCCCACTGAGCTCACTTCATTTATTCATTCATTCATTCACTAGTCATTTCATAAACATTTATGGAGCATCTTTTGGGGGTACTGGGATAGGCCCTGGAATACAGGGATCAAAGATCATCTCCTTACCCAAAGAAATCCATGGCCAAGTCAACTGCTGCAAACCTACTATGTGTGGGATGGGAAACCAAAAAATACAGGTATTAACAACAAAGTCTAGCCTTCAGTGTTTTTACTGGATTATTCTATTTGCCTATCCAAATCCACTCTCTATCTTTGTCCACCCTGCTATTCCCTGGGGAAGCTGAACCTGAACCACACTCTTGGGCTCCCTTGACCACTGACTACCAACTGCACATGGCCAGTGTTGTGCATCAGCAGGAGATTGGAAGGAGAGAAGTGAGTGAGGGTGTGGCATTTATTACTATTGCCGTGGGGTTTCCATGGGCCAGTTCTGTTGAAAGCCAGGAATCCTATGTTTCTTCCGCATAGCCCCCGCAGTCTTCTGGCTCTCTTTCCCCTCTCTCCACTCTTTCAGGCCTACAATAGCACCTAGATTTCATAGTCCTCTGGCATTTGACTATTCTTCGTGGTTTCCCTAAGCCCTGCTCCCAGCTTTGTAAGTAGTCCTTTATTAAATTCATTTCACATTATCCAAGTGTAAGTGTGCCATCTGTTTCTTGCTGGGACCTTGACTGACACAACAAGCTCCTAAGGGAGATGTGACAAGAACATCAATAAACGGGGGATGGAAGGAGGAATCCCCTTGGACATGTGAATGAATATATATGGCCACCCACTGGGAAAGGAGGCCATGAGAAAAAGTCAAAGCCAAACACGTTGGGATTATTTGCCTTTATGCCCAGGAAGCTGGAACAGAGCAGGGAGCTGGTCGAAGGTACCCGAGAATCCATCCCTGAAGGATAGCAGATTTGGAGGGTAAGGAAAGATTTCTTTCTACCTGAGAAGTGCCTAGGAGACAGTGACTCTGAGTTTTCTTGGGGTAGACAGCAATGAAGGCTTAATAAGCAGACCCCCCAGACTGGTCTCCTCTCCCCTTGCCACTGTGGGACCTTGAGGCAAAGGGAGGAGCAGACTGATGCACCTCGAGTGCTATAGAGAAAGGGAAACAAGACTGTTTCCTGAGTTGCAGAATATGTCAAAAAATAAGAGGACAAAACCACACTCTGTCAAGTCACCTTAAAGACACGAAATAGGTTCTAGGCCTATAAAAGTGCCTGTGGCTTAGCATAGCTAGAGGTTATCTAGATGTTTTCAGTCTGAGAACTTTCACCTGAGGAAGAAGGACACATCAGACTCTTCTAACAGCATTCGAGTCACACTACTCACATCCCTCTTTTCAGTTCCATCCTCCTCAAAACTCCTTAGAGGTATTATTTGGTTCCTCATGTGGTTTTCTTACATGGAAGAAGAACCATATGTATGCTGATCAGGTTTAAGGTACCTAACAAGTAGAATTCATGCTGAAAATCAATACTTTCGGCATCTGCAGTCTCCTAAAAGCATTGTTAGTGAGAGTCAGCCTCCCCAAGTCCAGGAAACTCAAACACTTTGAAAATCTAAACCCACAAAGCCAAGGTCAAAATCCTGGCTTGGGTGAAGTCATGAATATCAGTGCTGCCTGGAGGCTCCTTGGAAGCCCACCATCCACCAGCCTGGGACACACACAGACACACTGGTACTTTGATGAGCCCTGCTGCCCACTAAAGTGCTGATTTGTTAGAACAGCCATTGTACCAGGTCTCTCTCATCCCTTTCTTGAACAATGGATTGCTCTTCCAAACTTT
This sequence comes from Homo sapiens, assembly GCF_000001405.40. Taxonomy (NCBI): domain Eukaryota; kingdom Metazoa; phylum Chordata; class Mammalia; order Primates; family Hominidae; genus Homo; species Homo sapiens. The sequence continues at coordinate 13,834,054 of NC_000004.12, read as the reverse complement.
TTTCTTTTTTTTTCTTTGACTTTTAATTTTAATTTTAATTCTTTAGTTGACACAGATCTTATATATATTTATTGTGTACAGCATGTTGTTTGAAATAAGCAGGCTTTCTGAAATGGCTAAATAGTGCTAATTAACATATGCATTACTTCACATACTTATCATTTTTGGGGGTGAGATACCTTGATCTGTTTTCAATTTCATAGCCTGGCATTGGCTCATTGTTCTATTTGACTGATTCTGCCTGTCACTGTATCTACCACCTCTGTCAGATTAGAGTAATCCACAAATTTGGTAAGCAGGCGTGACCTAAGTGACTGATAAAAATGTTAAATATACAACCTGAGGATTCTTCAATCCCATCCTGGCTTCTCTCCTTTTAAAACTTTGGTCTGTCCTTTTCAGAACTACATGCAGCATGACAAGTGTGGTCTAGCCTGTGCATGGCAAAGCATGCCTCTCACCTCGTTGAAATTCTCTGCTCCTGCAGGCTGAGATCAAAATAACTCCCTTACACATTATGGCTGATATTACTGAAGTGCTTCTGTCATTTTTATCCTGAAGATACTAAGTCACATCAGTGCATCTTGTTAGTTTTCTTTTGGACTCGGGTGTAACATGTTCTGTTCCTGTTCAGTTTCAGTTTTGCCTCATTATGCTTAGACCATTGCTGCAGCCTGTTAAGATCTATTAGGATCCTGTGCAGACCAGACTCAACCTCTCATCACTCGACTTGTGCCTAACTCTCTAGTACCATCCCATCCCCACTTCTGTCTCTACACTTTATTTCTAGCAATAGTAATTGCTTCAGGGCCTCCCCAATGTCTTCTAGACTGTGTGTAGGATACAATCTCTCCCACACAGAAAAAGTCTCAGACTAACACAAAGATCCACATCTCAAACTCCGACCCATTCCACTCCATGCAACAGAAGGTAAAAGGATATGGGAGATCTCTGAGTCATGTGACCAGGAGGCTGGGGTCTAGTCCTGTCTTCACCCTTAAAAGGCTCTTGTCTGTCCTGTGAGCAGGCATAGGGTACAGCAGTCTGAGGATACACCAGGGTCTTTCTGCCCCTCTCTAGCTGGAGCAGAGGCTGCTCTTGCTTCCCAATATCCATTCTCTCATTCTTTTCTGCTCGTAAGAACAGACCCCAGTATTTAGAACAGCACATATAAACCCCTGAAATGATGGCATTGCCAGCTGCTTTATAGCCAGGAGTGGTCAAGAGATAAAGTTTTGGCCAATGAAGTGGGAAAAGTCATGTGTGACTGACTTTCAGGAGGGTCTTAAAGGGGAGGGAATAAATGATCTTTGTCCTCATCCACTTGCGCCTGCTGTCTGCCTGGAATGTGAATGTGATGACAGGCTTTCCAGCAGACATCGTAGGACCATGCAGTAAACTTGAGGTTAGAAACTGGTCTGATGATTCTGGAGGAGAAAGATTGAAGCATGGTCTCGGAAACACCATGCCAAGCCTAGACTGCCTTTACGCCAACTTCTTTTATGGGAGAAGGGAAGTAAGCTTTTACACATTTAACACACCTTTCAGAAGCCACTTTCTTCTATATTTATGATGTTATCTCTAGCTGCTTAACTCTGGAAAAGCCTCCTATTCTCTAACCCTATTTATCCAACTGCAAAATGAAACTAACAATATAACAGGAAGGGGAAAAAGATCATATGTCAAGCATTGACAAGACACTAGGAATATGAAGGCAAAAAGATAAAGGCAATTCAGTCTGCAGATTTTATGTGATGATCACCTCTCATTGCTCACTCACTATTTCTTTCTTTCTTTCAACAAGTATTTATAAAGCCTCAACAGAGATGACAGTTCTGAAGGGACTAGGGTTGCCATATTTAGTAAGTAAAAATACAGGGACAACAAATCTTTTTTTTTTTAGCATAAGTATGCCCTGTGCAATATTTTTTTATTAAAAAGATAATTGTTGTTTATCTGAAATTCAAGTTTAACTGGTTGTCCTGTATTTTATCTAATGACCCTACCTGGGGCTACCATGGTGAATAACACTGAAAAAAGCCCATCCTGCAAGGAGCTGTCTTCCAGTGGAGGGGATGGTGCACAAACCATGAAGCTCAATATCAGAACTGAATGTAGGGATAAGTGGCATGAAGGAAATAAAACCACTACAGTGTGACAGGAAGGTGACTCTTCAAGATTGTCAGGGAAGTCCCGTGAGGATGTAACATTTCCCCAGATGCCTGGACATTGAAATGGAACTAGCCAAGCCAGGGGAGGACCAGTCCAGCCTCAGGGGCCAACGAGAGCAAAGGCCCTCATGTGGGAACATGTTTGGGATGTTCTAGAATCCCAAGGCCAGTGGGGTTAATGTTAAGTGGAGAGAGGTGTGCTGGAGCCCAGTCATGTAAGGCCCATAGGTGATTTTTTTTTAAAAGAGGCCATGGATTCTATTTTAAGAGTAAGTAGCAGCCATCAGAGGGTTAAGAAGGGAAGAATATCGTCCAATTTATTTATTATTGTTTATTTTTTAAAGAAGGTCTTGATTGCTTGGTGGGGATGAGACAGGGTTGGAGAAGTAAAGGCAGCTGCAGGAGAATGAGTAAGGGGCTTTTCAACAGCACAGCTGAACTGACAGAGGCTTCAGCTGGAGAGCTGCAGAAGACCTGGTGAGAAGGATCCCACGGGCTATGTGTTTGGGAGTAGGGCAGACAGGACCAGTGAAGAGATTCACTGTGGAGGCTGCAGGAGAGAAGCGAATCAAATATGATGTGCAGGGCTGGGTCCTGAGTAACTGAGTAAAAAGTTCTCATTTACTGAGATGGAGACACTATTCCTAGGGCAGGTTTGTGGACAGCATGGGGCAGAATATTAAGGAGCTTGTCTTGGCCAGATTCCTTAGATTAGATAGTCAAATGGAGATGTTAACAATTAAAAGTTGCTTTTATTATCCCTAATTTACAGAAGAGGAAACTGAGGTCTCGCAGGTTAGAAAAGCAGGACTCATAACAAAACCTGTCCAGACCCAGCTTGCTTCCCCAGACCACACTATTATAAACCTCCCTGCTGCAGACGCGAAACAAGCACCAAATGAGATCATAGACTTTTAAATTATAATGATTATTAACGTGGGACAGTGTCTGGAGACAGGCAGGGCATGGAACCTACAGGATCTAGGGAGCAGGTAAAATGTGCTCGGCTCTGCTTTGGAGCTGAGTCCTCCGCACGCCAGGGTCAGTTACATTTCCACAGACAAGCTGTTCCACAGCCAGACTTCACGCCATCCCCTCTGAATCATTTAAATTGCCTTTGCTAAATAATTTACCTCCATGTAGACAAAAGGGTTCCACAGGCTCCCCAAACATTGTGGGACTGGTGCATAATTTACAAAGCATTGCTTAGCCGCCCCGTGCAGGGAGAACAACAGGGCTTGGACACCTGCCAGAGCCAAGGAGGGCACCAACTGGAAAGGAGGCAAAACACAGCTCCATCAAACAGAGGCAAAGGCACCTACTGACACCTGGATTCTCAAGGCCAAAAGCAAGACAGGAAAATGTGAGGGTCAAACTGCCTCTGGGCACAGGCTGAAGCCAGTGAGGGAGGGGCACGTAGCTAGCATGCGTGCTGGAAGTCTGAGGAAAATATCATCAATGCTACACTCTTCCTGATTACCAATATCCTGAGACCTAATTAATTATGTCCTTTAAAAAAGCAGCATTGCCTCTGGTAAGAAGCATGTTTAGCAAATACCTGAGCATTTTAACACAGGCAAGAACGATGTGGAATTCAGACAGGAAGGGCAATTTTCTGTGCCTGGAATGCCTTCCTCCACATCCCTTATGCACTTGACAAATTCCTGCTCCTTTTTCCAGAGCTGTCCTCAAGGGTTACCTCCTCCAGGAAGCCTACCTCACTCCCAGAGGCAGACCAAGGCTTCCTTCTCATCGTGAACTATGTTTTATCTCTCATTTCATTGTATAATAAATGTTGTTTTCCTCCCCTGGACTCAGGTCCTTGGTAACAGAGTTTCTTTAAATCTGTAGTCACAGTACATGATTCAGTGGTAGCACATTCTGTATTCATTGTAGAATGAAGGATGAAACAAACAAGACATGCACCATAACTTACAAGATATTTTCCCCAGCATTGCATGTAGTATTGTTGCTTTAAGCATAAAAATTCATATCCCAAGAGAATGGCAAAGTGTGTATAAAATAAGCAAACATACCAGAAGTTGCTCAGCATCTTCAAGAGTCGTTCTGCCCCTTGCTCCATGTCTTAGCCCATTTTCTGTTGCTGTAACAGAATATCACAGATTAGGTAACTTATAAAGAAAGGAATTTTATTCATCTCACAGTTCTGGAGGCTGGGAGTTCCAAGAGCATGATGCTGGCATCTGGTGAGAGCCTTCTTGCTGTGTCATAACATGGCAGAGGGTATCACATGGCGAGAGGGCAAGAGCACACATGCCAGCTCAGGTCTCTCTCCCTCTCTTATGAAGCTGTTGTTCTCATAGTGGAGGCTCCACCCTGACAACTTTATCTAATCCTAATTACCTTGCAAAGACCCCATCTCCAACTGACATACGGATTTGGGAATTGAGTTTCCAACACAAGAAATTTGGGAAACATATTTAAACTATAGTGCTCCACTTGGACTAATACTTCCCATTTCTAACCACCTGTCAGCTTCAGCTCTTTGAGTTTGGCATCTAATTCATTTTACAATGCCTGACTCTTAATAGGATGATTGGGTTCTTGAATCAGACAGATATATTTTTTTTGGAAGTTTCCAGCCATGCCACTTAGAAGCTGTGTGGCCTCAGTTTAGTAAGTTAACCTCTCTGATCTTCAGCTTCCTTACTTATAAAACAGGCACAGTAGAAGTATAGAGGTATTAATAATGCCTACCTCATTGTAATGTTGTGAATATTAAATGAGATCAGTGTATATAAATATCTTAGTGCAGTGCCTAGAACTTAGTGATCATTGAATGAATGTTAGCTATTACTACTGTTTTCACTTTACTACAAGATGTATTGTCCATTCTGTCACTGCACCTGCTTTCTATGTTCTCTACCAGTACACACACCTTCAGTTCAGCCCTGGACTTGCTGCCATGTATCCAATACCCCATGATCAGACCCAGAACACATTTGGCAATCATAGGTTCTCTTCTTGTGATTATAACAAATTTCCTCTTCCTGGATGCTTCTCAAGATCAAGAGTAAAAATCTGAGTTATCTTAAGCTATGTTTGGGTTGTCAGTCTGTGCTGCTTTGAATATAACTCCCCCAAAATACTGCCTCATATAAAGCCCCAGCTTATATTAGGGTTACTTGTGTTTGAGCCTAAAGATACAATGGCAGTTAGAATTTAAATGGCATTTACTATGTGCTTGGTACTTTTTAAAAGTCATTTATATTTAGTACTTAAAACCGAAGAGGTACCAGTATATCTTCATTTTGCTTATGAGAAATTGAGGCACAGAGAGGTATCGTATGAGGGTGGGAGTGTGTCACACTCTGCTCAGGAGGGCTTGCTAGTCAGAGCTGTAAACTAAGTTTACATCCTTGGGAGAAGAAAAACTTTGTCCATTCTAAAGGGTCTGACTTTTCCCAGTTTTAGACATCAAGGAAGAGGCAGGTTCTGTTATAGAAAACCCAGCCTTGTAAGGCAAGGATTAGATGGGCAGGACCAAGGAATGGTCATCATTCTCTGAGCCCACTCTCTTTAGTTAAGATTTTAATGCATCTGAACATATTGAAAAAGAAGGTGGCAGAAAACTGGCCCTTGACTCAAGATAGCTTTTAGACTTAGGGCAGGGTAGGGAGATAGGTTGTAGGAAAATTGAGACTACTGTTAGGTAGCAGGTATCCCATACAATAAAATGTCAAGTGGTACCCTCTAGAGTTAATTCGCTTCTGTTATCTGGGAGCCCTGTTAATCATTCTTTCATGCCTTGGTTGTACCATGGGGAATAAAGGAGTGGATTTAGGTTCACCTTGGACACTTGTGTGAAAATAAGATCTGCAGTCTCTGGAACCAGCTTTGTTGGATGCAAAGAGAAAGTGTGTCTCAGGGATAAGAAAGAACTCCCTGCTAACCATGGGGAGCTTCTCCATCTATTGCTAGCCAAGGTGGATGAAGATTTGATTTCATTAAATCACCCGGCACATTTCTTTACCTGCCCATAGGTGAGTGAGTCCATAGGAGAGTGAAAATGGAGGCCATTTCCAGCCAAACCTGGAGGCTTCCGTGGGTCAGACAACTAGGCCCCAAGAGAAGAAAAATAAATAAGTTAAACTCCCTTCATCGGGAAAATAAACATCAAATGGCATGTGATAGTGTGCACTGCATAAGTGAATAAAGGAGGTTTAATTCTTTAATTATTGCCTCTAGTTTCCCCATGGTAACAAAGGGCAAGTTGATGAAGAGAGATAATCAGGGCATAAAATATTGTGTCTCCTTGGTTTATTTCACTTAATAAAATAATAAAAATATTTCTCCTTAAGTTCCCAGTCTTGCTTAAAAAAATGAGACAGTATTTTTATCTAAACTCATTTCAAAACAGATCCATAAAGATTTACTGAGTACCTACTATGACACTGGGTTCAATATGATGGTCTCTGCTCAGAAAGCACAATTCTGACTTCCCCTTGACAGTCCCCACAACTCACATTCACACACTTTTAAGAAATTTCAGGCCAGACATGGTGGCTCACACCTGTAATCCCAGCACTTTGAGAGGCCGAGGTGGGCAGATCACCTGAGGTCAGGAGTTCGAGACCAGCCTGGCCAGCATGGTGAAACTCTGTCTCTACTAAAAATACAAAAATTAGATGGCCATCGTGGTGCATGCCTGTAATCCCAGCTATTCAGGAGGATGGGGCAGGAGAATTGCTTGAACCCAGGAGGCAGAGGTTGCAGTGAGCTGAGATCATGCCACTGCACTTCAGCCTTTCAGTCTGGGTGACAGAGCGAGACTCAGTCTCAAAAAAAAAAAAAAAAAAAAAAAAAAGGGAAAGAAATTTTAGTTATCTAGTGGACTCTTAGAAGATATTTTCGTTTACAACATTCACCATCAAGAGTCTATGACTTCACTAATATTCACCTATATTCCTTTGAAAGATTGTGTCTAGCAATCTTTTGTGTTCATGTTAAGCAAACTATATTTATTAAGAAATACTTTGTTTCCCCATTTTTGTATTTAGAATTTCCAATAGGAATTTCTTTCAAGAAATAACCCATGTGCTTTTACTGAGTTAATAGACTTCCAGCCAAAGTGTCTCCGTTCACTCAATAATCATGAATACAGTAAATACCTGCTATGACCCAGGCATTGTTTGCCATACTTGGGATACAACAGTGAACAAAATTCTAGGTCCTCGTGTAGCATTAATTCTAGTTTAAACATAAAGTCAAAACAAAATTTACCAAGAAAAAGCAAATTACATTGTATATCATGTCATGATTAGTGCTACTGGAAAATGCAATGCAAGGTAAGAGAGGGAGTCATGAGATGTCAGGGGATAGTGGTGATGAATGTGGGGAAGGGAGGCTGTAATTTAAGAGTACTGAGCATAGGTGTATTAGTCCATTTTCACACTGCTGATAAAGATGTACCCGAGACTGGGAAGAAAAAGAGGTTTAATTGGACTTACAGTTCCACATGGCTGGGGAGGCCTCAGAATCATAGCAGGAGGTGAAAGCCACTTCTTACATGGTGGTGGCAAGAGAAAATGAGGAAGATACAAAAGCGGAAACCCCTGATAAAACCATCAGATCTCATGAGACTTATTCACTACCATGAGAACAGTATGGGGGAAACCACCCCCATGCTTCAAATTCTCTCCCACTGGGTCCCTCCCACAACACATGGGAATTAAGGGAGTACAAATCAAGATGAGATTTTGGTGGCAACACAGAGCCAAACCATATAATTCTGCCCCTGGCCCCTCCAAATCTCATGTCCTCACATTTCAAAACCAATTATGCCTTCCCAACAGTCCCTCAAAGTCTTAACTCATTTCAGCATTAATCCAAAAGTTCATAGTCCAAAGTCTCATCTGAGACAAGGCAAGTCCCTTCCACCTATGAGCCTGTAAAATCAAAAGCAAGCTAGTTACTTCCTAGATACAATGGAGATAAAGGATTTGTATAAATACAGCCATTCCAAATGGAAGAAACTGGCCAAAACCAAGTGGTTACAGGGCCCATTTGAGTCCAAAGTCCAGTGGGGCAGACAAATTTTAAAGCTCCAAAATGATCTCCTTTGACTCCAGGTCTTACATCCAGGTCATGCTGATGCAAGAGGTGGGTTCCCATGGTCTTGGGCAGCTCTGCCCCCGGGGCTTTGCAGGATACAGTCTCCCTTCCAGCTGCTTTCATAGGCTGGCATGAGTGTCTGTGGCTTTTCCAGGCAAACAGTACAAGCTGTCAGTGGATCTACCATTCTGGGGTCTGGAAGATGGTGGCCCTCTTCTCACAGCTCTCCTAGGTAGTGCCCCAGTAGGGACTCTGTGTGGGGGCTCTGACCCCACATTTCCCATCTGCACTGCCCTAGCAGAGGTTCTCCATTAGGACCCTACCCCTGCAGCAAACTTCTGCCTGAGCATCCGGGCATGTTCATACATCTTCTGAAATCTAGGAGGAGGTTCCTAAACCCTGCTTCTTGACTTCTGTGGACTTGCAGATTGAACACCATGTGGAAGCTCTCAAACCTTGGGGCTTGCACCCTTTGAAACCACGGCCCGAGCTCCATGTTGACCCCTTTCAGCCATAGCTGGAGTGGGTGGGACATAGGGCACCAAGTCCCTAGGTGCACACAGCATGGGGACCCTGGGCCAGGCCCATGAAACCATTTTCTCATAGATGTCCTGGCCTGTCATGGGAAGGGCTGCCATGAAGACCTCTGACATGCCCTGGAGACATTTTTCCCATTGTCTAGGGGATTAACATTTGGCTCCTCATTACTTATGCAAATTTCTGCAGCTGGCTTGAATTTCTTCTCAGAAAATCGGTTTTTCTTTTCTATCATATTTTCAGGCTGCAAATTTTCTAAACTTTTATGCTCTGCTTCCCTTAAAAAGTTGAATGCTTTTAACAGCACCCAAGTCACCTCTTGAATGCCTTGCTGTTTAGAAATTTCTTCCACCAGATACTCTAAATCATCTCTCTCAAGTTCAAATTTCCACAAATCTCTACATCAGGGGCAAAATGCTGCCAGTCTATTTGCTAAAACATAGCAAGAGTCACCTTTGCTCCAGTTACCAACAAGTGCCTCATCTCCATCTGAGACCACCTCAGCCTGGACCTTATTTTCCATATTGCTATCAGGCTTTTGGTCAAAGCCATTCAACAAGTCTCTAGAAAGTTACAAACTTTTCCACATTTTCCTGTGTTCTTCTGAGCCCTCCAAACTGTCCCAACCTCTGCCTGTTACCCAGTTCCAAAGTTGCTTCCACATTTTCAGGTATCTTTTCTGCAACACCCCCACTCCTGGTACCAATTTACTATATTAGTCTGTTTTCATGTTGCTGATAAAGACGCACATGAGACTGGGAAGAAAAAAGAGGTTTAATTGGACTTGTAGTTCCACATGACTGGGGAGGACTCAGAATCATGATGGGAGGCAAAAGGCACTTTTTACATGGTGGTGGCAGGAGAAAATCAGGAAGATGCAAAAGCAGAAACCCCTGTTAAAACCATCAGATCTCATAAGACTTATTCACTACCATGAGAACAGTATGGGGGAACTATCCCCATGATTCAAATTATCTCCAACTGGGTCCCTCCCACAACACATGGGAATTATGGGAGTACAATTCAAGATAAGATTTGGGTGGGGACACAGAGCCAAACCATATCAATAGGATTCATGGGGTGCTAGTTAAAGGAGGTAAGAGTCATTCATACAATATCATTCTAAGGTAAGCATTCTAAGCAAAGGCTGGAAAACCAAAGCATGCCCAGAGTATCTGAGAAACAGTCACTTAGTGCAGACTGGGCAAAATCCTAGGACAGTCTCAGATGATCCACAAAGGTAGTGGGGCTGAGGAAAAAAAAAGATGGTGCAAGACCATGTATGGTGTTGGAAAGACACTGGCCTTTACCCCCAAGAAAAATGGAGAGCCTTGGAGAATTTTAAACAAAGGAATGATACAACAAAAATCATTTTTCCTAGCCTGTGTACTTTTATTTAGCCTACCCATAAGGTATCCAGAAGGCTTTTTGGAACAATGAAAACACCTGGAGCAGCTTCTAGGACCTCCTCTGGGCTACAGAAAAGGTCTAAGCACCCAGGTTTGGTGCCAATATTCATTTTACAGAGGAGAAAATGGAAAGAAAGAATGGGCAATCGACTGGCCTATGGCCATTGCTGAGTTAGGGACAAGCCCAGGACTGGACACAGGGCTCTTTCTCCCCACAATGTGCCACTAACCAAAGCAATTATGCAAGAAGAAACCAGTCTTGGGTGCATTAATTTTATGTTTTCAGCTGTCCTTCATTAGCCAGGCATCATGTTAAGTGCTTTATAAGCATTATCCCCAAGATGTAGGAAATGTTCTTCCTAACTCATAGATGAAGGACTGAGACCCACAGGGTTTACTGCACTTATTTGAGGCACACATCTAATACATGGAGGAACCAGGGTCCAATGCAGTCTTTCTGCCTGACTACAGAGCCCACTCTTTGTTACTGTAGGGGAAGGTTTGTAAAAGAACTGAACTGAATTTCATATTGGTTGCATTTCTGCATCCTGTCACTCAGCTGCCTTTTTATGACTCTCACTTTCAATATGTTGACATGAACTCACAAGTTCCAGAATAAAACTTTTCTAATGGGAAAGTAATGTCTTTACACAAAAGACTTGTTAAATGGGTCTCAATCAAGTATTTTTCTAACAGATAGAAAAAGATCATTTCCCAAGAATAGAGGCCTGTCCTGTAATGCCCAAGTCAAGGTAACCTCCTCTGAGAAGGTTTCTCTGCTCCTGTCATCCAGTGGGAAGAAATGACTTCTAATTCCAAGCCTTTACAGCTGTTCATGCGCAGTGATAACAATTGTCCTTTATCGAGTCCTTGCTGTGGGCCAGGTATTTGACCTCCATAATCCCTTAACTTCTCAGCAACCCCTTGAGTCAGGTACAGTCATTTTCTGTATCTTAAACAGAGATTCAAGTGAGTTCAGTAATTTGACCAAGATTACACAGCTATGGAGTGGCAAAGCTTCACTCTAAACAGCCTCAGAAATCATTCTTGTTGCACTTATCACAGGAAACTTGAGTACAAGTCAGTTTCCAGAATGCCTTACTTATGAATACGTTCCAGGAAGGCAGGGAGTTCCTGTCTTCTGGTTACACCAGATCCCCAGCACCTAGAATAATACTGGTCCCAAAGAGGATGCTCAGTGGATATTTTCTGATAGAATAAATGACCTTCTCTCTATGGCTCAAATTCCTAATCCATAAAACACTGATTCCATGTAAGAATTGTACTACATAACAAAGGAGAAAGTGTTTTATGAGCCACAAGTACCTACCTAATGATTATTCCAAATCTGAGATGCTATGATTTGACCTTTTGTTGCTGTAATGTCTGTGCCTAAGAACACATAAGTAAGATGGTATTGGATGTAACATTGTGCCACTATGTATTCTCATGAACAAATAATCAGGAAGAGAGTTTTGTTTTGGTGATGATGTGAAAGGAATAAAACGATTAAACCAGAATAACTGTGCATTCCTCAAAGAGGACCTGTGTACTATATCCCATAGGATCTGGCACTTTAAAAAAAAAAAAAGAAGAAGAAGAAGAAAAAGAGTGGTTACTTTCAAGAGTCTGAACTCCTTCCTCAAGTTCAGAACTTCAGACCTGCAGGTCTTTCTCCTTCAGCACCCATACTGACTGGCAAAAACAGCTATAAAAATCAATAGATGCTACATGCTGGATGGAAAGAGACTGCAAAACAGAGGATTATCCTCCCTCAGGAAGAGATAAAGGGGAATTGATTAAAGGTGTTCCAGGCCAGTCCTTTCATCAGAGCTTGGAAGGGCTGAGCCCACGGGAGGGCAGGTTGCCACTGTGGCAGCACAGGTAGGGCCCTGGAAATGCTTTCTCCGAGAAGCCTTTTGACTGATAAGGCTGCCAGAGCTACTTTTGAGGCCCAAACTGGCTTTCTGTTATTCTCCAGGGACTTGGCCTGTTTTCTTTCCCAAAACTGTACTGTTGGACTCCACACTCTCTCCCAGTTATCTCCCTGAAAACCTGCTTAGGACAGGGACTCTGGCTCTCAGCCTCCAACCACCTTTATTACTGCCACAAGAGGGATGCACAAGGGCCTTTGCTGCCTCCTGTAGGGAAATTCAGATAACTTACGGTGGTCACGACTCGACAGAGGGCTGATGAACAGCATAGGTTTCTGGTTCCCCAGCCAAGGCTTCTGTCAGTGGAGCTGCCCGGTGCTGGGTTGTCTCTGGCTGTCTTCTTTCATCCCTGCCATATTCCCCAGGATGTGAGCGCTGCTCATTTCTGCAGCCTTCTTACTCACCACATCCCTCTCTCCCTTCAGGCTCCATCCTTTCTGAAATCCAAACAGTTCCCTAAACCCTTTAATCAGGTCTTTTTTCAATGGGTACCCGGGACTGTTTTAATCAGGTATGGTAAGACACACAGGCAGAGAAATGACTGTCATGAAGGAAGAAGTCCTCTCACAGTTCTCATGCCACTCTATGCAAGGCCATGCAGGGAAGCAGCAGGGTCTGACCCCTGGGCAGAGGGGAGAAGGGGAACTGGGGGCAAGAGCCTTTGTTGTGGTTTCCAGAGAAATGGGTGAGACAGGGTAAGCATTAGGACTGGCTAGTGTGCATAATTTTAGCAGGTTCTAGGGCATGGAGGGTGCCCCTATCTTACTGGTACCTGGCCCTAAGGCGATAAGGGAAATAGTGGCCTGAAGTATAAAATCTCTGTAAAGGAGGTGCTAGGGGTATGGGCTCTGGATTTGTTGGTTTGCATATGAAAGACATGCTCAGAACCAGTTTTTAGTAACCACTAGGAATTAGCTAGTCCAGGGAGGTGCAATCCCACCAACGTTAGCAAGGCCTCAAGTTGTCAAACCATCAAAAATACAGAATACAAAGGCATGATCAGTAAAGCTCCACACTTTCTCAAGCATCCCAAAAGGACTGGTCTCAAGTATGTGAGCACTCTGAGGGTTGCAACTTTTTAAATATTTGCACAACATTTACCTTCAGAAAAAGCTGGGAGTGACGGCAGAGCAGCCACCTCCTCCAGGAAGCCTTCCTTGACCAACCCTTCCCCACCTCGCTGGTGCTGAGTGTGAGATGCTCCTGTTTGTGTTCACACAGTGACTGCTCTGTGCTTGCTGCTATCCAGCCCTGAGCACACATGGTTTAGCAGCCCATGACTTGTCTGTCACCCCATGAGATGGGAATATCCTCAAGGATAAGGTCAGAATTTGACACAGTGACCAGAACAGTGAGGATCAGTAATAGGAAAATTAGTTGGAATCTTATTAAATCTTCTTTCTTACCAAGCAAACCACAATATTTACTCCAGGCTGAATGTTAAGGCTCATATCCAGGCCACTGCTAGCCCATACCACATCTCTGCATGAATTCACAAAAGATGCTCCTTCTTCAAATTTACAACAACAACAAAAAGAATCAATATAACTTTGGATAACCTGAAAAATAAACAGCATATCCAAAAACAGAAGTCCAAAATCAAAGTGTCAGCAGGGCTGCCCTCTCTCTGAAATCTCTAGGGAAGAATCCTTCTTGCCTCTTTCTGGCCTCTGGTGGTTGCCCAGCAATCCTTGACATTCTTTGTCTTCTAGAAGCATCACCCCAATCTCTGCCTTCGTCATCACATGGCTGTCTTCTCTATGTGTCTGTGCCTCTGTGCTTTTTCATGGTGCTCTTCTGAGTGTCTGTGTCCAAACCTCCCTCATCTGAGTAGCACACCAGCCATTGCATTCCAGCCTGCCCTGATCCACTATGACCTCATATCAACTTGATTACATCTGCAAAGGCCCTATTTCCAAATAATGTCACCTTCGTGGTACTAGGGGTAAGGACTTTAACATATCTCTGTCAAGGGCACAAAGCAAACTACAGAACTCTCCCCTGATGTGTTCTCCCACTGGCCAGAAAGAAAGCCACATCCACAAGTCACCTGTGATACTTTTTTTGAAGAAAAATATTCAGAAAAGATTTGGGTATTCACACCTTGATAAATTATAAAGTTCTTTATTCACTCTGTCTTTTTACTTCTCTCTCATCACCCTCTCTTGTGTCAGAATGTACTTTCAGCCATGGCTTAAAACAGTATGTCTGTGTCCTTAGAGAATGCCAATCAAGGTCACTGTGAAAAGCAACACAAAGAAACGCTGATCACGTCTCACTTCTTGCCAATATTGCTCAGAAGAAAAAACGACCAGTGAATTCTGTGTTTGAAAAAAGCATCTCAAATAAGTACAACCTAGAAAAACTGAAAGTCCATTTTTCGAGAAACTAGAAATGTCAACTGTTAAACTGTACTGCAGTGAATGTGGCAGAGAGAACATGGTATGTTTGCCATCTCCATTACCTTTGCCTCGGCACACAAAGACAGACTACATTTCCCAGCCTCCATCTTTATTAAGTGGAGCCATGACACTGAGTTTGGACAGAGAAATGTGAAGGGATGTGACATATGCCTCATTTAAGCCTGGCCAGCCCCTAAGCAATCTTTCCTCTTCTTTTGCCTCTGATCAGTGCAGAGAATCCCATCGATTCCCAAAGGCCCTGGGAAATGGCAGGTCCGCTCTAGGGACGAAGTGTGGGTCTTTTAATCACAGCTGCATCATAGCAGATCCACACTCTTAGATAGAGACCTATATTGCATTGTGACAGGGTTGAGAACAAGGGTTCAGCCACTGGAATTGGGGGATTGCTCCGAAAATAAATTAGCAAACCCTAAAGAAATGTGTCCTTTATAGAAGACACAGTAGTGTGGCTGAAGTCAAAGGATGAAGTTAATTGGAGGAGATAAGACCAGCATTATGTAGTTTGGATTTACGTAATTACATGGAAAAAGACTAGCAAAGGTAGGGAGACTGGAAAGTTTAAAGCACCTCATAGAGAAAAAATAAAAGCCATTCCACCCAATGGGAATGTGGTGAAGGTGGAGCAGGTGGGCATGAATAGCACTAAATATCCTTAAGCAGCTAAAGGACAGGACGGCTCAGGAAAGGTAACTGGAGAACTTGGGGCTAATGCAACAGGCAAGAGAGAGCCATCAAAGATGACTGAATAAGTGAATAAATTGTTAAAAACAAAGTGCCCAAAAGACAGAAATGCAGGTCGTGTGCTGGATGGATTTGAGGCAGGTGGAGGCAAGAAGTCCCATTAGGAAGCTATTGCAACCGTACAGGTGAGTGATTGTACAGACGTCACCTGAGGCTGGGGACCAGGGGTGAAGAGGAAGGCATGGGGGAGATGACAGCAATAACAACTTTGTCTTGGGACACCTACTATGTGCCCGGTAATTTATATACACCATACAATTTAATCCTCAAAATTGTATGCAGTAGCACTATGGCCTTATGGGACAGTTGAGGAAACTGAGGCACAAAGAAATTACAAGGCTAGTAAGTTGTTAAACGTCTCAGCTTGGACCCAAACTCAGGCATTTGACTCCAGAGTACTCGCTCTTAACCACCATGTGTAGATTAAGGTAGTTAACAAGGAAGAAATTCAGGTGCCCTGACAGGCTGATCTCGCTTAAACAACCTCCACAGCCCACCACCCAGCTACAACCTCCTTCTCATTCCCAAAAAACAATGTGAGTTTCAATGACAAATTCCGAATCATTTGTATTACCTTCAAAGCATCTGCCTGTGATCACATAATACATCCTTTTCAACAAATGATACAAATGCAGTAAAAATGCAAATTCTTCCCTGGCCAGGCTGCTCAAGGCCATAAACACAGGTGCACCATTAACTTTGAGCACTGAGCAAGGATTCCAGGTACAAAGCTTCCCCAGAGAAAAAAACTGCTCTCAAATTAAAGGGAAAGGGGCAACTCTGTTCCTCTGGCCAGACAGGGAGCAAATAAAATAGAAACTTAGCTCAGAGCTATCCCAGAGGTTGTGTTTCTTAGCCTTGGCTGCACATCAAACTCATTTGTAGAGTTTCCATTAAAAAAAAAATACCAACACTCAAGCCTCATGCTAGACCAGCTGAATCAGAATTTGGGGAGTTCAGGCCCAGGCACTATATGTTTAAAACTGTCCCCCGGGATTCTAATGCAAGGTGAGAGTTGAGAGGCACTGCCCTTGCTGAGCAAAGTAGCTGTTTCTGTGTCATTTGGGTGCCCTCCTTCAACTACGCGTTTGTCCAAAATGTATTGTGCATCTCTCTGTGCCCAAAGTCATACTATATTCTGGAGATACAGAAATAAATGACATGATCTTGTCCTCAAGAATTTTAGTGTGGAATGTGTGAAAAAGCCAAATATAATGGAGCGTAGGAATTGGCTAGGTGTTAGGACAGACTGAGGGCAGAACACCAGGGAGGCACAAAAGGAGGCACCCGTCTTGGGGATCAGAAAGGACCTTGAACAGGAATCAACACCTCAACTGAGTATTAAAAGAAGAATAAAACTGAGCCAGGTGAATACGAGGTGGGAGAAAGCATTCACGGCTGAGAGAACAGCTTGTACAAGAGAAGAGAGGTAGAAGGTGCAGCAAAAAGAACTTAAGGATTTAAAGAAATTCAGGCCAGCAGAAACATTTGATGCATTTGAGTGGACCACAAGTGAGGCTAGAGACTGGGGCAGGCAGGGGAGTTCCATGGGACCTGGATCTAGCAAAGGCTACTGGATTTAGCACCCTTGAAAAGGTGTCGAGGATCAAAGAAGGAAAGTGTGAAAAAAATATTGAGATGCATAAATACAAAGTGGATGGTATCATTTGCACATTTATTATACCGTTTAGTGTACAATTATAATGAATCAGGCCCTTTTCTGAGCATGTGGTCTTCATTCATTCAATAATTTAGCATGTATTTATTGTCCATCTACTGCTATTGATCAATAATAGCATGGTGTAGGCTATTTCCCATATACACAATGTATAGGCAAATAAGATAACAGTGAACAGTCAAAAATCCCTCTTTTCATGGGATGTACCTTTTAGTAGAGGAGACAGACAACTGGAAAAATAAGTTAAAATAGTAAATTAGAGGCTGATAGCTGTGGTGACAAAAATAAACAGATGAAGAAAACAGCCAGTATTGTGGTTTCTGGTCTTTTGATGGGTCAACCTGTCAGGGCTTCAGTCCTCTATAATTCCATCAATCATTAACCTAGGTGTTACTATGAAGGTATTTTGTAGATGTGATTAAAGTCCATAATCAGTTGGCTTTAAGTAAGGAAGATGATCCTAGATGGTCTGGGTGAGCCTGATTCAAGCAGTTGAAAGGTTTTACCAGTAGAGCTGAGGCTTCCCTGAGGAAGAAATTCCATCTGTGGGCTGCAGTGTCAGCTCATACCTGAGGGTTCCAGCCCACCCTTCCCCATGGACCTGCCCTATGGATATTTATCATGCCTAGCCAGCTTCCACAATTGCATAAGCCAATTTCCTGCAGTAAATCTCTTAATATGTGTTTCCTACTGCTTCTGTTTCTCTCGTTGAACCCTGGCTAATAGGGGGAAGCTGTCATTTTAAACAGGGATGTTGAGATAGACCTCACTAAGAAGGTACTACCTGAGGAGAAACCTAAAGTTGGTGAGTGAATGAGCAAGTAACTATCATGTGAATGCAGGATCAGAATGTATATGTTGGGAGGCGAGACAAGGATACCAGACAAAGTAGCAGCAAGCACAAGGGCATTCTTTTATTTAATCCTCACAACAACACTGTGAAGTAGGAACTATGTTATCATCAAAAATTGTGAAGGACAAGGCAAAGATATGACATCAACCTAAGTGGTCATCAATGGATGATTAGATAAAGAAAACGTAGTTTATATACACAATAGAATACTATATTCAGCCAGTTTTTAAGTTAAATAATGTCTTTTATAGCAACATAGATGGAACTGGAGGCCATTATCTTAAGTGAAACAAATCAGACACAGAAAGATAAATAAGGCCTATTCTCGCTTATAAGTGTGTGTACACACGGACATAGGGTATGGAGTGATAGACAATGGAGACTCAGAAGGGTGTGGGGGTGGGAAGAGGGTAGATGATGAGAAATTACTTCATGGGTACCATGTATGTTATTCAGATGCTGGATACGCTGAAAGCCCTGACTTGACCACTATGCCATCTACCCAGGTAACAAAATTACACTTGTACTCCATAATTTATATTAATTTAATAAGCTTAGCATTAATAAATTTAATACATTTAAAAAATAAATACATAAATATAAATAAAATTGTGAAGGATCTGATATTTTCCCCTGCTTGCCAGCTAATAAGTCAAGCTGCCACACACAGATGCTGGCAGAAGATATGAGACTCCCGGGTCAGAAGCAAAGATGTTATTACTCATGGCACAGCAGACGGCATGAACTTCATGTTCATATCAGTTCCCTTTGCTCCACCCAATTTCCACACAGACAATGGAGGTGGGCCTGTGTAGACACTGCACACACTTTGGACTTGTGTCACAGCCAAGGAATCTGACCCTAGGAAACCCCTAATCTTATAACCAGGCCACTGGCAAACCTGCTCAACCTTTGTCTCAGAGGAAGACATTATTTTTATTATATTGGTCAGGAAATAGATCTGCCCTGTCCATGGAGGGAGACGCTATACTAAACTCATCCAACCCACAGCCCACAGGGCTGCATGTGGCCCAGGACAGCTTTGAATGTGGCCTAACACATTTTATAAATTTTCTTAAAATATTACGAGATTTTTTGCAATTTTTTTTAGCTCATCAGCTATAGTTAATGTTAGTGTATTTCATGTGTGGCCCAAGACAATTCTTCTTCTTCCAATATGATCCAGGGAAACCAAAAACTGGACACCCCTGTGCTATACCTTCCAAGGCTATGTGCTATACAAATATACTTTAAAGGCCAGGCATGGTGGTTCATGCCTGTATTCTCAACACTGATTGGCTGAGGAGGGCAGATTGTTTGAGCCCAGGAGTTCAAGACTAGCCTAGGCAACATGGTGAAACCCTGTCTCTACAAAAAAATACAAAAATTTGCTGGGTGTGGTGGTGTACACCTGCAGTCTCAGCTCCTTAAGTGGCTGAGGCAGGAGGATTGCTTGAACCAGTGAGGTCAGGGCTGCCAGTGAGCAGTGATCACACCACTGCACTCAGCCTAGGCAGCAGAGTGAGACTCTGTCTCAAAAAATATATTTTTTAAGTAATTTTTTTACTTTATATATATATATATATACACATACATATAATAACTATATGTATATTTAATATAATTATAAATATATAAATAAATATATATACATATATATATACCTAAAAAGCTGGCCCAGAATAACAGCTGTTCACAGGAGCTAAAAAACGTGAGAAACCTATGGATGATGATCTCTTATTTTGCAGATAAGAAAACTATGGCACAGATAGGTCGTGTAATTTTCCTGAAATCACACAGCAAGTAAATGGAGAAGCAGTAATGTATGATCATCTGTTTCCTCCACTAGAACAAAGCGCTATAGCCAGAGATTTGTTTTCTGTAAACTGCCAGACACCCATGGCCTAGAAAAATGTTTGGCACTTAAACTAACATGCAAAAAATAGATGTAAGATTAATTTTTAACAATCTGCAGGTACTCACATACAACAGCGAACAGAGCAAGAATGGTCCTTATTCACATGAAGCTTAGAGTTCAGATAGAAAGTTAGGCATTAGGCAAATGTTTAAATAAATGTTTACAACTGCAATAAGTGCTACAAAGGAGAACATTTAAGAGTATGTATGTTTCTACACCATAATTATATGTGTGGGGGTGAATATATGCACCTATATACATCTCTCAGCCCCCTCAGTTACAGCGAGGAGATGAAATCAGCTATATAATTTGTCCAAGGATGAAAGAAAGCAAAATAGGCAAAAAAGGAAGTGAGCATGTACAGAATGCTTGATGCTATTAAATACGTTTTCTTACCTATTTTCACCACAACTTTGTGACATAAACACACTATAGTATGAATATTATCTCTGTTCCACATATGGGGAAATTGAGGCTTAGAGAAAAGCTAGCCTCGTTCTTTGCATGCACAAAGAGCTTGGCAAGTGGATACTCTCAATGACTAGATTTTAAATACGAGAGGTAAAAGCTTCTGGATGCCTTCAACGTAAAAATGTCTGCCTTCTTTTATGCCTGAAGTTTCTTAAGAGAAAGAAAGATTATATTATTCTCCTTGAAGAATAAAGATTAAACTCTAAGTAGCCATTTTTACAGTGTCTTTCCTTAAACTTATTTGTAGGAACACACAGATGACAGAGTTCCTTTCCATCATAGTGCAGAGGAACATTTGAAGAGCAAAAGATCATTTTAGTACAAGGAAGGTAAATTTGGTCTACCCACAATTATACCTAAGAAAAAAACTACTTACATTACAGGTAAACTGGCAAGATCTGTGATCTTAAGAAATCATTTTTCTTCCCTGAACCACTGTCACCTCATCTTCCAAAGGAAGAGGTTGAATTAGATGACCTCTGAGCTCCCTTTCAGCGCTATTATTCTAGCACAAAAGAAAGGAAGCCCTTGGACTTCTTATTTGTTCATATTTTTCTAAATGGTCTCCTTTCTCCCCAATATTCCCTTAGGAACCATATAAAATAATATTGTCTACAAAAAGCACAAGTGTTACTGGAAAGCGGTCTCAAGACTCCAAGGGAGGGTTCTTGGACTTTGCACAAGAAAGAATATATATTATATATAATAACTATATATAGTTATATATATGTTATATATTATATATAATATTATATATTATATAATATATAATATTATACATATAATTATATATAATATATTATAATATATATAATATATAATATTATAATATAATATATAATCTATTATATTATATAATATTATATTTTATATATTATAATATAATATAATATATATTATATTATATAATATAATATATAATATTATATAATATAATATATTATATATAAAACTATATATAATAACTACATATATAATAGTTATATACAGTTATATATATTTATTAATATAAAGTTATATATTATATATTATATATAACTATATATAGTTATTTCTAAATTATATGGTTATATGGTTATTATATAGTTATTATATCATATGGTTATTATATATAGTTATTAATATATATAGTTATATATAATAGATATATAGTTATTTCTAAATTATGTGGTTATTTCTAAATTATATGGTTATTCACGAGTTTTCTGGGAAAGGGGTGGAGATTTCCCAGAACTGAGGTTTCCTCCCCTTTTTAGAGTCCCCTTTTTACCCCTATAGGGTAACATCCGGATATTGCCATGGCATTTGTAAACTGTCATGGTGCTGGTAGGAGTGTCTTTTAGCATGCTAATGCATTATAATTAAAGTATAATGAGCAGTGAGGATAATCAGAGGTCACTTTAATCACCATCTTGGTTTTAACAGGTCTTGTCCAGCTTCTTTACTGCATCCTGCTTTATCAGCAGGGTCTTTGGGACCTGTATCTTGTACCAACCTCCTATCTCATCCTGCAACTGAGAATGCCTAAACTCCTGGGAATGCAGCCCAGTAGGTCTCAGCCTTATTTTACCCAGCCCCCTTTCAAGATGGAGTCACTCTGGTTCAAATGGCTCTGACACAAACAAAAGGACATCTGTGTTTCTGGCATCACAACTCTGAATTCTTCATAGTTGTCTGGCTTTTGTAACACAAAGAAATGTTAAACTCCAGAACATTCTGGCAAAAATGATTGGCAATGAATAAGAGGGTCAGTGATGAATTAGATGAGATTGGGGAAGAGGGGCAAAGCTCAGATCATGGAGGGTCTTGCAGACTGTAATAAAAATGTTGGATTTTATAGAAAGTGCCATTGGAAACCCAAATGAAGGATTTAAAACTTAGGAATGGTATAACCACTTTGAATTTTCTGAATATCACTCTTATTGCTGTTTGAAGAACAGAATCAAAGACAACAGAATTACAAGTGGAAAATACAGCTTGGAAAGGAGCACCATAGTCCAGGTGAGAAATGATGGTGATTTGGACTAGTGACATAAATGAACCTAAACAGAAGTGAGCAAACACAAAGGTGCTTTGGAAGATGAATTAATAGGACTTGGTATTCAATTTAGTGTGAGGAATAAGGGATAAGGAGGTATCAGGAATAACTCCCAGCTTTCAGACATAAGCAAGCAGTCATTTACTGAGCTGGGGAGGCCTTAGACAGAAGCATATGTGGAGGAAAAAAACATAACTTCTGTTTTGAACATGTTCATTTTGAGTTGTCTGGAAGATATTTAAGTAGAGCTGCTGAGATACTATTGAAATCTGAGCCTAGATACAAGACAAGGGAGAGGCTGGATGATGCAGACTGAACTGGGGAATTTTGGTATAATAAGGGTTTTTGATGTCAAGTAAGTAAATGGGACTGCTAGAGGAGAGTGTGGACCAAGAAGAGAAAAGGCCTAGGACTGTTCCTCGAGATATTCCAAGATACCGAGATTGTGAGGAGGAAAATGAACCATCAAAAAAGGCTCAGAAGGGGCTTCCAGGCAGCTAGCAAGAACACCTGGAGAGACTGAAGTCACAGAAGCCCCAATAAGATAGTATTTCAAGAAGGAAAGAATATTCAATGTGAAAACAGCTTCATTATATGAAACTAGAAAGTTACACCAGTTTCTGCACTATGGAATCCATTTGGTCTGTTAAAATGGGGAGGGATAGAGATGTGGGAAGTGGTGGGATCCACACTGAAATGGGTGAAGAGCTTTGGAGGTAAATAAGTGGAGACAGCTTGTGTAGACATATCTTACAAGAATCCTGAAAATGAAATGAAGAAGAGACTTGGGTGGTACCTAGAGAGCAACTAGAGAGTCAAGAGATGTTTGAAGACTCCCAGGAAGAATCCAAAAATAAATGACAAATTGAGGGAATGCAGAAAGGCAGAAGTAAACAACAGAGTGAAAACCAGTGGAAGAGGATGAGATCTAGGCATCAGATTTAGAGCACACTTGGAAAGATTTGCCTCAGAGGAGCAACACAGGAAATTTCAGAGAGGGGATGGAAACAGGTGAGGATTGTGTGTTGACCTACCAGTAGGGGAGGAGGGGTTAACGATGTCCACATTTGCATCATCTTTACATCTGCAGAATTGTTCACATTCACCATCTCAATTGATCCTACAGTGTAAAGTCTGATGTCTTTCTTCCCACTATATATGTAAGAAAACTGAAGTTCAAATTGCTTTCAGTGATCTGCGTGAAATCTTATAAATGTTAATAACAGAACTAAGATTCAAACCTAAATCTTCGGTCTCTAAACAAAGATCTCTCCCTCCCCTTCTTTCTCTCTCTCTCTTTTGCTCTCGGTCCTGCTCTCTCTCTCTCAATTTCTCTCCACCCCCTCCCATCGTCTCTGTATCTCTATCTCTTCATCTCTCTCTCTGTCTCTGACTCTGTCTTCTCTTTCTTTCTTCTTCTTCCCTTCCCTGCCATTTCTTTTTAGAATGCCAGTCAGGTTCTTTTGCAAAACCAATCTTGGAATTAGTTGGAATTAGTGTACTGAAACCCTTCAGCACACACTTCTCAGCCTAGATTTTACATGCTATCAAAGAACAGATTCACTAGCAGATTGAAGCTGTTTGAAGCCTTCTTGAGTTTTATGCCTCAGTTGTTTGTAGTTAGGGACCTCTCCAGTTCTGGATTTTAAAATATGCTTTCTTTTTTTCTTTTCTATTTTGTTGACAATTTTCATTAAAGCCCTGTTTTCCCTCTGGATTTCTCTAATATAACTACTTTAGAGGTTAAAGAATGCATTTGCCAAGGTTGGATGCCAACTGGAGCTTACAAAGTTCAAGGCTTCATCCTAAATTGCAAACTTGTCTATGGTTCAAATTCATTTACCCTTGACATCAAAATCAACATGTTCTGTTTCAAAGAAAAGGGACTTCAAATGGCCTTTAAGAAAAGGATCTTAAGCAGTGGGCATTAAATAATTCATCCAAATATATTTCATGAGCATAAACATGTAAATGAATAAGAATCATTTAGGTTACATTTTACTTGAAGTCCACCAGGAAATAAATAAAGGGTTTGAAAGCCAGTCTGAAATTTCATAAGCTCTAAATACATCAATTTCCAACCACCTCATTAGTATAAAATAGTACATTAGTCCAATTCACTTCGGGTGTTCAAGTGGAAAACTTTGGTACAAATAAATTATTTGTATGAAAAGATATTTGCTTCATTGCACTGAACAGTACTCTTGTGGCCCAAAGCTTTAACAATGCTCCCAGCCACTTCTAATGACATGCACTAATATCACACTGTTGTCTAAATAAAGATAGAGGACTATTATCAGTACTGGGTATTGCAAAGCAGAGGGGAACAAGCATGCACGAATTCAGAGTTTCAATCCTGGATCTGCCATATTCTAGCTGTCTGCCTTTGTGCACATTATTTAATCTCAATGAATCATTTTTTTTTGTTTTTTTCTTAAAAAAGAATGATAAATAAAAATTATCAGCCTGGGGATGGTGGCTCACACCTGTAATCCCAGCAGTTTTGGGAGGCTGAGACAGGTGGATCGCCTGAAGTCAGGAGTTCGAGACCAGGCTGGTTAACATGGTGAAACCCCGTCTCTACTAAACATACAAAATTAGCTGGGCATGGTATCGGCCCCTGTAATCCCAGCTACTCGGGAGGCTGAGGTAGGAGAATCACTTGAACCCTGGAAGCAGAGGTTGTAGTGAGCCGAGATGGCACCATTGCACTCCGGCCTGGGTGACAAGAGCAAAACTCCGTCTCAGAAAAGAAAGAAAGAAAGATTATCTTCAGATTGTTGTAAGGGTTACTTATGTGAAAGTGTCTAGTACTTGGCATAAAAATCAACACTTTCTGTATCTAAGAAAAAGAACTTCAATTGGCCTTTAGGAAAATGCATCCAGTAAGCTCTAGATGTTATTTCCCCCAAACCCATAGCTTTTCTTCATCCCCGTGTTGCTGCTGAGTCAATTTTAGACTCTGAATTGTTTTCCGTATGAAGCAGCTGGCTTGGTAAGGCAGCATTTCCTGTTGTCTCTTGTTGTCTGTGCCTGTGCTCAATTCCCTTCTCCAGGTACCTGGATTGGATGGACAGAGTTTTATACAACAGGGAGAGAACCCCAAGATCACACTGTCTTTCCTACTTTATTTACAAATGGGGAAACTAAGTTCCGAATAATGGAAGTAACTAGCTCAATGTGCCTCAGCCAATTAGCATAATTCCTTAATGCTATATTTCCATGGCTAAATTTAAGATGAGGGGGACATACTGTGCAATGCATAGCACATCCTTTGTAATCTAAGCAAGTTCACAGGACAGGACAGGGAATGATTAGAGAGCTTATTTGGTGGAAAAGAGCCAATATCTGATCATCGTTCAATGTTTATTAAATTTCCCTTTAGCACAAACCACTGCTGGAGGTGCTGAACAGAGTGCCTTAAAATAAACACAGTCATAAGTCTGGGAGAGTTGACAAATATCTAATAACTAAAACACCAATGAGGATAAATGATGCAGCAAAGTCAACATGACCTACCTGAAGAACCCAATTAGAATGTTATTGTAAATTGCACGTATTTGTTTTCTTTTAAAAAGAGAGGAGTAATTTTAATCATCGACTAAACAAATATTTTTGTATACCTAGTCCTGCACAGAGTATTGTAGGAGAATTAAAAAATAAACTAACATTATATAGCATTGCCGGTGACTTCAAGGACTTTATGATTAGCTGAAAAGATAAAACACAGCCTTAAAAGCTAGTTAACAATGCCGTAGATACTAACCAGATGGTCACTGAAGTGAATTGCAGGAGAGGCTGTGTGGGTTATTCAATCAACAAACTATATATATATATTTACATATATAATATATATATATACATATAATATATATTTATATATATTATATATATTTACATACATATAATATATATTTATATACATATTATATATTTATATACATAATATATATATTAATATATAAATATATAATATATATATTTTTATATATTATATATTTTTATATATATATATGTATTTTTTACCAGCTACACTGTGCAGGGACCTGCATTAAGCCCTGGAAATATAACGAATTAAAAAGCATGACCTTCATTTTCAAGATGACCATACTCTCTTGGGAGATGTCAAGTAAATGGACAATTAGGATACAGGTTACAATGATAGAAATAATGCATAAGGCTTTAACAGTAGCACAGAAGAGGACCACCTACCACCACCAACTGGGGAGATAAGGGTGGGCCTCATGGAAGAAGTGACTTACTAAATGCTGAGCAGTAATATTTTGAAAGATCTCAGACAGGAGCAAGAGACTACTACATGCATGAGCTTCATGGGGAAAAAGCAGCATTTAGAACAGAGTCAAATTCTCAGATTTGAAAAGCCACTTTTCTAGGGAGAAAACTTTTGAGGATTTGGTTGGCTGGTTGTGTCTGAGAAAATTTCAAAAGCTTACCTTTACATACGTAAAGAAAAATGATTAATGCAGAGCATAGACTTTATACCATAAACTTCAGGGTAGGGAAGAATGAATAATGACCGAATAGCTTTCCTGCCCTAAAGGAGGTACAGGTCTAACCAACTGGAGAGAGGGGAAAGATATGTCATGTGTAGACCCGGAAATCGCAGAACAAGAGCATGATCACAGGTCACAGCAGCAGATGCTGCCTCCACAATAAGAAGTCAGCCACCAGAAAGGCCCGAAGCCAGCAGGTGCCCTCCTCAATGCCTGGGAGAAACATCACTCCCTGGCAGCTTAGATCACCTTGGAGGAGAGGGTAGAAAATGGAGTCTTAAATGGGCCAAGCTGACATTCTGAATCGACTGTGCTGAAATCCAGAAGTGACCGGCTTGCCATGAAATGACAAGAGTTATTTTTTTCACCATGAGCAGAAACAGGGATTTCTGAGATAATTAAAAATAAAGAAATGGGGGGCTCCTGAATAATATAGAGAAAGGAGAGTTACATTCTTGCCCACATGAGTGGTACAAGTTGACACCCCAGTCAGGGCTATCCAAGTGATGAACCCACGGCCTGAACACAGTGTGTGCTCAAAGCACTTTGGTATTACTGGGGCACTAGGTCCCCATCTGCAAACATCAGCAGAGTTGGTGAGGGCTTGCAGTAAAGGAACTCAGATTTTATCCTGAAAGTCATGGGAAGCTACTGAAGGGTGCTAACCAGGGAAAGCCACATCAGATCTGCTTTTAGAATACCTCTCATGTGGCTGTGTTTGCAGGGGGAAGCTCAAGGGAAAGCCAGGAGGAGAAAGCCTTTGGGGAGGAAGTGAGACATGCACTGAACTTTGAGAGAAGGACGTATGGATTGGTGAAGGTAACTGGGAGAACTCAAGCAAAGGCACAGAGTGGGGAGTTCATGTGTAATGTCCCAGAAGGAAGGTAGCTGTGGAATGACCAGAGCCATAGATGCAAAGAAGGAAGTAAAGGAAAGGGATGGAGTGTTTGCCACAAGCTTCTCTTTATTCTGAAAGCCAGAAAACTCAAATCCAGGGTTGGAAACTACTGTTTCTATAAACAAAGTTTTATTGAAACAGAGCCATGTCCATCCATTTCTGTATTGTCTATTGCTACTTTCACCACAAGGGCAGAGTTGAGCAGTTGCAATGGAGACTGAATGGCCCACGAAGTCAAAAATATTTATTATCTTGCCCTTTACAGAAAAAGTTTGTTGACTCCTGCTTTAGATCCACGGTTTCAATGATCACATGTCAATTTTGCTACCTAGTCACTGGGTCATCAAAGCACATAGTTTCTTTCATCCATGAAATGGAAAGCCCCCACTGGGAGACCAGTACTCAGGTGAGCAGATTTGAGCTAGGATTCCACATTACCGCTTATTAGTTGTGTGACCTGGAGCACTTCTCTGAACCTTGGTTTTCTCATCTGTATAACAGGTAAAATAATAGTATATACCTTATATATAATATTTATAGTATATGTATTTACCATATATAGTATTTACCATAGCCCACCATATAGGGCTGGTGTGAGGATTGAATAAGGCAACAAATGAGTTAACATAAATTCATGAGCACAGTGTTTGACACATGATGGTTGTCCAAGAAATGTTAACTATATTTCTGTTGGTGTTAAATTGTTGATTATTTAGCTTCTGTTTAAAACCTGAGAGATTTATGAAAGATCATTTAAAAGACAAGCCATCTATCTTTTCTCCTAGGAAAACGTTCTTCATATTTTTCCCAGAACCCACCAGCATCACAGTCATCTGGAGTAATTGTTTAAAAATGCAGATTTCTAGGCCCACCTAAGACCTCCTGAATCAAACCTCCTGAGGTTAGGGCCCAGGAACATGGAATGTATGAGCTCCCTCGGTGATTCCTATGCACAGTAAAGTTTGAGAACTATCGCTGTGATTCTGCACTTCTCAAACTGGGAAATGAAGCATTTCCCAAAGGAAAACATAGGTCCCTGTTGGTACCCTCCAGTTGTGATATTTTATGTTCATTTTAACGAATACAAGAAATTGAACATGATCTGGAATTTAACATTTCATGGATACTACAGCTTAGTATGAAAATGAAAACTGTGACCGGGCGCCTACAATCCCAGCACTTTGGGAGGCCAAGGCGGGTGGATCACGAGGTCAGGAGATCAAGACCATCCTGGCCAATGTAGTGAAACCCCGTCTCTACTAAAAGTACAAAAACTAGCTGGGTGTAATGGCACACGACTGTAGTCCAAGCTACTCAGGAGGCTGAGGCAGGAGCATCACTTGAACCCAGGAGGTGGCTTTTGCAGTAAGCCAAGATCACGCCACTGCACTCCAGCCTGGCAACAGAGCAAGACCTCATCTCAAAAAGAAAGAAAGAAAAAAAGAAACGAAAAATGTATTTGGTTTTAAAATTTAGTCTATTTCAAAGATATCAAATTTCAGAAAAAGTAGTAGTGTTGCATAACTATGAACAAACTAGTAACAGTAATCCTAGAATGACACAATTATGGGGAAACTGACAAGAGAATCCCTCCATGTGCTGGAACTCCATTAAACCACAGAATGAGGCATGGTACATTTTCCCAAACCATCTATTTTACTCAGAGATTTATGGGAAAACTTTATTTTTATATTAAAACATGCAGAGGTCTATTAAGGAGAAGAATGTAAAGTGTATGGGAATTTTGAACTTGAAATACAAGATTTCAAAGGAAGTGTGTGCTACTCCCTCAGATTTACCCATCTCTTCAGCTTCTTTTTTATTTAATTATTTATTTATTTATTATTGTACTTTAAGATTTAGGGTACATGTGCACAATGTGCAGGTTAGTTACATAAGTATACATGTGCCATGCTGGTGCACTGCACCCACTAACTCATCATCTAGCATTAGGTATATCTCCCAATGCTATCCCTCCCCCCTCCCCCCACCCCACAACAGTCCCCAGAGTGTGATGTTCCCCTTCCTGTGTCCATGTGTTCTCATTGTTCAATTCCCACCTATGAGTGAGAATATGCGGTGTTTGGTTTTTTGTTCTTGCGATAGTTTACTGAGAATGATGACTTCCAATTTCATCCATGTCCCTACAAAGGACATGAACTCATCATTTTTTATGGCTGCATAGTATTCCATGGTGTATATGTGCCACATTTTCTTAATCCAGTCTATCATTGTTGGATATTTGGGTTGGTTCCAAGTCTTTGCTATTGTGAATAATGCCACAATAAGCATACGTGTGCATGTGTCTTTATAGCAGCATGATTTATAGTCCTTTGGGTATATACCCAGTAATGGGATGGCTGGGTCAAATGGTTTTTCTAGTTCTATATCCCTGAGGAATCGCCACACTGTCTTCCACAAGGGTTGAACTAGTTTACAGTCCCACCAACAGTGTAAAAGTGTTCCTATTTCTCCACATCCTCTCCAGCACTTGTTGTTTCCTGACTTTTTAATGATTGCCATTCTAACTGGTGTGAGATGGTATCTCATTGTGGTTTTGATTTGCATTTCTCTGATGGCCAGTGATGGTGAGCATTTTTCCATCTGTCTTTTGGCTGCATAAATGTCTTCTTTTAAGAAGTGTCTGTTCATCTCCTTCGCCCACTTTTTGATGGGGTTGTTTGTTTTTTTCTTGTAAATTTGTTTGAGTTCATTGTAGATTCTGGATATTAGCCCTTTGTCAGATGAGTAGGTTGCGAAAATTTTCTCCCATGTTGTAGGTTGCCTGTTCACTCTAATGGTAGTTTCTTTTGCTGTGCAGAAGCTCTTTAGTTTAATTAGATCCCATTTGTCAATTTTGTCTTTTGTTGCCATTGCTTTTGGTGTTTTAGCCATGAAGTCCTTGCCCATGCCTATGTCCTGAATGGTAATGCCTAGGTTTTCTTCTAGGGTTTTTATGGTTTTAGGTCTAACGTTTAAGTCTTTAATCCACCTTGAATTGATTTTTGTTTAAGGTGTAAGGAAGGGATCCAGTTTCAGCTTTCTACATATGGCTAGCCAGTTTTCCCAGCACCATTTATTAAATAGGGAATCCTTTCCCCATTGCTTGTTTTTCTCAGGTTTGTCAAAGATCAGATAGTTATAGATAAGCAGCGTTATTTCTGAGGACTCTGTTCTGTTCCATTGATCTATATCTCTGTTTTGGTATCAGTACCATGCTGTTTTGGTTACTGTAGCCTTGTAGTATAGTTTGAAGTCAGGTAGTGTGATGCCTCCAGCTTTGTTCTTTTGGCTTAGGATTGACTTGGCGATGCGGGCTCCTTTGTGGTTCCATATGAACTTGAAAGTAGTTTTTTCCAATTCTGTGAAGGAAGTCATTGGTAGCTTGATGGGGATGGCATTGAATCTGTAAATTACCTTGGGCAGTATGGCCATTTTCACGATATTGATTCTTCCTACCCATGAGCATGGAATGTTCTTCCATTTGTTTACATCCTCTTTTATTTCCTTGAGCAGTGGTTTGTAGTTCTCCTTGAAGAGGTCCTTCACATCCCTTGTAAGTTGGATTCCTAGGTATTTTATTCTCTTTGAAGCAATTGTGAATGGGAGTTCACTCATGATTTGGCTCTCTGTTTGTCTGTTGTTGGTGTATAAGAATGCTTGTGATTTTTGTACATTGATTTTGTATTCTGAGACTTTGCTGAAGTTGCTTATCAGCTTAAGGAGATTTTGGGCTGAGACAATGGGGTTTTCTAGATATACAATCATGTCGTCTGCAAACAGGGACAATTTGAGTTCCTCTTTTCCTAATTGAATACCCTTTATTTTCTTCTCCTGCCTAACTGCCCTGGCCAGAACTTCCAACACTATGTTGAATAGGAGTGGTGAGAGTGGGCATCCCTGTCTTGTGCCAGTTTTCAAAGGGAATGCTTCCAGTTTTTGCCCATTCAGTATGATATTGGCTGTGGGTTTGTCCTAGATAGCTCTTATTATTGTGAAATATGTCCCATCAATACCTAATTTATTGAGAGTTTTTAGCATGAAGCGTTGTTGAATTTTGTCAAAGACCTTTTCTGCATCTATTGAGATAATCATGTGATTTTTGTCTTTGGTTCTGTTTATATGCTGGATTACATTTATTGATTTGCATATATTGAACCAGCCTTGCATCCCAGGGATGAAGCCCACTTGGTCATGGTGGATAAGCTTTTGGATGTGCTGCTGGATTCGTTTTGCCAGTATTTTATTGAGGATTTTTGCATCAATGTTCATCAAGGATATTGGTCTAAAATTCTCTTTTTTGGTTGTGTCTCTGCCCGGCTTTGGTATCAGAATGATGCTGGCCTCATAAAATGAGTTAGGGAGGATTCCCTCTTTTTCTGTTGATTGGAATAGTTTCAGAAGGAATGGTACCAGTTCCTCCTTGTACCTCTGGTAGAATTCGGCTGTGAATCCTTCTGGTCCTGGACTCTTTTTGGTTGGTAAGCTATTGATTATTGCCACAATTTCAGATCCTGTTATTGGTCTATTCAGAGATTCAACTTCTTCCTGGTTTAGTCTTGGGAGAGTGTATGTGTCGAGGAATTTATCCATTTCTTCTAGATTTTCTAGTTTATTTGCGTAGAGGTGTTTGTAGTATTCTCTGATGGTAGTTTGTATTTCTGTGGGATCGATGGTGATATCCCGTTTGTCATTTTTTATTGCTCTATTTGATTCTTCTCTCTTTTTTTCTTTATTAGTCTTGCTAGCGGTTTATCAATTTTGTTGGTCTTTTCAAAAAACCAGCTCCTGGATTCATTAATTTTTTGAAGGGTTTTTTGTGTCTCTATTTCCTTCAGTTCTGCTCTGACTTTAGTTATTTCTTGCCTTCTGCTAGCTTTTGAATGTGTTTGCTCTTGCTTTTCTAGTTCTTTTAATTGTGATGTTAGGGTGTCAATTTTGGATCCTTCCTGCTTTCTCTTGTGGGCATTTAGTGCTACAAATTTCCCTCTACACACTGCATTGAATGCGTCCCAGAGATTCTGGTATGTTTTGTCTTTGTTCTCATTGGTTTCAAAGAACATCTTTATTTCTGCTTTCATTTCGTTATGTACCCAGTAGTCATTCAGGAGCAGGTTGTTCAGTTTCCATGTAGTTGAGCGGTTTTGAGTGAGATTCTTAATCCTGAGTTCTAGTTTGATTGCACTGTGGTCTGAGAGATAGTTTGTTATAATTTCTGTTCTTTTACATTTGCTGAGGAGAGCTTTACTTCCAACTATGTGGTCTATTTTGGAATAGGTGTGGTGTGGTGCTGAAAAAAATGTATATTCTGTTGATTTGGGGTGGAGAGTTCTGTAGATGTCTATTAGGTCCGCTTGGTGCAGAGCTGAGTTCAATTCCTGGGTATCCTTGTTGACTTTCTGTCTCATTGATCTGTCTAATGTTGACAGTGGGGTGTTAAAGTCTCCCATAATTAATGTGTGGGAGTCTAAGTCTCCTTGTAGGTGACTCAGGATTTGCTTTATGAATCTGGGTGCTCCCGTATTGGGTGCATATATATTTAGGATAGTTAGCTCTTCTTGTTGAATTGATCCCTTTGTCATTATGTAATGGCCTTCTTTGTCTCTTTTGATCTTTGTTGGTTTAAAGTCTGTTTTATCAGAGACTAGGATTGCAACCCCTGCCTTTTTTTTGTTTTCCATTTGCTTGGTAGATCTTCCTCCATCCTTTCATTTTGAGCCTATGTGTGTCTCTGCATGTGAGATGGGTTTCCTGAATACAGCACACTGATGGGTCTTGACTCTTTATCCAATTTGCCAGTCTGTGTCTTTTAATTGGAGCACTTAGTCCATTTACATTTAAAGTTAATATTGTTTTGTGTGAATTTGATCCTGTCATTGTGATGATAGCTGGTTATTTTGCTCGTTAGTTGATGCAGTTTCTTCCTAGTCTTGATGGTCTTTACATTTTGGCATGATTTTGCAGCGGCTAGTACTGGTTGTTCCTTTCCATGTTTAGCGCTTCCTTCAGGAGCTCTTTTAGGGCAAGCCTGGTGGTGACAAAATCTCTCAGCATTTGCTTGTCTGTAAAGTATTTTATTTCTTTTTTATTCTTTTTTCTCTAAACTTTCCTTCTTGCTTCATTTCATTCATTTCATCTTCCATCACTGATACCCTTTCTTCCAGTTGATCGCATCGGCTCCTAAGGCTTCTGCATTCTTCACGTAGTTCTCAAGCCTTGGTTTTCAGCTCCATCAGCTCCTTTAAGCACTTCTCTGTATTGGTTATTCTAGTTATACATTCTTCTAATTTTTTTTCAAAGTTTTCAACTTCTTTGCCTTTGGTTTGAACGTCCTCCCGTAGCTCGGAGTAACTTGATTGTCTGAAGCCTTCTTCTCTCAGCTCGTCAAAGTCATTCTCCGTCCAGCTTTGTTCCGTTGCTGGTGAGGAACTGCATTCCTTTGGAGGAGGAGAGGTGCTCTGCTTTTTAGAGTTTCCTGTTTTTCTGTTCTGTTTTTTCCCCATCTTTGTGGTTTTATCTACTTTTGGTCTTTGATGATGGTGATGTACAGATGGGTTTTTGGTGTGGATGTCCTTTCTGTTTGTTAGTTTTCCTTCTAACAGAAAGGACCCTCAGCTGCAGGTCTGTTGGAGTACCCTGCAGTGTGAGGTGTCAGTGTGCCCCTGCTGGAGGGTGCCTCCCAGTTAGGCTGCTCGGGGGTCAGGGGACAGGGGTCAGGGACCCACTTGAGGAGGCAGTCTGCCCGTTCTCAGATCTCCAGCTGCGTGCTGGGAGAACCACTGCTCTCGCCAAAGCTGTTAGACAGGGACATTTAAGTCTGCAGAGGTTACTGCTGTCTTTTTGTTTGTCTGTGCCCTGCCCCCAGAGGTGGAGCCTACAGAGGCAGGCAGGCCTCCTTGAGCTGTGGTGGGCTCCACAAAGCTCGAGCTTCCCAGCTGCTTTGTTTACCTAAGCAAGCCTGGGCAATGGCGGGTGCCCCTTCCCCAGCCTTGCTGCCACCTTGCAGCTTGATCTCAGACTGCTGTGCTAGCAATCAGCGAGACTCCGTGGGCGTAGGACCCTCTGAGCCAGGTGCGGGATATAATCTCCTGGTGTGCCGTTTTTTAAGCCCGTTGGAAAAGCGCAGTATTCGGGTGGGAGTGACCCGATTTTCCAGGTGCCATCTGTCACCCCTTTCTTTGACTAGGAAAGGGAACTCCCTGACCCCTTGTGCTTCTGGAGTGAGGCAATGCCTCGCCCTGCTTTGGCTCACGCACAGTGCACGCACCCACTGACCTGCGCCCACTGTCTGGCACTCCCTAGTGAGATGAACCCGGTACCTCAGATGGAAATGCAGAAATCACCCGTCTTCTGCGTAGCTCAGGCTGGGAGCTGTAGACCAGAGCTGTTCCTATTTGGCCATCTTGGCTCCTCCCCCTCTTCAGCTTCTTAAAGCCATACCATATATAAATACTGTGTCCTCTATTGTGAGCAGACTTGGACAAAAATGTTTGATCAAAAGCTTACATGGACTTCCAACTTTAACCCTAACCTACCATCCCAATAGGGCTGTGCCTGGGCCTCACCGACTCTGCCCTAGCCAAAATCACCATCTCTAAGCTAGGCTTTCATCTCATATACCAGGAAATTATCAAGAGACAGGACATCAAGCAGTCTAATGAAATATATCACTGCTTTTGCAGAATGTAAGGATCTTATTAGAAATTGTGCTCTGTCATTCAGTGATAAATTTGAATGTATTTTGCATGTAAAACCCCATGAGGGAATTTCCTTTATAATTCAATTATGAGGGGTAACTTGGTCACCCTGAGGGACTGGTATATTCCTTGCTGTACCTAAAAGTACTATGTATATTAACATGTATATCATATTACATGTTACATTAGAAGTAAATACACACACACATGCATAAGAAATGCTCCACTCTCCTTATCTCCACCTCTGCCATCTGCAGACATAGACAACAACCTCCAAGTGTCTCCAGGGACCCTGAGGACCTGGAGAACCCTCAGGCAGCAGAGAATCTTGTTAGACTGTGGCTATCACTGGTGTTGTTTACCCATATCTGCACCCACACAACTCCAGATTAATTAAGGTATCCACTCCAGTACTGTCCTCAGATTATGATTATTTTAAGCCAAATGGCACATGACATTATCCCATCTCTAGAGTGGGCATGTGACCTAAGTAAGCTCTGTCAGTCTGCTTAAGGCAAAGGTTTCTCTATCTCCTGGCTGCCCCTCCTTCCTTTCTCCTCTTTTCTTCTTCTACCTCTCTCCCCCTCCTTCTCTTCCTCCTCCTCCTCCTCCTCATTCTTATTCCTCCTTCTGACACCTGCTCCTCCAGCTCCTCTTACTCCTCTTCCTCCTCTTCCTTCTCCTTCTTTCTCCTCCCCCTCCTCCTCCTTCTTTCTTCTCCTTCTTCCTCTTCTTCTTCCTCTCTTTCTCTCTATCTCCTGCTCTCTCTCTTCTTCCTTCCCTCTCTTCCTCTTCTCTCTCTTCTCTCTGTTTCACTCTCTCTCTCTCAATCCCTCCCTCCATCCCCCATGTCCATAGAAGATTGTATGGACCTTGAAGGGATCAATTAGAGAAAAAAAATTAAAATGCCATAACATACAAGAAGAAAAAAGGTAAGAGAATCACAGAAAACAGCCATATCTCTCAGTTCCATGCTCAAGACCCATCTTAATTCTGGCCTTCCTGTTCAATGGGATATTTTGTTGTTGTTTTAGTCATGTTGAGTTTCTATTACAGCCACCAGCACTCTAATTGGTACACAGACCTCCAGTAAATGTCTCTCATGGAAATTAATGCCATAGAAAGTTACTAAAAAAAGAAAATCCCCCAGCCAAGGATCCTCTGCAGATCTCCTGGGACAGATTATTGCAATCTGTGTTTTTGTCATAACCAACTCCTCATTCCTGTCCAGAGCTCACATGAACCTTCTCCCAAGTCTGCCAGAAGAGCTATACTGATAGATTGCGTGCATATTAGGTATGAGTCCAAGAAACCAAAGTCATCCGTTCTCCCAACTAAAAATATATCCTTTACTGGCCTTGCTTTGGTGGTAAACATTCCCACATAATACATCATTGTAGGAAACTAATGAATGTTTCTGTGAAAAGAGCAATGTAAGAACTCTGTAGTCACGACGAGGCAGCAAGAACTGTGGTATTTCCAACCTCACATGATGATAGGCTGATGAGGTGGAAGCCAGCGTGCCGGGGCGATAGGAAGGGCTTACAGACTGAAAGGAAAGAGGGAAGGGGCTGAAATTGGGATGACCACTGTGTGAAGGAGGACACATGTTCTAGGGTCAGAGTGGCAGCATGGAGAAAGCTGTGCTCACATGACCAGATGCACATCCGTCCAGTCCTGGGCCTGACGCTGCAATAGCAGCATCCTGTCCTCCAGGACCTGTCCTCTCTGGATCTGTGTAAAGAGAGGAGAATATGGGAAAAGGCAAGTCCAGAGGATGCACTTTGACAAGGAGAATTTGGAGCTCCTGGGCATCCCCAATATCAGAGCAGAGGCCTTAGGAAGGACAGAATGCCATGAAACTTGGCCCTGGTGCAAGAGAAAGAGAGCTGGACTTAGATTCAGGAGATCTACATCTAAACTCTGGATCTGCCACTTAGTAGCTACATGATCTTGGACAAGTGTCCTTAACCAAGTCTTTAAAGCTTCAGTTTCCTCATCTATAAAGGCCGTAGAGTTGTTGTGGGGATTTGATGAGCCTCCTTAGTGATTTCAGGCATAATATATAAATATAGCAGACTCAGTGAAAAGTCAGCCAAGACAGTGGGCTGTATTGGATCCATGTGCCAAGGTTGCTGCCCCCTCGTCTAGTCACTCTCCTTCTGACATGCCCTCCAGCTACCCCTCCCAGGCCTTACTAGTTGACCTTCATAGAACATCGTCTCTCCGTGTTTTCTCCTTCTACCTTAACTTTTGAATTTCTATCACACTTAGCTTAGTCCTTTTATTAAAGTTTGCTAAGAAAAAAAAAAAAACTATCCCCCAGCCAGGGATCCTCTGCAGATCTCCTGGGACAGATTCTTGCAATCTGCTTAGAAAGACAGATTCTTGCAAGTGCATAGAAAGCACTCACTGCTTTCTAAGTTATTATTTAAGAAATATAAATATAAATATAAATCCCATGCTAGACGGTGAGCTCCCCAAGGAGGCATGATGCATGATGAGGCACAGGTGGGATTTACCCAGCTTTATCCACATGTTCTGCACATAATAGGTTCTTGTTAATGACCTTGGACAATGGTAGTGCTCCAAAAGCTGTCTCCCTTTTGTTGGCTTCCAGAACCTGCCAGAGAGAATACTGAACTTTAACTTTACTTGAGAGGTTGAATCTTATGCCAGAAGCAATAAGGAGCAATAGCAAGTATCAGAAAAAAATAGGAACTGATCCATGTTTGGAACCCTAAATGAGCAAATATCCAGAAGAGTAAAGCTATTCTTAAAAAGCTCATATTTGCTTTAGTTACCAAATGGTCATCTCTCCAGCAACAAATATCATCCTATAGGTCTGTCTTATCTCCAGTGAGATCAAAACATCTTGGGGATGCAGTAAATCCAGTGATTTGGACACTGACATTGGAGCTGGTTTGACTCTTTCCTCTACTTCTCACTAATTCTCATATGAAAATTATTTGACATCCCTGAGCAAAGGGTTTTTTTTTACCTGTAAAATGGTGATAACAAAAATACCTCCTTCACAAGATTCTTGCAAGGATTAAATAAAACAGAGCATGTAAAGTCCCCAGCACAGAGGCTGACCAAGAGGACATGCTAATCCATGTCAGGTGTCGTGATTAGCATGACTGCTTCCATAATAGAGCCAGGCACCCAGCTTTCTAAGAAGCCTTTAATGTCCACCATTAGCACTTTTACCTTTCTCTCCTGGTTTCCTGCCTGCAAGATTTTCCTAGTAGTCACTGGGGGTTCATCTTCACTTGTCTGCTAATGATATTGAATTTACACATTCTTGCCAGCCTCCCACTACACTCAGGTCAGCTGAGGAATTTGTTAGTATCTCAGGCAGATGTGTTACTTCACCCACAGGAACTTCCTGAGTCAAAATCTGAATAACCCTGAGGTCTTCTGGATCAAAGCTGATAGCCCCTGCCCCCTTTTCAGATCTCATTTTCTTAGGGTCATTTCTGCATAGTTATTTCTTTTTTGATCAAATTACCAGCACATGGATCATAACACTTACCCAGCACTTTTCATCTCCAAAATGATGTAAAGGCCTTCGAGTCCATCTGTCTATTCAGTGAATTTTCCATCCTTAATCAAAACAAGTTTCAGGCACCAACTTCAAAAGCTGATGCAGGCAAACCTGCCTCCCAGGGAGCAGGTGCATTACATGCATATTAATGTGCAAAAATCAGAAGTGGGAGGCAGGGAGGAGACTTCAAAGGCACAGAATGTGGAGTCAGAAGATAAAGATTCCCTGTAGAAATTCTGCCTTTTGGCAAGTTATTTAACCTCTGAGTCTCAGTTGCCTGGTATGCAAAATGGGGATAATAAATATACCTCACCCATATCACAGGCGGTTTCAAGAATTAAGTGAGATAGGGGCTGAAAAGGATGATTTATAATATGATGTGGATGCTATGCATTAATTATTACTGACTAAAGGGATCATTTTATCCAAGTGTTGGGCCCTTATCAATAAATCCAGAGGTCTGCCTCTTCTACTTCTCAAACAAAATGTTCCAAAGATCTCTCTTCTGCTCCAAAGGAAAAGGGGAGAGAAAAATTCTTTTGTGGTGCATTCAGTAAGCAGTAATAGTAATTGATTTTGATCACTTACTGAATTCCACACTATCTTAAGAGAACTGATATAATCCTCAGAGCAGACCTATGAAACAGCTATTATTATTATCTCCATTTTACAGATGAAGGAACTGAGACATTTAATATCTTGCTCACATTTACTCATTTAGAAGGGAAAGAGACTATTTTCTTAACTAACAGTCCTCAATATCTGGTCCAGGAACCCCCAGGGAAGTTTGTGAAATCACAAACTATTTTCATCATAATACTAAAGCATTATTTGCCTTTTTCCTCTCTCATTTTCTCACAAGTACACAGTAGGGTTATTCAGAGCCTAAATGACATGTGATATTACAACAGATTGAATGCAGAAATGCACAGGAAAATCCCGCTCCCTTCTATTAAACTGTAAGAAATCTGCAAAAATGTACAACAATGCCACATTTTCACCATATTTTTTGTTTTAGAAAATATATTTTTATTTAAAATGTTACTAATTTAACATGCAATGCATTCTTACTGTTATTTTAATGAATTAATAAATACCTTTTGAATTCTCAGTTTTAATTTTTAATATGGTAAATATCAATAGTTACAACAAATGTAAACAAAAGTGCTTAGGGATCCTCAATCATTCTTAAGGATTTAAAGTGGCCCTAACACCTAAATCTTTGAGAATTGCTGCTCTTAACTAACTACAATGGCCATCTTATTATTCCTGGTTTTTGACGAATAAACTAAAAATAATAATAAACAAGAAGTTATAACACAATAATAAACTAGAACTAATAATACAGATGGTTAATTGCTAATCACCCACAACAGTTATATTATTATTTCTAGTTTCTAATGAAGAAATTGAGGCTTAGAGAAGTTAAGTGGATTGTTCGAGATCACACAGCTCACAATAAAAGTTTTCAAGAATTAAGAGTCCACCAACTCTATCATTGACTCACATTCTCATTTGTTTTAATTTATTGTGACATTTCCTTCCTTTTGTGCCCCAGACGCTTCTGCTGATATAAAACTCAGCAACTAAATTGTCTCTGTGTTTAAAAAACCACAGAAACTAGACTTCACAGAGGTCTTATGATTTGCTTCTAAACCTCGCTTTATGATTTGCTTCTAAACCTCTCCTTGTTTGAGATCTAGATAATATTAGAAGTTGCCCATGTTGCTCTTGGCTCTCCTCTCTCCCACCAAGTTTCCTACAAGATGAAGATCAAATGCCATTCTGAGAGTGAACCTTACTTTTTGGCACTGCAGCATATGAGCAACACTGTCTAGCCTAGCCTTTCCTCAACATCCATTTCCCTGTTATTCGAGCTCCAATTTGTTCATGAGTCCAAGGAAATTTATCACTGGTCTAAATCAGTCGTGACAATCTTGTTTAACTTGATGAGTGGTTAGTCCATAGGAAGTCATGTGACCCAGTCTTGGCCAATTACATGGAAAGCCACTAGGTTGAACTTCCAATAAACCACTGCTTTCAGGGGAAAAA
This sequence comes from Homo sapiens, assembly GCF_000001405.40. Taxonomy (NCBI): domain Eukaryota; kingdom Metazoa; phylum Chordata; class Mammalia; order Primates; family Hominidae; genus Homo; species Homo sapiens. The sequence continues at coordinate 13,793,098 of NC_000004.12, read as the reverse complement.
AATAGATTTAAGGCATAACGTTTTTCCTACTTAGAATACAAGTGTGATGTCTAGTATCTGGAGGTTTGCAGTTTTCTGGAAACAATGAGGTTACCAAGATGAGAAAAGCAACAAAAAGAATTATACTAATCTCTGCATTACTGAGCTATTGAATCAGAGCCAGCAATTGCTTACCTCCAGACACTTTTATGAGACAAATAAACCTCCTATTTCTTTAAGTTACTGTCATTCTTTTACTTGAAGCCAAATGTGCTACCAACTGATACAGAGAAGTTTTCTACATTGTACCTTGTGGGTACAACATTTCCATGAACAGGCAGGACTGTCATTGCCAATAAAAATAGATCCAGAAATGACAGAGTGAATAGCAGACAGGGACGTTAAAGTAGCTAATATAAATATGTTCTAGAATGTACAAGAAAACAAAAATGATAAAGAGAGAAATTAAAGAAATAAAAACAAAATTAAGAGGTCTTCTAGAGCTGAAAAATTCAATATTTGAAATAAAATTTTTACTGCATAGGACCAATAACAGATTAGACATTATAGAAAAAGGAAAAAAAAAATCAGTGTAATCTGAGAATGTAGAAATAGGAACTATCCAAACTTAAGCATAAAAAGAAAAGAGAAAGAAAATAATTAACAGAACCCTCATAACATGTAGAACAGTTTTAAGTAGTTTAGTGTAAATATAACTGGAGTCAGAAAAAAGGAAGGGGCAGAAATATGTATTCAAAGAAATAATGCCTGAAATTTTATTCAAATTTGATAAAAACCATAAACACAGTCAAAAAATTCAATAAGCACAAAACAAAATTTTAAAAAAATAAAAATGAAAATTATACGAAAGCACATCATAATCAAATTGCTACAAACCAGTGATAAAGAGAAAAATCTTAAAAGAAGCCATATAAAATTGGTCATATAAAATTGGCAGATTATATTCAGAAAACCAAAGATAAGAATTACTATCAATTTTAGATCACAAACAATGCAAGACAAGAAACAATAAAGCATCTTCAAAGTGCTGGGGAAAAAATGTCATTCTATCTCCAGTGAAAACATCTTTCAAAAGCTAAGAGTAATTTAAAATGTTTTTAGATAAGCAAAAACTAAAAGAATTTACTTGTAAAGAGATCTCAACTACAAGAAATGTTAAAGGAAGTTTTTTGCAGAGAAGAAAATGATACCATATGGAAACATGGATCTGCTCAAAAGAATTTAGAATCATTTAAATGATAACTATTTATATAAAGGGAAAAAGTTTTTCCTTGTGTTTCAATTCTTTAAGAGAAAATTGCTTTCTTAAAAAAAAGTAAAGAATGTATCATAGAGTTTATAACATGTAGAAGTAAATTGCATTACAACAATAATAGAAAACCTTGGGGTGAACAGAAGAGTCTCACATTATAAAAGTAAGAGGATAGAAAATTATAAACAATGCATACACTAATAATAAGAAAACTGGAGTGGCTACATTAATATCAGATAAAGTAGACTTCAGGACAAGAAATATTACCAATTTTTGTGATAAAGCAGAACATTTTATAAAAACAAAAGAGTCAATGTATTAAGAAGACCAACAATGCTAACTGAATAGGCATGTAGTAATAGGCATCAAAATACGTGAAGTGAAAACTGATAAGACTGAAAAGAGAAATGGACAAATTCCCAATTATAGTTGGAGACTTCAACACTCCTCTTCTAGTAGTTGATAAATTAGACAGAATAGGATCATAGAAGACTTAAACAACACTTACCTTCAACCTGATCAAATTGATATCTATAGTACAAGTAACTAAACAACAGAATGTAGATACTTTTCAAGAGCACATGGAAAATTCACTAAGATATGCCATACACTAACCCAAAACTGGGTCATAAAACCAGTCTTAATACATATCAAAGGACGGAAATTTTACAATCCATTTTCTTTGACTACAGTAGAATGACAACACATTTCAAAAACAGAAAGATATCAAAAAAATTAAAATACCTGGGAAATACTCATTTCAAATAGCCCATTTTTCAAAGTGAAATTGACAAAAGAAATTAGAAAATATTTTGAAATGAATGAAACACATATCAAAATTTATTAGATGAAAATAAAGTAGCAATTAGAAGAAATTTCATAACATTAAATGCTTCTGTTGCCAATTTTTTAATGTCCAAAATTAGTTAGTTATCAGAGCTTCCACTGTAAGAAGCTAAAAGAAAAAAAAAAAAAGAACTGAAACCCAAAGTACAATGAAAGGAAGAAAAACAAAAGTGTAAAACAATGAAATGAAAAGCAAGCTAACAATGGAGAAAAATCAATGAAACCATAAGTTGCTTGTTTAAAAAGATCAATACAAATGATAGATCTCTGGCTAGACTGATCAAAAACAAAGAGACAAACATTTCTAATATCAAAAGCAAAATAGGATGTCACTGAACGTTCTCTGTACGTTAAGTAGACAATAATGAAATGTTATGAGCAGCATATGACAAATGTGAGAACGTGGGTGAAATGGACAAACGTATCAAAAGACCAAACTTGACACAAAAAATTTGCCAAACCTGAAACAAGAGAAAAGAGAAAATCAAAATAGCTGTATATCTCTTCAAGGCATTGAGTTTTCAGTTAAAAACATTCCCAGGGAAGAGGAGAACCCTCCAGACTGAGATGACTTGACTGGTGAATTCTGTGAAATTTCTAGAAAAGAAATACCAATCTTGTGCAGATACTTTTCAAAAATAAAGGAGTGCAGGGCACGTCTCAGTTCATTTTACAAGGCTAATGTTACTGTGACACTATGAAACTACCATTTCATGAACAGAGATGGGGCAATCCTTTATGAATATGGGCATTTGGAATCTAACAATAATCAGAAAAGATAACTCAATATGAACAAGTGAGATTTATATTTTGAATGAAAGGTAGGTATAGCACTCAAAGATCAATAAATGTAATTTATCATATAAATAGAATAAAGGAGAAAACCACAACACAGAAGAAACTCAATAGATGTAGAAAAGACACAAATAGGTTGAATGTTAAAAATGGGGAAAAAAAAAGATATTCCATGCAAGCTGTAACCAAAAGACAATTAGAGTCACTATATTAAGATCAGACAAAATAGATGTTCAAACAAAAATTGTTGTTAGAAACAAAAAAGGACATTTTATAATTTAAAAAGTTGAGGTCATCAGGAAGACATAACAATTGTGTATGAACCTATCTAGAGAGCTCCAAAATATATGAAGATACAAAAATGACAGAATTAAAGAGAGAAATAGACAATTCAACAGTAACAGGTAACAACTTTAATACCTCACTTTCAATAATGGACAGAACAGGACAGGCAGAAGATCAACAATGAAATAGGAGACTTGAATAACTCCAACTGCATTTATTAAACTAAATAAGCAGGAAGCCATTGACTCGAGGCTATCTCCCTACTTTGAGTTGTAATGTAGCACAACCTAACATATTTTATAAACAAACTGAAACCAGACTTGATAACTGAGTTTCAGCCATCACAAGCAGCCAAGCTTCAGCAAATCAGTTAACTGATCACACCGTGCCCAAATAAGGCGTATGTCTACATGTAACCAATTAAGTGATCTTTCTACTTTGGTTCCACATTTAGCCTATAAAATCTCACTGCTCAGGCTGTTAGGTAGAGCTTTCTGAACCTCTTCTTGTTGTGAGTGCTGCCTAATTCATGAATTGTTCTTTGCTCAAAAAACTCTGCTAAATTTAATTTATCTAAAGTTTTTGTTTTAACAGACCTCTATAGAATGATCCACCCAACAACAGCAGAATACATATTCTTCTCAAGTGCACAATGAAACCTCTCCAGGGTAGACCATATGTCTGCCTATAAAAACAATAAATTTTAAAAGATTGAAGTTATACAAAACATGTGCCCTGACCACAATAAAATAAAATTAGAAATAAAACACAGAATAAAACCTGGGAAATTCACAAATATATGGAAATTAATTAATACATTCCTAAATAACCAATTGATCAAAGAAGAAATTACAAGACATATTCTCTAAGTGAATATTTAGAGATGAATGTAAACAAAAATGCAACATACCAAAACTCATGATACGCAGCTAATGCAGTGCTTAGAGAGAAGTGTATAGCTGTAATCATCTATATTTTAAAAAGAAGAATAAGAAATATTTCAAATGAGTAAGTAACCTAACTTTTCATCTTAAGAAATAAAAAAGAAGAGCAAACTGAAACCTAAGCAAGTAGGGGAAAGGAATAATAAAGACTGGAAAATATATAAATAAAATAAAAAATAGGAAAACAATAGAGAAAAATCAAAAGCTCTTTCTTTAAAGAGACCAACAAATGACAAATCTTTAATTAGACTGACAGAAAGTGAGAGAGATAACTCAAATTTCTCATAACAGCAATGAAAGACGAGCCATCACTACTTATAGGAATTTAAAAAATTATAAAAGGATACTATAAACAGCTATGCCAACAAATTTGATAACCAAGATGAAATGGACAAAATCGTAGCAAGATAAAAATTACTGGAACTGACTCAAGAAATAGAAAATCTTAATTGAACTATAATAAATGATGACATTAGTTATTTTAAAACTTTCTACAAAAAGAAAAATTTCAGACCCAGATATCTTCACTGATGAATTTTACAAATGTTTAAAGATGAATTAATACCAATCTTCAATATTTGACAAATTCTTCAAAAAAAAGAAATAAAAAAACACATTTTCTCACTTATTTCATGAGACCATTCTTACCCTAATACCATACCTAAAGATATTTCAAGAATATAGAACTTTGACCTCATATCCCTTATAAATATAGATGAAAAATTCTCAAAAAATAAGCTAGCAAACTGACTTCAGCAACATAGAATTATACACCCTTTCATGATTAAAAAAAACTAGTTCGTTAAACTAGAAATAGAGGAAAATGTCCTCAACCTCATACAGAAGTTGAGGACATACAGGGCATCTACAACCAACCCACAGCTAACATCACACTCAAAGGTAAAAAACTGAAAGCTTTTACTCATGGGATCAGGAAAAATACAAGGATATCCATTCTTGCCACTGTTATGTCAGCATTGTACTGGAGCAATTAGGCAAGAGGAATTAGGCAAGACACAGAAATAAAAGGCAACCAGATTGAAAGAAAAAAAAAAGAAGAAGTAAAACTATCTCTATTCACAGGTAATATATTTACAAGTATAGAAAATTGTGGCCAGGCGCAGTGGCTCATGTCTGTAATCCCAGAACTTTGAGAGGCTGAGGCAGGAAGATCACTTGAGTCTAGAAGTTCAAGACTAGCCTGGGAAACATAGTAAGACCTTATCTCTACAAAAAAAATAAAATTAGCTGGGTGTGGTGGTGCACACTTGTAGTTCCAGCTACTCAGGAAACAGAGGTGAGAGGATTGCTTGAGTCCAGGAGTTTGAAGTTGCAGTGAGCCACTCCAGCCTGGGCAACAGAGCGAGATCATGTCTCATAAATAAATAAATAATAAAAATTTAAAAAGAGAAAATTGTGAGGAATTCACTAAAAAAAAAAAAAAAAATTTAATAAATGAGTTCAGCTAGCTTGTGTGACATAAACCATTTATTGACCAGGCCTGTGGTGCCTAGAAATATTCTGTAACCTGGCTGGGCGCAGTGGCTCATGCCTGTAATCCCAGCAATTTGGGAGGCCGAGGCAGGCGGATCACGAGGTCAGGAGATTGAGACCATTCTGGTTAACACAGTGAAACCCCATCTCTACTAAACAATACAAAAAATTAGCTGGGCGTGGTCGTGGGCGCCTGTAGTCCCAGCTACTTGGGAGGCTTAAGCAGGAGAATGGTGTGAACCCGGGAGGCGGAGTTTGCAGTGAGCTGAGATCGCGCCACTGCACTCCAACCTGGGCAACAGAGCAAGACTCCATCTCAAAAAAAAAAAGAAAAAAGAAATATTCTGTAACCCTAGGCAATGCCTCTGCATCCTCATCAGCGAAACCGGATTGATCTTGCCTGCTTCCCTGGCTTTGATGGATGCAACAGAAGAATATATGCAGAAGTCCCTAATGCAGTGCCTGATGCATGATAAATGCTCAAATATGTTAGTTTCTTCCTTCCTTCATTATTTAGCTCACTATTTTGCTAATTACAGATGGTGGTTAATAACAACATGTTTGTGATATGCAAAAATCCTAGCACAGTTGGATTATCTGACATTTATACATCAAGACAAAATAAGCTAATCTAAATGAGTTTGTCTCATCACATCTAGCTGAACTGGATAGGAACATATATTGCATTGTCAGGCCTGTTTTTTCTTCCCTCCTACCACCTCTGTGTAGTCCTCACCACATTCCGTTTCTGCACTCAGTTCTACCTGAGAATTACACACTTTCATTCCCTTCAGTTGAGAAGAATGGGGTAAAGGGAGACGAAAAAAATTAAACTAAGAAGGAAAGTTTAGACTTCCCACCTGCTCCCTATTAAGTTATACTCACTACACTCTATTCCCTAGGAAGAGAATAAGGCTTCTTCCTTTCACTGTACCTCCTCTTCCTTAACAAAAAGGAAAAAAAATGAAGAAGGAAAAAAGGGAGGGAAACAAGGAGGGAGGGAAGGAGAGAAACCCTGTTTTAAAGAGAAATCTCCATGACATAGTCGAAAAAGAAAATGGAGTTTCAAGTTCACACACAGGGGTCAGAAGGCAAGAGGATGGCATTGTCAGGAGAAGGGAGAAGAACTATAGGTATAACTATCATTGATCTCTTCCCTCTGTTTTCTCCAAGTGCTGCCAGTCCCTAGGTGTTCTTAAGTTTCCTTTACTAACTAGTGTGCAAAGGCTGGTGCAGGATGAGAGGGTGGCAGGGACAGGAGAAGACATAGGATACTGTTGGAGCTGACATCTCCTGAAGTCTTACCTTCAAGGGGCACAGCTGCCTCATCAATCTCAAACGGCCCAACTCATCTCACAAAAATGTTTTGGGACCAAAGGCCAAACTAGTAACGATTGTGTGTTTTACTGGGATGTTCCCTGTGTGGATTCAATTATGTCCCCCTCAAAAATATTGATGCCCTAACCCCCAGTGCCTGTGAATGTGACCTGATTTGGAAATAGGGTTTTACCGATGATGAAGCTACAATGAGATCATTAGGGTGTACCCAAATCCAACATGATTGGTGTCCTTATAAAAAGTGAAAAGTTAGACAGTGACGGAGGTGCACACAGGGAGAATGCATGTGAGGATGAAGGCGGAGATAAGGATGATGCATCTATAAGCCAAGAAATGCCAAAGATTGCCAGAAAACTACCAGTAGCTAAGAGAGGAATCTGGAACAGATTCTCACAGCCCTCAAAAGGAACTAACGCTGCTGACACCTTGATTCTCGACTTCCAATCTCCAGAACAGACAGAAAATCTGTGTATGTTGTATAAGCCCTGCAGTGTGTGGTACTTTGCTTCAACAGCCAAAGCAAATGAATACAGCCTCCATGGTAGGCAATGGGACAAGGATTCAGCATTCAGGATCCTACCTGTGTCTTCTTCAGGAGGTATGTAAACCAATATCCCTCTCTCAGCTCCAGTAGTTGTACACAGGGACCTCTTTTCCTTCTCCCCTGCCTCTGCCCCTGGGAGGATGGTTGAAATAATATTATGTTCCTCCTTGTTCCTTATCCCTTAAATTGGGTCAGATCTCCCAGACTCCACCCCGAGGTGTGCCCTGTTCAGAGTGGTACATACCTCAGTGGTTCAAATCCTGAGTTCTGGGGTCAGACAGGCCTGAATCCTTACCTTGGCCCATCTACATTCCAGCCAAATGACTTTGAACAGGTAACTCAACCGCTCTCTACCTCCATTTCCAGAATGGTAGAAACTGTTGCATGGATTTGTTCTGAGGCTGCACAGCCCCGTGTCTGGCTCATAGCTAGTGCTCATTAAATGTTTGTCTAACAAATGTCTCTACAGGCAGTGACTCTTCTGCTCAACCACCTCTGATTCCTTCCCCATGCTCTCATTTCCCCTATCCAAGAGTGTGGCTCAGTCTCTGGTTTTAGGATCTGCTTTTGGAACTTTTTTTTTCTTTGAGACAGAGTCTTGCTCTGTCACCCAGGCTAGAGTGCAGTGACGTGTTCTTGGCTCACTGCAACCTCCACCTCCTGGGTTCAAATGATTCTCCTGCCTCAGCCTCCTGAGTAGCTGGGACTACAAGCATATGCCACCATGCCCAGCTTATTTTTGTATTTTTAGTAGAGGCGGGGTTTCACCATGTGGACCAGGATGGTCTCCATCTCCTGACCTCATGATCTACCCGCCTCAGCCTCCCAAAGTGCTGGGACTACAGGCATGAGCCACCGCGCCCGGCCTGCTTTTGGTACTTTTACGGAGAAAAATCTTTACCCTGTTCCTCTGAGTTTCAGTTTTTTCCTTCCACACTGTTCCTCCCTGCTTTCTCCTTCTCCTGTAGTCCAGCCCCAACCCCAAAAACTCCACCTGCTGGGCCTACCCAGGGTGTCTCTTCCAAAGTCCCAAGAAAGAGATACTGGTAATGCAGATAAACCACTCAAACCTACTCTGCAAAGCTTAATCACCATGGAAAACGCCTTTCAGAATGTTACATAAGTGTTGTCTGTAGAGGTGGACTCTGAAAATGAAAGGGTGAATCGATGCACTAGCTGGTAGGCTTGTAGCAAATAGAATATATAATCAATTTTGCTACTCAAGCTAACGTTCTGAACTTCTGATGCTGGTCAGAACAAAACAAGCCTTGGATCACAGTGTTCCAATTGTCATGCCCTGGCAAGCACAATGCGGAGATGTAATTGTGCACCCGGCATGCTTTGATGGTTTGGAGGCCACACCTCCTTCAAACACACAAGGGGCCTTGTCAGAACAGATAACCGACTGACTCCCACAGACTGTATCTGTATGAGTCACCTTGGGAAAATCAAGACCCCAGCTGCTGAAATGAACAACTTTAAAGCCGAAAGTTTGCTGGAGACAATTTTGTGCACAGCAGAGAGAATTTCTCCTGGCTTCAGCTCTGCTCATGCAGAGCAACAAGCCAGTGCCTAGCATAAGCCTGCCTGCAATGGTGGTTCCCAGCTGGGGTCACTCTGCCCCCAACCCCAGGGACATTAAGAAATGTCTGGAAACGTGTTTGTTTGTCACAAACAGGGAAGGAAGTGTTACTGGCGTCTCGTGGGTAGAGGCCAGTGATGCTGCTAACAGTCCCATAATGCACAGAATAGCCCTGCAGAACAAAGAATTATCCAGCCTAAAATGTTGATACTTCTGCAGTCAAGTAACTCTAACCTATTAGGAAGAACCAGCATTCTTTCCCTGACTGGTGGGAGGCATAGTGCTCCTCTCTATCCATAAACTGGCCCCAGTTCGGTTTTGGGCAAGATACTTCATTCTCTGTGCTTCCTTTTCCTCATCTGTAGAATGGGGATAATATAATAATAAAATTTATCTTGCAGAGTTGGTTAAGGACTACATGAACTACAAGTAATAATGCGTATAAAGTGTTTTATAAGTACCTAGCAGTTAAGAAGCAATGTTAACTATGATTTTGCTTAATCACTCCTTTATTTTATTTATTGTTATTTTGTAGGGGACTCCTGGTTTTTGCCTTTCCCTGACTAAGATGGCCTCCTCCCTTTCACTGTTTCACCTGTGATCATTCTCCTCTTCCCGCAAAGTTTGATTTAAACATCATTTCCTCCAATTACCCTCAGACCTGCAAGTAGGGGTCACTCAGTCCTGCTGTGAGCTCCTGGCATATCGTTTACTGCTGGGTCACCTAAGTACCTAGTTGGTCTGCCAGCTCCTAAATGGCAGAGACCACATCTTAACACCTGTGTGCTCTCATTAAGGCCACAATGAACATTTCTTAAATTAAACCTCATTCTGCCTTTATCTTAGGTCTCCTGCCTGTCTGAAAGTGTTTGCTATATGCATAATGATCTCTCCAGCATGCTAAGGTCATCTGCAGCAGCAAATGTCTCTTAAGGGTTGATTATGGGTCCAAGGATCTGAAAGATTTTCTATGTGATGGAATTAGGGGGTTTGAATTCCAATGTAGATACTCTGGTGAGGAGGAATAAAGATCCTTCCCCTCATTTAGACCCAAGAGACAGAAATACTACCACCAGTTGGTGATCACTGAGGATCCGTATTTGTTAGGCATTGTATGAACCTTCTCCATGAACTATCTTCTTGGTGTCTCAAAACAATCTTTTGAAAGAGGTACCAAAATTATTCCCATTGTTATAATTATATGCCCAATGTCACACAGCAAAGATAACTGTCCAGGTAGGTCTATCTTACCCAACATCTGTGCTTCTTATCACTCTACTGTAGATCTCTCAAACGGTAAGTCAATTGGTATCATTAAAAGGAAGGTACAAAAATCCAGGAACACATTCATAAAACTCTTTAGACCCACAACTGGAAATGCCAGTTGGATGGTCTTTTAATTTTTCTGTTTCCCTAGTAACAGAAATCATTCTTCAAAAACAAAACAAAACAAAACAAAAAACAACCTTAGAAACAAGTCTGCTTTGTAAAACAGGTAACACAGAACTGCTCCAGGTTGAAGAAGGTTGGGGGAGCTATGAAATCTCACCCACCTGTCACTCCCTTCCCACCCAGGTGCCCTTAAAGGCACTCTGAGGCACCAGCTGATTACACCTTCATAGTCTGTAGATGTGGAAAGAAAGGCCTGGAAAGAGGAAATCATTTACTAAAGCTCACTCAGCTCAAAAGCGGCAGGGCCAGGAATTCTAAGTCCCCTGGCTCCGAAGCCAAAGCTCTTTTGACAGTATTTTGATGTCTCATTTGTGACAACTAGGCTTTCTTACTAAGAAGTGCAGAATTATAAAATAAAGTCAACAAAATCTACAAAGGATTACTATACTTCATCTGATCTAGGATTATATCAGTTACAAGATTCACTCCAATTTGTGATGTTAAAAATTCTAGACCTCAGAATCAATACAATGAAATGTGTCAAGAGTGTTTATTCCTCTGTCATTTGGTGCAAGGCACTTCTGTTGATTCTCCTTTTGTCCTTCACCATTCTAAGACATTGGTTCCAATCTTTGTTTTTGGATTCAAGTTTCCTTTGGAATCTGGTGAAAGTTATGGACACTCTAGCTAGAAAAATTCACATTGCATTGACATGGTGTGGGATACAGCCTGACAGTCTCCTGAAGCCATTCCACAGAACCTATATATTTTATGTATTCCTGATAAGACGTAAGTCCCATTTGAAGAGCTCAAATGTTTCCCACTTATGCTGTTTCTATGGAAAGGAAAAACAATCTGCTATCCATTTTACAAACACAAAATTAACCTCTATGCTAAAGGGTGGAGCTTTAGGGTGAAAGAACAAAGGAGTCAAAGTTACCTCCTGGCCAAGCTAACAGTTTCCCAACCCCCACTGTCATTCTCTTAGGCAAGGATCAAATTTTTTAAAGTTCTTAAATTTTTGAAATGAGAAATCCTAACTATCAAAAGCAAAATGAAGCAAGTGAAGCTAATTGTGTTTAGAGTTAGTGCTTAACCACTCAGAGAAAAGAATTATTTCCATTGACTTCCGGAGCACAGTAATTTTACAGTACATCCCTCTAAGAACAAAAATAGCAACTGGAAAGGAATTGTAAACTCTTTTCAGTAATTATATTTTCAGTTTAATATTGACATTGTTATTTCAAACTATAAGCCTTCAGCAAAGTGTTATTGGAGATTTTCATTGCCTGGATTTCTGTTAGTTTTAAAGTAGAGAACCATGGAAGATGGTCTTATGAGTTGGAAAAAGAGAATGAGTGTTCTAAATCTATATCCATCTCCCAACCAGCTTTGTCTGTCTCTAGGCAATTACTCCAGAACAAACATGCTGTATCACAAGAATTATTAATTTTATCCTAAAGTAAACAGACTCATCTCCAATGATAAAAGAAATTATCTACCCACATGACTTGACCGATATCTTTTTAAGAAATATATCCTTGGTTTTACTATTGTGTGATCAATCTGTCCAGGCTTGCCTGGTACTTGTCTGTTTTTAGCTGGAAATCCAGTGTCTTGAGATGAGCCTCACTTCGGGGCAAACAGGGATGGTTGATCACTGATATGGTTTAGCTGTGTCCCGACACAAATCTCAAATTGTATCTCCCAGAATTCCCATGTGTTGTGGGAGGGACCCAGGGGGAGGTAATGGAATCATGGGGGCTGGTCTTTCCTGTAATCTTCTTGTGATAGTGACTAAGTCTCATGAGATCTGATGGGTTTATCAGGGGTTTCTGCTTTTGCTTCTTCCTCATTTTCTCTTGCTGCCACCAAGTAAGAAGTGTCTTTTGCCTCCCATCATGATTCTGAGGCCTCCCCAGACATGTGAAACTGTAAGTCCAATTAAACCTCTTTTTCTTCCCAGTCTCGGGTATGTCTTTATCAGCAGCATGAAAATGGACTAATACAGTAAATTGGTACCAGTAGAGTGGGCCATTGCTGAAAATATACCTGAAGATGTGGAAGCAACTTTGGAGCTGGGTGACAGGCAGAGGTTGGAATAGTTTGGAGGGCTCAGAAGAAGACAGGAAAATATGGGAAATTTTGGAACCTCCTAGAGACTTGTTGAATCGCTTTGCCCAAAATGCCGATAGTGATATGAACAATAAGGTCCAGGCTGAGGTGGTCTCAGATGGAGATGAGGCACTTGTTGGGAACAGGAGCAAAAGTGACTCTTGTTATGTTTTAGCAAAGAGATTGGCAGCATTTTGCCCCAACCTTAGAGATTTGTGGAACTTTGAAGATGAGAGAGATGATTTAGGGTATCTGGCAGAAAAAATTTCTAAGCAGCAAAGCATTCAAAAGGTGACTTGGGTGCTGTTAAAGGCATTACATTTTAAAAGAGAAACAGAGCATAAAAGTTCAGAAAATTTTCAGCCCGATGATGCAGTAGAAAAGAAAAAAACATTTTTTTTAGGAAAAATTCAAGCCAGCTGCAGAAATTTGCATAAGTAGCAAAGAGCCTAATGTTAATCCCCAAGACCATGAGGAAAATGTCTCCAGGCTATGTCAGAGATCTTCATGGCAGCCCCTCCCATCACAGGCCCAGAAGCCCAGGAGAAAAAAGTGATTGTGTGGGCCGGGCCCAGGGTCCCCATGCTATGTGCAGCCTAGGGACTTGGTGCCCTGTGTCCCAGCCATCCCAACTGTAGCTGAAAGGGACCAAGGTACAGCTCCGGCTGTGGCTTCAGAGGGTGGAAGCCCCAAGCCTTGGCAGCTTCCATGTGGTGTTGAGCATGCGGAGGCACCGAAGTCAAAAACTGAGGTTTGGGAATTTCTGCCTAGATTTCAGAAGATGTATGGAAATGCCTGGATGCCCAAGCAAAAGTTTGCTGCAGGGGTGGGGCGCTTGTGGAAAACCTTTGCTAGGGCAGTGCAGATGGGAAATGTGGGGTCGGAGCCCCCAAACAGGGTCCTTACTGTGGTACCGCCTACTGGAGCTGTGGAAAGAAAGCCACCGTTCTCCAGACCTCAGAATGGTAGATCCACCGACAACTTGCACCGCACCGTGCACCTGGAAAAGCCGCAGACATGCAACACAAGCCTGTGAAAGCAGCCAGGAGGGAGGCTTTGTACCCTGCAAAGTCACAGAGGGAGAGCTGCCACGACCATGGGAACCCACCTCTTACATCAGCAAGACCTGAATGTGAGAACTGGAGTCAAAGGAGATCATTTTGGAGCTTTAAAATTCGACTGCACTGCTGGATTTCAGACTTGCATGGACCCTGTAACCCCTTTGTTTTGGCCAATTTCTCCCATTTGGAATGGCTGTATCTACCCAATACCTGTGCCCCCATTGTATCTAGGAAGTAACTAACTTGCTTTTGATTTTACAGGCTCCTAGGCAGAAGGGACTTGCCTTGTCTCAGATGAGACTTTGGACTGTAGATTTTTGGGTTAATGCTGAAATGAGTTAAGACTTTGGGGGACTGTTGGGAAGGCATGATTGGTTTTGATATGTGAGGACGTGAGATTTGGGGGTGGCAAGGGACAAAATGGTATGATTTGGTTTTGTCCCACCCCCCGCCCCCAAGATCTCAACTTGAATTTTATCTCCCAGAATTCCCACATGTTGTGGGAGGGGCCCAGGTGGAGGTAACTGAATCATGAGGGCCAGTTTTTCCTGTGCTATTCTCGTGATAGTGACTAAGTCTCATGAGACCTGATGGGTTTATCAGGGGTTTCTGCTTTTGCTTCTTCCTCATTTTCTCTTGCTGCCACCATGTAAGATGTGCCTTTCACTGCCTGCCATGATCCTGAGGTCTCCCCAGCCACGTGGAACTGTAAGTTCAATTAAACCTCATTTTCTTCCCAGTCCTGGGTATGACTTTATCAGCAGCATGAAAATGGACTAATACAGTCACCCTATCATGCAAACAATTTATTCATCTTCCCCTGGGCTGACACTCTTTTTAAAGCCTCCCATATTAACTGAGGATAGTTCTTGCCAACCCCTCTGGAAAAGATGGCACCATGCCAAAATGCCTCTTTTCCAATCTTTATATTTCACTTTTGATAGAAGGCATGGCAGAGAGTTGGGAATGGGGTAGGATGGGAACTTTCAATTTACCCAACCATGTGTGCCTTCCCTAGTGCCTTATGTTCTTTACTTTTCTTAAAATTATTTGCCTTCCCAAATAAGTCATACCTCCAAGACATATTCTATTGGCTACATGGAAGGAAAGGAAAGAAAATGAACAATTTCCAAACCCAGTTGAGTGAGCACCTGGGACAAAGAACATAGGCTCTGAAAGCATGGGGTTGATACTTCTGTTAGTGTATTTGAGGGTGGGGCAAGGCCTGGAATAAAGCTGGAAGCTGGCCTCTTGGGGAGAAAAAAAAAAAAAAACAGGGACAGCATTCAAGGGCAAAATGGAAATTAAAACCAGACAGCTTGTCCAACTAAGTCATCAACCTGCGGGACCTGGAGGAAGAGGACATGACCAGCAAATGGAAGCAAGATTGGCACTAAGGAGCAAGAGGGTTCAAAGAGAAGCTTGGGAAGCAGGATGTGGAGAAATTCCATGGAAAGACAGTATGGCCACTACTGTTCTTCTGTTTGGTTTTAAAATTTTTATTAGGAAAATTACAGACATATATAAGAGCAGGGGGAATAATATAATAAAATCCTATGTATGCATTTTCAACTTTCAACAATTATTAATCATGATGGCTCTTGTTTCATTCATATGCCCCCATTTCTTCATTCCAGATTGCTTTGAGACATATTCTAGATATATTATTTCATTTATTATTTCAGTATTTCTCTCTGAAAGATAAAAGTCTCTTTATAAAAGTGTATTAATAATATTATTACGTCAAAAAAATACACTAGCTGACATGGTTTGGTTGTGTCTCCACTCAAATCTCATCTTGAATTGTAGCTCTCATAATTCCTACATGTCATGGGAGGGACCCAGTGGGAGGTCATTGAATCATAGGGGTGAGTTTTTCCCATGCTGTTCTCATGACAATGACTAAGTTTCCTGAGATCTGAGGGTTTTAGCAAAGTGAGTTCCCCTGCACATACTATCTTATCTGCTGCCATGTAAGACATGACTTTTCTCCTCATTCAACTTCAGCCATGATTGTGAGGCCTCCCCAGCCATGGGGAACTGTGAGCCAATTAAACTTCTTTCTTTTGTAAATTACCCAGTCTTCAGTATGCCATTATTATCAGCCTGAGAACATACTAATACAGTAAATTGGTACCAAGAGTGGGATGCTGCTGTAAAGATATCTGAAAATGTGGATGTGACTTTGGAACTGGGTAACAGACAGAGGTTGGAACAGTTTGGAAGGCTTAGAAGAAAATAGTAAAAAGTGGGAAAATTTGGAGCTTCTTAGAGACTTGGAGGGCTCAGAAGACAAGAAGATGTGGGAAAGTTTGAAACTTGTTGAATGACTTTGACCAAAATACTGATAGTGATATTGATAATAAAATTCAGGCTGAGCTGATTTCAGATGGAGATAAGGAACTTGTTGGGAACTAGAGTAAAGTTCACTCTTGCTATGCAAAGACACTGGCAGCATTTTGCCCCTTTCATAGAGATCTGTGGAACTTTGAATTTGAGAGAGGTGATTTGGGGTATCTGGCAGGAGAAATTTCTAAATGGCAAAGCATTCAAGAGGTGACAGAGCATAAAAGTTTGAAAAATTTGCAGCCTGATGATGCAACAGGAAAGAAAACACCCATTTTCTGAGAAGAAATTCAAGCTGGCTGCAGAAATTTGCATAAGTAATGAGGAGCCAAATGCTAATCAGCAAGACAGTGGGGAAAATGTCCCCAGGGCCTGTCAGAGAGCTTCATGGCAGCCCCTCCCATCAAAGGCCTGGAGGCCTAGGAGAGTAAAATGGTTTTATGGTCCAGACTTAGGGCCATCCTGCTTTATGCAGCCTCCAAAATAGTGCCCTGCATCCCAGCTGTTTCAGCTCCAGCTATGGCTAAAAGGGGCCAAGTATAGCTCAGTCCATTGCTTCAGAGGGTACAAGTCCCAAACCTTAGTGGGTTACATGTGGTGTTACACTTGTGGGTACACAGAAGTCAAGAATGGAGGTTTGGGACCCTCCACCTAGATTTTAGAGGATGTGTGGAAATGCCTGGATGTCCAGGCAGAATTTTGCTGCAAGGGCAGGGATCTCATCAAGAAACTCTACTAGGGCAGTGGGGAAGGGAAATGTGGGGTTGGAGCCCCTACACAGAGTCTCCACTGTGGCAGTGCCTAGCAGAGCTGTGAGAAGAGGGCCAATGTCCTCCAGACCCCAGAATGGTAGATTCACCAACAGCTTGCACTGTGTACCTGGAAAACCCAGAGACACTCAATGCCAGCCCATGAAAGCAGCCAGGAAGGGAGGCTGTACCCTGCAAAGCCACAGGGACAGAGCTACCCAAGGCTGTGGGAGCCTGCCTCTTGCACCAGTGTGACTTGAATGTGAGACATGGAGTCAAAGGAGATCACTTTGGAACTTGAAGGTTTAATGACTGCCCTATTGGATTTCAGACTTGCATAGGGCATGTAGCCCTTTGCTTTGGCTAATTTCTCCCATTTGGAATGGATTACCCAGTGTCTTACCCCCATTGTATCTGGGGAGTAACTAATACTTACTTTTGATTTTATAGGCTTATAGGCAGAAGATACTTGCCTTGCCTAGTCTCAGATGAGACTTTGGACTATGGACTTTGAGTTAATGCTGAAATGAGTTAAGTCTTTGAGGAACTGTTGGAAAGGCATGATTGGTTTTGAAATGTGAGGACATGAGATTTGGGAGGGTCCAGGGCAAAATGATATTGTTTGGCTGTGTCCCCACTCAAATCTCATCTTGAATTATAGCTCCTGTAATTTCCACATGTTAAGGGAGGGACCCAGTGGGAGGTAATTGAATCATGGGGGGCAGGTTTTTCCCATGCTATTCTCATGATAGTGAATAAGTCTCACAAAATCTGATGGTTTTATAAAGGGGAGTTCCCCTGCACAAACTCTTTTGCCTGCCACCATGTAAGACATGACTTTGCTCCTCATTCGCCTTCAGCCATGATTGTGAGGCCTCCCCAGCCATGTGTAATTGTGAGTCAATTAAACCTCTTTCCTTATAAATTAGCCAGTCTTGGGTATGTCTTTATTAGCAGTGTGAGAACAGACTAATACACTAACCCTAATGTATTATCAAGTATCCAATCTGTTCAAAGCTCCTCCTCTTCCTTATTACAGTGGTTAATCTGTCTTTTATTATTTTTTTCTTTATCTATAGGCTTTTTCATCTCTTTTGTTTTCCCTTACAACTTATTTGTTGGAATAATCTGTAATTATTTCAGCAGAGTTTTTCACAGTCTAGATTTTTCCAAGTGCATGCCTGAGATGTTGTTTAGTATGTTCCTCTATCTCCTGTATTTCCTAGAAGCTGTTAGGTAGATTTAGAGGTTTGATCACATTGAAATTCAATTTCTGTCAACTTTTATGATAAAGTGAGGTTCTATCAGGAGGCACCTAATGTCTGATTGCTTCTATTTACATGATGTTAAGATTAATCAGTGTTGTCAGTTGTTGTACCTTTCATGAAGTCCCCCATTAACATTTCACCTAATGGATATACAGATGCTCCCCAACTTATTATGGGGTTATGTCATAAACTCATTGCAGGTTGAAAATATCATAAGTCAAACATGCATTTCATACACCTAAACTACAGACATCATAGCTGAGCCTAGCCTACTTTAAAAGTGCTTAGAACACTTACATTAGGCTACAGTTGAGCAAAATCATCAACAACACAAAGCCTATTTTATAATACAGTGTTAAATATCTTATGAAATTCATTGAATACTGTACCAACCCTGTAATATTACCTGTTACATTACCAACCCTGGTAATATAACAAAACAAGGCCTTTCAACACCCCAAAAAAATCACACTAGTTCACCAGCAATGGATCCAAACCAAGAAGAAATCCCTGATTTACCTGAAAAAGAATTCAGGAGGTTAGTTATTAAGCTAATCAGGGAGGCACCGGAGAAAGGCAAAGCCCAATGCAAGGAAATCCAAAAAAATGATACAAAAAGTAAAGGGAGAAATAGTCAATGAAATAGATAGCTTAAAAAATTTAAAAATTCAGGAAACTTTGGACACACTTTTAGAAATGTGAAATGCTCTGGAAAGTCTCAGCAATAGAATTGAATGAGTAGAAGAAAGAAATTCAGAGCTCAAAGACAAAGTCTTTGAATTAACCCAGTCCAACAAAGACAAAGAAAAAAGAATAAGAAAATATGAACAAACCCTCCAAGAAGTCTGGGATTATGTTAAACTACCAAACCTAAGAATAATTGGTGTTCCTGAAGAAGACAATTCTAAAAGCTTGGAAAACATATTTGGGGGAATAATTGGGGAAAACTTCCCCAGCCTAGATAGAGACCTAGACTTCCAAATACAAGAAGCACAAAGAACACTTGGGAAATTCATCACAAAAAGATCTTCTCCTAGGCACATTGTCATCAGGTTATCCAAAGTTAAGATGAAGGAAAGAATCTTAAGAGATGTGAGACAGAAGCACCAGGTAACCTGTAAGGAAAACCTATCAGATTAACAGCAGATTTCTCAGCAGAAACCTTACAAGCTAGAAGGGATTGGGGACCTATCTTCAGGCTCCTCAAAAAAAAAAACAATTATCAGCCAAGAATTTTGTATCCAACAAAACTAAGTACCATATATGAAGGAAAGATACAATCATTTTCAGACAAACAAATGCTCAGAGAATTTGCCATTACCAAGACACCACTACAAGAACTTCTATAAGGAGGTCCAAATCTTGAAATGAATCCTGGAAATACATTGAAACAGAACCTCTTTAAAACATAACTCACACAAGGCCTATAAAAGAAAAATACAAACTAATAAGCAAAAACAAAAAAACAAAAACAAAAAAACAAAGTACACAGGCAACAAAGAGCACAGTGAATGCAATGATACCTCACATTTCAATACTAACATTGAACGTAAATAGCCTAAATGCTCCACTTAAAAGATACAGAACTGCAGAATGGATAAGAACTCACTAATCAACAATCTGCTGCCTTCAGGGGACTTACCTAACACGTAAGGACTCACATAAACTTAACGTAAAGGGGTGGGAAAAGGCATTTCATGTAAATGGACACCAAAAGTGAGCAGGCATGCAAACGGACACCAAAAGCAAGCAGAAGTAGCTATTCTTATATCAGACAAAACAAACTTTAAAGCAACAGTAGTTGGCCAGGCGCTGGGCTCACGCCTGTAATCCCAATACTTTGGGAGGCCAAGGCAGGTGGATCACGAGGTCAGGAGATCAAGACCATCCTGGCTAACACAGTGAAACCCCATCTCTACTAAAAGTACAAAAACAAAATTAGCCAGGCATGGTGGCGGGCGCCTGTAGTCCCAGCTACTTGGGAGGCTGAGGGGGGAGAATGGCATGAACCCGGGAGGTGGAGCTTGCAGTGAGCCAAGATCATGCCACTCACTCCAGCCTAGGCTGCAGAGCGAGACTCCATCTTAAAAAAAAAAAAAAAGCAACAGTAGTTAAAAGAGACAGAGACATTAGATAGTGATAAAAGGCCCTGTCAAACAGGAAAAATATCACAATCCTAAACATATATGCACCTAACACTGGAGCTCCTAAATTTATAAAACAATTACTAATAGACCTAAGAAATGAGATAGACAGCAACACAATAATAGTGGAGGACTTCAATACTCCATTGATAGCACTAGACAGGTAATCAAGAGAGAAAGTCAACAAAGAAACAATGGACTTAAACTATACCTTGGAACAAATTGACTTAACAGATATATACAGAACATTTCATCCAACAACTGCAGAATACATATTCTATACAGCAGCACATGAAACTTTCTCCAAGATAGACCATATGGTAGGCCATAAAACAAGCCTCAATAAATTTAAGAAAATTGAAATTATATCAAGCATTCTCTCAGACCAACTCCAATAAAACTGGAAATCAACTCCAAAAGGAACCTTCGAAGCCATGCAAATACATGGAAATTAAATACCCTGCACTTGAATGAGCATTGGGTCAAACACTAAATCAAGATGGAAATTTAAAAATTCTTCAAGCTGAATGACAATAATGACACAACCTATCAAAACTTCTGGGATATAGCAAAAGTGGTGATAAGAGGAAAGTTTATAGTCCTAAACACCTACATCAAAAAGTCTGAAAGAGCACAAACAGACAATTCTAAGGTAACACCTCAAGGAACTAGAGAAACAAGAACAAACCAAACCCAAGCCCAGCAGAGGAGAGGAAATAACCCAGATCAGAGCAGAACTAAATGAAATTGAAACAAAAAAAAAATACAAACGATAAATGAAACAAAAACTGGTTCTTTGAAAAGATAAATAAAATGGATAGATTCATAGCAAGATTAATCAAGAAAAGAAGAGAGAAAATCCAAATAACCTCACTAAGGAATGAAACAGAAGATATTACAACTGACACCACTGAAATACAAAACATTATTCAAGGCTGCTATAAACCCCTTCATGCACATAAACTAGAAAACCTAGAAGAAATGGATAAATTCCTGGAAAAATACAATGCTTCTAGTTTAAATCAGGAAGAATCAGATACCTTAACAGACCAATAAGGAGCAGCAAGATTGAAATGATAATTTAAAAATTACCAACAACAAAAAAGTCCAGGACCAGACAGATTCACAGCAGAATTCTACCAGACATTCAAAAGAATTGGTACCAATCCTTTTGACACTATTCCACAAGTTAGAGAAAGAAAGAACCCCCCTTCCAACTCCTTCTATGAAGCCAGCATCACCCTAATACCTAAACCAGGAAAGGACAGAACCAGAAAATGAAAACTACAGACCAATATCCTTGATGAATATAGATGCTAAAATCCTTAACGAAATACTAGCTAACCAAATCCAACAACATATCAAAAAGATAATCCACCTTGACCAAGTGGGTTTCATACCAGGGATGCAGGATGCAAGTAAATAAATGTGATACACCACATAAACAGAATTAAAAATAAAAATCACATGATCATCTGAATAGATGCAGAAAAAGCATTCAACAAAATCCAGCATTCCTTTATGATTAAAACTGTCAGCAAAATCGGCATACAAGGGACATACCTCAAGATAATCAAAGCCATCTATGACAACCCCACAGCCAACATAATACTGATGGAGAAAAGCTGAAATATTCCCTCTGAGAAATGGAGCAAGACGAGGATGCCCACTCTCACCACTCCTCTTTGACATAGTACTGGAAGTCCTATCCAGAGCAATCAGACAAGAAAAATAAATAAAGGGCATCCAAATTGGTAAAGAGGAAGTGAAGCTGTCCCTGTTTGCTGATGATACGATCATTTACTTTGAAAACCCTAAGGACTCCTCCAGAAAGCTCCTGGAACTGATAAAAGAATTCAGCAAAGTTTCTGGATACAAGATCAATGTACACAAATCAGTAGTTCTTCTAGACACCAACAACAACCAAGCAGAGAATCAAATCAAGAACTCAGCCCCTTTTACAATAGCTGCAAAAAATGAAAATAAAACACATAGTAACGTGCCTAACCAAGGAGACGAAAGACCTCTACAAGGAAAACTACAAAACACTGCTGAAAGAAATCATAGATGACACAAACAAATGGAAACACAACCCATGCTCATGGATGGGTAGAATCAATGTTGTGAAAATGACTGTACTGCCAAAAGCAATCGACAAATTCAATGCAACTCCCATCAAAATACCACCGTCATTCTTCACAGAGTTAAAAAAAAAATTCTAAAATTCAAATAGGACCAAAAAAGCCCGCATAGCCAAAGAAAGACTAAGCAAAATGAACAAATGTGGAGGCATCACACTACCTGATTGCAAACTATACCATAAGGGCATAGTCACCAAAACAGTATGGTACTGGTATAAAAATAGGCACATAGACCAATGTAACATAAGAGAGAACCCAGAAATAAACCCAAATACTTACAGCCAATTGATTTTCAACAAAGCAAACAAAAACAAAAGTGGGGAAAGGACACCCTTTTCAACAAATGGTGCTGGGATAATTGGCTAGCCACATGTAGGAGAATGACATTGGATCCTCATCTCTCACCTTATACAGAAATCAACTCAAGATGGATTAAAGAATTAAACCTAAGTCCTGAAACTATAAAAATTCTAGAAGATAACATTGGAAAAACCCTTCTAGACATTGGCTTAGGCAAGGAGTTCATGACCAAGAACCCAAAAGCAAATGCAATAAAAACAAAGATAAATAGCTGGGACCTAATTAAACCAAAGAGCTTTTGCATGGCAAAAGGAATAGTCAGCAGAGTAAACGGACAACCCACAGAGTGGGAGAAAATCTTCACAATCTATACATCTGACAAAGGACTAATATCCAGAATCTACAACAAACTCAAACAAATTAGTAAGAAAAAAAACAAACAATCCCATCAAAAAGTGGCTTAAGGATATGAATAGACAATTCTCAAAAGAAGATGTACAAATGGCCAATAAACTTATGAAAAAATTCTCAACATCACTAATGATCAGGGAAATGCAAATCAAAAAACCACAATGTAATCTACCTTACTCCTGCAACATTGGCCATTATCAAAAAGTCAAAACAAACAAACAAACAAACAAAAACAGTAGATGTTGGCCAGGATACAGTGAACAGGGAACACTTCTACACTGCTGGTGGGAATGTAAACTAGTACAGCCACTAATGGAAAACAGTGTGGAGATTCCTTAAAGAACTAAAAGTGCTACCATTTGATCCAGCAATCCCATTACTGGGTATCTACCCAGAGGAAAAGAAATCATTATTTGAAAAAGGTACTTGCACACGCATGTTTATAGCAGCTCAATTCACAATTGCAAAATCATGGAACCAACCCAAATGCCCATCAATCAACTAGTGAATAAAGAAACTGTGATATATACATATATATACACACACACACACACACACACACAATGGAATACTAAGCAGCCATAAAAAGGAATGAATTAACAGCATCTGCAGTGATGTGGATGAGACTAGACCCTATTATTCTAAGTGAAGTAACTCAGGAATGGGAAACCAAACATCGTTTGTTCTCAGTGATATGTGGGAGTTAAGCTATGAGGATGCAAAGGCATAAGAATGATACAACGGACTTTGGGGACTTGGGGGGAAGAGTGGAAAGGGGACAAGGGATAAAAGACTACAAATATGGTGCACTGTATACTGCTCAGGTGATGGGTTCTTTTGATGTTAAACTTCCATATTTAGCCTTTGGAAGCAATTTCATATTGTTCCTAAGTTAATTTTACATGGTCCCAAGGGCCTTTGATAGCTTCCTTGCTTTCTGATGCAATGAGATGTTCTAGTGAGATGCAATGAGACACATAACTCATCTTATGTGTTTTTTGTCCCACACTTATAATCAACCATTTCTCAAAGAAGCCCAAGCTCCTTAGTAAGAAATGATATTTGGAGACCACAATTTGGATGTCAAGGGTCCTCCTTGTTACTGGGTTGATCATTCTGTCTAGACTTTTTCAGTGGACACAACTAATTTGTTTTTTTCTTACTGGAAGAAAATATATTCCAGTATAAAATAAGAAAATATATTTTACTTATATCTTTCCTCTCTAATGAGTAAAAGCCTCAGTTCCTAATGATATTGGAATTATTTCTTATACTACATACACATATAAGTGGGTGGGTGTGCATATTTCTATATCTATATGACAAAGAAGGGACATAAGCATAGATTGTGTTTTTATGTCAGAGGGAAGTAGGACATCAGTAGGAGGGATACTTAAAGAGGAGCTTCTGAAGGAAGACAAGGAAATATGGAGGGCAGAAAGTAAATTAAGGAGTGAGAGAGCCTTTACATGGAATACTTTCTGAATGCAAAATTGTAGTCTTGTGCACAAGATAAATATGTTTATATACCAGTAAAAAACTTGCTGAGAGTAAGAAACTCTAATACCATATACCTTGACCATCACCCAGAGTAATAGCAAACCTTTATATAGCATACCATATGCCAGGCATTGTCTAAGTAATTACTATATAAACTCATTCAATCATACAACACTAAGAGACATTATCATTATTATCTCCATTTTATGAAAGAAAAAATTGAAGTACAGAGACATTAAGCCACTTTCCCAAGGTGAAATCACTAGTGAATAGCAGTGCTAAGATCCAACCTGGACATTTTGACCTTAGAGTGCCTTCATTATGCAATATAACTCTCAAGATAGTGTATTAAAGACCATCACATGAACACATGCAAATATTCACACATACAAGCAAACACAAATGATTTGAGAAAGTGAAGTACTGGTAATCCCAAGTTATAAACATCTCACTGTAAAATAGGATTTTGAAAACCCATGAGATTTCCACACAAATCAGCACAACTTGTAGAGCCAAAAGAGCATGTAGGAATTAGAATTAAAACTCAGAGACACAGAGAGAGAGAGAGAAACAGATGAATGATTAGATAGATAGATAGATAGATAGATAGATAGATAGATAGATAGATAGATAGATGATAGATAGACATCGATGATAGACACATAGACAGATACTAGATAGATACATACATACATGTATGTATCTATCCATTTATTCATTCATTCTTCATTTCACAAATGAAGATGCTGAGAGAGTAAGGAAAGTTAAATAAGTAAGTCTGAAAAGTCAATGAATCCAGAATCATGTGGTCCAAAGACTTTGCAATGCCTTTAGCGTTGAGGAACCCAGTGTGACAGAGGTGATGAGTGGCCAGTCTTGAACATGGGATCCAGGCTGTCTCCTCTCAAGATGCAGCACTAGCGGTATCCATGAGGCTTTCCTTCTCAGCAGAGAATTCAATCCAACTACATCACTAAAATCAGCTAGAAATAGTCCATTTGTAAAAAGTCATCTCAGCATAATGGGTGAGAGGGGGAAATCCCTAATACAAGCCAGAGCAGGTGCAGGAAGCCATCCACCTCCTTCCTTCATCCCAAAGGGGCAATCATCACAGCTTCACTGCCAGGATGTGTGAGAAGCAGGGCTTACAGCTGGGCAGCCCTCATGCCAAAAGTGCATAAACCCAAAATGGAAGCTGGAGGGAAAAGAAAGGCAGGCTTAGCACATCAATCCTCCCACTTGCTCCCCATTGGAGTTGGAGCTGGGGCGAGCAGACGTAAAAACATCACCAGCTGGTGTGTTTCCTGGCAGGGACACCAGCCGTAGCCTTGCCCGCCCCCAGACATAATACTGCAGCAAACAACTTCCATCTGTAGCTCCATTTCCTTTATTTACTAGCACTACTAGGCAGGAGAGGAGAACAAACCAATGTTTTGGAGGCCCATCAGGACCTGGGCGTTGCCTCCAGCAGAACAGTGTTGATGGATGGTAGACAGTCAACAGACAAAGCCTCATTATACTTGTAAACCCAAATACAAAATAAATGATTCTTCTTTTGCATTACTGCTGCAGCGCCTGCTCTCAGCACCTGCCCTCATGCCTACCCTGTTCACACTTCTCTCTCTCAACAGCCCTAACAGTTCAGCTGAGCTGAAAGGATGAGGAGGAAGCCCTTGGCGATGGAACTTCTAGACAAGCCAAGGCCTGCCTGGCAGAGCTGGGAGCAGATTGAGGAAGACACCACTGCCCCTCCACCCACCCCGCCGCCGCCTTCATGTTGCCTTGATCTTCTATCCTCAGCTGACATTTTTGTCGCTCATCTCTGATTGAAGAAACCTCAGTTTCTTATTTGATCTTTCCTGGACAACCGTTTAATAGGCAGCAAGAAAAAGAGATGAGAGAAAGTGATTTTTCATCCCTGACTTGACATGATATTTTCCTTTTAACAATTTATCCATACCTCTCCTCTCAGTTTCTCTCCTTTCATATACTCACATACTATCTGCCTCTCTGCATAGCAAAGCAACCTTTTGAGCAGTTCTCTAAGAAGATTCTAAAAAGCAAGGAAAAAGCAGGATCACAATAGCTCCTTCCCCAGTTCAATTCAGCAAGCTTTTCTGAGCACCAGTCCAGATGCAAGGCACAATGAGAGGCAAGATGAAGAATGGGGGTTACTCTATCCTCATCGGACCAATTTAGAATCCAGTACATGCACATACAGGAAAAATCCAATGTGTTCATCATCTGTGTGTTCCATAATCATTTACTGAGCACCTTTTATCAAAAAGAGAAACCATTTTTAAAGTAAACTGGATTCTCTATTATAACAACAGTGAAGTTTGGCAAAATGTTTTCCTCATGTGAAGGCTTGAATTTAAAGAATTTTAATTTATGTTCATTATGATTCAATCCAACATTTGTCTTTTTGTATGTATTAGATCTTGCGAGGGACACAAAGATAATCAAGTTGTGGATCTAGGTCTTAAGACGTATAAAATTGAGTGGGTCTATGTCTTCCAATACACAAAGTCAAGTGGAGAGACATAAATAACACTAACTTCAGTGCAATGTATACTAAAGGATACGGAATGACTTATTCAGCAGCTACTATGTGCCTGGTGCTTTACCCATATGATTAATAAAGCATCTTTTGGTGATATTTACTGTTCATGTAATCTATGGTCTAAGCCTGGTGACATGGTCTTGAGAGGGATACAAACATGTAATTACAATGTAACAGGAAGTAGTGACAGGGAAAATAAGAGAGAATAGCCGGGACATCTAATCTGATTTGGCAAATCAAAGAAGGCTTCCAGGAAGAAGTGACTTCTGAGCTGAGTCCTGAAGAATGAGTCATCCAAATAAATCAGAGGAGGAGATTGTTTTTGGCAGCAAAAATAACATGCACAAAGTCCCAAAGGCAGCGGGGAGACTTATGTTCCTCATCCAATAAGAGAGGAAGCTGAGGTTCCAATGAGTTATTTAACTTACCAAAGATCACACAGCTGGTGATTGACCGAAGTTGGATTTGGATCTGGCGTGAGTATCTTCCACCTATAAATGTTAATAACAGAGGAAGAGAGATAGATTTTGATTGATGACAATAGGGAAGCCTTTGTTAAATTGGGTTTTGAAGAACGAAGTAAAAATGGAAAGGGAAGAATTGACAGAAACCAAGAGAGTGTTGAGGGGCAGCAAATCCCAGTTTGACTGGAATATAGAGTGATGTCAGGGTTGGAAGGAGGTGCTTTGAAAAATTAAGTTGGAAAGATGGAAATGTTTTAGATGGAAAGACCCATCAATCAAGTAAAAGATACTTCATTCCCACCGCAGGATTAAGTCAATAAGGCACTGGACACTTTAAGTGTCAGAGGAAAAGAGAAGACAAAATACTGAACACTGCAGTATAGCGACAGAGGAGCCCTGTAATGACAGGCACTCCTCTGACCTGAGGTGAATGAACACAGAATCTTCAATGTGTCCAAGGGAAGGGGACCCAGAGCTACTGGTAGACTATCACTCCCAGAATGCCTTTCAGTGATCCACTTTCTTAGCCCACACTTCCTTCTATTCTTCTTCCTTTTTTTTCTTTGTTCCTTCTTTCCTCCCTTACTATCAAAATCATATTTGAATCTATTGTTTCTTGGGATAGATATGTCTGCTTGAATAACAAAGAGGCTTTATAACAAAGTCACCAAGAGAACAAATTGCTTCAAAACCAGGTTTGATGGACTATCTTAATGTATGTTGGACTTCTCATGATTGTGTCTGGCTACCAAGCAAATAATAGTAAAAAAATTAAAACTCATTCCTCCCAATTCATGTTTTAAGAGCAAATTAATAATGAAAGATCTCTTTACATCACAAAAAAGAAAGGATTTTTTATTTACTGTTGTTTGTTGTTTAAGTCCAGCAAAACTGAAGTTCATGTGAAAGAATAGGTGCAAATGGTCCAAAATCTCCTAAAGGAAGGCAAGGGCCTGAGAGGTCAATGGCTGAGCAGCACTTGCTAGCAATTACCAATCAATCCTCTTCAGGGCAGGATAATGGAAACCTACATGGTATAGCCTTTACAACCAGCAGACCTGTGGGCCCCACCAAGCTCTCTAAGCTTGGCAAATCACTTCTTTCTTGATCTCATTTGGAAGATGGGGACACTCCTTCACATCTTCTTACAAGATGGTTTTAAGTATTTAATAAAATGATGCATACCAATTCCTAGCTCAGGGTTTGGAACATGAAGTTATTCAATAATAGATGCCTCCTCCATAGTCCCCCACCCAGCCATACTCATTTCCACTTCTCTCCTAGGACTTTGTACATATTTCTATTTTACAGCACTTATAACAGTGCATTTTGGTTTTTAGATTACTGGTCTGTCTCTACTACTAGATATGAGCTATTCAAGAATATCAGCCATGGCTCATACATTTATCTTTGATAACCAATAAAGTGAATAGTAGTTGTTCAATTAACGATTTCTCACATGGTTGAGTTTAAAAGCTCTCAACTCTGTTAAGGATCTAAAACTGACATTTCAAAAAATGACCACAAGCCAGTGTATAACTTGGTGCTAAACCCTGTGGTACAACAGGCTTGTCAGAGGTGTTAAAGTTGAAGGCAGAAGGAAAAGGTGGGACAGCATCAAGGGGCTTTCGTGGGGGAAGTAGAACCTCAGAGAGGCTAGAAGATTGGGCAGCCCTGAATGAAATGAGGACAGCCACTTGAGAAAGGGTGAAAATGGGCAAGAGTATGGAGGCAGAAATGAGCATGTCACATTCATGGCACAGGAAGAAGACTGTTATGATGTGCTCAGGACCAGGAAACAAGGGTGTTTGGAGTTAATGTCATAGAAATAGGGAACCACAGGGGTGTCAAAGGAGGGAGTAACTTGAGTTGCTGATGTTTAATCAAGGCCGATGGGCACAAGGTATGAAGTTTCTAAACATCTGGAGGAGAGATGTAACTTTGCCTGAAGTTGCTGGAGAAGGAAGTTCATGGAAAGGGAGTGGGAGCCTCAGAGCTTCCTACTCGAAGAGTTCATTGGTACTAGGGGGTCAGTTCTCATCATGCTGCAATTGTGTTCAAAACAGGAGGCCTGCCTCAGGATCAGCAAGTGCCAGCAGCTCAGCTCAGCATCCTAGTGGACCAAGCAGCCCAGGGACTCTGATGAGAGAGCATCGCTCCTCAACTCAAAGGCAACTTCAGAAGGATGCTGTCCTAAAACCAGCCCAGGCCTTGCAAGAAAAATGACAAAGAGCAAGTTGAAATGAGTTTTAGGGATGAGCACTTTGTTGGAAATGAAGAATCCATTTAAAAAAAAAAACCATAAATGTGAAAAAGACACAATAATTAAGACAGTAGTGATCTATTTTGGGAGCGAAGTGCTTTCATATAGAGCATCACATTTCACTTCCTCAACAACCTGGTGAGACAGACCTTATTTCCATTTCACAGATGAAGTGAGGCTGGTGATGGTATGTGAATCTCCCAAGAGTGCCCAAGTATATAATGGAGCTGGCATCAGACTTCCAGTGTTGCATTTCCTAAATCTACTGTGTACTTCTTTGAACCAAGCTGCCTGCCTCCAGAGGAACGGAAGTGTGCTGAGACCAAAACATAACTCAGAGAAGGAAAGGGGACAGAAAAGTAACCCCCACCACTGAAACCCATGGAAGCAATAGTGTGTAATTATTGGCTAATGACCAACTCACAGGTAAACTGTGTCTTAGCTCCCTTGGGTAAGAAAAGGAAGATGTGCCTTCCAGCACCTTTGCTGGCTGCAATTTTATGTGGGAGATGTTGATTGGAAGGCCTACAAAGATCCTCCTGTGTGGGGAGCTTTTTTCAAAGAATGTTAAAGTATCATAATTGCTTGGATCTCCTGAGAATTGCCTGTCTCACAGTCTCATTTATTACAATTTCCAAATAACTGAAAAATGTTCCTTCCTTTGTGATAGTCTGAAAATTGAACGAACTGAAAGGACCCTCTTCTCCACCCATGACTGCAACCCACAACTAGGTTTTCTTACAAAGCACAAAGAAAGAAAGAAGAAAGGGCATCTTTCCTTTCCAACAGGGAAAAAAAATTGTGAGATGATATGAAATTACATTGTTACTATTTTAAACCTCACTATAAATCCATGTATCTGCTGCATTAGCTTACAGTTGGTATACACGTGGTTGAGCTAATCTGAGAGTGTCTCATTATTCTACATACGAGCAAAAAGAACAGACTTAGTCAGGCCTTTAACCAGCAGGGAGAGCTTGAGTGAGTAATGCAACCCTTGCTGGTCCCTGTCATGCCTGCTTCCCAGGCATGTTGACACATAAACAAGTGCTTTGAAATCTATAAACCATCACATCAGTGTAAATTATTATTATCACTGTGGTTAAAAACAACAACAGATCTCAAAAAAAAAAAAACAGCCCCTCTCCCTCTCCCTCTCCCTCTCCCTCTCCCCACGGTCTCCCTCTCCCTCTCCCTCTCCCCATGGTCTCCCTCTCCCTCTCTTTCCATGGTCTCCCTCTGATGCCGAGCCGAAGCTGGACTGTACTGCTGCCATCTAGGCTCACTGCAATCTCCCTGCCTGATTCTCCTGCCTCAGCCTGCCGAGTGCCTGCGATTGCAGGCGCGCGCCACCACGCCTGACAGGTTTTCGTATTTTTTTGGTGGAGACGGGGTTTCGCTGTGTTGGCCGGGCTGGTCTCCAGCTCGTAACCACGAGTGATCCGCCAGCCTCGGCCTCCGGAGGTGCCAGGATTGCAGACGGTGTCTGGTTCACTCAGTGCTCAATGGTGCCCAGGCTGGAGTGCAGTGGCGTGATCTCAGCTCGCTACAACCTCCACCTCCCAGCCGCCTGCCTTGGCCTCCCAAAGTACTGAGAGTGCAGCCTCTGCCCGGCCGCCACCCCGTCTGGGAAGTGAGGAGCGTCTCTGCCTGGCCGCCCATTGTCTGGGACGTGAGGAGCCCCTCTGCCTGGCTGCCCAGTCTGGAAAGTGAGGAGTGTCTCTGCCCGGCCGCCATCCCATCTAGGAAGTGAGGAGCGCCTCTTCCCGGCCGCCATCCCATCTAGGAAGTGAGGAGCATCTCTGCCCGGCCACCCATTATCTGAGATGTGGGGAGCGCCTCTGCCCCGCCGCCCCGTCTGGGATGTGAGGAGCACCTCTGCCCGGCCGCGACCCCGTCTGGGAGGTGAGGAGCGTCTCTGCCCAGCCACCCCGTCTGAGAAGTGAGGAGACCCTCCACCTGGCAACCGCCCCGTCTGAGAAGTGAGGAGCCCCTCCGCCCGGCAGCCACCCCCTCTGGGAAGTGAGGAGCGTCTCCGCCCGGCAGCCACCCCATCCGGGAGGGAGGTGGGGGTCAGCCCCCCGCCCGGCCAGCCGCCTCGTCCGGGAGGTGACGGGCGCCTCTGCCCGGCCGCCCCTACTGGGAAGTGAGGAGCCCCTCTGCCCGGCCAGCCGCACCGTCCGGGAGGGAGGTGGGGGGTCAGTCCCCCGCCCGGCCAGCCACCCCGTCCGGGAGGTGAGGGGCGCCTCTGCCCGGCCGCCCCTACTGGGAAGTGAGGAGCCCCTCTGCCCGGCCACCACCCCGTCTGGGAGGTGTACCCAACAGCTCATTGAGAACGGGCCATGATGACAATGGCGGTTTTGTGGAATAGAAAGGGGGGAAAGGTGGGGAAAAGATTGAGAAATCGGATGGTTGCCATGTCTGTGTAGAAAGAAGTAGACATGGGAGACTTTTCATTTTGTTCTGTACTAAGAAAAATTCTTCTGCCTTGGGATCCTGTTGATCTGTGACCTTACCCCCAACCCTGTGCTCTCTGAAACATGTGCTGTGTCCACTCAGGGTTAAATGGATTAAGGGCAGTGCAAGATGTGCTTTGTTAAACAGATGCTTGAAGGCAAAAAAAAAAAAAAAAAAAAAAAAAAAAAAAAAATCAGCACTTATTTTAACTCCAGTTTGTAATTTTATGCAATATTCAGTCTGGGGTCTATTCTGGTCTGTAGCTTTTGGAATCTTTGTGGTCGGTTACAGCAAAGCTAGAGGAAGTCTGACTCTAGGCAGGCAGGATCTGCAGGCTTCCCAATTATCATGGAGCCTTTACTTACATAATCGCACTGGTTAGGATTTTTATATCCAATTGCAATAGTAATTCCTGCAACCATAAAAACATACAGAAATAGAACAAGGTGATTATAGATTTTAGAGTCATACAGCCATGATTTAAATTATTTCTCTACTACATAATAGCTAAATGATATAGGCTAGTTATGTATCCTTTCTGGATATCAGTTTTTTCACCTTAAAAAAAAAACCAAGCAATTAAAAAGGATCCTCTTAACAAATGTATTTAAAGTACCCACACAATGGATGTCACATAGTAAATGCTAAAGACATGTTAATTCCCTGCCATTTATGTATATATATTTTTATATATGCTCTTTCCTCCATAATGTACCAAAATAGAAATTACATTATTCAGTCTACACATTCTCAAATTACCAGGGACTATTTCTTTCAGATGTTTATTGTATACCTTGTATGTGCTAGAAGTTGTGCTGGATCCTAGGCATACAAATGTGAATAAAATAATTTTCAAAGTATATAATATTAGACGAATGCAATCAAGCTGAGTCTACAATATTTAGTGAAGTATCAAAGCATACTCTATTGTGCAATGAAGGTTCCTATTGGGCTGCCTCAGTGAAAAGAAGGTGATAATGTCCGTGAAGTTAGAGCTGAGTCTGTCTTGGTGATTATCATATTTTTTAGCACCTAGCAGACAGGATAATGTTTGTCAAGCAAATCTGTTAGTAAATAGGAAAAACAGTAAGTAATTAACATAATACATGAGTGGCTACCTCTAATTTGTTGGATAACATCTTCTTCCTGCCAACTGAATCCCCTTTCACTCTATATCTTCAAGATGCAAGAATTCCTTAGGGAAGATCTTGTATTGCAGGTGATTGGAGAATTAAATGGAAATTACCAAATGCTGAGTCCAGACCTCTCCTTCTCCAGATCTTAACTAAAATCACACAGCTAAATGGTAAAGGAATCAATATCAACCCCAGAGAGTTGGCTCTCCCTATCCAGAGGTCTTTTTGTGATAGCTTTAAACATACATTTAACTAAATATCTACATAATTTCAGAAACTGAAATTTTCCCTCCCATAACTTCAGACAGCACACCCTAAAAGAAGAAATCACTTGAACACCAAACAAATTTTACACAAAACAAGACATACTACCATGTTTCAAGAAGGTGACCTACCAAACAGGCAGCCAGCTTCAGAGAACCCACCATACTTTTTGATGGCCAGTTCCAAGAATCTGAGAGATTCTGTTCAGCCTCACTTATTTGTAGTAACCAGCAAAAGGACAGTCTAAACCAGTGCCCTTCATTCTAATTTTAAGCCAATTTTGCCTTCTATGCAAATGCCAGAAGAAGAAGGGAATTGTGAGTTTTTGGTTCCTTCTCCCATTATTCAGAATAGCTCTTGCACAGTAAGTATCTTCATTACCATCCCAGTACCACCATCCCCTCACAGAACCACCAGAAAATTGAGGGACTCAATATGTACACTCTTGACTTCCTACCTACTCATACAAACCTATATGTTCTATGCAACATGACCTCGTGCTCATTGAGCTCTGTGCTGAGTGTTTTATATGTATCATCTAGTTCTCGCAACAGTTCTACATGTGAGTAATGATATCATCTTACCAATGAAGAAACTACAGTTTAGTGGGTTCCATCACTTGTGGTGCTGTGAGGTATAGTTTTGTTTAGTGTGCCACCTCCTGGCTTGGGGCCAACCAACTTAAGCCATTAGAGCAATTTATATAAAACAATAACCCACTTCAACAAAGGAGAAAACAATAGCTAATTCCATGGCCTATAACATCCTGGCTAACCAGAGATCCTGGGTCTGTCCACATGACAACTTCACTGCTAGCACAACCAGCATCCAAGAAAACCAGTGCACTAAACAAAACTACAACCAAGGACACTTACAGAGTCCACTTTGTGCCCCTGATACTTCCGCCAGAGTACGTGCTGGTAGCCACGGCTGAGAAACCTGAAGACACATCACATCACAAGACTCTTTGCAGATACTCCCAAGCACCAGCCTAGAGCTGGGTAGCTCCACTGAGTGATTAGACCCAAAAGAGCAATAGCAGTTGCTGCAGTCTGGCTCTCAGGAAGCCCCATCTCTAGGGGAAAGGGAAAAGCACCACATTAAGAGAGCACCCTGTGGGACAAATGAATCTGAACAGCAGTACTTGAGCCCTAGATCTTTCCTCTGACATAGTCTACCCAAATGAGAAGGCACCAAAAAACAATTCTGGTAATATGACAAAGGAAAGTTCTCTCGCCCCCAAAAGATCACACTAGTTCACCAGCAATGGATACAAACCAACAAGAAATCTCTGAATTTCCAGGAAAAGAATTCAGAAGGTTGATTATTAAACTACTCAAAGAGGCACCAGAGAAAGATGAAAACCAACTTAAAGAAATTTTTTAAATAAGGCAGGATATGGATGAAAAATCTCCAGAGTAATAGATAGCATAAATAAAGAAAAATTACCATGTCTGGAAATGAAAGACACATTTAGAGAAATGTAAACTACACTGGAAAGTTTCAACAATAGCATTGAACAAGTAGAAAAAATAACCTCAGAGCTTGAGGACAAGGCTTTTGAATTAACCCAGTCTGACAAAGACAAAGAGAAAAGAATAGAAAACAAAATAAACGAAGCCTCCAAGAAGTTTGGGACTATGCTAAATGACCAAACCTAAAAATAATTGGCTTTTCCAAGGAAGAAGAGAAATCTAAAAGTTTGGAAAACGTATTTGAGGGAATAATCAAAGAACTCTTCCCTGGCCTTGCATACAAATGCAAGAAGCTCAAAGACTGCCTGAGAAATTTATTGCAAGAAAGATCATCGCCAAGGCACATAGTCATCAGGTTATCTAAGGTCAAGATGAATGAAAGAATCTTAAGAGCTGCGAGACAAAAGCATCAGGTTACTTATAAAGGAATACCTATCAGATTAACAGCAGATTTCTCAGCAGAAACCCTACAAGCCAGAGGGGATTGGGATCCTATCTTTAGCCTCTTTAAACAAAACTATTATCAGCCAAGAGTTTTGTATCCATCAAAACTAAGCTTTATAAATGAAGGAAAGATACAGTCGTTTCCAGACCAACAAATGCTGAGAGAATTTGCCCTACCAAGCCAGCACTATAAGAACTGCTAAAAGGAGTTAAATATCTTGAAACAAAACCACAAAGTACACTAAAATATAACCTCCTTAAAGCATAAATCTCAGAGGGCCTGTAAAACAATAACATAATGGAAAAAAAAAAAGGCATTCAGGCAACAACTAGCACAATGAATAGTAAAGGACCTCACATCTCAATACTAATGCTGAACGTAAATGGTCTAAATGCTCCAATTAAAATATACAGAATGGCAGAATGGATAAGAATTCACCAACCAAGTATTTGCTGTCTTTAAGAGACTCGCCTAACACATAAGGACTCACATAAACTGCAGGTAAAAGGGTGGAAAAAGATATTTCATGTAAATGGACACCAAAAGTGAGAGGAGATTCTTATATCAAACAAAAAAGACTTTAAAGAAACAACAGTAGAAAAAGACAAAAAGGGACATTATGTAATGATAAAAGGACTAGCCTAATAGGAAAATATCACAGTTCTAAATACATATGCACCTAACACTGGAGCTCCCAAATTTATAAAACAATTACTACTAGACCTAAGAAATGAGAGAGACTGCAACACAATAATAGTGGGAGACTTTAATACTCCACTGACAGCACGAGACAGGTAATCAAGACAGAAAGTGAATAAAGAAACAGTAGACTTAATGTCAATAAATGTGATATACCACCTAAAGATAATTAAAAACAAAAATTACATGATAATCTCAGTAAACACAGAAAAAGCATTTGACAAAATCCAGCATCACTTTATGATTAAAACCTTCAGCAAAATGGGAATAAAAGAGACATACCCCAAGGTAATATAAGCCATCTGTGACAAACCTACAGCCAACATTATACTGAGTGGGGAAAAGCTGAAAGCATTCCCCTTAAGAACTGAAACAAGACAAGGAGGCCCACTTTCATCACTTCTATTCAACATGGTACTGGATGTCCTAGCCAGAACAGTCAGACAAGAAAAAGAAATAAACGGCATCCAAATCAGTAAAGAGGAAATCAAGCTGTTGCTGTTTGCTAATGATATGATTATATACCTGGAAATCCCTAAAGACTCATCTAAAAAGCTCCTAGATCTGATAAATGAATTCAGTAAAGTTTTAGGGTACAAAATAAATGTACACAAATTAGTAATACTGCTATATACCAACAGTGACCAAGCTGAGAATCAAATCAAGAACTCAACCCATTTTACAATAGCTGCAAAAAAAAAAAAAAACCTTAGGAACACCTACCCAAGAACGTGAAAGACCTCTCCAAGGAAAACTACAAAACACTGCTGAAATAAATCATAAATGACACAAACAAATGGAAACACATCCCATACTCATGGACAGGTAGAATCAATATTGTGAAAATGACCATACTGCCAAAAGTAATCTACAAATTCAACCCAACTCCCATTAAAATGCCATTATATTCTTCGCAGACCTACAAAAAAAATCCTAAAATTCATATGGAACCAAAAAAGAGTTCACATAGCCAAAGCAAGACTAAGCAGAAGAGCAAATCCAGAGGAATCACATTGCCCGACTTGAAACTCTGCTATAGGGCATAGTCACCAAAACAGCATGGTACTGGTGTGAAAATATGTACCTAGACCAATGGAACAGAATAGAGAACCCAGAAATAAACCCAAACACTTAACAGCCAACTAATCTTTGACAAAGCAAACAAAAACATAAAGTGGCGAATAGATACCCTTTTCCAAAAATGTTGCTGGGATAATTGCAAAGCCACATGTAGAAGAATGAAATCGTCATCTCTTACCTTATACAAAAATTAACTCAAGATGGAGCAAAGGCTTAAATCTAAGACCTGAAACCATAAAAAATTCTAGAAGATAACATTGGAAAAGTTGTTCTAGACATTAGCTTAGACAAAGACTTCATGACCAAGAACCCAAAAGCAAATGCAACAAAAATGAAGATAAATAGATGGGACTTAAACTAAAAATCTTCTGCAAAACAAAAGAAATAATCAGTAGATTAAATAGACAACCCACAGAACGGGAGAAAATCTTTGCAAACTCTGCATCTGCGTAAAGACTAATATCCAGAATCTACAAAGAACTCAAACAAATCAGCAAGAAAAAAACAAATAATTCCATCAAAAAGTGAGCAAAGAACATGAAGAGACAATTCTCAAAAGAAGATATACAAATGGCCAATAAACATATGAAAGAATGCTCAACATCACTAATATCAGGGAAATGCAAATCAAAACCACAATGTAATCCCACCTTACTTCTGCAACAATGGCCATAATCAAAACATCAAAAAACAGCAGATGTTGGCATGGATGCAGTGAACAGGGAACACTTCTAAACTGCTGGTGGGAATGTAAACTAGTACAGCCACTGTGAAAAACAGTGTGGAGATTCCTTAAAGAACTAAAAGTAGAACTACCATTTGGTCCAGCAATCCCACTACTGGGTATCTACCCAGAGGAAAAAAAGTCATGATTCAAAAAAGATACTTGCACATGCATGTTTATAGCAGCACCATTCACAATTGCAAATTTGTGGAACCAATCCAAATGCCCATCAATCAATGAGTGGATAAAGAAACTGTGGTATAGATATATGATGGAATACTATGCAGCCATAAAAAGAAATGAATTAACAGCATTTGCAGTGACCTGGATGAGATTGGAGACTATTATTCTAAGTAAAGTAACTCAAGAATGGAAAACCAAGTATTGCATGCTCTCACTGATATGTGGGAGCTAAGCTATGAAGACATAAAGACATAAGAATAATACGATGGACTTTGGGAACCTGGGGGGAAGGATGGGAGGAGGGTAAGAGATAAAAGACTACACATTGCGTACAGTCTACACTGCTTGGGTGATGGGTGCACCAAAATCTCAGAAATCACCACTAAAGAACTTATTCATGTAACCAACCACCTGTTCCCTAAAAACCTATTGAAATTAAAATAATAATAGTAATAATGCACTTCTAAGAAATGTCATATATGTCAGAGTTAATATTGTAGATCACATGGGAAAATATGGATCATTTAATAAATGCTGCTGAAAGAACCATTATCTGTCTTGGCAAATATAACATAGTACATGCCTATATCACAGTACACACATATGTTAATTCTAAATAGCTTTCATATTCAAATATAGAAGGCAAAACTTTAAAACTATTTAAAAATATTTAAAAGAGCATACTTTGCTGATGAAGGTTGAAGACTATTTCTCAAACATGAGGCATATTAAATACTATAAAAGGAATATATGAGCCATTGATATAGATCTATATAGTACATGTCGATTTTATATATCTTTATGCCTATGTGTAATATACATATGTGTGTTTATATATACAAATGAGAATACATGAGAATAAGTATGTAAGGGAATATATTTGAAAAACAAAACCTACAAAGGATTAGTATTCAGAATATATGAACATTTGTATAAGTCAATTAGAAAAACACAAACAACCGAAACAGAAAAATAGGCCTACATCATGAACAGGTATGGCACACAAAATATAAATTGTCGAAAACATATAAGAAGATACTGAACCTCATTAGAAATTAAGGAAGTATGAATTAAGACCAAAATAAGATATCTTTTTATACCCACTCATTTGGCAAAAATTAAGAAGATAATACCAAGTGTTGGTAATGGATATAACTGTTTAAGAAGACACTTTGGCTTAAGTGAAACATGTTAATAATTCCAGGTGCTTAGATATGCTGTGGCCTCTGCTTAGAATGTGTATCCTCAAATTGTCTATCTAGAAAAGCTATTGCTTATGCTTTAAAAGCCTACTTTGACAGCATCTACTTACTGAGACCTCCTCAAATTGCCAGAAGCAAAATCAATAATTTCTTTCTCTGTGCTGCCTATACAAAGTTGTATTATCCCATATTACACTGTACTATAATTTTGTATTTATGTCTCTCCCCAAGTTAGACTAGTGACTTTTAAAATAGAAAGCAACGACTGTTTCGTTTTGCTGCCCCAGGTCTCAATATATGGCAATAAAGGCACTGAAATGATGAGGACCCCCCAAGTCTTCTACATCTCTTTCCATAACTACCATGCCCCCGTTAATTCTGTGACAGCTGTAGGTTGTGGTCTGAGACTGCTTTCCATGGAAGCACTGGGCTCCTGCATACTTTTCTGCTTCTCTCTCAGCTTCACATATTGCAGCACTCATGTTTCTGATGCATTTTCATAAGACTCAACCCACAAACCAAATCAATCAAGGAAACTTCTCCACATTTTGAATGGGATATCAATTTAAAATATCTCACTCGAGTTGACTTCAAACTCCAAAGCTAGTTTTTATTCTAAAAGGACATTAACTTCCTAATTGTATGAACGCCTGTGGGAGACATTTTACCGTCCAGGACTTGGATGAAGGTGACTGCCTGCAACCAATTAAGATGTATATTTGGTGTTTGGCAGCTTCCTGACCCACGCCTTCTGTCTCTTCATCACCAGGGACCATGTATTGAGTGGCAGATGTGGACAAAGCAGCAGTGACTTGGTGGTGCTGCAGCCTGTGTCATTTGGCTCTGTTTACAGCCAGCCCACCTGCAGCCAGTCAGCAGCTATGACACTTGGGGAATAACAGTTGCTTTTCCAAATCAATATATGAGACTTCATGGCATAAATAGAAAGAACATTGTAGAAGAAGTTCTGAGGTGGATTTCCAGCTCCACTACTCTGAAGTTCTGTGACTCCTTCAAAAAATCTCCCTGGACCTCACTGTCCCTGACTGGAAAGCAATAACTATTCTGCCTACTTCCCTGAGGCAGAGAGAGATTTTAAGGACTAAATGTAACAATGAATTTAAGCTGTCAGGTGCCATTCAGATACCAATTTAGTCAACATTTTTAATGCTCTCTATGTGCTAGATGTGACTCTACGGGCTTTATATTTGTTGATTAATTTCAGCCTACTGGTAATCATATGAGCTAAATACTATTAGTCCCATTTTAAATATGAAAAAAACAAGACGCAAAACATTTCAGGAATTTGCTAAGATGACAGAGCCAGTAATGCAAGATCCAGGATCTGAGACCATGATGCCACATTGAACATCCTAGGAGTTGTTTTTCTGTTGCTTTAGATTTCCTTGTAATACTACCCATTACACCAAGAAATCAGTACCTTCCCCATGCCTCTACAAAACCATTTGCCATTTGGTAATAACTTAGTTTTTATATACCTCTCTTCTCCATTAGACTGTGAGCTCCTTACAGGTCAGAACTATATTGTAGTCTTTTGTAATAGTCCCAGCATCCTGGGTCTGATATATTGTAAGTAGGCACATTGCCCTCTAGAGATTTGTTGGCTGTATAGATGGAAGGAGGGAAGGAGTAAAGGTCAGGCGGGCAAAGTAGATGGATGGTTGGATGGATGGATGGATGGATGGATGGATGGGTGGATGGATGGATGGGTGGATGGATGGATGGATGGATGGATGGATGGATGGATGGATGAATGGAAGCATAGGTGGGTGGGTAGGTGGATGAAAGGATGGTAAGCGGGTGGATGGATGGATGGATTTTTGCAAGGATTGGTGGGTGGATGGATATCTGAGTAGATGATTAGATTAATCATAAATTGCCAATTTTAGAGAGTAATAGCTCATCATTTTGAAACAGAATTGTGTGTTTTCTCCGTCCTCACTGGGTTTGCCCATAATTTTAAATCATTTTCTATCTGAAGTCATACAGAACCCATTTACTATTGTCATAGTCTAAAACAAACCCATAATATTTGAAAAGGACAAAAACTGTGTCTGATTCAGCAAAGAAGAAAATACTGCTGCTACTTCTGGGAGCAGGGCTGATTCTAGAATTTTGCCTCATATTTTAGGCATTTTTGTACTTCAGTCCCCTTCATCTGCAGGGGAAATGCTCCAAGACCCCCAGCGAATGCCTGAACTTGTGAACAATACAAACCCTATATACACTATGTGCTTTCCTACACATGTATACCTATCATGAGGGTTAATTTATGACTTAGGTACAGTAAGAGTTTAACAACCATAACTAATGATAAAATAGAACAAATAACAATCAGCTGCAATAAGTGTTGTGTGAATATGACCTCTCTCTTCTCTCTCTCTCTGCCCCCTACTCTTTCTAAATATCATATCGTACTCTACTTACCCTTCTCCTTCTTTGTGATCTGTTGATCCAATAACTGAGATAGCTACTGAGGTGACTAAACGATAAATGTCATATATGCCACATGGATATGCTGGACAAAGGAATAATTTACATCTTGGGCAGGACAGAGCAATAAGATGCAAAATTTCATCACTTT
The DNA here is from genome assembly GCF_000001405.40 of Homo sapiens. Lineage (NCBI taxonomy): Eukaryota > Metazoa > Chordata > Mammalia > Primates > Hominidae > Homo > Homo sapiens. The sequence continues at coordinate 13,751,031 of NC_000004.12, read as the reverse complement.
ACTCAGAACAACATGCAATTTGAAACTTATAAGTTGATTATTTCTGAAATTTTTCATTAAATATTTTCAAACTGTGGTTGGCCATGGGTAACTGAAGCCCAGGAAAGTGAAATCATGGTTAAGGGGAGACTACTGTTCTAGCCTTCTTTGAGCACTTGGAGAATGAGAAAGTGTCTTCACTTCTTAGAACACTCAGCACACCTGCTGCAAGGCAGAAGTAAACAAGCAATAAATTTGAGGTCAAACTAATGAGTCACCCAAGGCCCTGCCTCCCCTCTGTTTGTCCTCTTTTCTAGTTACAACCAGCAGGTATCTCCTTTGTCTCCTCTTTCCCTCCTTTCTAGGAAAGGTTGCGTGCATTTATTCTGTTCCTTTCTGTTCCACACCAGGTAAAGCTCCTTACCTGGACAGTCGCAATTTTCAGTTGTCCCCTTACCCCCCAGCCTGCCATAACCCCCACACTTTCAACATTAGCCTTCTTATGTTCTCTCAGAGACACTAGTACCAGCTGGACAGTGCCCTCTCCCAAGAAACCTGGGTCCTTAGCTTTTCCCCCAAGCTTCTAGGTTCTGATCTCACCCTCATTCATTTTCCCAGTTAATATCCCTGTGTTACCTTAATGTTTCACTCTGCCTGTTGAGTCCTCCAACCCCTATTTAACCCATTCTCTACATTAAGTTGCCCCTATTAAAATATCAGTTAGAGCTTCTGCTTTCCTGAATGAAGAATCCTTACTGACTCAACTTACTATGTATCAGACACTATGCTAAGCCTTTAAACATATCATTATATTTGCTCTTTATGGAAACTCTATGGGTACATTGTCTTCTTTTTACAAGCAGGTAAACTGAGACACAGAGATAGTAAGGTTTTGACCAAGATCACACAAGCCTGAATTGCAGTAAGAGAAGCTTCTAAACTCAATGCAGTCCTGCCTAAAAGTAGCTATTTGCGTGAGACATATGGTTCCTACAGTGAATTCATGTCCTTGTTGCCAGGGTCCTTCTTAGAACCAAAAGTACATGCAAAGTTCCCTGAATAAAGGAGTGTGGTGTCCTTGCCATCCACCCACAGGTATCAATCGCACACAGATTTACCACCAACAGGTGGCTACAATATAGGACTCAGACAGGAGTGTTCCTGGGACTCTTAAGACTAACACAGCCATCCAAGGTTATTTCCCACCTACACAGCTAAAAACCAATCAAATTCCAATAAAAAATGATTATGTCTTTCCCTAGAGTTTCTGATGAAAAGAGCAAATAAACTTCGTTGCATTGGCTGGGAGCCATCCCAGACCACAATGTTTTCTTGTCCCTCATGATAGGTAGCACCTACTCTCTACCCTAGTGTTAATATTTCTTCTCCTTTTGTGCTTCTCTCTAGCTCATAGTTTCCTTCAGCAGTTTTCATTCCTTCTATTTATTATTTTGTCTTCCCATCTCTCTGTGATATAAGTAAAATAAATTCTTGAAAGACAGCTTAAGCCTTTGAGGGAATGATTTGGGTGACTTTTTGAACTTTATACAAAAAAAATTCCCAGTACTGACTTGTCTCATCAAAAAGTTACTCATAACTCAAAACCTCTGAAACACTAGTAATTCGTGTGTGTGTGTGTGTGTGTGTGTGTGTGTGTCTGGGGGGGAGTTGGCAATTGAAAGATGTGTGCTGGGTGTGTAATGACAAAGTTACTCCTACTCAGGGCCACCTACCTTGGGAGATCTGTTGTGTTTTTCCTTTATACCAGAAACCATGATCAGCCATACTTTTATCTTTACATTCTATGCCATCTCCGACTATAAATAATTAAATAATGTGTCTCACATGTCTATCTCCATTCACTTACTATTACATTGCTTTTTTTGGTTTTGATAATCATTTCTAATCAAGCTGGGATTCTTGAATTTGCCATTAAATAGCCATTTTAATGGGGCCCACTGATATCTCAAAAAAAAAGGAAATGGTATAATTTCTTGTTAGAAAGTGTATCACCAGACGTTGAAATTTGTCTTGGAAGGAGCCTAGAATAAGCTAGGCATTCTGTCATTCCTTAACAGTCACCTTCTTTTGGTTGACAGCTGTTTTCTGGGAGGATATTGGGGATGGCACCAGCAGCCACCTCAAATAGCACCCCATCATTGCAGATGCCATGAAAGGCCGCAGTTGAGGAGGCAGAGAGTGTAATGTAATGGGAGTAAGATCAGTCTGGATAGGAATTACAGATCTGTGCTTTGCTTAACCTCTCAGAGCCTCAGCTATTTCATATTATAAAATGTAAATAATTCCCACTCTCTGTAGTTAGCAAAAGGGAGTTAATAATAATATACATAATTATGCCACACACCATATTAGATACACATATGAGCACATTATTATTCATACAGAAATTCCTCAAGTCAGGTATTAATCAGCATCTTTTATTTTACTTATGAAGAAACTGAGTCTCCAGTAGCTAATTAAGTTTATCAAGTCTCCAGAACCTGTAGGTGGTCAACCCAAGTTTAAACCCAAGTTTAAAAGCTATAAGCCCAGAGTTATAGCTTTCTTGCAAACCATGCTGCCACCCATCAAAGAACAAACAGGTGTATAGGAGACAGGCAGAATGGTGACACATAGGAAGTTTTCTCCAGGGGTCTTTAAGTTACAACATATACCCCCTTCAAGAACGTGACATTCGTGGCAGGAAAAAGGATGTGGAAGAGAAGCAGAGGGAGAGAACAATGTCAACATCAGGGAGAAACTCTTAGACAGTAGGGAAGTTGGAGGATTTGGGTGGAAAAACCTGTCTTCACTTGCATCCATGAAGTGTGCCACCAGACTGCATCTTGGTCTAGTGCTATATATTTTGGGGGTTTGACTCTGTCAAAATACCAACTGATAGCTGATACTTTAACACAAGATTCTAGTTCCCAAATGAATCCAAATCTTTAGAGGAGAATATGTGGAGTAAATATCCTCCTCTAAAGATTTGGATTCATTTCGGAACTAGACCAAGCAACAAGACAGAGGGTAAAATCCAGTGCCTGCTTTTTTTTACTGATAAAGCTGGATCATAGATGCTTTTTGGACCCACAGCCAAAATGGGCTTCTGGAACAACTATCCTTTATTTTCTCCCACATTCTATTTCCAGAGGGAACTAAGTGATTAGGCTGTATACAAGAATCACTTTCAATTCTTTGACATGGACCCTTCTTTAAGAGGGGAGAAACACTGCTGGAATTGTCTAATTTTTGAGTCAAAATAGCTACAAGGAAAAGGAGACACTTCTCTCTTTCCAATTATATTAACATAGTATTATAATAAGCATACAGTCTTATTTATTAAGATGAAATAATACTCTTTATCTTGGGTACATTATGATTAAGTAGCTTGTCTAGGAACCTAGCTTCCATATTGAACATTGTTTGTATGCAAAAATACATTCTACAACCTACACAACCCACTCACCAAAGATTGGAAACACAATCCATTTATCAGTATAAATATAGCAATACGTTCTCAAAGTACTCAGTATTTCTTATGAGAGTATCAGCTCTAAACATCTCACTTTTAATTGAAAAAAAAACACACTATGTTAAACTCTAGGGACCATGATAATGAAGAAAATCCAAATTCAACTGACTCTTTTCCCATTCATCTTCTCTGCACATAATACCTTCTGCTTATTTTCATCTTCTTTCCAAACATCCAATTATAAAGGAAACAGAAATATTTTTAAAGAGAAAAATGCTTGTAGATGTGATGTGAATTTATTCTGTTAGGGCTCTGGAAAGCTAAATGCTCTCAGGATACAGGGAGAGAGAATTTACCAAGAAATTCCCCCAAAGAACTAATTTGCTACTCTATTTTTAGAGATTACTACCCTCACTTTTGCTCACTTCAGAATAAGATTAATCTACTTCTGCCTTACCTGTGCACATAAGAAAGTAGTTTCAGATTGCAATTTGATTTTTATTGTGGAGCAACTCTTCATTGAACAAATATTCCCTGGGAATCTACAGTATTCCTGTAAGTATCCTAGTAAGTGGCAATACAGATAGTTTAAATTGATGATTTCAATATCCATATAGATGATCTATCCAAGACCCAGACTGCTTGAATCTTTGACTTCCTCCCCTATAGAAATTGTGTCCTCCATCCCACTTCAGCCACCCACTTTATTGGTATTTCCCAGACTACCACACTCTACTACTATTCCTCTAAATTATTAAGAATACCATACTTACTACCAGCTCCATATACAGCTTCTCCTGCTGTGTCCACATTGCAACAGTTCCTCCCACATAGATTAAAACTGATTTTTTTTGCACTGTCCTTCCTCACCTCTTCTTCCTACTCAACTTGAAATTTGTAGTCCATCAATACTCTACATACTCTCAGCATCTCTCCCTTTTCTTGCCCGGGAAGGGAGGGAGACCTAAACCATGTTCAAGGCCAATTTGCCACCCATTCTGTGCCTGCAAACATGGTTTAGGAAAACACACAACCACATGGATTGGTTCTGCTTTGAATTCATGAGCACTAACCTTCAGAAGGTCCTCACTGCTGTCCAGGAAACATACCACAGTGCCTTAGTCAAATGTCTCTCCCACTCTCCTGGTTGTCTATTTCTCACCTTCTTGTCTCTCCTCAAAGTTCTCTCATCTGTCCCCATCTCCTGACTCTTAGCTGGCCTTGCATCTCATTTAACTGAGACATCAGAGTAATCAGAAGATAATTTTCACATGTTCCCATACCACACCTACCATACTATCTACATCTGGACCACACGTACTGCATTCTTTTCTGTATAATGGTGACAGGATATGCTCTATCTAAAGCCACCCACTTCATGTGTCTGCTAGATCCTATCCTATTTCACTAAATCCCATTTCACCAACTCAAGAAAATTGCTGCAGCAAAGTCTCCCTCTGTCTTCTCCATTACTGTTTCCTCTCTTCCAAATCGTCACCAGCAGCATACCAATAGGATATAATAACCCACGTCAATCCCTTCCAGCTACGGTCTTGATATGGTTTGGCTGCGTCCCCACCCAAATCTCATCTTGAATTCCTACGTGTTGTGGGAGGACCCGGTGGGAGGTAATTGAATCATGGGGGCAAGTCTTTCCCATGCTGTTCTCATGATAGTGAATAAGTCTCACAAGATCTGATGGTTTTAAAAGAGGAGTTCTAAGATTTTTAAAAATATATATTTTAGGTTCCGGCAAGATGGCCAAATACGAACAGCTCCAGTCTGCAGCTCCCAGCAAGAACAACACAGAAGGTGGGTGATTTCTGCATTTCCAACTGAGGTACCCTGTTCATCTCATTAGGACTGGTTAGGCAGTGGGTGCAGCCCACAGAGGGTGAGCAGAAGCAGGGTGGGGCATCACCTCAGCCGGGAAGTACAAGGAGCAGGGGAGCCTCCCTTTACCAGCCAAGGGAAGCCATGAGGGATTGTGCTATCCAGCCCAGTAGCTTTTCCCATGGTTTTTGCAATCAGCAGACCAGGAGATTCCCTCGTGTACCTATACCACCAGGGCCCTGGGTTTCAAGCACAAAACTGGCCAAGTGTTTGGGCAGACACTGAGCTAGTTGCAGGAGTGTCTTTTTTTTTTTTTTTTTTCGTACTCCAGTGGCACCTAGAACCCCAGTGAGACAGAGCCATTCACTCCTCTGGAAAGGGGCTGAAGCCAGGGAGCCAAGTGGTCTTGATCAGAGGACCCTACTCCCACAGAACCCAGCAAGCTAAGAACCACTGGCTTGAAATTCTCGCTGCCAGCACAGCAGTCTGAAGTCAACCTGGAACAATGGAGCTTGGTGTGGGGAGGGGCGTCCACCATTACTGAGCCTCGAGTAGGCGGTTTTCCTCTCACAGTGCTAAGAACTGGGCAGAACCCTACACAGTACAGCAAAGAGGCTGTAGCCAGACTGCCTCTCTAGATTCCTCTTCACTGGGCAGGGCATCTCTGAAAGAAAGGCAACAGCCCCAGTCAGAAGCTTATAGATAAATCTCCCATCTCACTGGGATAGAGCACCTGGTTGTAGGGGCGGCTGTGAGCATAGCTTCAGCAGACTTAAACATTCCTACATGCCAGCTCTGAAGAAAGCAGCGAATCCTGACAAGGAGGGTTCTACCAGCACAGCGCATGAGCTCTGCTAAGGGACAGACTGGCTCCTCAAGTGGGTCCCTGACCCCCATGCTTCCTGACTAGGAGAGACCTCCCAACGGGTGTTGACAGACACCTCATATAGGAGAGCTCAGGCCGGCATTAGGTTAGTGCCTCTCTGGGGAGGAGCTCCCAGAGGAAGGAGTAGGCAGCAATCCTTGCTGTTCTGAAGCCTCTGAGGTGATATCCAGGTAAATAGGTTCTGGAGTGGACCTCTAGCAAACTGCAGCAGACCCGCAGAAGACAGGCCTGACTGTTAGAAGAAAAACTAACAAGCAGAAAGCAGTTAACACCAACATCCACATGAAGAACCCCCACACAGAAACCCCATCCGAAGATCATCAACCTCAAAGATCAAAGGTAGATAGATCCACAAAGATAAGGAATACCAGCATAAAAAGACTGAAAACTCCAAAAACCAGAACGCCTCTTCTCCTGCAAATGATCACAACTCCTCTCCAGAAAGGGCACAAAACTGGACAGAGAATGAGTTTAAGGAATTGACAGAAGTAGGCTTCAGAAGGTGGGTAATAACAAACTCCTCTGAGCTAAAGGAGCATGTTCTAACCCAATGCAAGGAAGCTGAGAAGATTGACAAAAGGTTACAGTAACTGCTAACTAGAATAACCAGTTTAGAGACGAACGTAAATGAACTGATGGAGCCAAAAACACAGCACGAGAACTTCATGAAGCATGCACAAGTATCAACAGCCAAATTGGTCAAGCAAAAGAAAGGATATCAGAGATTCAAGATCAACTTACTGAAATGAGGCATGAAGACAAGATAAGAGAAAAAAGATTGAAAAGAAATGAACAAAGCCTCCAAGAAATATGGGACTATGTGAAAAGACTAAATCTACGATTGATTGGGGTCCCTGAAAGTGACAGGGAGAATGGAACCAAGTTGGAAAACACACTTCAGGATATTATCCAGGAGAACTTCCCCAACCTAGTAAAGCAGGCCAACATTCAAATTCAGGACACCACTAAGATACTCCTCAAGAAGAGAAACCCCAAGACACAGAATGGTCAGATTCTCCAAGGTTGAAATGAAGGAAAAAATGTTAAGGGCAGCCAGAGAGAAAGGTCAGGTTACCTACAAAGGAAAGCCCATCAGACTAACAGTGGATCTGTCTGCAGAAATCCTACAAGCCAGAAGAGAATGGGGGCCAATATTCAACATTATTAAAATAATTTTCAACCCAGAATTTCATATCCAGCCAATCTAAGTTACATAAGTGAAGAAGAAATAAAATCCTTTACAGGCAAGCGAATGCTGAGGGATTTTGTTACCACCAGTCCTGCCTTACAAGAACTCCTGAAGGAAGCACTAAATATGGAAAGGAAAGACCAGTACCAGCCACTGCAAAAACACACCAAAATATGAAGACCAATGACACTATAAAGAAACTGCATCAACTAACGTGGAAAATAACCAGCTAGCATCATGATGACAGGATCAAATTCACACATAACAATATAAACCTTAAGTGTAAATGGGCTAAATGCCCCAGTTAAAAGACACAAACTGACAAAGAGTCAAGACCCATCAGTGTGCTGTATTCAGGAGACCCATCTTACATGCAAAGACACACATAGACTCAAAATAAAGGGATAGAGGAATATTTACCAAGCAAGAGGAAAGCAAAAAAAGCAGGGGCTGTAATCCTAGTCTCTGATGAAACAGATTTTAAACCAACAAAGATCAAAAACGACAAAGAAGGGCGTTACATAATGGTAAAGGGATCAATGCAACAAGAAAAGCTAACTATCATAAATATATATGCACCCAATACAGGAGCACCCAGATTCATAAAACAAGTTCTTAGAGATCTACGAAGAGACTTAGACTCCCACACAATAATAATGGGAGACTTTAACACCCCACTGTCAATATTAGATCAACAAGACAGAAAATTAACCAGGATATTCAGGACTTGAACCCAGCTCTGGACCAAGCAGACCTAATAGATATTACAGAACTCTTCATTCCTTCATTCCAAATTAACAGAATATACATTCTTCTCAGCACCACATAGCACTTATTCTAAAATCGACCACATAATTGGAAGTAAAACACTCCTCAGCAATTGCAAAAGAATGGAAATAATAAGAAACAGCCTCTCAGACAATAGTGCAATCAAATTAGACCTCAGGATTAAAAAACTCAAAACCACACAACTACATGGAAACTGAACGACCTGCTTCTGAATGACTACTGGGTAAATAACAAAATTAAGGCAGAAATAATGAAGTTCTTTGAAACCAATGAGAACAAAGGGACAATGTAGCAGAATCTCTGGGACGCAGCTAAAGCAGTGTTTAGAGGGAAATTTATAGCACTAAATGCCTACATCAGAAAGTGGGAAAGATCTAAAATTAACAGCCTAACATCACAATTAAAAGAACTAGAGAAACAAGATCAAACAAATTCAAAAGCTAGCAGAAAACAAGAAATAACTAAGATCAGAGCAGAACTGAAAGAGATAGAGACACTAAAAACCCTTCAAAAAAATCAATGAATCCAGGAGCTGGCTTTTTGAAAAGATTAACAAAATAGATACGCTGCTAGCCAGACTAATAAAAAAAGAGAGAAGAATCAAATAGACACAATATAAGATGATAGGGGGATATCACCACTAAACCCACAGAAACACAAACTACCATCAGAAAATACTATAAATGCTTCTACGCAAATAAACTAGAAAATCTAGCAGAAATGGGTAAATTCCTGGACACATACACCCTTCCAAGACTAAACCAGGAAGAAGTCGAATCCCTGAATAGAACAATAACAAGTTCTGAAATTGAGGCAGTAATTAATGGCCTACCAACCAAAAAAAGCCTGGGACCAGATGGATTCACAGCCGAGTTCTACCAGAGGTACAAAGAGGATCTTATACCATTCCTTCTGAAACTATTCCAAACAATAGAAAAAGAGAGACTCCTCCCTAACTCATTTTATAAAGCCAGCATCATCCTGATTCTAAAACCCAACAAAGACATAACGAAAAAGGAAAATTTCAGGCCAGTATCACTGATGAACATTGATGTGAAAAGCCTCCATAAAATACTGGCAAACCAAATTCAGCAGCACATCAAAAAGCTTATCCACCACGATCAAGTTGGCTTCATCCCTGGGATGCAAGGCTAGTTAAACATACACAAATCAATTAATGTAATCCATCACATAAACAGAACCAATGAAAAAAACATATGATTATCTCAATAGATGCAGAAAAGGCCTTTGATAAAATTCGACATCTCTTCACACTAAAAACTCCCAATAAACTAGGTATTGAAGGAACATATCTCAAAATAATAAGAGCTATTTATGACAAACCCACAGCCAGTATTATACTGAATGGGCAACTGCTGGAAGCATTCCCTGTGAAAACTGGCACAAGACAAGGATGCCCACTCCTATTCAACATAGTATTGGAAGTTCCAGCCAGAGCAATCAGGCAAGAGAAAGAAATGAAGGGTATTCAAATAGGAAGAGAGGAAGTTAAATTGTCTCTGTTTGCAGACATGATTGTATATTTAGAAAACCCCATTGCCTCAGCCCAAAATCTCCTTAAGCTGATAAACAACTTCAACAAAGTCTCAGGATAAAAATCAATGTGCAAAAATCACAAACATTCCTACACACCAATAATAGACAAGTGGAGACCCAAATCATAAGTGTACTCCCATTTGCAATTGCTACAAAGAAAATAAAATATCTAGGAATACAACTTCCAAGAGATGTGAAGGACCTGTTCAAGGAGAACTATAAACCACTGCTCAAGGGAATAAGAAAGGACACTAACAAACTGAAAAACATTCCAGCTCATGGATAGGAAGAATCAATATCATAAAAATGTCCATACTGCCCAAAGTAATTTACAGACTCAATGCTATTCTCATCAAGCTACCACTGACTTTCTTCACAGAACTGGAAAAAACTACTTTAAATTTCATATGGAACCAAAAAAGAGCCGGTATAGCCAAGAAAATCCTAAGCAAAAAGAACAAAACAGGAGGCATCATGCTACTTCAAACTATACTACAAGGCTACAGTAACCAAAACAGCATGGTACTGGTATCAAAACAGATATATAGACCAATATAACAGAACAGAGGCCTCAGAAATAACACCACACATCTACAACCATCCGAACTTTGACAAACTTGACAAACATAAGCAATGGGGAAAGGATTCCCTATTTAATAAACGATGCTGGGAAAACTGACTAGCCATATGCAGAAAACAGTAACTGGACCCCTTCCTTACACCTTATACAAAAATTAACTCAAGATGGATTAAAGACTTAAATGTAAGACCTAAAACTATAAAAAAGAACCCTAGAAAAAAAAAACATGGGCAATACCATTCAGGAAATAGGCATGGGCAAAGACTTCATGATAAAACACCAAAAGCAATTGCAACAAATGCCAAAATTCACAAATGGAATCTAATTAAACTAAAGAGCTTCTGCTCAGCAAAAGAAACTATCATCAGAGTGAACAGGCAACCTACAGAATGGGAGAAAATTTTTGCAGTCTATCCATCTGACAAAGGGCTAATATCCAGAATCTACAAAGAACTTAAACAAATTTACAAGAAAAAATCAAATGATCCCATCAAAAAGTGGGTGAAGGATATGAACCAACACTTCTCAAAAGAAGACATTTATGTGGCCAACAAACAAAGCTCGTCATCACTGGTCATTAGAGAAATGCAAATCAAAACCACAATGAAATACTATCTCACCCCAGTTAAAATGGTGATCAATAAAATGTCTGGAAACAACAGATGCTGGCAAGGATGTGGAGAAATAGGAACACTTTTATACTGTTAGTGGGAGTGTAAATTTGTTCAACCATTGTGGAAGACAGTGTGGTGATTCCTCAAGGATCTAGAACCAGAAATACCACTTGACCCAGCAATCCCATTACTGGGTATATACCCAAAGGATTATAAATCATTCTACTATAAAGGCACATGCACACATATGTTGATTGCAGCACTATTTACAATAACAAAGACTTGGAACCAATACAAATGCCTATTGATGATAGACTGGCTAGGCCAGGCACGGTGGCTCACACCTGTAATCCCAGCACTTTGGGAGGCCAAGGCAGGTGGATCACAAGATCAGGAGATCGAGACCATCCTGGCTAACATGGTGAAACCCCGTCTCTACTAAACATACAAAAAATTAGCCAGGCATGGTGGTGGATGCCTGTAGTCCCAGCTACTCCGGAGGCTGAGGCAGGAGAATGGCATGAACCCAGGAGGCGGAGCTTGCAGTGAGCCGAGATCACACCACTGCACTCTAACCTGGGCGACAGAGGAAGACTTTGTCTCAAAAAAAAAAAAAAGACTGGATAAAGAAAATGTGGCTCATATACACCATGGAATACTATGTGAGTTCATGTCCTTTGCAGGAACACAAATGAAGCTGGAAACCATCATCCTCAGCAAACTAACACAGGAACAGAAAACCAAACACCACATGTTCTCATTCATAAGTGAGAGCTGAACAATGAGAACATATGGACAGAGGGAGGGGAACATCACACACCGGGGCCTGTCAGGGGTTAGGGGGAAAGGGGAGGGAGAGCATTAGAACAAAAACCTAATGCATGGGGAGCTTAAAACCTAGATGACAGGTTGATAGGTGCAGCAAACCACCATGGCACATGTATACATACCTATGTAACAAACCTGCACATTCAGCACATGTATCTCAGAACTTAAAGAAAGAAAGAGAGAAAGAGGAAAGAAAGAAAGAAAGAAAGAAAGAAAGAAAGAAAGAAAGAAAGAAAGAAAGAAAGAAAGGAGAAAGAAACAAAGAAAGAAAGAAACAAAGAAACAAAGAAACAAAAAGTTCCACTGCACAAACTCTCTGTCTTTGCCTGCTGCCATCCATGTAAGATGTAACTTGCTCCTCCTTGCCTTCTGCCAAGATCGTGAGGCCTCCTCAGCCATGTGGAACTGTAAGTCCATTAAACCTATTTTTCTTCCCAGTCTTGGGTATGTCTTTATCAGCAGCGTGAACACTGACTAATACAGATCCCATTTCTTTTTTTTTCTCTCTCTCTCTCTCTGTCACCCAGGAGTGCAGTGGCACAATCTCAGCTCACTGCAACCTACACTTCCCATACGGCCCCATTTCTTTTAAAGAACAACTGTTTCTAAGAATAGTCTTTATTCCTTCTCCACTTTCTCTCTTTCAGTTCTCTCTTAAACATAGGCCAGTAGGGCTTTGAACCTTATGTCTCCACCAAAACTGATTCTGTCAAGGTCACCCATGGCCTTCACAATGGCATTCTCAATCAATTCTTAGTTCTTACCGGACTTAACCCACCAGCTTCAATTCACAGGATTGACCTCTCCCTTCCCCTTAAGTGCCTTTTGCCCTCACTTTCTAAGCATCACGTGGTTATTCTCCTAGCTTCTCCTTCTCAGGTTCCTTCACTGGTATCTCCTCTTTTTCCTGACTTCTGAATGGTGAAGTGCTCAGGACCCAGTCCTTGGATCTCAATTCTTATTTATTTTATCTTTATCTTATTTAAACTTACTCCCTGGGTCAACTCATCTAATCCTATGGCTTTATATATCATTGATATGTTTATGATATCCATACATTCATCACTAACCTAGACATCTCTGAACCCCACACTCCTAATCCAACTTCCTATTTAAAATCTCCTAGATGTTCCATAGGCATCTCAAACTCCACAATTACAGAACTCAGTTCCTTAATTTTTTTTCCCATCCACTCTTCCCATCACCTTTCCTACATCAGCAAATGGCAGTTCCATCTTTTCAGTTTCTCAGGCTAAAAACATTAGGGTCATTCTTTACTCCTATCCCACACATTACTTGTCAACTGTTGTCCTTAATTTTGAAGACTATCTAGAAGTGAACCACTTCTCACAACTACCCTAGGCCAAGCTGCCAACATTCATTCCCTAAATAATTAATGCAATAAATCTTTGAATGAGTCAACTAGTCCCCCTATTTCCATTCTTGCCCCTTCACACTCTGTTTCCCACAAAACAGCCAGAATGACCTTTTAAAATCAAACGATTTCTCTCCTGTGGTCAAAACTCTCCCACAGATTCCCATGTCACTCAGAATAAACCTAGAAGCCCTTACCCAGTCCTAAAGGCCTTTGGTATCCCAGCCTGGCTCCCTCCGTCTCTGACCCCATCTCCTACCTGTGCCTCCTCTCTCACTTTGCTCCTGCCACAGTGGCTTCCACGCTGTCCTGTTCCATCCATCACTTATCTGCCTCTAGAATGTTGTCCTGAGTGCTCTTCATGACTAGAAACCTCTTCCTCTTGATATCCTCTCTTAGCTTCCTCCTCCATTTCACACAGGTCTATACCCAAATTACCTTAATGGAATGGAACCCTAAGTAATCCGTGTAAAATAGCTGTGCACTCTCACTCTTGTCTTCTACCCTGGCTTTGTTTTTCTTCTTAGTGTCTATCCATCCTGACACCTTGTGTGATCTCTTGTTCGCCCCACTAGAATATGTATTCCATGAGACTAGGCACTTCATGTCTTTTTGTTCAATACTACCTTATCAGTGCCTACAACAATGTCTCTAGAGGCATTCAGAAAATAAGCTGAGTGAATGAATGAATGATGAGTGGATGAATGGACTTTTGGGTTATGAGGCTGTTAATGTTTTCTGGAAAGACCTTTCACAAATCAGGGCCACAATAAAAATGTGAATAAAAAATCAGAATCAGCTTTCATACTATGATGTTGAGGAGATTCTCCATGCTCTTAACCAGAACCTTCAAGAAATGCAGAGCTGAGGGTCACTCAGGACTGAGATAGTTTATTCTGTTATATTTTCTAAGTCAATTCAAATAACAAATATCAACTATGACTTGAGTCTCACACCTCCATAAATATTAATCTTGCTTTAGCCAAGTATGGTGGCATGCACCTGTGGTCCCAGCTGCACAGGAGGCTGAGGCAGAAGGATCACTTGAGTTCAGGAGGTCAAGGCTGCAGTGAGCAGTGTTTGCACCACTGCACTCCAGCCTGGGTGAGAGAGAGAGTCCCTGTCTCAAAAACAAAAACAAAAAAATTTAAGTAGATTAACTTTGCCTGATCATGGACAATGATCAAAAGGATCAGGAATGTTTTAGCTTGTTCCCTCCTTAAGATCATACCAGGCCATGAATTGTTCCTAGCAGGATCTCTCCCTTCCCAGTTGAGCCAGCGCACATATGCCTCATCTGTCATTCTGATGCTATTTTCTTTTCTTTCCCTGGGTCAGTTGGCAATTATTCCTGTGAACTGCATAATATGACCATTCTTCAAAGGACTCACACTCCAGATCCACACTTTTTCTGTAAGGGTGAAGATCTGAATGTCTCACCGGTGTTAAAATAGACAGACTTAAAATATTATCAATGCCTCTTTTACTGACCCACCGGGTGGGAACAAGTTCACAGACCAAAACTTGGACTTATTCCTCTATCCCCCTAAACTGAAAAGCATCAAGTAGATGACTATGACTCTCTACTAACAGAGGATTGAACATCTTCTGTGTCCAGTCCCTGGATCTATCCAACGCTCAAGCCAGTCCCTTTCTTCTATTCAGAAAACATATTTCCCTCTGCTCTAGGTAGCTGCTACAAACACATGGACCATGGATAAGACCACAAGTTTGGTAGTCAGAGATGGGTTTGCTTCCCAACTCAGCCCCTTATTGACTGTGTGATCATGGTTAGTTACTTCACCTTTTTGAAATTCAGTTCTTTTATCTGTAAAGTAGGGATAACAATCATACCTACCTCATAAGGTTGCTGAAAGGTTTACTTAAAGTAACATGTAAGAGCCTAATACCATGCCAGGCATGTAGGAAGGATTTAATAGATCAATTTTTTTATTTTTACTTTTCAGGGCTCTTCTCACTATGATATGTTGTCTCCACATAAATAACAATGATTTCTTATTCCACGTGCCCATTTGCAATATGACTTTGACAATCTCTCCCCCTATCAAGAAGCAGAATCTATTTCTCACCCACCTCCTCGCTTGAATATTCTGGACTGGCCCTGTGACTTGCTTTCATCAATAAAATGCAGCAGAACTGATGCTTTGTGACTTCAAGCCTAGAACTTAAAAGCCTTGGAGCACCTGTTTTACTCTCTTAGACAGCTGGCCTGGAAAAAAGCTGGGGCTAAGCCATTGAAGAGTGCAATATCACATGCAGAGAAAAGCCACTTAGAGAAAGACTGAGGCACTGCAGCCAGCAGCCACCAAGGCCCAGAGGTGTCCAGGAGCCATCTCAGATAGAAGAGTTGGATTATCATTGTCTGTCTAGTGTAGCCACATCTGAACATTTCCATACTAAAATATTACAGATATTACTTTCTCTTAAATTACTTTCCTTTTGTTATGTTAGGGAATTTTGTGGATTTGGTTTTGAAACTATATTATAGGTGGGTTGTATTACCTTTTCAGTAAAGTGAAGAAAGTGTTATGTAATATTTGTTATAAAAAGAGGGCATAAGATAGCAAATCACTGCCTTTAGACAGCTTAAACTGGCTCACCCAGACCCAGAAGCCCCCTGACTAATGTTTGATTACCCATTTATAATCTGAATAAAAACTACGTATAATTTCTCACAAACTCGCTGATTCATTTCTTCTCTCACAGATCTCTTTGTCCAGGCCAGAGTTTCTCAACATTCGCTAATCCAGGACTTTTTGAGTAACATAAAAACAATTTCTCTCTCCCTCTCTCTCTTTCTCTCTGTGTGTGTGTGTGTGTGTGTGTATGTGTGTCTTTCTCTCACATGCACACACACACAGCAGATTTGCTGAGACAGCCTCCTTCCTGTGTCTCCAGCGGAAGGCCCACCCCTTCCAATCACAGCACTAGATGATGAGAAGCTCCTCCAGGAACTGAACAGTCAGGTGCATCCCCAGGCACCATCTCTTTTCCCAAAGCACCTAGAACAGAACCCAGTACTTAATAAATATTTAGTTTATTTATTCTGTGTTGACTTCATAAAGTAAAAGAAAACATTGCCTGAAATTAGTATCAACTCATTCAAAGTTCTGGCTCACTCCAATCTCCAGAGGAAATATTTACCTCCAGGCTTCCCTCCACACATATGTGGAAATCAAAAGCCTGAAGAATTCTCCTACAATACCAATATCTTCACATTAAATGCAATTTTGCACAAAACCAAGTTAATTGCCTAGAAATATTCAGAGGGGTTGTATTAATTATTTTGTATAATAGAGTTTTATAAAGTATCTTCATTTGTGGAGAGAACTAACATTTATTGTATCAGGTACTTTATAATAATATAAATTGTATACTTTACCTCAATGCTCACAACATAGCTAGTGCAATTCCCACTTCACAGATGAGGAAATCAATGGACAATGAGTATGAAGTATCTTGAAGGTCAAGGTCATACACTGCCAACTGGCAGAGCCCAAGTCTCTGAAGGCTAAGTCTCATGTGCTTTTTGCTCCATCTCAACTGTTAACAGCTATAGAAAGGTCACATGGCCTGGAGCAATTACTTAATCTCTTTGGTCTTCACTTTTCTATCTGTAAAATGGGGAAGATAATATCACCAACATAACAGAGCTTTGCAGATCACGAGTTGCTACAAGTAAACTGCTTAGGCCAGCATCTGGCATATAGTAAGAACAAAAACACAATTTGGTAATCATTATTTCTTGGCCTCTGGTGTTTTCCACAGAAGGAATTTCTGTGTGTTCAGAACGCTAAGGAGAGACCTCATGGGTTCATGGGAGATTGAGCTCTGATAAGGATGGGAAAACAGGAAGTAAACAGGCTGTACCAGGTGTCTCCTATTACAGCCTGTTTTGTATTTCCCATGAAAAGGGCTTTCAACACTTGGTATATCATCAATGCCTATTTCCATGATTCATTTATTTTTTCTGACTTCTCAATGTGTGTTCCCAGCACCTGGAGGCATAAAAACCCACATAGTGAAACCCCAACATTGAGACATCACAGAAACAATACTTTTCAATCAGGACTCACAACCTGGATTTTTTGGGAAATGCAGAATGGAAGCGATCTTAGTGATGGTATTGCAATACCACCCCCCTATTTTACTGAAGAGGAAACTGAGGCATGGAGAGGAAAAGCGGCTGTTTTCTCAAGCTCTTCCTCAATAGTTTGGTGAAGTGATCACCCTCCTTATTTTACATGTCTCACTGCTCCCCAGTGCACAGCCTATACTCCAGCCATTGCAAACTCTGCGAGCCCCCAGATAGACCATGTCCTCAACCCCAGGCCCATCTGCCTTGCACATGCGGTTCTTCAGCCCCCCAGAATCTCTGTCTGTATTGTTCACCTAGCTATTTGCAGCTTGTCCATCCAGCTCAGCTCAAACCCCCATGACACTCAACTAACTGGCTTCTGTCAACAGACTCTTCCTCCTGCCAGGACTGCCTTCCGACTTTCCTAGTTTCATTTGCTTAATATAGTTCAGATCACAACACTGTCCTGCTTAAAAGTCTGTGGCATATAGTAAGAACAAAATTGGCCGGGCGCGGTGGCTCACACCTGTAATCCCAGCACTTCGGAAGGCCGAGGCAGGCGGATTAGGAGGACAGGAGAGCGAGACCATCCTGGCTAACACGGTGAAACCCTGTCTCTACTAAAAATACAAAATAAATAGCCGGGCGTGGTGGCGGGTGCCTGTAGTCCCAGCTACTCGGGAGGCTAAGGCAGGAGAATGGCGTTGAACCCGGGAGGCGGAGCTTGCAGTGAGCCGAGATCGGGCCACTGCACTCCAGCCTGGGCGACAGAGCGAGACTCTGTCTCAAAAAAAAAAAAAAAAAAAAAAAAAAGAACAAAATGGCTTCTAGACACGATTAAGGTCTAATCCAAACAAGATCCCCCAGGGGCATGCCCTGCCAACCTCTCTGACCTTACGTCTACCATCTCCCTGACACTGTGCTTCTTCCATAAGATCTTTTCTTCTGCTCCCCAAACACCGAGAGTCTTGCGAGGGGCCTCAGGGCTTGTGCACCTGCTTTCTCTTCTCCCTGAAACCCTTGACCTCAGACTCACCTCACAGAGGTAACCCCTTGTCATTCTGATCTCAAGCCAAATCCCTGTCTCAGATTCCTCCCATCACCACATGGTTATCCTAACTTCCCATCCCCCTGGGTATTTTTCTGTAAAACATTTGCAACTCTGTAAATTTATTGTGTGTGTGCATTTACTGCCTGTCTCTCCCACTAGATTTTCTACTCTGTAAGAGAAGGAATATGGTCTTGTTTGCTGATCATCTTCGGAGCCTAGCACAGTGTCTGGTACAGAGTTGGTGCTCAAAAAGTCTGACCAGATGGATGGATGAATTCATACCTAACCCTGCCAGACTACCCCTAAAGGCTGGTGTTTTCAAAAAAATACAAATGACAGCTAATAAATTATCTGTTATCTACTGTCAATCAGCTGGGGTTTCCCAGAATAGTCTCAAAATATTGGTCTCATCATTGAAATGTTATGCATTGTTTTTCTTGAAACAATTCATTGTTCTCTCCACTCATCCTTATCTGAGAATTCTATTTTGATCTTCTCACCACATTTGGGTTTAAATTCAAAAAAATGGACAGATGAAGCATCTTCCTTTTGGTAAAAGATGCTAGAGATTCAGCATCAATGTGCCTACTGCATTGACACAGAAGAGCCCCTGACCCAGGGATGCCCTGGGTGGGAGGGAAACAGACCCCCAGGGAAGGGAGTCAAGGATCACAGGTTCTTTTTCCCTCCGAGGTGTGACTAATAATTATTCAATGTCTCATTCTCTTTATATTCTAAAATACATTGGATGTTCTCTGAGGCCTCTTCCCAGGCTAAAGTTAATTAACATTCATTCACTCAACAAAGACAGACACATATATATATGCCATGTGTTTGTGCCAAGCACTGTCAAGATGCAGTAAATACAGCTGTGGAAGAACAGCCAAGAATATATCTACCTTCAAGGAGTTTATGGGATTCTCTGGAGCAAAATCTGCTATTGAATTCTCAAAAGGTTTTATCTTACTTATGGAATATTTTAATTCCAAGAGAGTGAGTTTCTTACACACTGCCACCCTGGAATGAGACATTTAATCTTTGCCTTCCAGCCTCATCCTCTGCTTCCTACCATGAGTGACAGAAACCCCACCCCCTGCCTCTTCTCTTATCTCTGCTGGGTGTTTTGTCCAGCCAGTGTTTAGGCTTTCCCACTGTATTAGTAGGGGTTCTCTAAAGGGACAGAACTAATAGGATAGACGTATATATGAAGGGGAGTTTATTAGAAGACTTGACTCACACAATCACAGGTGAAGTCCCACAATAGGCCATCTGCAAGCTGAGGAGCAAGGAAGCCAGTCTAAGTCCCAAAATCTCAAAAGTAGGGAAGCTGACAGTGCAACCTCCAGTCTGTGACCAAAGGCCTGAAAGTCCCCGGCAAGCCACTGGTGTAAGTCTAAAAATCCAAAAGCTGAAGAACTTGGAGTCTGATGTTTGAGGGCAGGAAGTATCCAGCAAGGGAGAAAGATGTAGGCTGGAGGACTCAGCAGTCTAGTCCTTCCACATTCTTCTGCCTGCTTTATTCTAGCCACACTGCCAGCTGATCAGATGGGGCCCACCTAGATTGAGGGTGGGTCTGCCTGTCCTAGTCTACTGACTCAAATGTTAATCTCCCTTGGCAACACCCTCACAGACACACCCAGGAATAATATTTTGCATCCTGCAATCCAATCAAGTTGACACTCAATATTAACCATCACACCCACCAAACACCACAGATCAGATGGGGAGGGGGACTTAGCTGCACAAGTGAAG
This sequence comes from Homo sapiens, assembly GCF_000001405.40. Lineage (NCBI taxonomy): Eukaryota > Metazoa > Chordata > Mammalia > Primates > Hominidae > Homo > Homo sapiens. Next base: position 13,731,024 of record NC_000004.12, on the reverse strand, counting down.
CTGCAGTGTATGCAAAGAGAGAACATGGGTTAGGATTCAGGAGCTGGGCATTAATCCCCACTCTGCCACTCACTTGGAGTCTCTTGAGAATGTCTCTTATCCTCTCTGGCTCTCAGTTTCCTTACCTACAAATAGGGTGTGGTGGCCATGAGAATGCACCTCTGAGAACTCCCACTACATGAAGCAGAATTGACCAAGAATCCCAGCCTTACTGTATGAGATCAGTTACCACATAGGCACCACCAGCAGCTCCCAGCTAAAGTCCGTGTGTGGCAGGGACACTTCTGAAAGAGGTAGGTGCATTTCTAGGAAACAGAGAACTCCTCTGATCAGCAGCTCTGACCCAACTCTCCACCAGCTTTGCTAAAACTTTCTTCACACTGCATGGCAATCTAGTACTTTCCCCACTCGAACTTCTTGCCTCTCTGCTCCCCATGAATAAGACCTATATCATGGCTCTTATTCCAGTCTCCATGTTTCTTCACTGTTTCCCCTCGAGAGTGGTTTTTCTAATCAATCCCTTGCATACTTAATACCATCCTAACTCCTGCTTCTTGAACCAACACACTGGGAAAACAACAACATATTTTATCTCACATGTTATGAAGATGGTGTCAGTGAAAATGTCTTATAAAGTATATAAGGCTTTACAAAATACAAAACATCCTGTGAAAGAGACAGTATCATTCATTCATTTATTCCACAGTTTGGTACTGATCAGCCCACCATGAGCTGGGCCCTGGGCAAAGGATCTTGAAGTAAGGAATGATGTCCTTTCTTGACCAGATCAAAGGCTAGAGGAGACCCCCAGATTCAGCACGGCCTTGTTTTAGAAACTAATATCTTAGGCCAGGTACAATAGTTCATGCCTGTAATCCCAGCACTTTGGGAGGCCAGGGCTGGGGGATTGCTTGAGCCCAGGAATTTGAGACCTGGACAACATAGTGGAAGCTTGTCTCTAAAAAAAAAAAAAAAATTCAAAAAATTAGCCAGGTGTGGTGGCACATGCCTGTGGTCCAGCTTCTCAGGAGGCTGAGGTCGGAGGCAGGATCACTTGAGCCCAGGAGGCAGAGACTGCAGTGAACCATGATCACACCACTGCACTCCAGCCTGGGTGACAGAGCAAGAACCTGCCTCAAAAAAAAAAAAAAAATTAAAACAAAAATAAAGAAAAGAGAAGGACAGGAAAATTCTTGGTTTATAATTTCAATTTTTATCTTAGATTCAGGGGTACATGTGCACATTTATTACATGGGTATATTGTGTGATGCTGAGATTCGGGGTATGATTGATCCCGTCACCCAGGTGGTAAGCATAGTACCCAATAGTTAGTCCTCCAAACCTTTCTCCTTCCTGCCCTCCCTTCTACCTCTAGTAGTCTTCAGTGTCTATTGTTGCCATCTTTATGTGCATAAGTACTCAATGTTTAGTTCCCACTTATAAGTGGGAATATGTGGTATTTGGTTTCCTGTTTCTGCATTAATTCACTTAGGATAATGGCCTCCAGCTGCATCCATGTTGCTGAAAAGGACATGATTTCATTCCTTTGGATGGCCGCATAGTATTCCATGGTTTATATGTACCACATTTTCCTTATCTAATCCACCACTGATGGGCATGAAGGTTGATTCCATGTCTTTGCTATTATGAATACTGCTGGGATGAACATATGAGTGCATGTATCTTTTTGGAAAAATGATTTATCTTCTTTTAGATATATACCCAGCGATGGGGTTGCTGGGTCAAAAATAATATCTTAGATAATAATTTTTGGTAGGGAAATGGGGAAAATAAAACAGTAAGAGAAAAGATGAAGGAAAGAGGGAAGAAAGAAGCAGCCATTACACCAAGGAACTGTGAGTGTTAGTGGCTACCTAAGTGAGAGTTTTTTAAATTGCACTCAAATGCAATTTGATGCTCTACTCCTGCCAGAGTCTTGCAGCACCAGCGTGACTTGTTGGGATGCAATGGTTGTAACACTTCTGCGGGGAAACTTCCACTGTTGTTACCATTTCATGGTCCAGAATATTCAGCTAGACAAAAGACCTCCAGGAGAATATGTTCTGTGTTGTAATTTTCCAAAGGCGATATGATTATAAAACCCAAGCAGATGGAAAGACGATTGCAGTGGACGGGGAAAGCTGTTAGCAGTTTCCATTTGTAGACAAAACCATTATTTTTGGACAGATCGCTGCCAGAATTTGATGAATCTTGTACTCTTTGCACCCTCTGCTTTGCAGAAAGCCCTGTAGCTCTGTCAGACTTTGCAAACAGTTGTGGGATGCTATTTTTTGTACATTTGCTTATGTCAAAGGCATTGACTCATAGAGTTTCACATTTAGCTTGCTGTTAATCTCCAATCTGCCATTAATGTATAGTTCCCAACTCTGAAAATTGGACTTCAAAATAAATGGCGACCTGATCATACTTTATTTAAAATATTACTGCACCCCATCATTCTATGTCAAGGCTCAGCTTGTTTATGGGAGAGCTTGATTACATAATTACATATTAGAAATCATTTGTAAGGAAAATTGATTAGTGTATTTTACAGCAAGGATTTCACCAGAAATAACCCTGTCTCTCGCTGCAGGAGCAGAGCACCAGGTTGAAAATGGCACAACCTCAGGAGCTTGTCACTATCCTGTTTATTTCTTGTCACAGGAAGGAGTAATTGCCCATAGAGCAATGAGAAACAAAACTGTCAGCTTCAAACACTGTGATCCACAAATCAAGTTTTAGGCAATATGATGGGGTTCTGGAAAGAGTGCTCAGCAGGAACTCACATGTCCCTAGTTCTCGTTGCAAGCCTGGGGGTAAATTGTAGGCAAATTGCTCACCCTCTCGAAACCTTCACTCCTTCATCAATAAATGGGAATGCAACAGTGGATTGCCAAGGGTAAGAGGTAGACAGTGTCCACACACAGATGCATGGGAGTTGAGCAGAAGCTCAAGGCAGAGATGAGCATCGCTTCAGACTGGAAGATTAATGGAGGATGGGTGGATGACCATCATTTGGTGGTCCTTCCTCTTCAGTGTCAGGAGCACTAAGACAGTGCCCACTCAGCTTCCACACAGCCCCAGGATTCCCAGGTCAAGTCTCTCCATTTCTGTCTATCATGCTTTCCTGTCTGCATGTTCTCACTCCTGTCTGTGGCCTCGTTTTTGTTTTTCATGATCTCTGGGAACAGAAAAATTTGTTTTGAAAAAAAGAAGTCTGAATCTTTCTGTTCTCATGTTTGCAGCCTTTGTTTCTAGTTCTGCAGAAGATGACTTGCGTCTTTTTTTATGAGTTGAGAGTAAAGAAAGCACACTAATTAAAACCTCAAAATAATACCAGTCCATAGAAATATAATAATAACAACAACAAAGCTAGTAATAAGATCTGACCTTCCAATAGCATGGACTTTTATGAGGAACAATGGAATAAATGGTGAATTGTCACAAATATGAACTGCTTATTTAGATTAAAGAATTTTTAAATTAACTTTTACTTTGTTTTTTTCTCGTTTGTGAAGTCAGATTCATCATAAAAAAAGGAAATGCGCATGAACAAATTAAAAGAAGAAGAGAAAAAAGAGGAGTAAAAAACGGAAGAAAGACAGGACAGAAATTATCATTCATAATCTCTCTTTCTAATTCCTTCATCCAAAGGAAAAATTTGTTAACATTTTAGGGCATCTTCTTACACTGTTTTCTGTGAATGTGCAATATAAATTTACCAGAATAGAGTCACACCATATGTACTTGTACTATTACCTGCATCTTTAACTCAACTATATATCATAAGTAATTTTCCATGTTATAGTATATTTATTTGATCACGCCATTTGAAACAGCTGTATTTTATCTCATTGCACATATGCACCATAATCCAGAAAAAAACACCCTGGAAACTTCTTTGTCACCATATCTTTGCACTTGTCCTTATTTATCTCCAGTTCCCTAGCATTGTTTTGAAAATGTTTCTGCCATTATGAGAGCAAAATATAACAACTAGGACCAGCCCAAAGATTGTCTTAGAAACCAGGCATGTTGAATGGGTTGCAAACGAGACCTTTTCTTAGAAACTTGCTCATCTCTTCTATAAGGCTATGGCTTAAGCCCTTTCAGGCTGCTGCTTCCACTTGATATGATACTTTTGTGCTTCCTGAGGGTAACAATGTTTTATTCATCTCCTTAACACCAATGCCCATCTCAGGGTCCAGCCCATAGTAGGTCTCAACAAATAATTGTCCAACTGAACCAAACTAAACCCTTTTCTACTTGTGAGTAAATGCCTACTCATGCTGCAGGAAGTCCTAACTCAAAAATCGCCTCCTTTTTTCTGTGAGCACGTAGTTTTTGTCTCCATCCACAATAATTTCAGATAATTTTATCCATATTCTTTATGGATAAAGATTTTCCAATAGATTTTCTGTGTCTGCTTATCTTCCTCACATATCAGACATGTTTATTCCCAGCACTTAGCAGAGTCTGGCATGAAATAAACTGAATGAACATTCAGAAGTTGGGGATTTTCTGAAGCTAGCACAGTCATACACAATGTTGGTACTTAATAAATGCTTGTTGAATTGAACTGAACTGAACTGAATTGGTGCTAGGATTTCCAGCAGTGAAATTGGATAAATTGCTACTTCTTTACCTCTCGTTTTACCCTTAATGATCTTACTGATGTCCAATGACGGATGAGCACAACACAAACTGTTTCCCCTTTATCACCTCCCAAAACTGAAAATGCTGACACTTTTCATGCCCTGTTGATTCTTTTCCTTCTTACAAACGATAAGGTCAGACACGGTTTACTTGCAGTCATTGTATCGATCTTCATTCTGGAGATGCAATTGGATCTTTCCCTCACAGGCAAGTTGTCACTGACTTTTACTTGGAGAGACAGATACTGACCATGGGATGCACTGGGAGAAGCCAAGACTCAGTATTCAATTGTGACTGGCCCAGTGAGCTGGAATTTTTAACCAGACAGAGCTAACTTTTATTATCTTGTTGGATGGTCTCTTCCATGTTGCTTCCAAAAGAGGCTTATACAAACACAGATTTGTACTGTGAGAAAAGGGACATTAAATTATTTAAACTTTTAAATTAAATAAAATTTGCATCCTTTTTAAACTCACTGTTGTTTTAAGTCATATATCGGGTACACCAAAGAATAGTGAAGACAAAATCTATCTGAGTGAGCAGATTCAGATGAAGTAAGAGTATAGCTCTTTACCTTGGATAGGTCTGCCCAGTTTAAAAAACACATTCATAAGCATTGACTCAGTTGTCCTTGAGAAAACCCTTGCAAGAACAAAATACTTATTCTCAGAAGGAGAAACCAAGGCTCATAGAGAATAAGGAATAAATTGAATGTGGCACAGCTGCTAAGAGGTCAAATAGTCAAAGTCTTTGTTCTACTATATCTTGCCATTATTGGCTTTTGTGAAGTAAAACTGTTCCTAAACACTTTCCTATGCAATATCTCACTGGGTACTGACAATAACCCAGTGAAAATATTTTATGATCCCGCTGCAGGGTAAAAATTTGTGTATCAGTAAGTGATTATTTTTAATGTAAAATTGAGCTAGATCTAACAACCATGCATAGGATTTGCATGCTAAAAACTACCAATGCTGATTGTTTAAAAATCAAATAAGGTCTACATGAATGGAGAGACATACTGTGTTCAGGTTTTGGAAGGCTCGACATAGTAAAAATGTCAGTTCTCCCCAAATTAATATGCAGATTTAATCACAATGCTCATCAGTATCTCAGCAAGAGTTTTTGTAGATACAGACAAGAGTATTCTAAAGTGTATGTGGAAACGCAAAGAAACTGTAATGGCTAAACAATATTGAAAATGAATTAAGTGAAAAAATTAGCCTACCCAGTTTCAAGACTTATTTTACAGCTACATTATCAAGATTGTGTAGGAATGGCAAAAGAATAGACACATGAATCAATGGACCCAAATACAGAACCTAGAAATAGATCCACACTAATATGGCCAACTGATTTTTGACAAAGCTGCAAAAGTAATTCAATGGAGAAAAAATAGCCTTCTCAAGAAATGGTCATCCATTCTTGGGCCAATGGAACATCCATAGACAAGAAAAAAAAAAGAATCTAAACCCAAATCTCATACCTTACTTGCCTTATTAAAAAATTAACTCAAAAACGATCATGGATTTTAGGTAAACAAAAAATTACATAATAAAAAAATCTTTAGATCTAGACCTAAGCAAAGGATTCTCAGGGTTGACACCAAAAGCACAACCCTTAAAAGAAAAAAAATGATAAATTTAACTTCATCCAAATAAAAACATTGCTCTGTAATAGACTGTTAAGAAATGAAAAGATAAGATTGGGTGCATTCAGGGTGGTATGGCCGTAGACAGCATGGACAGAACTGGAGATCATTATGTTAAGTGAAATAAGCCAGGCACAGAAAGACAAACATCACATATTCTCACTTATTTCTGGGATCTAAAAGTCAAAATAACTGAACTCGTGGACATAGAGAGTAGAAGTTACCAGAGGCTGGGAAGGGTAGTGGGAGGGTGCGGGGTTGGTAGTGGGGATGGTTACTGGGTACAAAAAAATATTTAGAAAGAATGAATAAGACCTACAATTTGAAAGCATAACAGAGTAACTATAGTCACTTAATCGTACATTTTAAAATAACTTAAAGAGTATAACTGGATTGTCTGTTAATCAAAGGATAAATGCTTGAGGGGATGGTTAACTCATTCTTCATGATATGCTTTTTTCACATTGCACACCTGTATCAAAACATCTCATGTACCCCATAAAAATATATACCTATTATGTACCCACAAAAATTAAAAATTAAAAATGTTTTTAAAAACAAACAAGAAACGAAAGGAGAAGTTACAGAATGGAGGAAAATATTTGCAAACCACACATCCAACAAAGAACTAGTACCTAAAATGTGTAAAAAAAAAAAAAAACTCTCAAAATTCAACAGTAAGAAACTGTATAAAATGGATATAAGACATAAAGAGATATTTCTTCAAAGAGAATACAGAGTAAGCAAATAAGCACAAGAAAATATGTTCAACATCATTAGCCATTAGGAAAATGAAAATTAAAACTACAAGGCGATAATACTACACACATATTAGAATGGCCAAAGTAAAAATAGCAACACCGCCATTGATAGTGAGGATGCAGGGAAACTGCATTTTCATACATTGCTGATAGTGATATAAAATGGTAGAGTCACTCTGAAAAACAGTTCGACTGTTTTTTAAAATACTAAATATACAGCCACCATACGGCATGGAAGTAGCACTCCTGGGCATTTATTCCAGAGAAATAAAGACTTATGTTCACACAAAAATCTGTAAACAAATGTTTACAGCAGCTGTGTTCATAATAACCAAAAACTGGAAACAACCCAAATGTCCTTCAGTGGTTAAACAAACTGGTACATTCATACCATGGAATACAAAGCAATTAAAAGGAATTAATAATTAGCAATAAAAGGGAATGAATTATTGTTATACACAACAGCCTAGATGAATCTCCAGAGCATTATGCTAAGTAGAAAAGTCAATCCCAAAAGGTTTCATACTATATTATTCCATTTATATAACATTCTTGAATGACAAATTTATCTAAATGGAGAAGAGACTAGTGGTTCCCAGGGTTTATGGAAGGGACAAGGGTAGGGGAAACTGGCCGTGGCTACTAAAGGGTAACACAAGGAATCCTTATGGTGATGGAATATTCTGCCTCTTGACTCTGTCAATGATAATCTTAGTTGTGGTATTGTACTATTGTTTTGTAGGATATTATTACTGGGGGAAGGTGAATAAATGGAACACAGGAATTTCTTACAACTTCACGTGAATCTACAATTATCTCAAAATAAAATGCTTAATTTAAAAAATAGAAGTGGGGAAAAAAGCCTAAAAAATAGAACAATATTCAGGAGGATGTCAGAGTTTGGGTTTCTACTAATAGTATAGACCACTTCTTGTGACCTCTTTTGCATTGGTTTAATTTTCTCTAAGATATCTGGATGAGACAACCACCCTTTTGACCACTTAACCACACCCAGAAAGTCATGGATTTATACTTACTGATTCTTCTGCCCAGATTGTACCTTCACTCACATTCTTCCATCAAGCTTCGCCTTGTGATTAAAGACACACCTTATGTAACTGATGTATTACACACAGCAAGCACAGTAAATCATTAGCTCCTTTGTGCTACTACTCTATCTTTTATATACTTCTAGCTGGCACACTGTCTTTTGATGGTGTCTTGAAATTATCTCTATGTTCTTCTACCTTAGTAATTCCTTACTTGTCCTATAAGAAAGTTTTGAGCATCAACTAATACAATGACTTTAAAGAGGCCGTGGGTGTGATCTGCACACTGCTCAGATCCTCCTGATCAACAGAAGCACTCATTTTTCCTCTCCTGCCCAGCTTCTGTGAGTAGTGGCTGCTGATGTCTCATAGCTGAATCCTTCTCCATACCCCTTGGCAGAGCTGAGCAGCCTTACCCCATGTTATACTTCTTTCTTAGGGACATCAGGTGATGTGAGGGTGCTGTTTTAGTTCTTCTGTTGCTATAATAGAATAACGCAGACTGGGTAATTTATTAAGAAAATTAATTTATTTCTCATAGTTCTGGAAGCTGGGAAGTCCAGGAGTATGGCACCAGTAGCTAGCAAAGGTCTTTCCATGGTAGAAGGGCAAAAGGCAAAAGCAAGAAGGCAAGACAGAGAGACGAAAGTGGGCCAAACTCACTTTTATAACAGGTCTCACAGTAACTAACCCACACCAGTGATAACAGCATTAATCCATTCATGACAGTAGAGCCCTCATAACCTCACTTCTTAGAGGCCCCACCTCTTAATACTGTTACAATGGCAGTTAAATTCAACATGAGTTTTAGAGGAAGCATTCAAACCACGGCAAGTACAAAGATCAACCCCACCTAGATTTGGCACAATTCTGAAGGGCCATCCCAGCTCCAAACTCCATGGAATCATCTAAAACCTCTATTGCAAGTGCACTAACTTCTCCATCTGACCAATTATGTTTTCCTTATTCCCTATTAAGTGTTGTTGCAAAAACTACTCCTCAGTAAACTCCCTATGTATACATCTTGATCTCAGAGCATTTCCCAAGAAACCCAGAGATAGTTAGTGCTAGAAGTAGTCTAAAGAATAGAATTTTTTTTTAATTTTTGTTTTAAGTTCCGGAGTACATGTACAGGATGTATAGGTTTGTTATACAGGTAAATGTGTGCCATGGTGGTTTGCTGCACCTATCAACCCATCACCTAGGTATTAGGTATGCATTAGCCAGCATGCATTAGCTATTTTTTCCTAATACTATCCCTCCCCACACCCCACCCCTCAGACAGGCCCCAGTGTGTGTTGTTCCCCTCCCTGTGTCCATGTGTTCTCATTGTAAAGAACAGATTTTTTAAATGGGATTTTGGAGCTATATCACCTGCCAGCTGGTTGACACTATGGACTTCATCACAAGTGACAGATGAAGTGCTAATAGCCCTCAGTATACTATAGCTGCAATTGTTACAGTTTTCACTAGTGGAAAACTGAGATGGAATATTGGTGGATGAAAAAAAGCAAGTAGGGGCAATATCTCAAGTGTTGCAGATGTTCAGAAAACGCAGTAATTTCAAGGATTATAAAAGTAAGTGGATTTTGCAGGTTGGGGGTGGGGGATATTGATGCACTAAAGAAATACAATGAAAGGCTAAGATGATCAATCACAAATGTAAGACAGAGTACCAAAGACAAAAGGCCTCCCTGGCAGCATGTAAGGAGACTCTCCTACTTCTATAGCTAGAGGACAGAAAAAAACTAGGGCTCAGACCCAGCATTTAAGCATAGTGGTAACGGAGTTCCCGAGAAGACCGAATTCTCAACCCCGGCAAGTCTGCTCCTCTTAGGTGAGAGCTCTGATTAGAAAGGAGATGTGGGATAAAAAGACTCGTGTCAATACACTCAGAAATCTTGAACTTCCAGATTCTCCTGACTACTCCAGGCCTGGAGAAGCATCTTATTCCTCCATATTCCCAGCCGAGACTCCCCTTGATTAAAAATGATGCAGAAGCCTCTGTCTTGCATCATTTCCAACATATCTGAGTCTGTGCTAATGAGGGGACTCTTGCTAAGCCCCTAGAGAGCTTCAAGATCAGGTCTGGTTGCCAGAGGAGCCAACCATGTGATTAAAATGTTAGAACTTTCAGTCCCACTCCCCAACTTCCAGTGAGGAGAGAGGGGCTGAAGATTAAGTTAATTACCAATGGCCGGTGATTTTACCAATCATGCTTATAGAAATGGAACCTCCATTAAAAGTCTAAAAATTAAAGTTTAGAGAGCTTCCCAATTGGTGAAGACGTGGAGGAGCTAGAAGGGTGGTGTGCCCAGAGAGGGCATGGAAGCTCTGCACTTCTTCCCCTATGCCTTACCCTATGCTTCTCTTCCATTTGATGATTCCTGAGTTGTACCCTTTGTAATAAACTGAGAGGAACAAGTAAAGTCCTTTCCCGAGTTCTGTGAGCCATTTTAGTAAACTATCAAACATGGGAACCACCAACTTTGTTTTTTTGCATAAATGCACACACAAAAAGTTTCTGGTAGAATACAAAATAAACTTCTAATATTTAGCTCTTCTCTGGGGGCCACGGGTAGGGGGGAAATGCACTTCTCAAATATAAAGAAGATTCATATTTTAGCTTTCAGAATTTTGTACCATTTGGAGCCGGGCACAGTGGCTCATGCCTGTAATCCCAGCACTCTCAGAGGCTGAGGGGGATGGCTCACTTGAGCTCAGGAGTTCAAGACCAGCCTGGGCAACATAGGGAAACCCAGTCTCTACTAAAAATACAAAAATTAGCCAGACATGGTGGCACATGCCTGTAGTCCCAGCTACCAGGGAGGTTGACACCAGCCTAGGCAAAGTGGCGAAACCTGGTCTCTACTAAAAACACAAAAATTAGCCAGGAGTGGTGGCATGCACCTGTAGTCTCAGCTACCTGGAAGGCTGAGGTGGAAGGATCACTTGAGCCTAAGAGGTGGAGGTTGCAGTGAGCCGAGATAGCACCACTGCACTCCAGCCTGGGTGACAGAGCAAGACTCTGTCTCAAAAAGAAGAAAAGAAAAAGAAATTTGGACTATTTAAATGTTTCGCCCTATTCATTTATTTGATTATTTTTAAATAATAGAAAAGATTATGTTTTGTAAAGAAAAAAGCCAAGAAATCTGAACTAATTTTAAATAAGAAAATAAAATATTGACTAGCATAGGGAAGTAATACTCACGGCTGAGCAAATTGGCCCTGAAATTCAAACTCATCACAAGGAACCAACTAAGCAGTAGTCACTAGCCTTGACAGATGGACATTGCCCATAGAGAGCATTGGTCCTCAGCCTGATCACCGGGAAAGAGAATGAAACAAGAGATCATTTTGGCCATATCCCCATGACACTCAAGTGTCTGATGAAAACCAAAGCATTCAGGTAAAAAGATCTAGTTACTCTGCTCACCTGACATATTGTCTCAATCTCGAGACACTATGGACTATTAACTGGTTTTTAAGTTTCCACGTGGACACCTAGAATAGGGAAACATAGTCTTTATTTGCAAAAAGAGAGATGACATTGGCAATTGTTAAAATTCTCAAGTGGGGTCAATGCTTAGGGGTGAATGCCATTTTCTTTCACATTCTTGATTGCAATAAAAATGGAATTTGAAGAGGTTTACTATTCCCCAGAACCAACAGGATTCACCTGTACCATGTTTACTGCTTAATTCTCCAAACAGGATCAGCATAATGTAGTAGAAATGCCAACAAATGTGGGATCAGGAGAGCTAGGTTCAAACCTCAGGTGTGCTAAATAACATTTGGTTAAGTCACTTAAATAGTAGGCCTTGACTTTTTCATTTACTGAAAAGAGAACTATAACATTTCACAAGTAACTTATGTATTGTTTAGAAAGAAAAGGAATCCAATATTCACACATTGTCAACAATTGAAACAGGAAAACCTTAGCCTACCTAAGGAATATTAAACAATGAGTGCTCTTTCAACACTTTGATACTTCACTTAAATAGCTGTGTTAGGGGATATTTAGCACTCTATCCATTTTTTAATGAAATATCCCTATCAGCCACAGGATAATTACTAAGCAATACAATGCTTTTTATTTTCTCTTACATTGCTTTCAGATGAAATTAAGCTTCACAGAATAACATCTATCACATTCAGATCACGTTTTTGCACGTCTAACTTGATTTTTTCTCCTGAGTTTTACTAAGTGATATTGATATTAATCAGTTTCAATTTTGAAACAAAAATAAATTCACATTGCCTCTTAATTCTTAACTTAATATGGTGCCATACTTTTCTTCATGCCATGCTGTCTGCTCCCAATGCCCTGCCTTCACCTGACCCTACATACACTCTGCTACCTGCCAAATTTTTAACCAGTTAAATTAAGCCAGAACGCAAAACCTCATAAGGACACCTCTTTTTCGGAGTCCCCTGCCTATAGTAAAAATAACTCCCCTCCTTTTTCCATTGAGTTGGGAAAGTAATTTTGATCAATCATGAATGATGCTCATGGGCAGGGGGAGATCAAGAGTTTTGTTTCCAACATGCCAAAGGCAACTATAGAGTTGGAGCTCTCATCAGCCATCCCAGGGTACTGGTCTAACCCTGGGATGTCAAGGGTGAAACAGCCTGCTCTTTGCTCACAGAGGGCCATGCAGCTCTGGCATATCCATCCTCGCCTTTCTCTCCAAAAAGGAGGGACAAAAGATGCTCCACACACCCCATCTCAATTTATCAAGGGTAAGAGAGTAAGATCAAGGAGAGAGATTAAGGGGAGGCTTCCATGTAAGCAACACTCACACAATGTAGCTTACAGAGACACATAGCTCTCTCTCATCTGCCCTTCCATCAGGAGAAAAGCTTTTGCTGCATGAATCCTCTTTCTCCCCAGTTTTCTCCTGTATATGAGAAAGGGACAAGGCACCTGAAGTGCCAGTGGGCTAACCAGAACACTGCATTCAAAAGTAACCAAAAGATGACATTCACCTGTGGCTGATTGTCTCTCCCCCTGACACAGTTGCATGGGGCCAGATATGGTCCATGAAGCCCCAACTCTTACACACCATGCATCCTCATCATTGTGCCAAACTTCTAGCCCATTTCTTAGTTCTTAGTTCAAGCATCCACTTCCCAAACGTATTTCCTCAGACATCCCTTTCCTCCAGTTGGGTTTGGTGCTCTTTTCCTGGGCTTGCCCTTTGGGCTCCCTTTGCTTCTTATTCATGCCATGATTACAATTCTTTTCACATTATATTGCAATTTTGTCCATTTCCCCTAAAGACTGTGAGCTTGGTTCTGAGTCCCAGTTAAGAAAATAGATAAATTTAGCTGAATACTCACACTGTGCCAGGCATCATGCTAAGTTCTGCACATACTGCTCATTGACTTCTCCCACTATGCACACAACTCAGTACTACCTCCCATTTCTCAGATTGGGAAAAGTCAAAGCATTTGCACAAAGTTATGAAACTAATCAAGATTTGAACTTAAGCATCCTGATGCCCAGCCCATATGTTTAACCACTATATTATATCTCAGTCCTTCAAGATACAGAATTCTGAAGGATGAAGAATAGCCCACGGGGTGGACAATGGCGAATGGGCATTCTTTGTCTAATAACCTACAGATGTAAAGACTCCAAAGTACAAAATAAAATGATGCATAAGAGATGGAGGAGGGAAGAGTGGCTGGTGAGTCAGAGAACTAGGTGAAAACAAAACCTCCAAAGAATTGTTTTGCCAAAATAAAGGATTTAGAACTTGGACTTTATCCTTGAGCTAGTTGGGATCGGAAAGAGTTTTAAGTAGAAATAGAACAAGATTATATGTTTATTTTAGAAATATATTTCTGTTGGCAGTATAGAAAGTGGCTTAAAGGAGTAAGGTTGAAAGTTAAACTGGGCAATATAATTGAATGACTATAAGGTGTCAAGCATTGTACCAGGTTTTAAAGTGGGAGGTGTGAGGTAGGGAGAGTACAGTAATAAAGACTGACAGTCCCTACCTAACTTCAAGACTTCTACAATGTGGCAATGGTCTACCAATATCCTACAAGAAAGTAAAAGGTGGAATGAAGAAATAGGCACTGTGATAGAAATCTGGAGAATCAATAAGATGAATGGTAGATTGTTATGGGAACCATGTGGCACCACGCCTCAATCCAAACCCACAGCAGACATCATACATTGATCATGGCCTTTTTGCTGTGGATTCCAGATATGCAACCTCAGACATCTTCTCAACAAAGCATCACAGGTCCCACTACCACTTGATCAGTTTGGCTTCCAAGTTAAGAACTATTTGCCCTCTCAAGAGGGCTAGATCTTGAATGCAATTGTGTTGAAGGACGGCTACATTGGGAGGAGTAAGAAGGTAGATTTTCCCTCTTCTCTTTATCTTGGCATTACTATAGGTGGCCACACATTAGAAAGTAACTGAGAAATACCTGTTAGTCGGGAATTAGAAAAATGAATATTCCTTCTCTATCCCAGGCAGGATGGCCAAGCAGATGTTCATATGTAACTGTATGGTGGCAAAAAGTGACCTCGTCATGATGAATTAAACCCAAGACCTAACAGCTCATACATCTGTATGATTATCTGAAAGCAAGTGTGTACAAGAATAAAACAGAAAAATAATCTTAGGATTGAAGAGCATTCAAACAAAGCCACTTTCAAAGTCCTTTTTGCCCTGTTGCACCTTCTAGGAGTATAATACACAGGGTGCATTGATGATGGGCTCTCCCTAGCTACTGCCTCTTCTAGAAATCTGCAGGAACATTCTCCCAGAGCAAGGGAATGAACTTCATTTATTAGGCCATCCAGGAGCTTGCATGTTCCATCTTCCCACCAGCTCTATAAAGTTAGCAGGAACATCTCCATTTAACAGATGAGAGGAACCAAGGGAAAGATTTGTTCAGTAACTTTCCCAGGGATGTCCAGCTCTGCGGCAAGACCAGGATGTGAACCCAGTTTTGTCCACTCCAATGTGCAATCCAGCCACTGACCTCACACACCTTTGGTGGTCTCTGTTAGGAAGGCCTGTCTAGAATGCTGGGCAAGAAAAATAAGATAAGCAGGAGAATTTCCCACAGGTGGTTACTTTGTGAGAGAAAAAAAGGGAAAATCCAAGACTTCGCCCTTGGGAATGAGCGTTTGGCAGCCTCCTGGGACTGGAGAAGACCAGGTCTCCCTTTCTCAACAATCCCATCCACTTTCTTTCCCAGAAGACCCACATTCTGCTTTGTTGTGTTTCTAACCAGCTGAGTCTAACATTGGCTTTCTTTTACATTACTGCCCCAGACAACACTTTGTGGCAGAAATGAAGCTGCAGCAAGAATAAATCCTGTTTGGTTAATAGGATTTATTAACTGGGTTAGCAAGGTCTGCCTGAAACAGCTGATGACTGTCCAGCCAAATGCAACCCAGTGCCATAACATCCATTCATTTATAATTGTTTAACTAAAATAAAATGAAATAAACAGAGAAATTTCCTCATTTACCTTATCATCCATCCCCCTGTCCAAAACAGCCTTTAGTCCTATTAGATAAAGGATGGCCTCAGCTGGAAAAGCAAGAGAAATAACAGTTTATGTGGCAGCTTTTATTTATAGAGGGCCCAGGTAATCTAAGTATAATTTAAGGAATGGTTTCCCCATGTTTTTCTCCCAAGGGTAATTTTAACTATAAATGATTTTCACTTTATAAGCAAATTCTAGAATCTTTAACTCTTTTCTACCCCTACGTTCATTCCTGTGTAGGATTAGACTCTACTCTTACCTAGGCAAAAGGACAAAGAGAAGTTGGGTGGATTTGAGAGCTCTCCAGATGCAGATTTTAGGACTTGGTAATGGATGAGATGCCACAAGGAAGAGGAAAAAATTCCAGGATGACTCCCAGGTTCCACTTTTGGCAACTGGGCATGTCCATGAACTTCCTCATCTTCCCAATGCTTAGCACGTCAGGAACAAGCAATCGCTCTAAATCTGCAGAGGAAACCAGCCTCAAAAAGGTTCCATTTGTCCTTGATGATCCAGAGGATAAAATAGTACACACCTACATATAATTAACTAAAAGAAGAGTAATATAAATATGAACATAGGTTTGTAGCAGAAAAGTTACAGACACCTAACTTGAACCAGATGAATCTACACAAGAAAACCCACTGTAATTTCAGGCTATTTAAATACCATGCATTTCTTAGTTAGAAAGCCTTGTCTAGATAAAGGTAAAGTTTTCATATTTGCACTGGGTTTAAGTTCTTCTTGCCTTGATATGCCCGAAGTGTCTGCAAGTTTGAGAATCATCAAGCACTTCTTACTATGCACAGCCCCCTAGCACTCCTGAAAACACCCTCCCTATATGAGTTTTCTTTGTTTATAAACACACGGGCCAAGGTGCAGACCCAAAGAAATGCATCACTTTTTTTGGACTTTCACTCTCACAAAAGAACTACCAAATGTCTAATGAGTGCCTAAATATGCAGGCTTAGGGCAAGGGACATATCTTAGAAATGATGGGAATATTGTCCAGTTCTTTACAAGCCTTTTCCTTCAGTGATTCTCCAACTTTCCAGCAGTGGAGATGGCCATGAGAGCACATGAAAGTGGCTGTGTACTGCTGGGAAATGCTAAAAGCCTGAAGTGAATGCCACAAAAGAAAAACTTTCATAATCTCATGTTTTAGATTAGCATTCAGGAAAGTTGTATATTATACTTCTAAACATGTGTTTGTTTTTGTATTATGATGATAGAAGAAGATGCACCACCCTTGTGCTATAGGTTTATATAACTCCTGTCAATCACCATGTGTCCAGATGTAGCCATATCTTAGTGTAAGGAACAATAACTTCAAGTTTATGTAAAGATGTCACTCTGCCACACAGCTGGCACAACACAGACATGGGGCTTCACCCATCCCATACTGATATCAGCCATATTCCCAGTCTCTTCATCCGGACCCATCTTACTCTCTGCTTGCCAGTCTATCCACAATTTAATCCATTTCTAATCCACCATTTCTCTTCCTTTCATGACTTCACTTTAAACCAGTTCTGGGCACTGTTTTCTAACTTTGACCTTTAGCTTGCCCCTTCATCCTCATTTTGGAGACTCCATCTGGCTATATTGTTTTGATATGCCTTGGTTTCTCTTAGACTCTGTTTCTGCCTTTGCCAAGACCTTCATGTCTCCCTGGATCCACATTCTCCCTAGAACCACAAGTGAATCCCAGAAAACCAAAGAAGTTAATATTTGTCTCCTAAAGAATTAAGAAAGCAAAACCTGGCTTAAGTAAATATTCAATATATCCATACCCTTGGGCTGTCATAACAAATTTCCACAAACTGGGTGGCTTGAAATAATACAAATTTATTCTCTCACAGTTCTGAAGGCTAGAAGTCCAAATTCAAGATGTCAGCAGGTCCAAGCTCCCTCCAAAAGCTCTAGAGAAGAATCCTTCCTTGCCTCTTCCAGCTTCTGGTGGTTGCCAATAATCTGCTTATAGCTGCATGACTCCAATCCCTGCCTGCATCTTCACATGTGTTCTCTTGTATGTCTGTCTCTGTTTTCTCTTCTTAAAAGGACACCATCATAGGATTAGAGCCCATCCTAACCAAATATGACTTTCTATTAAATTATTACATCTCCAAGGACCTTATTTCCAAGTAAGGTCATTTTTGAGGTTCCAGGTAGACATGAATTTTAGGGGGAAATATTTGACCCAATATTCCAAGAAGTGTTGATTCCTTTCTTTATAATGGCAGGAAAGGGAGAGATGATGGGCTACATGATATGTATTAGAATCTAATTTGTCAAATACTGTTTTATAGGTCTGATGAAGTTCTTCAGCTCCAGCGTCCTCTCTGAGACACCTTCTTGTCACCAGACACCGCATATGCTTTAAGGTACCTGAGTTAATCACCCCAATTTGTAATGTCTCATTAATAATTCTGGTAGCATTTCATCTTGCATTTGTTGTGGAAATGTGGACTATGCCAGGCACACACCACAGTTCTAAGATGAATCAAATCCCAAATATTCTTGGTTACTTCTTTTGCCTTAACAAGACTTTAACTACCTCAATGGAAGATACACTAGCTAATCAATGACTGATGTTTATATCCTTCATAGCAAGTGTTCACTAAGTGCTTTTGAATTAAATAATACCAATAACAACATGCTAACAGTCACTGAGAGTTTGCTATGTTCTAGGTCAACACTGCCCAGTAGAAATAAAATACGAGCCACATCTGTTATTTTCAAATATTCTGGTAGCCTCATTTGTAAAACAGTAAAAAGAAACCAATAAAGCTAATGTTAACAATATATTTTATTTAACCTAATATTCCTAAAATATTATTTCAATACAATATAGTCAAATTATAATTTTAATATTTTAAAATTATTAATAAGACATTTTGCATTTTTATCCTAAGATTTAAAAATTCAGTGTGGATTTTATATTTATAGCACATCCCAATTCAAACTAGCCACATTTTCAGTGCCCAGCAGCCACACACAACTAGTGACTACTGTATTAGACAGTGCAGTTCTAGATGCTATGTTAAATACTTTACAAGCATAATTTATTTAAACATCATAATAACCTGCAAGGGGATATTATGTGTGTTCCCAATTTTCAGATGATGAAACTGAGGTTGAAAGAGGTTACATAATTTGCCCAACATGACAGAACCATTCTATGCTTTTAACGGCTGTGGCTGTGCCACATTGCCACCAACCTGGATAGATGGATGAGTGGATGAATATAAAGTTCTTTTTTAGGTTATTCCTTGGATTCTGAGGTTTTTTATTCCCTTTCTCCATGATTCTTTCTCTCCATCGAGAGAGTACACACACACACACACACACACACACTCATACACTGGACCAATATTTTTCCATCTTCCTCAAATTAATCACCACCTGTGTCAAAATCGCCTGAATTCCCCGGTTTCCCAGGCCCTACTCCTAGATTATTCTCATCCAACAGATCAAAGAGAGCTTAGAAATCTGTGCTACTAATTTCCAGGATTAGGATTCTGATGCCTGTTAATGCAATGTTCACAATTTTGGCTCATCTTAGGTCACCTGGAGCTCATGCCTGAGCTCCGTCCACAAAAATTTTCCTATAAATAGTCTGGGATGAGACGTGAGCATCAGTTTCTTTTAAACGGACAGCTGGCGTTGAAAATCCTACACTGACATTTGAGTTCCACTCTCAGCCATGCTTCTCTGCTCCTTGCCAGTCTGGATAATTATGCATGATAATGTTTAGAAGAACCCAGAGGGATGAATTTAAAATTGTCTAGTTGCCAGGTGTCCAGGTGGTCAATTAGGACAATGAGCCAAACTGAAAGTAACAACTAAGCATTTATTCACTTACTACAACAATGCAAGCAAGATGCAAAAAGAGGTGCTGGCTCCCCTGTGGTCCGTTTTTCCCTACAGAATGGCACTGGGCAACAGTCGAGTGGATGCAGCACAGATAGGTGAGGTTGTCTCACAACTGAGGAGTGCTGAACAAAAGCCTCCTTCCTCTTATGAACATGTCAGCTGGGAGAAGAAGGGCTAGGAGTAGAAAGATACTGAATCAAAGTGGATAAAAGTGCCTTAGTCAAGGCTTTCAGCAAAGAGGCTTCTGAATGGATGTACCTGTCTAGAAATGCAGATATTCAGGTGAGCGTGGCTGGCCCAAGGGGGGCTAAGTTCTTTATTATTATTTTATTTATTTATTTATTTATTTTGAGACCGAGTTTCACTCTTTCACCTGGGCTGGAGTGCAGTGGCGCGATCTTGGCTCACTGCAACCTCCGCCTCCAGGGTGCAAATGATTCTCCTGCCTCAGCCTCGCGAGTAGCTGGGACTACATGTGCGTGCCACTACACCCGGCTAATATTTTGTATTTTTAGTAGAGATGGTGTTTCACCGTGTTATACAGGATGGTCTCAATCTCCTGTCCTCGTGATCTGCCCACCTCGGCCTCCCAAAATGCTGGGATTACAGGCGAGAGCCACCGTGCCCGGCCTGAGTTCTTGACTGCATCTCCCTCCAGAGAACTGCAATGCACTGTCTGTGCACCAAGTCTGGTGTGGGGAGGGTAGCTTTCCCGCCATGAGGCCTGCCGGACAAAGCCTTGTAACGGCCTCGAGTTGGGCCTGAAAGATCACACATAAGATTTTGGCCTGGAACCAGTCTCCCCAAAAAGTCCACAGTCCAGCTGTGTTGGATGAGCATCAAGAATCAATCTGTATGCCCTGAATTCTCTCTGCAAGTCTGTTTTGAAAAGCAAGCCAGATCCTGACCATGGAGATCTGGCAGAGCTGATCATCAGGGACCCACTTTAACACCTCGCCGGCTTTCTACACAGACCCCTTAGACTATATGCTTCCTAACAAGACCAGAACAACTGACTCCTCCACCCACTCCAAGTACCCACTAGGCTTGCACCATAACTAGCTTGCACCATAACGGAAGTTCTTATCCTAAGGAAGTAATCAGTCAGACCAAAGAGCTGAATTTAAGAATGGTCAGATAGATACAGAGGTTGAAATATGTCAAGAAAAATCTCTCTTTCTAATGTTTCTTTCCATTTTCCAACATGGGGGTTTCATCCTCAAGAGGCTCTTTCAGCATGGCATCAAAGACAGCCACCAGCAGCCCAGGCTCAACCTTACCCACAGGCAGCAATCTCAGAGAATAGTGTTGCTCTTTACCCACCAGTGACCAAAGCAAACTCAAAGACTGTGATTGGCTCCTCTAGAATCACATGTCCATCCTTCAGCCAATCACTCAGCAAGAAAGGCAGAGCCACATCATTTTCAACCCCACCAGAAATACATTGAGAGGGAAGAGAGTTCCCAGAAGGAAGGAATGTTGAGTATACAAAAAAATGGAACAACTGATAGAGCTTGATGTGAGGACATAACTTGGAAAACTTGTTTTAAAAAATCTATTATGTTTGCTAATCCTGTCTTCTTTTTTTTTTTTTTTTTTTAGGCCTGTTAAATAAGAACATACATTACTTTTTTAAAAAAATGGGTTTTGACCTTTGACCAGGTGTGGTGACTCATGCCTGAAATCCCAGCACTTTGGGAGGCCAAGGTGGATGTATCACTTGAGGTCAGGGGTTCAAGACCAGCCCGGCCAACGTGAAATTAAAAATACAAAAATTAGGCAGGTGTGGTGGCACACCCCTGTAATCCCAGCTACCTGGGAAGCTGAGGCATGAGAATTAGTTGAACCCGGGAATTCGGGGCTGCAGTGAGCTGAGATCTTGCCAGAGCACTCCAGCCTGGGTGACAGAGTGAGACTCTGTCTCAAAAAACAAAACAAAAGAAATGGTTTTATCCCAGAATATTTTAATAGGAATCAAGTCACTAACTCAAAAGAGAGGTGAGAAGAAAGAGGAATTTCTCATCTGAGACTAGAAAAGACCCAGGTATTAGGTCTGGGATTTTACTGAGATCATTTCATTGAAGACTTAGAAGGCAAGATGGGAAAACTGAAGCTCAATAAGATAAGGCACTTGCTCAAGAATCCAAAACTAGCAAGTAGCAGAACAGCTTTTGCACCCTAGAATAGCAGTCTATTCTCTCATGAAACACAATGTTGGTTTCTTACTATGACCGGTTGACTGTATTTCCACAATATAATCACATACGTTTTGTCATTTGTCCTCACAACAGAAAATGAGGAATTTAAGGCAGCACTATTATAGCTATTTGAAAATACTTCCTACAGGTTAGTCTCTAGAGCTATCACTGTGGGCCCAGCTACCAGGGAAAAAGACTTAAGAGTATCCACAAGGAATTCTTGGCATCTCTGAACATCACCCCATCCATTCGAGAGAGAAGGCAATGTCATTCCTGGCTCCTCCAATTTTCTAGTGGTGTCTTTTACAGAGAAACAATATATTTCCTACACAGCTTTCTTCATTCCCCACTCACTTCCCATGGAAGTTCCCTGGAAGGCACTAGGAGAATGATCCCAGCCCGATGCGATTCACATCCTAAGCTCATAGCTTAGTGAAGTTCTGTTATGTGTACACATCAAAATTGAGTGTGTTCCCACATGTTCTCACTCATAGGTGGGAATTGAACAAAGATCACTTGGACACAGAGTGGGGAACATCACACACCGGGGCTGGGGCCTGTCGGGGGGTGGAGGACTGGGGGAGGGATAGCATTAGGAGAAATACCTAATGTAAATGATGAGTTGATGGGTGCAGCAAACCAACATGGCACATGTATACCTATGTATCAAACCTGCACGTAGTGCAAATGTACCCTAGAACTTAAAGTATAATAAAAAAGAATTGAGTGTGTTCAAGTTGCCTATAAAACCAAACTAATTTAATCTATTTTATGTAATGGCCCTTGGTATTCACCATTTGCTTCCAGTCATTAAGGAAGAAATATCGGGCAATGTAAAGAATTTCATCCTCAGAAGCAAATACATTGTGGTTTGAATCCTGACTAGTATATCCAGCACATAGTAGGTATACATGTTACATTATTTTCTTTCTCCATCTGGACAGTTTGATTCAAATGTAATATAGTAAAAGAAAACTTAAACTAGAAGCCAGAATATTTGTATCCATTCCTTCCTCTGCCACTAATTTACTCTGTGACCTTGTTAAGGTGATGTAGCCTCAATGTTCCTTGGCTTCCTCATCCTTCAAATGAGAATAATAATGCCAGTCTAGCTTATCTCCAGACTATCAGGGGGAATTCAATAAATGAATGTTCATGAATTCATTGTGAAAACTATAAAGAGCTACAGAAATACTAGGAATCACAATGGGCCATACTCCTCATCAATAATCTCTGGGGCAGCCTTTGGGGAGCATGCACACTGGCAGAAAGAAATACAAAGTGGCTATTTCACTTTGCAAGGTCACTGCTGTGCTATAAACATTGACAAGCCTGAAGAACATGGAGGTCAAATACCAGGGAAATCCTTCATGGAACAGAAGATTTTGTCAGCAAAACTGAGCAGAATACCAAGTCACAGACGGTTCCCTAAAAGCACACTTAACTCCCTGGTCAACATTTCGAAGCAATTTAGAAAAGTCTTCACAAACCATAGACTCCTAGATATTTAAACTTGGAAGAGAACCTCAGAAGTCATAAGTCCAAATGCTTCATTTTCCACTTGAGGAAACTGAGGCCTAGATTCACACAGCTAATTTAGTTTTTTTTTACTTATTTATTTATATTTTTTGAAATGGAGTCTCGCTCTGTCGCCCAGGCTGGAGTGCAGTGGCGCAATCTCAGCCCACTGCAAGCTCTGCCTCCTGGGTTCACACCATTCTCCTGCCTCAGCCTCCCAAGTAGCTGGGACTACAGGCGCCCGCCACACGCCCAGCTAATTTTTTGTATTTTTAGTAGAGACATTGTTTCACTGTGCTAGCCAGGATGGTCTCAATCTCCTGACCTCATGATCCCCCCATCTTGGCCTCCCAAAGTGCTAGGATTACAGGTGTGAGCCACCGCGACCGGCCTCACACAGCTAATTTTAAATCCACAGTTCTTTCTATGATGCCAAGTATCTCCTTGAAACACAAATAAGGAATGGAAAATTCTCAAAATCCCAATACACCTTGTTTAAGTAGAATTGCTACCACACTGAGCCTCAACCTGTACTCCAGAGGTGGTTGTGCCTCAGTAGGATTTGGAAATTGGGAAGAACAGTGGGCAGGATGCAGAAGCCCCACAGACAGCATAATTTATCAAATTACTGTGGCATTTGAGGTACTTCAGATGAAAGTCACCACAGAAATGCTCATCTTTTCATGAAATAACTAAAAGAAATACTGTTTCACATTATAGTACACCTCACAAGATTTCTATTAAATTTCAAAGCTGCTCTGTTTAGTTAAAAGAGTTCAGCCTTTTCTGAAATGACTGACGCCAGGGTTTTAACTTTCCTGTGGTACTTTTAATATGACTGTAATTTTTTTCCCTCCAGGCTGGAAACAAGAGTTTTGTCATGGATGAGGTGTTACAGGAATGAAGGAACCCTAGAATACAAGCCTTGACTCAGCAAGGAGAAAGAAGTCTTCTTTTTCTTTATTTGTTGGAACACTATAATCTCATAAAAATAAGAAAAGAGTTTTGTTCACCCAAACGATTGTAGCTCACAGACGACATGTTCAAAAAACATGTGTGCACACCACTAGCTTGAGTTCAGAGCTCAGCCACCCTCTTCCTACCTACAAAGGAAACAAAACAGCTCCCAACCAGTCTCAGACCTGAAAAATAATTAGGAATAATGCCCCAGCTTTCATAAATAAGGTATGCTTGGATATGTTTTGTTATCATTTGAATCATGTCCCCCTAAAAGAGGTGAAAATCCTCAGCCCCCAGTACCTTATAATGTGACCTTATTTGGAAATAGGCTCATTGCAGATGGAATTAGTTAAGATTAGGTCAAAGTGGGGTAGAGTGGGCCCTTAATCCAGTATGACTGATGTTTTTATAAGGAGAAGAGACACAGAGACAGACACCTGGGAGAATGACATGTCTCAATGCCATGTGATGACAGAGGCAGAGAATGAAGCAAAGCAGCTGCAAGCCAAGGCATGCTGAGAATTGCTGGCAACACCAGAAGCTAAAAAAGGAAAAAAAAAAAAAAAGCATGGAACAGATTCTCCCCTAGACCCTTCAAAGAGAGCATAGCCCTGCCAACACCATGATTTCAGACCTCTAGCTTCCAGACTATGAAAGAAGGCATTTCTATTGTGTTAAGCCACCCCCTTTGTGGTACTTTGTTACAGCAGCCCTCAGAAAATAATACGCTTTCCGGGGACAAAATACCAAGACCAGGACAAGGACATGCAAAGGGAAAAGGGTGCAAAGCAACTCAGCCTGAATATTCAGTGCCTTCCTCTCCTGGCAGGCTGGGCACTCAAACTCAGGTTTGAAAAATAGTCTCTTCCATCACGTGGCTCTGGAGAAAGAGCGAAGCAGGAAGGCCACCTTTACTGCTGACCTGGCATCATAAAAATAATTAGCGAATTGCCACAAGGTGCTTCCGGAAGGTGATTCAGACACTGCTGCTGTTCAGCCTGAAAGAACAGCAGGAATCAGCCAGCCAAGCTGCTAATGCATTACTTTCTGAGGAAACGACTGCGTTTATGAGCAAATATTACTCCAAATTGTTCTCACAGCAAAGAACATCTATTCTATGCCAGGTACATCCATATTTGGCTCACAGAGAACAGCCTCAAGTGTGGAACAAAGGTCATGTGGGTCCCAGTAAGTGGATGTGACAGCTCCAATCCGGTTCCAAAGCCAGAGGGCGGCCAGTCTGCCTGCCTGGAACCAGGAAGCTCAATCATGCAGCTTCGCAGAAACAGACCATTATCCAGGAAGTTCAGTGCATGGAACCCAGACCCTTAAAGTTGGTCACTGTAGAATTTCACAAGGCTATAAGCATTGAGAAAGTGAAAAATTAAGTACCTTGCTTTAAATAAGTCTATTAAGATGCTCTTAAACTTGATCTCCAACTTCTCAACAAGTTCTAAAAATCAAAATCTCTCATTTTTTAATTTAAAACTCTCATTTTTAATTTAAACGAAGTATGTTTATTTTACACAAACATACACACAAACACATATGTGTGTGTGTATGTATATATGTAAGGGATCATTCTTTGGCTATCACTTCAATTTTCATTTTCTATTATTCACTGAAAAGATAAAACATTGACCTTGAATGTAAGAACACCAGGGCAAGACAAATAGGATAAATGATGTTCCTTGCTACCATTTGTTTACTACTTTGACATTCCAGACACCATGCTGAACTCTTCAGGTAGACTATGTCTTTCAATCCTTGCCCAGGCCTATGAGTTAGGGCCCTTTATTATTCCCAAATACAGATGAAGAATGAGGCTCAGATGATTTACATGAATGGTCTAACCAAAGTCCCACAGCAAGTTCAGACAAAGCTGAGATTCAAGCACAGGTCTGCTTGTCATCAAAGTCTGCCCTCTTATCCACTGCACTAGCTATACTGCCTCATCTTCAAAATGGAAAAGAATTCCAAACACTGGGTCTAATTTGTAATTCCAACACCTCAGAGACATCTCTATCTACCTTTCCCAGAGCAGGTAAGGATTTGTAAACTGTAAAATACTATGCTCCAACAATAAACACGTTTCTCTTGAGCCTTCTCTGTCTATGCTTGGCATGTGCCCAGCAGGAACTTTTTCTGCTTCAAGAGGATGTTGATAAAGGATGGTCACTCTAGTTCATAATAATCTATTACACACTTGAAAATTGCTGAGAGAGTAGATCATAAATGTTCTTACCACTAAAAAAATAATAATAACAATGCTAGGTCATGGATGTGTTCATTAGGTTGTTTGCATAAACATTTCACAATATATACAGGCATCATATTGTACGCCATAAATATACAGAATTTTTATTTGTCAATTATATCGCAGGAAAGCTGGGAAAAGAGAGAGAGAGAAGAAAGGGAAGAAAAAAATGAAAGGAGGGAAGGAGGTAAGGAAAAGAGAAAGGAGGGGGAAAGAACAAGTTAACAAAACTAAAAATAAAAAAGGAGAAGTATTTTGAGCAAAGCCAGTGGGGTGGGTGATCCACATAAGGCAGGCAGCACGAGCAGCCACTGGTTCTTAAGATGAAGACTGGTTGCAAGAGGAGGAAGCACAGAATGAAGTGGACTCTGTACCCAATCAATGTGGGAACATAAGAGGAACGGAAGTCACTAGACAATGATGGTAATGAAAGCAGCACATTTAGAGTGCAAAAGCATCCTTTTTCTCCCTTGTGAGGGTCTATAAACCATGGGAAGGAAAAACAATGGGAAGAAAAATTGAAAGCTATGAAGGAAAAGCAACTCATTCAGAATTGTTGGAGTTCTCTCCCCTCTCCTTTGGGACGTATGAAGTGTCTCACTCACCTGCTTTTAAATCAAAAACAGAGAACATTATTCAATAAGTGCCACAAGTAGTTAAACAGATCATGCAGCAGCCATAGATTGAAATAGTATGCCTCCATCAAAAGTCATATTTTTAAGAATATTCACTGCCATGATGAAGCAGCTATGTTGTCTGGGGTATATACCCTGGGGTACATTGTCATGTGCCAGGAAAATTTTGGACACGGACATACACGAGCAGTTTAGGAGTGGAGGTTTAATAGGCACAAGATAAGAGAAAAAGAAAAAAAAAAAAAGACAACAACAACAAAAAAACAGCTATCTCTATAGAGAGAGGGGTCTCCGAGTGGAAAAGACTGACTGGCCAGGGCCAGGCGTGGTGGCTCATGCCTGTAATTCCAGCACTTTGGAAGGCCGAGGTGGGCGGATCACGAGGTCAGGAGATCAAGACCATCCTGGCTAGCACAGTGAAACCATGTCTCTACTAAAAATACAAAAAATTAGCCAGATGTGGTGGTGGGCGCCAGCAGTCCCAGCTGCTCGGGAGGCTCAAAAGAACTCCGTCTCAAAAAAAAAAAAAAAAAAACAGACTGACTGGCCGGACGTGCTGGATTTTATAGTCGGGTTTGAGGAGGCAGTGTCTGATTTACGTAGGGCTTACAGATTGGTTGGATCACGTATGACATTTATACAGTGTGTGGGGAAGGCTGGTGGCCCCATCCTAATCTTATTATGCAAATGAATTATCCTTGGCCGGCCCATCTTGTCTGCTCCTTACTGTTCATGTGGCTGGCAGACAAAGAAAGATGGAGCTGCCGTCTTAAACATGTCCAGTCCCTAGTTCCTGCTGGCATTCACCTGTGCAAGCTCCCAGCTTGCTTGTTTATGTCTGCAGCTCGATTTTACAGGCTGCTCTTTGTTAGAAAATAATTTGGGGCTGCTTTTCCTTAAAAAGAAAAGCCTTACCGAGAACTTCCATACCCTCACATCTGCCCAATGATTTCTTTTTAACTCCTGTATCAATGAGACAATGCTAAAAAGCAAAAAGTAAGCATAAAAAAACAGGATCAAATGTGCCCTTACAGTAGAATCCTATTTCTTTAAAATAAATGTAATGTCTGCTCATTTGAATGGAAAAGAGACTGAAAGGAAATATACCCAAATTGTTAATAGTGGTTATCTCTGGGTGAAGACATAGTAAGTGATTTTTATTTTTTCTTTACAGTCTCTGTATTTTTGAACATCTTTTACAATGGCCATGAAATATTTTATAATATGACAAAAAAATAATATTTTTAAATACTTTTGGTAAATGCTATATAAAAATATTCGGTTGGTGAATCCAAAGAGCCAAGTTTCCATTCTGACTGCTTCAAACCCCTTTTCCATCCTGTGCCTCAGTTTCCTCATCTGCAAAACCCAGGGTTTGCTCTTAATATCTAGGGTTTGGTGCTTCCATTATTCACTGTGACCAATTAGAGAATGCAAGTGAGAGGAAGAAATGTGGGAAAAAAATTGAAGGGAGAGGGGATGGGAAGGATTCCAACAGAGAAAAGAAAGGGAATGCTAAGAAAAGAGGTGTGAACTCAGAAGTTTTTGAGGTGAACGCTGATTGTAAGAGACTGCATGCTGTTCATCAGGGCTCTGTGTTTAAAACTCCTGGTACTTTGAACCTTCGATTAGTTACAGATCTTCATCTGCTTTAATTATTAAACCTTCAGACATCTTGTGGAATAGTTTTTTCATACTAGTCCACCAGGATAGAAATTAATCTCTAGGCTAAAGCAGAAGTGACTGTAAGAATGTGATGAAATCAAACTGAAATCTGGATCAAGTGCCCCAGGCCAGAAATGACTCACCTTTGAAATAAAGCAATTATTTGTGTTATCTGCCCAATTCACCTTTAGCCCTTGGTTTATGTGGAAAACAATTCAGTTAAAGATGGTACTGATTAACTCTACTTTACCAAACACTCAGAGGTCTCTTCTTTCCACACCCCTAGGCACTACATAGTGACTTGTGGACAAAACTTTCCTCTTGTCTAAACTGATGACTACCAAGGCCTCAATATTCCCAGAGGCACGATGTGGGAAACCGTAATTTTCACTCTACTGATAAAATTAGGATCTCCATATTCTGTCTCTCTTATGTCCCTTACAGCATTCAACTGTTTGAAACATAGAATACATTCAGTAAATATCTTAATTCTAGGATAATTATGATATTTCAAGCCTAGAGAACCTCATGGAAAATAAGAAGCCCATCAAAATTAGGGAGCACAGTATGGCAGATCTTTAGTTAGAAGCCATGAAATGACTGGACCATTGTAGTATCTGAAAAAAATTTTTCAATTTCTTATTTGTACAGACTGCTTTAGAGTTTACAATTATATATAACTTTGGAGTAGGCAGTAATGCATTAATTTCCCAAATTTACAGGGGCCATGCAAATTTCAATAATAGATTCAGGGAGGTTTAAGGCTGAATTCCCTGCTTGTAAGATTTTGCTTATTTCTGTGATAGGCACTGAGTGAAGTATTGAGAAAGCAGGTTCTGGGGCCAGATTAAAATTATGACTCTGGGTTAAAATTCTGATTCTGTCATGTACCAATTATTTAACTTCTATGTGCCTCAATTTTCTCATGTGTTAAATAGGGGGTGATGGTGGTACTACATAGGTTCATCATGAAAATAAAATAAACATAGATAAGGCACTAGCGAGACTAATAAAGAAGAAAAGAGAGAATATCCAAATAAACACAGTTAGAACTGGCAAAGGTGATGTTACCACTGACACCCCGGAAATAAAAATAACCATCAGACACCATTATATACACAAACACGTATACAAACTGGAAAACCTAGAATAGATAGATGAATTCCTGGACACATACGCCCTCCCAAGACTGAACCAGGAAGAAAATGATTCCCTGAACAGACCAATAATGAGCTCCAAAATTGAATCAGTACTAAATAACCTACCAACCAAAAAAAAGCCCAGGGCCAGATAGAATCCTAGCCAAATTCTACCATATGTACAAAGAAGAGCTGGTACCATTCCTGCTGAAACTATTCCAAAAAACTGAGGAGGAAGGACTCCTCCCTAACTCATTATATGAGACCATCATCATCCTGATTCAAAACCTGGCAGAGACACAAACAAAATAAAACTTCAGGCCAATATCCTTGATGAACACTGATGAAAGAATCCTCAACAAAATACTTTCAAACTGAATTCAGCAGCACATCAAAAAGCTAATTCGCCGTGATCAAGTAGGCATCATTCCTGGGAGGGAAGGTTGCTTCAACATATGCAAACCAATAAATGTGATTCATCACATAAACAGAACTAAAGACAAAAACCACATGATAATCTCAATAGATGCAGAAAAGCCCTTAATAAAATTTAACATCTCTTCATAGTGAAAACCCTCAATAAACTAGGTATTGAAGGAACATACTTTAAAATAATAAGCACCAGCTATGACAAACCCACAGCCAACGCCATGCTAAATGGGCAAAAGCTGGAAGCATTCCCCTTGAAAACCAGCACATGACAAGGATGCACTCTCTTATCACTCCTATTCAACATAGTATTGGGAGTCACGGCAAGGCAATCAGGCGAGAGAAAGAAATAAAGTGCATCCAAATAGGAAGAGACAAGTCAAACTATCCCTGTTTGCCAACAACATGACTCTATGTCTAGAAAGCTCCATAGTCTCGACCCAAAAGCTCCTTCAGCCAATAAACAACTTCAGCAAAGTTTCAAGATACAAAATCAACGTACAAAGGTCACTAGCATTCCTATACATCAACAACAGCCAAGCCGAGAGCCAAATCAGGAATGCAATCCCATTTACAATTGCCACAAATAGAATAAAATACCTAGCAATACAGCTAACCAGGGAGGTGAAAGATCTCTATAATGAGAACTATAAAACACTGCTCAAAGAAATCAGAGATGACACAAATAAATGGAAAAACATTCCATGCTCATGAATAGGAAAAATCAATATCCTTAAAATGGCCACACTGCCCAAAACAATTTACAGATTTAATGCTATTTCTATCAAACTACCAGTGACATACTTCACAGAACTAGAAGAAAAAAAACTATTCTGATATTCAAGTGGAACCAAAGCAGAGGCCAAATAGCCAAGGCAATCTTAAGCAAAAAGAACAAAGCTGGAGACATCATGTCACCCAAGTTCAAACTATAGTACAGGGATATAGTAACCAAAACAGCATGATACTAGTACAAAAACAGACACATAGACCAATGGAACAGAATAGACAGCCCAGAAATAAGGCCACACACCTACAGCCATCTATCTTCAACAAAGCTGACAAAATAAGCAATGGGGAAAGGACTCCCTGTTCCATAAGCAGTGCTGAGACAACAGGCTAGCCATATGCAGAAAATTGAAACTGGACCTTTTTCTTATACCATAAGCAAAAATTAACTCAAGATGAATAAAGATTTAAATGTAAAACCCAAAACTATAAAAACCCTGCAGGACAACCTAGGCAATGCCGTTC
This sequence comes from Homo sapiens, assembly GCF_000001405.40. NCBI lineage: Eukaryota > Metazoa > Chordata > Mammalia > Primates > Hominidae > Homo > Homo sapiens. The sequence goes on along the minus strand of NC_000004.12, from coordinate 13,699,455 downwards.
CAGATACAGAAATAGAAAAATATATCATGATGAATATGACAAAAGCAATCATGACAAAAGCAAAAAATGATAAATGGGATTTAATTAAATGAGAACTTCTGTGCAGTAAAAGAAACTATCAGTAGAGTAAATAGACAACCTATAGAACAGGAGAAAAATTTTGTAAACTAGGCATCTGACAAAGGTCTAATATCCAGCATCTATAAAGAACTTAAGCAAATTTACAAGCAGAAAATAACCCCATTAAAAAGTGGACAAAAAACATCAACAGACACTTTTCAAAAGAAGACATACATGTGGCCAGCAAGCATATGAAGAAAAGCTCAACATCACTGATATTAGAAAGGCAAATAAAAACCACAATGATATACCATCTGACACTAGTCAGAATGGCTATTATACAAAAGTCAAAAAATAACATACTGGCGAGGTTGCAGAAAAAAAGGAACACTTATACACTGTGGAAGGGAGTGTAAATTAATTCAACCATTGTGGAAAGCAGTGTGGCAATTCCTCAAAGAGCTGAAAACAGAACTACCATTCAACTCAGCAATCTCATTACTGGCTATATAACCCAAAGGAAGATAAGTCATTCTACCATGAAGATACATGCACGCGAAAGTTCATTGCAGCACTATTCACAATAGCAAAGACATGGAATCAACCTAAATGCCCATCAAAGACAGATTGGATAAAGAAAATGTGGTAATATACACTATGGAATACTATGCAGCTATAAGGAAAAGAATGATATCCTGTCCTTTGCAGGAACATGAATGGAGCTTGAGGCCGTTATCCTCAGCAAACCAGCACAGAAACAGAAAACCAAATATCGCATGTTCTCACTTGTAAGTGAGAGCTAAATGATGAGTACTCATGGGAACAAAGAGGGGAACAACTGACACTGGGACCTATCTGAGGGTGGAGAGTAGGAGGAGGGAGAGGATCAGAAAAAATAACTATTGGCTTAGTACCTGGATGATGAAATAATCTGTACAACAAACCCTTACAACATAAGTTTACATATCTAACAAACCTGTACATGTACCCCTGAACCTAAAACAAAAGTTAAAAAGAAGAAAATCAAACAATTAAGTTCTTTTTCTAGTCCCTGGCATAGTCCCTGAAATTGTTTTACAGAAATGGAGGAATCACCAACACCTATTTGATTACAGACACGTGCTATAGTCTGAATGTTTGTCTCCCCTCAAAATTCATGTATTGAAATCCTAATTGCCAACCTGATAGTATTAGGAGTTGTGGCCTTTAGGGAGGTGATTAGGTCATGAAAGCAGAACCATCAATAATGAGATTAGTGCCCTCATAAAACAAGCCCAAGGAAGAACATTCATCCCTTTTACCATGTGAGGACACAGCAAGAAGTTGGCAGTCTGCAGTCCAGAAGAGGGTTTTCACCAGAATCCAAACATACTGGCACCCTGATCTTGGACTTCTTAGCTTCCAGTACTGTAAGTAATAAATTTTCGTTGTTTATAATCTACCCAGTTTATGTTATGGCAGCTTAAATGGGCTAAGACA